>NC_000001.11:148809587-149434587 GCF_000001405.40 Homo sapiens
CCTCTGAGCTAACGGGTCTGTAAAAAGTTACTTCATTTCTCTAGGCCTCAGTTTCCCATGCATAAAATTGGAATTTGGATTAAAACAGTGCTAATTATAAAACTAAATGTTCATTGGATCTGTATTCTATGTTCAGGATAGCTATATTTGTGAACTATGAAATTTAGCCTATTCACTGACAATTTTATTTTTTCATAACACTATCCACTGTTTATGTCAGAAAACAGACTCACATTCAGTTAATAGAGCTTAAATAAATCACATGTCTTCTAAGGAACCCATAATAAATTACTGCTCCTAAGAAAGAATTAAGCAAAAAGTATTCATTGTTTGATTTTTTTATAAAGTAAAATTTTTATTGCCTTATACAAATTACTTTTATAGACATAATTACTTTTTTAAAAAAGCATATCTATGGGATGTTAATTATTTTATAAAATACTTTGAAATTTTATTTAAAGCTTAGAACAAAAAAATTAATCTGAATGTGTATTTATAATTCCAAGGCTCCTTAATCACCTTACGCACACGGGGTGAATTCTTCTTATCTGGAAAGCAGCATTAATCCTGCAGAATTTAAAATGAATTATGACTCCTTATCACAAGAGTATGATTTTTCTCCCTGTCTTTGGTTAAAAAAAAGTTTATAGGGTTAGAATTTGATCCTCTAAATTGTGGTTTAATTGTGAAAGTAGATAGCAAACATTCATGGTTTCCTTAATAGTTACTCATCTGACAAACTACACCTATATTCATCTTCGTTGATGTAATGATAAGTCTTGAAATGTTTTTAAAAAATTTCACAATTCCCAAATGAAACACTTACAGCAACTTGACTGAGGTTAGTGCTACTTTGCCCTTTATTTAAAAATCAATTCCCCAGTTTAGCGTACTTTAAAAAATGTAACAACTTTAGCTATAGTGTTAGAGGTTTAATGAATGTTAGCGTATTAGAGGTTATACTTGGGGAGTGGTGTTTTTGGTACGATTTTCTAACTCTCAATCAACTAAAAAATGTAAAAAAGCAGCCTTGCACGTTATCCAAATTCAGTTCAGTTCAGTGTTACTTATTGAGCAATGATGGTGGAGGCCAGCACAAACTGGATACAAAACTACCCTCAGGTAACTCAGAATCTGTAGTTCTATAATGTGCTTCAGTAACTG
This sequence comes from Homo sapiens, assembly GCF_000001405.40. NCBI lineage: Eukaryota > Metazoa > Chordata > Mammalia > Primates > Hominidae > Homo > Homo sapiens. The sequence continues at coordinate 148,810,752 of NC_000001.11, forward strand.
GAGTATGGAGTAAGTGCTGTAACAGAAAGATGAACTGTAGACCTCTCTCTCTCTCTCTCTCTCTCTCTCTCTCCCTCTCTCTCTCTCTCTCTCTATTTCTCCAAGGAAAGCTGACTTCCCTAACAGGCCATAGAAAGTGGCATTATCTTGGAAAATATGTTGAAATCTGGTCTTTAACTTGTTAAGTCTGTTTCTTTTCTTTTTCTTTCTTTCTTTTTTTTTTTTTTTCAGAGATGGAGTCTCACTGTGTTGCCTAGGTTGGAGTGAAGTGGTGCAATCATAGCTCCCTGCAGTCTCCAACTCCTGGGCTCAAGGGATCCTCTTGCCTTGGCCTCCCAAGTAGCTGAGATCACAGTTGTGTACCACCATTTCCGGCTACTTTTAAAAAATTATTTTGTGTAGAGATGGAGTCTTGCTATGTTGCCTAGGCTGGTCTCAAACTCCTGGCTTCAAGCAATCCTACCACCCCACCCTCCCAAAGTGCTGAGACTATAGGCATGAGCCACTGCACCCAGCCAAGTCTGTTTCTTAAACTGATAAATCACAGGACTACTATATAAACCCAGAATAACAAATTACTAATTTATAATGAGAATTTTAACATCTTAGGGAACTAGACTCTCTTTTATGATCCCAGCAAAATATCTCTTGGTATATGTGCCACATTTGAGAGCCAAATTACAGCCAAAAGGTTGTTTTTGAAACTTGAATCTAGAGCAAGAGGAATTAATTAGTGGATTCTAAATTTCAAATAATTTGATAGCTTCAGAGCATCAAGGTGTACACATAGGTTCTTTTTTCCTGGACAGTAAGTGTCCACTGATGATTGTCCTCCCTTCTTAGGTACATCTCTTTTTCTATCTCTGATATGCTAATATTTTCAGTCAGATTATAATCTGGTTTGGGGATCCTTGTGACTGTTTCAAGTGTCTACATTTATTCTCTAAATCAGTTTATCTTAATTGTAAAGTTTAAATTCTAAGTGGCAAGCTTATTTTCTTTAAGAAAAAATAATGATGGGGTAGGGAGGTGGGGCTGGGGTACCATATTACAGCCCCTACATGCTGGCAATATAAACCAGGTGGTTAATGGCACCTCTCTATGGTGCTAAAAGGCAGATGAGGCCGGTCACGGTGGCTCATGCCTGTTAATCCCAGCAGTTTGGGAGGCCAAGGCCGGTGGATCACTTGAGGTCGGGAGTTTGAGATCAGTCTGGTCGACATTGTAAAACTCCATCACTAATGAAAATACAAAGAATTAGCTGGGTGTGGTGGTGCGCCTGTCATCCCAGCTACTCAGAAGGCTGAGGAAGGAGGATCACTTGAACCAGGGAGGCGGAGGTTGCAGTGAGCCGAGATTGCACCACTGCACTCCAACCTGGGTGGCAGAGTGAGACTCCATCTCAAAAAAGAAAAATTAAAAAATTTAAAAATTTAAAAAGGCAGATGATCAGAGACGGCTTTATACAGGAGGTGAATTTTTGTCTGGCTTGACAAGATAACAAAGCCAGGTTGAGTGGGAAGAAAATTTTGCCAAAAGAACACAAGCAGATTTATGACAGTGGGAAGATGCTTTATTGAAGTGAATCCCATGCTGTGATAGAAATTTTCTGTGAGGATTTAATTCAAACTCGATCCTTTTTCAAGTATATAACTATTTAAAAAGAGAAATTAAGTGAATTGTCAGCTGTTGGCCATCTGCCTCAATGTGTGCTTTTGAAGCCCAGCAGATTGCACATTCTGTGTAGGTGGATAGCTTGAAACCTGCAGACAACTGTCAGAGGACAATGACTTCAGAGAAGATTCAGTGAATTTCTAACATCAAACTTCAACTACTGTAATATGCTTGTCTAGCCATCTCTTTGTTGTTGCTGTTCTACAGCTTTATTGAGATATAACTGACATACAATAAACTGGGCAAATTTAAAGTGTGCAATTTGAAGTTTCAACGTATGTATATACCTGTGAAATCATCACCACAATCAAGATGACGAACTTATCCATGATCCCAAAAAGGTTCCTTCTGCCCTTTTTAAATTCCTCCTTCCCGCCCCTCTGCTTTTGTCATTATATATTACTTTGCATTTCCTAGAATTTCATATAAATGGAATCATACAGTATCTACTCTTTGTTGTTGTCTGGCTTCTTTCACTCAGCATAATTATTTTGAAACTTATCTATGCTGTTGTGGGTATCAGTAGCTCATTTCCTTTTGTTGCTGAGTAGTATTTCATTGTATGAATGTGCTACACGTTATTGATTCACCATTCGTTGAGTTGTTTCCAGTTTTATGGCTATTACAAATAAAGTTGCTATAATTATCTGTGCACATGTCTTTCATTTCTCTTGGGCACATTTCTCGGGGTATATAACACTAGGCATGCTTTTAAAGAAACTGCCAAATCGTTTTCCAAAAGGGTTGTACCTTTTACATTCCCACTAGCAATGTATGAAGGTTCTCATTTCTCCACATCCTTCTCAATACTTGTTACTGTACATCTTTTATATTATAGCCATTCTAGTGGGTGTGAAATCTTATTATGGTTTTTTGACTTAAATTTCCCTAATGATTAATGATATTGAGCTTTTTTTTCATGAGCTTGATTATTATCTACATATTTTTGGTAAAGTGTCTCTTGAAATATTTTGCCCATTTTCCATTGAGTTGTTTGGGTTTCACTGAGTTCATTGGGTTCATTTCATATTCTAAATGCAAGTTTTATTATATATGTTCTTTGCAAATATTTTCTCCCACTGTGCAGATTGTCTTTCCATTTTAGTAACAGTGTCTTTTGAAGACCAGACATTTTAAAATTTTGCTGTGGTAAATAAACATTATCAGTTTTTTCTTTTATGGTTCTGCTTTTAATGTCATATCTAAGAAATCATTACTTAATCCAGATTACAAAAATATTCTATTTTTTTCTAGAAGTTTTATAGTTTTGCATTTTTACATTTAGGCCTATGATCCATTTGAGTTAACTTTTGTATATTGTGATCAAGGTGTTTTTTTTTTTCTTTTTTATCTTTTTTTTTTTTTTGCATGTAGATGTACAGTTGTTCTAACACTGTTTGTTAAGAGCACTATCCTTTTTCCATTTAATTGCCTTAGCACCTTTGTTCAAATCAATTGACCACATATATAATCGTCTGTATCTGGGTTTCTATTGTGTTTGACTGATTTATTTATCTGCCTTTTTTTTTTCCTTTTTCTTTTTTTGAGATGGAGTCTAACTCTGTTGCCCAGGCTGGAGTGCAGTGGCACAATCTTGGCTCACGGCAACCTTCGCCTCCTGGGTTCAAGCAATTCTACTGCCTCAGCCTCCCTTATCCATCTTTAGACTAATACCAAACTGATTTGGTTACAGTAGCTTTATACGTTTTGAAATCACGTAGTCAAATTCTTGAGCTTTGCTCTTCTTGTTCAAAATTGTTTTCATTGTGTTAGGTTCTTTGAATTTCCATATACATTTCAGAATTCACTTGTAAATGTAGACAAAAAGCCAGTGGGGTATTTGATTGGGGTCACATTGAGTCTATAGATCAACTTATAGAGAATTGATATCTTAACAACATTGGGTCTTCTGATGCATGAACATGACATATTATTTCATTTATTTTGGTTAATGGTTCTCCGCTAAGGGCAATTGTGCATCACAAGGGACATTTGACAGTATCTAGACACAAACAACTAGAGCATCAGAGCCCCTTTGCTGTACCCACAGTCTTGTATTTACAGTCTATACTTCCATTCTTTCAGGAGGTTTGCTCCCAGAACTGGTGATATAAAGAAGGAAAGTAGCAGTATGAGCACTTTGAGGGCTAAGCAATGGGATAATATCTTTCTAAGGGAACAGTTAAATCAACTTCATTTGGTCTTCCATGGACATGAGTTTCAAGTGGCTTTCTGGCCTTTCTTCTGTTGGCCTCTTTGCTATTATGTGAAGACTTCATTTATACTCAATCTAATTCAGCTACCATGGGCCATATCACCAGTGCCCATTGTGTTCTATGCATCCTAATATTTTCATTAATCTGAAGGGGAGAGGGTTTTAACTTTGAAGGATACTCAGGAGGACTTTCTTATGAACTCAGATGGAAAGTGTCCTGAAATTTGTCCTTTTAAAAATATCTGTGCATTTTTTTGTGCTATGACATTCTTACATGTATCATTCTGTGATCAAATCTCCAGCTTACTATAAATGATACCTACATTCTAAAGAGCCAATTCTAGTTGTACCAGCATGGCCTTAGAGAAAAGTAAGGGAATACAATTTGTATTTATCTTCTATTTGGTCGGAGTTAAGTATTTAAAACAGTAAGGTAGATCTCAGATCCACCACCATTAAAAATAAATAAATAAATAAATAAATAAATAAATAAATAAAATAGTAAAGTAGAAAGAAGAGACAAAGATCCAAACCTTTCAAAATGAAAAATGAATTTTAAATATAAGGTTATATTTTATTACCTACTGCTGAGACCATCATTGCATAAATGAATAAATAGAACTAAATAGTCCAGTCACAGTGGCTCACGCCTGTAATCCCAGCACTTTTGGAGGCCGAGGCACGCAGATCACGAGGTCAGGAGACAGAGACCATCCTGGCCAACATGGTGAAACCCTGTCTCTGTTAAAAATACAAAAGTTAGCTGGGCGTGGTGGCATGCGCCTGTAATCCCAGCTACTCGGGAGGCTGAGGCAGGAGAATCGCTTGAACCAGGGAGGCAGAGGTTGCAATGAGCCAAGATCACACCACTGCACTCCAGCCTGGTGACACAGCAAGACTCTGTCTCAAAAAAAAAAAAAAAAAAAAGAACTAAATAAACTCTTCTTCCCCCACAAATTTACCAGTTTAGCCATTTTAAGTGTACAGGTCAGTAGTTGCATTAAGTACATTCACATTATTATGCAACAAGTACCACCATCCATCTCCAAAATTTTCTCTTTTTCCAAAACTGAAACTCTGTATCCATTAAACAGTAGCTACCCATTCTCCCTCCCCTACCTCCTGGTAACCACTATTCTACTTTCTGGCTCTATGAATTTGACTACTCTAGCCACCTTTTATACATGGGATCATATATTTGTTGTTTTGTCTCCAGCCTATTTCACTTGGCATAATCTCTTTTAGGGTCATCCGTGTTGTAGCATGTGTTGTAATTACGTACTTTTTTGTGTGTGAGATAGTCTTACTCTATCATTCAGGCTGGAGTGCACTGGCACAATCATGGTTCAATGCAGCTTTGACCTCCTGGGCTCAATCGATCCTCCCACATTGGCCTCCCAAATGGCTGGGATTACAAGCAATTTTTTTGATATTTTTGTAGAGATGGGGTCTCAGTTTGTTGCTCAGGCTTATAATGATGTACCTTTTAAAAGGCCAAATCATATTCCATTGTATGTTTATACAACATTTTATTAATCCATTCATCTGTTAATGGAAATTTCAATTGTTTCCACCTTTTGCCACTGTGAATAATGCTGCAACAGATATGGATGTACAGATGTCTCTTTGTGTCCCTGTTTTCAATGCTTTTGGGTTGCAAAAGAAGAGGGATTATTGCATATATGGTAATTCTATATTTAATTTTTTGGAACGACCATACTGTTCTCTACAGCAGCTGCACCATTTTACATTCCCATCAACAGTGTACAAGGGTTTCAGTTTCCCCATATCTTCATGAACACTGATATTTTCTGTTTTTGTTTTTTAAAATAATTGCCATCCTAATGGGTATAAAGTGAAATATCATTGTGGTTTTGATTTGCATTTCCTTACTGATTAGTGATGTAAAAGATATTTTTAAAGTTTCATATTTACTGACATATTTACCATTTCCAATATTCTTCATTATTTTCATCTGGTATCATTTTCCTTCTGCCTGAAAGAATTTCTTTAATCCTTCTTATTCTTGTGCAGATTTGCTGGTGGGAAAATTCTTTCAGCTTTTGTATGTGAAAAAGTCTTTATTTCACCTTCATGTTTGAAAGATATTCTTGCTGGTTATCAGGACTGACTACATACTTTGTGGGGCTCAATGCAAAATAAAAATGTAGACCCCTCTGTTCAAATATTATTAAGAATTTCAAGTCATCAACAACAGAGCATTAAACCAAGCCAGTCCTTCTGAGTGCAAAGCCCTGTGTGACTACACGGGTTGTATGCACAAGAAACCTACTCTGCTGGTTGTAGAATTCCAGGTGACTGCTCTTTTTTTCCTTCAGCTCTTTAAAGATGTTGCTCTGTTGTCTTTTTTTTTTTTCTGAGATGGAGTTTCGCTCTTGTTGCCCAGGCTAGAGTGCAATGATGCCATCTCGGCTCACCGCAACCTCGACCTCCCGGGTTCAAGTGATTCTCCTGCCTCAGCCTCCTGAGTAGCTGGGATTACAGGCATACGTCACCATGCCCAGCCAATTTTGTATTTTTAGTAGAGATGGGGTTTCTCCATGTTGGTCAGGCTGGTCTCGAACTGCTGACCTCAGGTGATCTGCCCTCCTCAGCCTCCCAAAGTGCTGGAATTACAGGCACGAGTCACTGTGCCTGGCTTCTCTGTTGTCTTTTAATTTTCAAGTTATGCTCTCATTCTTATCCTTGTTTCTCTCTATATAATGTTCTTTTTTCTCCTGAATACTTATAAATTTTTCTCTTTATCACTGATCTTAAGCAATTTGATTAAAATGTGCCTAGGTGTGGTTACTTTCATGTTTCTCGTGCTTTGGATTTGTTACGCTTACCGGATCTGTGTGTTTACAGTTTTCATTATACTTGGACAATTTTCAGCCATTATTTTTTCAAAAATTTTTGTTGCCCTCTATAACTCCATTCCTTTAGGGACTTCAGTTACATATATATTAGGTCATTTAAATTTTTCCCATTGATCACTGATGCTCTGTTCACTTTTTGTCTTCTTTCTCTTGTTTTATTTTTGGATCATTTTCATTGCTATGTCTTTAAGTTCACTAACTTTTTCTTCTACAGTGTCTAATCTGTTGTTAATTCCATCCAGTGTATTCTTCATCTCAGATATTGTCTTTTTCATCTCTAGAAGTTTGTAACTTTCATGTATTAATTTTTTTTCTTTTTTTTTGAGATGGAGTTTCACTCTTGTCAATGTTACGGTCTCAGCTCCTTGCAACCTGCAATCTCTGCCTCCCGGGTACAAGCAATTCTCCTGTCTCAGCCTCCTGAGTAGCTGGGATTACAGGCACCCACCACCACGCCTGGCTAATTTTTGTATTTTTATTAGAGATGGGGTTTCACCATGTTGGCCAGGGTGGTCTCAAACTTCTGACCTCAGGTGATCTGCCCGCCTCCTCCCAAAGTGCTGGGATTACAGGCGTGAGGCACTGTGCCCCGCCCATGTATTAATATTTTACTTCATTTTATCAATCTTTGTTCTACTTTCTTGAACATTTAAAATACTATAATAACAATTCTAACATTTGTTCAGTTCTGAGTATGTTTCTGGTAATTGATTTTTCTCTTCATTTTAAGTACTGTTTCCTGCTTCTTTGCACACCTGGCAATACTTTGATTTGATACCACACATTAAACATTTTACATATTGGGTGTTAGATAGTTTTGCATTCCCATAAACATTATTGAGCTTTATTCTGGGTCACAGTTAGTTGGAAACAGATCCTTCTTGATCTTAAGCTTCATTATGGGGAACCCAAGCAACTTTTTAAAGATGATTAATTTTCCCCATTACTTGGGTGATACCCTTCTAAGTACTCTAGCCAATATCCTGTTAATTATGAGGCTTTTCCCACTTTAGTAGATGATGAAACAAACTACTTCCAGCCTTGTATGAGCCAAGAGGATTGTTTAATCTGATTCTCTTGTGTGGTTCTTACCCCAACCTTGGTAGTTTCCTGATATACCGATCAGTATTCAGCTGAATATTCAAGGAGACTCTCCACAGATCTCTGGAATTTTCTATTCTTTCTGGTACTCTTCCCCATGAACTCTACCTGCCTTGGCCTTCTCAAATCTCTGCATGATCTCTTCAACTCAGGCAGATCACCAGGCTCTGCCTGGATTCCCTCTCTGTGAGCTCTGGGGCAGTTAAGTAGGACAGTTGTATGGCTTACTTTGCTTGTTTCTCTCTTCTCTTGGATAACTTTCCTATGTTGTCTGACATCCAGTGTCTGAAAATAATTATTTTATATATCTTGTCCTATTTTTTAGTAATTTCTGTCAGGGGTGAAGGGGAATGAATACCAACCCTATTACCGCATGCTGTCTGGAAGTAGAAGTGTCTTTCTAGCCACGTTATAAATTAGTAGTTTTCAACCCTGACTACATATTAGAATTATTTGGGGGAGGTCTTTAAAAAGCTGATGTAAGGCTTCATTCCAGACCAATTAAATCAGACTTTTTCAGATTGAGGTCTTAGCATCAGTGTTCTTTAAATGCACTACAAGTTTTCTCATGTATACCAGGGTTAAAGAACCTCCATATTAAAGAAAAGGTTGCATTTATAAATCATTCTGAGAAACTTTTGTATTCTGTCATTTCAGCTAAGACACAGAGGCGGTTGGCTTTTATTTTTGTAGACAGTGTGGAATTATAGAAGCTTTTAAAGAAGAGTCTGGCAGACATAGATCTTTGTTTTAGAGTTGTAAGTGTGGCAATCGTGTGAGAGATGGGCTTAAGTGGATTGAGTGAAGATCACTGAGAAACTGTTGCAAGTGGTTCACGGCCAAAGGTAATAAGGGCCTGAACACAGGCATTGGTATTGGGAATGGCGAGGAAGAGATAGGTTGGAGAATTTGAGTTAGAACTGATAGGATTTTTTGATTAATTGAGTGTGGGAAATGAGGGAGATGGTGGAAACAAATGTTATTCTCCAGTTTATTACTCTAGACAAGTAAACTCTGTCTAAACAAATTCCTAGGCCAGTCAGAGAGTAAATAGTAATTTCATTAACTGAGATAGATAATATGGTATGAGAAGCAGATGTCAGGGAAAGGAGAGAATTAATTTAGTTTGGGATATCCAAAAGGATATCTCATGGAACTGTCTCCTGACCTCTAGTTTATTCTGAATCATAGGACAGAGAAGACATTTAAAAGCATATCTTTTTAGTATGCTGTGTAAGTTTGAACAGATTTATCTTTCTTCTTTTATTTAACTTAATATTGAAATCTGTTTATATCTTTTTTTTTTTTTTTTTTTTTTTTTTTTTGAGGCGGAGTCCTGCTCTGTTTCCCAGGCTGGCGTGCAGCGGCGCGATCTGGCTCACTGCAAGCTCCGCCTCCTGGGTTCACGCCACTCTCCTGCCTCAGCCTCCCGAATAGCTGAGACTACAGGCGCCCGCCACCACACCCGGCTAATTTTTTGTATTTTTTAGTAGAGATGGGGTTTCACCGTGTTAACCAGGATGGTCTCCATCTCCTGACCTCATGATCCGCCCGCCTCGGCCTCCCAAAGTGCTGGGATTACAGGTGTGAGCCACTGAGCTCGGCCGAAATCTGTTTATATCTCTTAAACAAACATCAGTTAATACTGCAAGAAAGTAGATGTTGGCCGTGCGCGGTTGCTCACGCCTGTAATCCCAGCACTTTGGGAGGCCTAGCGGGGCAGATCACCTGAAGTCAGGAGTTTGAGACCAGCCTGGCCAAAATGGTGAAACCCCCTCTCTACTAAAAATACAAAAAATTAGCCGGGCGTGGTGGCAGGCGCCTGTAATCCCAGCTACTCAGGAGGCTGAGGCAGGAGAATCACTTGAACCCAGGAGGCGTAGGTTGCAGTGAGCCAGATCGCGCCACTGCACTCCAGCCTGGAAACTCCATCTCAAAAAAAAAAAAAAAAAAAAAAAAAGAAAGAAAGTAGTTGTCTTCTAGATGACAAAATGTCAAGTCAGAGATTATTGCAGACTTTTGTTTTGTTTTGGGTTTTTGACTGTGGGTGTGTCCATTCCTCCCTTCTTTGGACAATAACCCTACTTTTTTTTTGGGGGGGGGGTGGCTAGAATTGTCTTCTTTGCCATGGTTTATAGTCTTGGTGGGAAGTTTGTTTAAGGTATCCCGAGCTAAATGATAATCTTGAGACCCACACGAGGATGATCTGATTATTTATTTATTTATTTATTTATTTATTTATTTATTTTTGAGGCGGAGTCTCGCTGTTGCCCAGGCTGGAGTGCAGTGGGGCGATCTCGGCTCACTGCAGGCTCCGCCCCCTGGGGTTCACGCCATTGTCTTGCCTCAGCCTCCAGAGTAACTGGGATTACAGGCACCCAATACCTCGCCCGGCTAATTTTTCGTATTTTCAGTAGAGACGGGGTTTCACCGTGTTAGCCAGGATGGTCTCGATCTCCTGACCTCGTGATCCGCCCGCCTCGGCCTCCCAATGATCTGATTTTTTGAGCATTGCATCATCAGTGGAACAACATAAGAGTAGCAAAAAGTGGCCAGAACCAATCGGCCCCTTCTTGCTACCTAGATCCTAATTGCTTCCCCTGTTCCTGCCCCTCCCTATTCCTGCCCCTTCTGAGCCTGTTCTTTTGAGTCTTCAACTGTTCCTTTGATTCTGTGGGTCTCCTCTTCCAGTAAATCCTATTTTAAAAAATAGCTGGAGTCTGTTCACTGATCTTTCCAAAAGGTATATATGGAATGGCAGGCACAATACTAGGTGCTAGAATAAAATGAGGAACAAAATTATTGGATAAAGGCTCAGTGAGGACGTAGACAGAAAACAAATAAATAAATATACAAATAAAGGGATTTCTGATATTAATAAAGTTTATTTTAAAAAAATTTCGTTAGAGAGGAATTAAAGCAGGAGGTGAAAGAACTGCAAAACCCCTAAGGTAGAAATAAGCTTAGTGTGTTTGAGGAAGAAAATGGCCAGTGCAGCTGGAGCATAATAAATAAGAGGAGGGGGCAGAGGTGAACCTGAGCCAGGTCACCTGAGACCTCATAGGCCGTGGTAAGAAGTGGATGTTATTCTAAGGACATGGGGAAGCCAATAAAGATTTAAAACAGGAACATCATATGATCTGAAAAATGTTAAAAAGTCACTTTGCTATTGGAAAACAGACCTTAGGAGGCCAAGAGTGGAAGGAAGGGAGCTGCTTTGCTGGCTATTGCAGTAAGTAACACCAATGTGAGATCATAGCGATTTACATCATGGCGGTAGCAGTGGGGCTGGTAAGAAGAGAAGGACTGAGCCTTCTAGCAGATAACTTGGTACCCTGCAGATCCCGAAAACAAAACCAACAAAGAAGATAACCGGGGGATAAAAAGAGACAACTTCATGGTTGGAGTCTTTATATTAAGTTTTGTTTGAAGCCTCTGTTTGAGGTTTTTTGCTTCACCCTGGTGGAGGTTTTCTCCCCACTCATTATGAGGGTGGGAGTTAGATGGTGGGACAAAGAGATAGAGGTCACTCAAATGAAAAGGACCCTGGATAGTATTAAGAATATCTTCACACAGGGTTGCATATGGTGACCAAATGGTGGTAGCGCCCACGGTGGGAGGGGTAGCAGACATGGTGATGGTATTTCCCTAGAACAGGGGTCCCCAGCCCCCAGAGCATGGACTGGTACTGGTTCTGGCCTGTTAGGACCCCGGCTGCATAGCAGGAGGTGAGTGGCAGGCCAGCGAGCATTACCCCTGAGCTCCACCTCCTGTCGATCAGCAGACCAGCAGCTGCATTCAATTCTCATAGGAACGGGAACCCTATTGTGAACTGGGCATATGAGGGATCTAGGTTGCCTGCTTCTTACGAGGATCTAATACCTGATGATCATTCCAAATCCATCCCCCACCCTGTCCATGGAAAAGTTGTCTTCCTTGAAAATGGTTCCTGGTACCAAAAAGGTTGGAGACCACTGCCCTAGGACACTTTAACCTCTTCATGAAGTTGCCTGTTCTCTTAGATTTATTTGCTAGAGCAGCCTCATAACTATAGGTGATTCATACTAGGTCTCACAGGAGTTCCAAACAGAATTCTGTAATGATTTTATATTGTGAAACCTGACATCTCATGGCAGCAACATTATCATTATCACCATAATTACATATATAATTACATGATTAATATTTATCGAGTAAATGATAAATGCTAGGCCCGATCTTAAACATTTCATAAGAATAATATTATTTAATTTTCACTATAATTCTGTGAGAAAGATGCTATCGTGATCCCGTTTTATAGAGAGGTTAAGTAATTTGACAAGATCACACAGTTATGAAATGGTAGAAGTTGTGTTTAATTGGCAGGTGTTGATTTTCTGTTTCATGTGTATTAGAGTAATTGTTTTTGTGCATCTTGTATGTTTTTAAAATTTTTTCCTAGGTTTGCTTTTTGTTAAAAAGTAAACCAAAACAAAACAAATGAAGACTATAAAACGAAAACCTTTGGTAGAACTTGGGCAAAAATGGTCTGGTCTTCAAGTTAGCATACCAAGTATGAAAATGTCATCTGTTTAAAAATACTAAGCTGCATGATTAAAATTTGACCTTGTGAAAATTTGCTTTCTAATTTATATGGCACACCACCTGAAGGCCAGCACAGAGAAATATATGACCTGTTTAAAACGAAAGGAAGTGTACCTGGGCACGACCAAGAATCTATCAAAAAAGCATCAGAAAGCTCCATATTAAGGTTAATAAAAATAGGTGAACCGCACATTTCAAAGGAGAATCTGGGACACTATTCAAATAACAAAGACTTAAAGCAGGCTGGGTTCACTGCCCAGAATAATAGGCACACGCATTTACAGAATGGGGGGATTTTGTCCACTGTACGCATGCTCATTCACACTCACATCTAACCCTACAACACCAGCTCCGAGAAAGTGGATGCAATGAAGGAAATGTTAACATGAGCAGTGACCCTAGTGTACAAACAATATCAAATTTTAGATTCTTTTTGTTTCCATGATAGTCTAATCTGTATTATCTTTTGGCTATATCAACCTTGACTTTGAAATCTCCAAATAAACATTTCAACCAAAATGTACGGCTATATTGTAATTTCAGCAAGAAGGGTTTTCATTGTTTGCACATATCTTCAAAAAGAAAAAAAAGTGTGCTTGGTAGTAATCAAAAGCACATTCTCGAGTGAGCATGCTTTGGTGGTATATTCTACAGACTGGGAAAGGTCCTACTTATCACTCCCAAATTTTCAGCATACATCTAGTTTCCTGATGTGCAGCGTTAAAAAACTGCTCTGACTTCTTTGTCTTTCTTTACTGTAGAGAGAATAATAGCTTCTTTGTGAATGGGAGAGCTGGGTCTCTAACTCCACAGAATGACCTTGGATTGGGGAAAGGTTCAGAAGTCTGTGTGTTTGTTACTATTACTATTGCTGCATAGCAAATCACCTCAGTGGCTGAAAACTGCAAGTATTTAGTACTCACAGTTTTGGAGGGTCAGAAATCTGGGAGCAGCTTAGCTGGTTAGAATTGCCTCAAGTTCTCTCATGAGGTTGCAGTCAAGCACTCAGCTGGGGCTGCTGTCATCTCAAGACTCGACAGGGGCTGAAAGGTCCGTTTTCAGACTCACGCACACGGTATTTGGCAGGCTTTAGTTCCTGTCCACACAATAGGTCTGCTTATAACATGGTAGCTTAGTTCCCACAGCACAACTGATCTAAAAGAAAGAGAGCATGCATACTCCAAATGGAAGCCACAGTTGTTTTTGCTTTTTAAAAAATAATCTAATCTCGGAAGCAACATTCCATCACTGCTGCCCTACTGTATTCATTACAAATGAGTACTAGATCCATCCCAGACTCAAGGCGAGGGAATTACACAAGGGTTTGATGACCAGGGATCACTGGGGACCAACTTAGAGACTGCCTATTACAGTCTGCATCCATTACCTGAGCTCCTGGACACCAGAGGAGCAGCAGAATTAGTTCTCCCTTTCTTCTTCTGGAACAAGACTAGTACAAACTAAGCACAAAAGGGAAGGGGGAGTATAACCAGAGCTGAGGCTGAAGACTATGCCAAGCTATGTAAGCCTTATTAAAGATTTTTGTCTATATCCTCAGAACAATAACAAACTCAGACTCTGCTTGCCTCAGTCATCCCTTCAACCACCGCTGGAAGACATTGCTGGCAGTGACTGGCCCTGGGGACTTCAGTGTCTTCTTGCGTGCCTTAAAGGCTAAGGTTCACATCTATGGCTCCAGTGTCCTACCCGAGGGTAGGTTAAAAGAATGACATGGGTGACTCAAGACTAGAGAAGTGCCTGGCCCTGTGAGGCAGACATATTAATAGTTTGAGAGGCAAGAAGTCGGGCCCCAGGTTCCCACCATGAGGAACTAGGAAGCCATAGAAGGAAAATGCAAATGCCACACACCTGCAGGTGCCTGGCGGGTAGCATAAATAAGTGAACCTGCTTAGGTGTAAGGGCATAGGGAATAGTGTTGGTGACTGTGACTGTGACTTTCTGGACCATTGACCAAACAAAATACATCAGTGAAGGCAAGTCTCTAGGATAGTACCACCAGCAGGGGGCACCTGCAGATGGTTTTCATTGTCACAAAATTAGGTTTGGTACTTGGGGATGAGCAGCTATTCACAGTAGAGAAGCTCCAGTTTGAAGTATCCTACACTACTTGAATTCACTACAGGCTGCATGGAGGAAGCAGCATGGCCACTTTGATTTCCAGAACTACCCGTACACAATGTGAAAAGAAGAATAGAGGTGAGGTGGATTTGGTTTTGGAGGTGAGTGAGCAGGTGCCTCCAAATAAGAGTTGGGGCTCAAGGTTTTCTTAAAAAAGATAGACTCTTGAAAAATTGCACTCTAGTTACATTAGTGCCAACTCATGAGGTCACCTGTTCTTTTTTCCCTCTCCCATTATCTCCCCTTTCTACCCCATTCTACCCTCTCCCTGATGCCCTATACATCACAGAAACTTGCCCTTGAGACGTAAGACTGTTTGGAAGGAGGTTGGAAGAGCTGGCCTTGGCTCAGAGAGTTGCTTTTACCTTGTGGTATCTTAAAGGTGCCACCTGATGTCCAACCATTCATAACAGACAGAGAGCTGTTGCCAACAAGGTCAGCAGAACATAGCACTAGAGAGCACCAGAGGAGACACCTAAAGATGTGGCTTTTGGCACATCATCTGGGGATGAACAAGTTGGGCCTGGACTAGGACGAAGCAAGTAAGACACTCCCTGAATCATGAAAATGCAGGGTCAGATCCTGTCTTTATTTAAAGTTTTGATATTTTGTTCATTGCGGATTTTTTTTGCGTTACTATTTTTCTAAAATATTGCATTAAAATATGATTTATCTTGATTACCGAGATTTTGGCACGCTTTAAACTTCGCACCTCAGGTGAGTGCCTTGCTCCTCTCATCCTAGTTCCAGCCCTGAATACCTTAACAGTTGAATCAAAGTTTGAACCAATTGATCTGGTCCATCAGCACCAGACCCTTCTGGTTTTGATTTTTTTTCCCTCCCTCTATCTCCTAAGAATGTACCGAAGCCAGCAAATAAAGGATGCAATAATTCTCTTCTGTATACCACAAGCTCTGAGCCTGGGCCAGCTTGGGTATTTCTGTACCTCTCTGTCTGTTATTATTATATCACACGCATAGCCTAAAACTGGGATACTTTTATCTGAATAAAAGATTATTCTGGTCGAAAGGAATTGTGATGGTTAATGTTGGATGTGCTTGTTCTTTTACCAAACTGATATAATGTTTTGTTTTGGTTTTTGAGACAGCGTCTGGCTCTTTCACCCAGGCTGGAGCGCAGTAGCACAGTCTCCACTCACTGTGACCTCTGCCTCCCAGGCTCAAGCCACTTTCCTACCTCAGCCTCCTGAGTAGCTGGGACTACAGATGTGCACCAGCACGCCTGGCTAATTTTTGTTGTATTTTTTGTAGAGATGGGTTTCACATGTTGCCCAGGCTGGTCTCGAACTACTGTGCTCAAGCCATCTGCCTGCCTCACCTCCGACAGTGCTGGGATTACAGGCATGAGGCGTGGCACCCTACCCCTATGGCATTAACTCCTAAAGCCACTTGAACTTTGCAAAGATAAAGGACTGTTGAGTTTTGCTCATCTTTTGTCCAGAATTGCCAGATGTTTGATACGGTACTCAACAGCTCAGTATTTTGACATTTTATATGCTAAAATAAAAATGAAAACAAAAGCGAATACAGAACGTGAGATTTTTCTCATTAAAATTTCTTCCTCGTGTGAAGCTTTCTGAGGCTGTATCTTGATATTTTTGAACCTTTGCCAGCTGGAAGAAAGGACAAAACAGCTGTTCTAAACTGCCAAGAAATTGGCTGGTGCATAGAAGAGGGAATTTGTCTTTGTTGTATATTTTGCCTTTGTCCTGGGAGTGATTATTTTGATCAGCACTTTTGGTTGTACAGATGTGAGCCAAATATCTAGCAGAGGGTAGCTCCTGATTTTAGTTAAGTAATTCACTGCTGAGACTTCAGATTATGATGTAAAGTGTTCTGCTTAATAGTGATAAAAGCTGACCTGAAAAGGGTGTTATATTCTTTTTTTTTTTTTTTTTTTTTTTTTTTTGAGACAGAGTCTCACTCTGTCACCCAGGCTGGAGTGCAATGGGACGATCTCAGCTCACTGCAAGCTCTGCCTCCCGGATTCACGCCATTCTCCTGTCTCAGCCTCCCGAGTAGCTGGGACCACAGGCACCCGCCACCACGTCCAGCTAATTTTTTGTATTTTTAGTAGAGATGGGGTTTCACCGTGTTAGCCAGGATGGTCTCGATCTCCTGACCTTGTGATCCCCCCGCCTTGGCCTCCCAAAGTGCTGGGATTATAGGCGTGAGCCACCATGCCCGGCCAAGGGTGTTATATTCTTTTACATAATACAGTTATGCAACGATTTTAAATATTCTTAGGAGATACACATTAAATATTTAGGGGTGAAGAATCTACATCTTACTCTCAAATGGTTCATCAAAATAATACTAATGATTGTGTCTGTGTGCTTGTGTGTGTGTGTGTGTGTGTGTGTAAAGAGAGAAAACAAATGTGGCAAAATGTTAACAATCTATGAAGCAATTGAAAGATTTACAGGACTTTATTGTGCTAGTTTTACAACTTTACTATATGTTGAAAATTTTAAATTTTTCAAGCTGGAAAGTTAAAAAAATCAGTGTTACTTTTCACTCATATGTGTGTATGAGTGAAAGTTATTATATATGGCTTCAGGGACCAGCTAGTAGATGGCATGATACAAGAAACAAAGGCAAGGACCATGGATATATATGGCTATCTTGTCCTTAGAGGTATTTTTTCTTTTTTTTAAGAGACAGGGTCTTGCTCACTGTCACCCAGGCTGGAGTGCAGTGGTGTGATTACAGTTCACTGTAGGCTCAACTCCTGGGCTCAAGTGATCCTCCCACCTCAGCCTCCAGAGTAGCTGGAACTAGTGGTTTGCACTACCATCCCTAGATAATTTTTAAATTTTTTTTTGTAGAGACAAGATCTCGCTACGTTGCACAGGCTGGTTTCGAACTCCTGGCCTTAAGTGATCCTCCTGCCTCAGCCTCCTGAAGTGTTGAAATTATAGGCATGAGCCACTGAACGTGGCAGCAATATTTTTTTTTTCTAATTCAGAATCCAATCCAAGATCTGAACTAGGATCATGCATTCCATTTAGTTATTGTTATCACTATGGATTTTTAAAGCAGTCTAGATTGATTGACACATGCTCCTTTGACTTGTACTGGAACTACTTGCCCCATCCTGGAAAATGACTCGGATTTTAGTGATGGTGTGATTGTCATGAATGCCTTGAAAGCTATTTATGAATTTATTCCAGTATTGTTTCTGGTCCCAGAAATGTATTTATTGACCCTAACATCAGTCCCTTCAATTTTTGAGAACTGATATCTATGTTCAAATCAAGGAGAATTATTCATGTAATTCACACAAGTCTTCCCTCACTATTCCAACCCCCTTTCCAGAAATTTACATACCATATTTCTTGCATGATTTCCCCTCTCCCAACGTCAGATACAGATAAATAGTGGGTGTTGAAAGGATAAAGGGGATTGTGTGAGTAAATTACCATCAGCTGTCTGAAGGCTTGGTTGTAATTTCTTTCCTTGAGGTTTGAGGTTTTTGTTATGGCTGACAGACAAGGCTAACCATTGAAAGGGATGGATCTGAATAAACACACACACACGGTTCACAGTAATTATTTATTGAATGAATGAATGAATGAACGAATGAATGAGATAATGCATCAGAAATACTGTGTACATTTTAAGGCATTGTCCCAGTTGTCTATTCCTGCATAAACACACACACACACACACACACACACACACTCACACACACACACTTCCTCAAGACAGATACAAGATGGGGGAAATGTCCACCTTTTCTGCTCCCTAGACCTCCAGCCAGCAAGTGAGGAAATCCACTTATTCAGCTTCCTTGCCAATGCTTTGGTCTCACATGATAAATCAGAAAGATGAGAAATGGAAAATCTGGGTCACTGGCCTAGCCCTAGGGAGCACTTTGGAGCAGAACTGAAATTAAAATTCATGACTTCTACACAGTATTGGAGTCCTGCCTAGTATGCAAACATTAATGAAAAATAGCTATGATTTATAGAATGCTTAAAATGTGCTAGACAATGAATTAAAAACTTTTCATATATTAGCTCATTTTGTTCTTACAGTGGCCCTATTAGGTAGTTATTATCATTAACCTTGTTTTACAAATGAGGAAGCTAAAGCACAGAGTTTAAGTCATGTCCAAAATTGCATGGTTGGAAATTGACAGAGGAGGAGGATTGGAACCCATGTCCCTGACTGTAGAGCCAGTAATCTTAACTGCTCTGTTGTAATGCCTGCCAGCAACCTCAGCTGCGCTGCACCGCTCTTTCAGATGAATGGGACCTTAGGCACTCACTCACAGGAGACCGGGAATATTTTTCCTTCTACCAGAGAAAAATAAAATTGTTTTCATCAATACTGTTTTTAAGTTAATTTTTTAATTGACAAATAGTAATTGCATATATTTATGGGGTACAATGTTTTGATATATGCGTATACTGTGGAATGATGAAAACAAGCTAATAATATTTTTTAATTTTAAATAAAAGCACTGTATTTTGCAATCCCAATGTATGATAAAATTTTATATTGCTAGCATACTTCAGTACTCTACTCAGATGCTACCTTCTTTAGAAAAACTTTTCTGGTGGAATTTAATTAATCACTCCCTCCTTCATGTTCTGCTTGGTGTAGCACTTTACCCGATCTGGTTTGTATTATGGTTTGATGAATGCTTGCCTGGCTTTCCACACTAGATTTTAACACTGGATTTCTACACTAGATTTTAGCAATGCCTAGCACATGCTCTGTGTTTGTTTAATTAAATGAATGAAGGTAACCACACTGTCCTTGAGTTTTACCAACTGTGGAAATAAAATTAAGTCCCATGAGCATTAGCTGCCTCTGAACTCCTACCTGTTCACTTAGGAAATTAAGTCCCTTACAAATTCCCCTGTACCCCACAAATACTTCTGCTTTTTCCAAGAATTATTTTCTCTTCTAAACTGCTCCTGGTCCTGATTTTGGTTGTTCCGAGTCACAGCTGGCACTTTGCCTACTATGTATAGTCTTCAGAGCCACACATCCTCCTCCAAACCCTCCTGCCCCATTCCACTCCAGCTACTGAAGGGCAGATCTTTTCATTCTTTTTTTTTTTTTTTTATACTTTAAGTTCTAGGGTACATGTGCACAACATGCAGGTTAGTTACATATGTATACATGTGCCATGCTGGTGAGCTGCACCCATTAACTCGTTATTTACATTAGGTATATCTCCTAATGCTATCCCTCCCCCGCCCCCCCACCCCAAACAGGCCCCAGTGTGTGATGTTCCCCTTCCTGTGTCTATGTGTTCTCATTGTTCAATTCCCACCTATGAGTGAGAACATGCGGTATTTGGTTTTTTTGTCCTTGTGATAGTTTGCTGAGAATGATGGTTTCCAGCTTCATCCATGTCCCTACAAAGGACATGAACTTATCATTTTTTATGGCTGCCTAGTATTCCATGGTGTATATGTGCCACATTTTCTTAATCCAGTCTATTATTGATGGACATTTGGCTTGGTTCCAAGTCTTTGCTATTGTGAATAGTCCCTCAATAAACATACGTGTGCATGTGTCTTTATAGCAGCACGATTTATAATCCTTTGGGTATATACCCAGTAATGGGATTGCTGGGTCAAATGGTATTTCTAGTTCTAGATCCCTGAGGAATCACCACACTGACTTCCACAATGGTTGAACTAGTTTACAGTCCCAACAATGTAAAAGTGTTCCTATTTCTCCACATCCTCTCCAGCACCTGTTTTTTCCTGACTTTTTAATGATCGCCATTCTAACTGGTGTGAGATGGTATCTCATTGTGGTTTTGATTTGCATTTCTCTGATGGCCGGTGATGATGAGCCTTTTTTCCTGTGTCTGTTGGCTGCATAAATGTCTTCTTTTGAGAAGTGTCTGCTCATATCCTTCGCCCACTTGTTGATGGGGTTGTTTGTTTTTTTCTTGTAAATTTGTTTGAGTTCATTGTAGATTCTGGATATTAGCCCTTTGTCAGATAAGTAGATTGCAAAAATTTTCTCCCATTCTGTAGGGCCTGTTCACTCTGATGGTAGTTTTCTTTGCTGTGCAGAAGCTCTTTAGTTTAATTAGATCCCATTTGTCAATTTTGGCTTTCCTTGCCATTGCTTTTGGTGTTTTAGACATGAAGTCCTTGCCCATGCCTATGTCCTGAATGGTATTGCCTAGGTTTTCTTCTAGGGTTTTTATGGTTTCAGGTCTAACATTTAAGTCTTTAATACATCTCGAATTAGTTCTTGTATAAGGTGTAAGGAAGGGATCTAGTTTCAGCTTTCTACATATGGCTAGCCAGTTTTCCCAGCACCGTGTATTAAATAGGGAATCATTTCCCCATTGCTTGTTTTTATCAGGTTTGTCAAAGATCAGATGGTTATAGATATGTGGCATTATTTCTGAGGGCTCTGTTCTGTTCCATTGGTCTGTTTTGTTTACCAAAAATCTCTGTTTTGGTACCAGTACCATGCTGTTTTGGTTACTGTAGCCTTGTAGTATAGTTTGAAGTCAGGTAGCGTGATGCCTCCAGCTTTGTTCTTTTGGCTTAGGATTGACTTGGCAATGCGGGTTCTTTTTTGGTTCCATATGAACTTTAAAGTAGTTTTTTCCAATTCTGTGAAGAAAGTCATTGGTAGCTTGATGGGGATGGCATTGAATCTATAAATTACCTTGGGCAGCATGGCCATTTTCACGATATTGATTCTTCCTGTCCATGAGCATGGAATGTTCTTCCATTTCTTTGTATCCTCTTTTATTTCATTGAGCAGTGGTTTGCAGTTCTCCTTGAAGAGGTCCTTCACATCCCTTGTAAGTTGGATTCCTAGGTATTTTATTCTCTTTGAAGCAATTGTGAATGGGAGTTCACTCATGATTTGGCTGTTTGTCTTTTACTGGTGTATAAGAATGCTTGTGATTTTTGCACATTGATTTTGTATCATGAGACTTTGCTGAAGTTGCCAATCAGCTTAAGGAGATTTTGGGCTGAGATGATGGGGTTTTCTAGCTATACAATCATGTCATCTGCAAACAGGGACAATTTGACTTCCTCTTTTCCTAATTAAATGCCCTTTATTTCCTTCTCCTGCCTGATTGCCCTGGCCAGAGCTTCCAACACTATGTTGAATAGGAGTGGTGAGAGAGGGCATCCCTGTCTTGTGCCAGTTTTCAAAGAGAATGCTTCCAGTTTTTGCCCATTCAGTATGATATTGCCTGTGGGTTTGTCATAGATAGCTCTTATTATTTTGAGATATGTCTCATCCATAACTAATTTATTGATAGTTTTTAGCATGAAGCGTTGTTGAATTTTGTCAAAGGCCTTTCTGCATCTATTGAGATAATCATATGGTTTTTGTCACTGGTTCTGTTTATATGCTGATTACGTTTATTGATTTGCATATGTTGAACCAGCCTTTGCATCCCAGGGATGAAGCCCACTTGATCATGGTGGATAAGCTTTTTGATGTGCTGCTGGATTCGGTTTGCCAGTATTTTATTGAGGATTTTTGCATCGATGTTCATCAGGGATATTGGTCTAAAATTCTCTTTTTTTTGTTGTATCTCTGCCAGGCTTTGGTATCAGGATGATGCTGGCCTCATAAAATAAGTTAGAGAGGATTCCCTCTTTTTCTATTGATCGGAATAGTTTCAGAAGGAATGGTACCAGCTCTTCCTTGTACCTCTGATAGAATTCGGCTGTGAATCCATCTGTTCCTGGACTTTTTTTGGTTGGTAAGCTGTTAATTATTGCCTCAATTTCAGAGCCTGTTATTGGTATATTCAGAGATTCAACTTCTTCCTGGTTTAGTCTTGGGAGGGTTCATGTGTCGAGGAATTTATCCATTTCTTCTAGATTTTCTAGTTTATTTGCGTAGAGGTGTTTATAGTATTCTCTGATGTTAGTTTGTATTTCTGTGGGATCGGTGGTGATATCCCCTTTATCATTTTTTATTGCATCTATTTGATTCTTCTCTCTTTTCTTCTGTATTAGTCTTGCTAGCGGTCTATCAATTTTGTTGATCTTTTCAAAAAACCAGCTCCTGGATTCATTGATTTTTTGAAGGGTTTTTTGTGTCTCTATTTCCTTCAGTTCTGCTCTGATCTTAGTTATTTCTTGCCTTCTGCTAGCTTTTGAATGTGTTTGCTCTTGCTTCTCTAGTTCTTTTAATTGTGATGTTAGGGTGTCAATTTTAGATCTTTCCTGCTTTCTCTTGTGGGCATTTAGTGCTATAAATTTTCCTCTACACACTGCTTTGAATGTGTCCCAGAGATTCTGGTACATTGTGTCTTTGTTCTCGTTGGTTTCAAAGAACATCTTCATTTCTGTCTTCATTTCATTATGTACCCAGTAGTCATTCAGGAGCAGGTTATTCAGTTTCCATGTAGTTGAGCGGTTTTGAGTGAGTTTCTTAATCCTGAGTTCTAGTTTGATTGCACTGTGGTCTGAGAGACAGTTTATTATAATTTCTGTTCTTTTACATTTGCTGAGGAGTGCTTTACTTCCAACTATGTGGTCAATTTTGGAATAAGTGCGGTGTGGTGCTGAGAAGAATGTATATTCTGTTGATTTGTGATGGAGAGTTCTGTAGATGTCTATTAGGTCCACTTGGTGCAGAGGTGAGTTCAATTCCTGGATATCCTTGTTGACTTTCTGTCTCGTTGATCTGTCTACTGTTGACAGTGGGGTGTTAAAGTCTCCCATTATTAATGTGTGGGAGTCTAAGTCTCTTTCTAGGTCTCTAAGGACTTGCTTTATCAATCTGGGTGCTCCTGTATTGGGTGCATATATATTTAGGATAGTTAGCTCTTCTTGTTGAATTGATCCCTTTACCATTATGTAATGGCCTTCTTTGTCTCTTTTGATCTTTGTTGGTTTAAAGTCTGTTTTATCAGAGACTAGGATTGCAACCCCTGCCTTTTTTTGTTTTCCATTTGCTTGGTAGATCTTCCTCCATCGCTTTATTTTGAGCCTATGTGTGTCTCTGCATGTGAGATGGGTTTCCTGAATACAGCACACTGATGGGTCTTGACTCTTTATCCAATTTGCCATTCTGTGTCTTTTACTTGGAGCATTTAGCCCGCTTACATTTAAGGTTAATATTGTTATGTTTGAATTTGATCCTGTCATTATGATGTTAGCTGGTTATTTTGCTTGTTAGTTGCTGCAGTTTCTTCCTAGCCTTGATGGTCTTTACAATTTGGCATGTTTTTGCAGTGGCTGGTACCGGTTGTTCCTTTCCATGTTTAGTGCTTCCTTCAGGAGCTCTTTTAGGGCAGGCCTGGTGGTGACAAAATCTCTCCGCATTTGCTTGTCTGTAAAGTATTTTATTTCTCCTTCACTTATGAAGCTTCATTTGGCTGGATATGAAATTCTGGTTGAAAATTCTTTTCTTTAAGAATGTTGAATATTAGCCCCCACTCTCTTCTGGCTTGTAGAGTTTCTGCCAAGAGATCCGCTGTTAGTCTGATGGGCTTCCCTTTGAGGGTAACCCGACCTTTCTCTCTGGCTGCCCTTAACATTTTTTCCTTCATTTCAACTTCGGTGAATCTGACAATTATTTGTCTTGGAGTTGCTCTTCTCAAGGAGTATCTTTGTGGCATTCTCTGTATTTCCTGAATTTGAATGTTGGCCTGCCTTGCTAGATTGGGGAGGTTCTCCTGGTTATTATCCTGCAGAGTGTTTTCCAACTTGGTTCCATTCTCCCTGTCACTTTCAGGTACACCAATCAGACGTAGATTTGGTCTTTTCACATAGCCCCATATTTCTTGAAGGCTTTGTTCATTTCGTTTTATTCTTTTTTCTTTAAACTTCTCTTCTTGCTTCATTTCATTCATTTCATCTTCCATCACTGATACCCTTTCTTCCAGTTGATCGAATCGGCTACTGAGGCTTGTGCATTTGTCACGTAGTTCTCGTGCCTTGGTTTTCAGCTCCATCAGGTCCTTTAAGGACTTCTCTGTATTGGTTATTCTAGTTAGCCATTGGTCTAATTTTTTTTCAAGGTTTTTAACTTCTTTGCCATGGGTTCGAACTTCCTCCTTTAGCTCGGAGTAGTTTGATTGTCTGAAGCCTTCTTCCCTCAACTTGTCAAAGTCATTCTCCATCCAGCTTTGTTCCATTGCTGGGGAGGAGCTGCGTTCCTTTGGAGGAGGAAAGGCACTCTGATTTTTAGAGTTTCCAGTTTTTCTGCTCTATTTTTCCCCATCTTTGTGGTTTTATCTACCTTTGGTCTTTGATGATGGCGATGTACAGATGGGGTTTTGGTGTGGATGTCCTTTCTATTTGTTAGTCTTCCTTCTAACAGTCAGGACCCTCAGCTGCAGGTCTGTTGGAGTTTGCTTGAGGTCACTCCAGACCCTGTTTGCCAGGGTATCAGCAGCGGAGGCTGCAGAACAGCAGATACTGGTGAGCAGCAGATGTTGCTGTCTGATCGTTCCTCTGGAAGTTTTGTCTCAGAGGAGTTCCCGGCCATGTGAGGTGTCTGTCTGCCCCTACTTGGGGGGGGCCTCCCAGTTAGGCTACTTGGGGGTCAGGGACCAACCTAAGGAGGCAGTCTGTCCATTCTCAGATCTCAAGCTGTGTGCTGGGAGAACCACTACTCTCTTCAAAGCTGTCAGACAGGGACATTTAAGTCTGCAGAGGATTCTGCTGCCTTTTGTTTGACTATTCCCTGCCCCCAGAGGTGCAGTCTACAGAGGCAGGCAGGCCTCCTTGAGCTGCAGTGGGCTCCACCCAGTTCGAGCTTCTGGGCTGCTTTGTTTACCTACTCCAGCCTCGGCAATGGCAGGTGCCCCTCCCCCAGCCTCGCTGCCGCCTTGCAGTTCGATCTCAGTCTGCTGTGCCAGCAATGAGGGAGGCTCTATGGGCGTAGGACCCCCCCGAGCCATGCACGGGATATAATCTCCTGGTGTGCCGTTTGCTAAGACTGTTGGAAAAGTGCAGTATTAGGGTGGCAGTGACCCGATTTTCCAGGTGCCGTCTGTCACCCCTTTCTTTGACTAGGAAAGGGAATTCCCTGACCCCTTGTGCCTCCCGGGTGAGGTGATGCTTCGCCCTCCTTTGGCTCATGCTGGGTGCAGTGCACCCACTGTCCTGTACCCACTTTCTGACACTCCCCAGTACCTCAGTTGGCAAGGCAGAAATCACCCGTCTTCTGCATCGCTCACGCTGGGAGCTCTAGACTGGAGCTGTTCCTATTTGGCCACCTTGGCTCCACCTCAGATCTTTTCATTCTTGTATATACAACAGTTTACTTGGACAGCCTGGGTAGTCAGGAACATCCATCCAAGCCACACTTCTGCCTATTAGGTTCCTCTGTTGTGCTAAACAACAATTTGAATTTATAAATTCTATTGAACAGTGTTTCATCAAGTGAAACTCCAGTTTCATTGTACCTAGGAACTTGCTTCTCTTACTGCCTATTATTTAATCTTTCTAAGACTCTGTTTTCTCTTCTATAAAAAGAGGGTTGTCTTGCTGGGATGCTCCCTTGACATGCTTCACTTATCTTTATCGCCCTTATCACCATCTGGCATATTGTAGTTATTCCTTTACTTATTATCTATCTAAACCAGTAGATTGTAAGCTCCATGAAAACAGGGTCTTTGCTGGCCTTTTTTTAAACTACTGTGTCTCTAGAATAAAGAGTAGTGCCTGACACATAATGGTTCACAGTAATTATTTATTGGATGAATGAATGAGATAATGCATCAAAAATACTGTGTCCATTTTAAGGCATGGTCTCAGTTGTCTATTCCTGCATAAACAATCTACCCCACAATTCAGTAGCTCAAAACAACCATTTTATTGTATCTTATGATTTTGTGGGTCAGTAATTTGGACAGGTCTCAGCTGAGCAATTTGTTTTCCCCATGCAGTATTGACTGGGTCACTTGCTGGTATTCAGTGGAAGGCAGGGCTGCTCTGGAGGTCCCAGGTAACTTCACTTATATTGTGTGCCTGATGCCTTTGAGGACTGCTGGTGGCCTCAAGACCTCTCCTCTCTATAGCTCCAGCAAGGTAGTCAGATTTCTTTCATGGCAGCTCAGTATATCAAGAGGCCTACTGGAAACTGCAAGGTTTCTTATTGCCCAGGTTCAGGAGTTTATGGCCTAGAACTGCATTCTATTGGTCAAGCAAGTCATGAAGACCAGCTTAGATCCAAGAGAGGGGAATTAGATTCTACCTCTGAATAAGAGAAGTAGCAAAAAATTTGTAGCCATCTTGAATCTACCACATTCCTTTTCCTCTGGCCACAGACATTATTACCACAAGCAAAATAAACTCACACTCTCCTAAAGCCCTCAAAAGTTTCCTGACATTTACTGCATCAGCCTAGAAGTCCACTTTCTCACCATCTAACTCAAATTCAGGTGATCATGAGGCTCCTGGCACTCAGCTCCTTGAGTATAGTTCCCCTTGATCTGAAGTCACTGGGGCTCTCACACCCAAGAAACAATGGGACAGAGATAGGATAACCATAATAGGCACTCCCATTCGAAGAGTCAGAGAACACAGGCATACAGCGGTCAGTAGTCCACAGCAATTTTGAAATCTAGCTGAGTACATATTACCAGTTCCTTGATTAGGGCCCAGTCCTGCTCCTGGGAATGATTCCCTCTGGCTATCCATCAGTCCTCTGGGCTCTTGGTTCCATTCTTTGAGCCGTTCTTCTTTTTCCCTAAGAAGTAATCCTTGTTTTTGGCTGGGTAACTTTCTCAGCCTGCTTCTCTGAGGCAGGTTGAGGGTCCAAAGGCATCTTTTCACTTTGTACTCTCTTCATCCTTTTCAGTCAGTCCATGCTGGTATAATTCACTTAAAAATGTTAAGGCGTCTTATATACTAATTGATAACGAACTTTACTAGGCAAAAGCCACACCCACATTTCATTCTGAAGCCAGCTTTTTCACCTTGCTTGGACTAACTGTGAGTCTGACATGGGATAACAGAACCTTAAAATTCTTAGAAACTCTTTTGTCCAATGGAGAGGTACATTGCCCAAGATTGTAGAAGGCTTTTTGTTTAACTGAAAGGATATATGAGGCACCACCTTAATTGAGGTCTTAATCATGGGTCTAGCTGTCACATCTTGGAATTTATTTTTGCCCTGAAGCCATTTCTTATTTTGAAAGCTTTCCCTGTCTAGAGAGATTGAGGATGAGAAGCAGTTTGATGTTTGAACCCAGCAAAGTCTACGGCCATGCCACCCTGAATGCACCCGATCTCTTCTGAACCCAGCAAGTCCTGCCTCTTTATAATTCCTCTAAATTCTGCTTAAAAACCAAATGGCTCCTTTTTTAGCCCACTTTTTTTTCTTTTTTTTTTTAATCAATATCTTATAATAATGTGGCTAAAAGAAACCTCTTTGTAGTTTTGAAATTCTGCTGAAAATCTCCTTAGCCAGATCCTCCCATTCATTGGGCACCTTTTCTATTTTCCCACATTATCAAAGACGAAAACTTTCTGCCACTACATAACACAGGTCATTTCTTCAGCCACCCCCCATAGTATTTTCTTTACTGTCCTTCAGTCTCTCCAGCAGTCTCCTCGATGTCCTTCCAATATTCACTAACATTTTTCTCGAGGCCTTTCTAACTTCTGTGGCAACCAGGTACAAAGTCATTGCCATTTGTTTTCAGTTTTCGTTATAGTGAAAGTCCACTTTCAGATACCAAATTTAGTTCCAGTTATCTATTGTTACTTAGTAAACTACTCCAAAACTTAGCACAATAAGCAATTTATTGTATCTCATCATTTTGGTAATCAATAATTCTAGCATGGTTCAGCAGGGCAAATTTATTCCATAGTGGCCACAGTTAGGGTTGCTCAGTTGTGTCCAGCTGATGGGAGACTGCTTCACACATAATGCCTGGCACCCTGATGGGAACTGCTGGTCGTTGTGCTCAGCTAGGCCCCTCCCCTTGTCATGTGGTCTCATGGCCTCTGCACGTGGTTTATCTAGCATGGTAGTTTGACTTATCCAGCAGCTTAGGCCTTAGAAGACATGTCCCAAGAGTCTCACATGGAAGCTACAAGGCTTCTTACTTACCTAGCCTGGCCAGTCAGACATCTCTTCTGCTGTATTCTATTAGTCAAGTAAGTCTCTAAGGGTAGCCCATATTAAAGGGAGGAGAATTAGATTCCACCTCTCAATGGGAGAAGTAGCAAGTAATTTGTGGTCATCTTTAATCTACTACAGACACTGTATCCTTGATCTCAGAATGATGCCTCTTTGTCTGGAAAGGGCATTTGTTTTTTAAGCCCAAGGTTAGAGAGACAGACATGGAGCTGTGATGGATCAAGAAGACATCATGTTCTGACTAACCAGGTGATCACAGGGATCACTGAAGTGACAGATGTTGCAGACATATTGTCCTCCTATCTAAGTCCCAGCCAATGTTACGTGTCAAAATTAGGGAAGCAGTACGCAAAATGGTTAGGCAGGCCATTCTGAAACAAAACTGATTGGTTTCAAATCTCAGCTTTGCCATCAATCAGCTTTGTGAATGTGGGCAGTATAATTTACCTCCCTGTGCTCCACATTAGTCATTTGTAAAGTGGGCATTAACTAGAGCCTACCTCAAAAGACTGCTGCGAGGATGAAAAGAGTTAGTATACACACAATTGTTAGAGGAGGATCTGGCAAAAATATATTAGACATAGCTATTTTTATTATTGATGTATAGATTATGCAGTAAACTATATCAACATCAATAATCCTTTTTACCCAGAAACAAGTTGGAGAGAAGAAAAGGAAAATGAATTTTAAAAACTGAATGAAAGGTAAAAGTATCATTGGAATATTTGGAGCTGACTGTAAAGACTGTGACACCTTCCGATTTTTTGTCCCTTATCATCAATTCAGGTATTCCCTGAAGCACAATCAGTTGACCAAACTAAGAGCAGTGCCCTCAGGAAAGAATAAAATGAATAGTTTAATTTATCAACATCATTTACCCAGGTTATTTGAGTTCTTTTTATTTATTTTTTTTTTTGAGACGGAATCTCGCTGTCGCCCAGGTTGGAGTGCAGTGGCGCGATCTCGGCTCGCTGCAGGCTCCGCCTCCCAGGTTCACGCCATTCTCCTGCCTCAACCTCCCGTGTAGTTGGGACTATAGGCGCCCGCCACCTCGCCCGGCTAATTTTTTGTATTTTTAGTAGAGACGGGGTTTCACCGTGTTAGCCAGGATGGTCTCGATCTGCTGACCTCGTGATCCGCCCGCCTCGGCCTCCCAAAGTGCTGGGATTACAGGCGTGAGCCACCGCGCCCGGCCGGTTATTTGAGTTCTAAGCCAGAAAACTGAGAGCAGACACACACATAACGATACTTGGTTGCAAAATGGAAATAAAAAGCAATGTGTTAGGATAGGCTAGATTATGCTCCAGTAATAAATAATCTCCAAATCTCAGTAACTTAATACAACAAAAATGAATTTCTTGCTCATTCTACATGTTCAATTAGGGTTAGCAGGAAGGCTCTGACCATCACAGTAACTCAGGGACTTAGGTTGATGAAAGCTTCATCTTATTGATCTTCAAGGATCAATAAAACAGCGGAAACTGAAAAGGGCCAATTATGTACTAGCTCTTAAAAATGTCTGCGTTCTTCCCAGAAGTGACCACATGAGACTTCCTCTCACGTTTCAGCCAACGAAACAAGTTACATTTCACTGTTCAAAAGTCATAGCTAAGTTAAAATGGGATGAGGAAGAATAAAGTTACCATGTATCTACAAGGAGAAAAGCTTAACAAAAAGCAAGAAAGCAGCACATACAGTGACTGGTGGATTGCATTATTGTTCCACAAATATTACTCTCCCCTCCTGCACTCTGTGGGCAGACTGTACTTTTCTGCACCAATGACTTTGGACTTGGCCATGTTACTTACTTTGGTGAACGGAAAATGGCAGAAGCGAGACTGTGCCAGTTCTGAGCAGAGACCAGTCATCATGAGTCTCTGCCAACTCTCTTGCACTCCTGCACTCTGCCATGAAAATGACAGACTTAAACCAATCCATACCTAAACTATAGATCCTTGAGGGAGAAATGGATGTGTGTTGTATAATACTGAGATTGGGGAGTTCTTTGTTGAGCAGCATTGTTTCAGCAAAAAGATGACTAATACAGTGACTCAACACAAGGATTTCATGAGACTGGCTACTACACATATGGTTTCCAAGAAAGGATATGAAATAAGACCTTACTAGCTAGTATTCTAAGAAACGTAAAGCAAAATGAGATGGTGTTACATTATTAGTATACTAGCTAGATATAGAACTAAAATATAACTATCCAATTATTTACAAATTAAATAAGAAAAAAAATAAAAGGAGAATTTCTAGTGCTTTTGAGGCTAAGATAATAAAATTAGAAAGTCCTTTTATCCCAGGAAAATCGCCTTTAGTCCATTCCTGCTGCTATAGCAAAATAGCTTAGACTGGGTAATTTGTAAATAATAGAAATTTATTTCTCACAGTTCTGAAGGCTGGACCAAGATCAAGGTGCTGGCAGATTCAGTGTCTGGAAGAGCTTGCTCTCTGCTCCCAAGATGGCTCCTTGTTGCCACAGATGCTGTGTCCTCACATGGCTGGAGGGACAGAGGACAAAAGGGACCAGAGCAATCCTTTCAACCTCTTTTTTAAGAGCACTAATCCCATTCATGAGAGTGGAGTGTTCATGCCTTATCACTTCCTAAGACATATTCCTAAAAGGCCCCACCCTGTAGTACTATAACACTCGGTGTTAAGTACCAATGTATGAATTTTGAAGGCATACATACATTCAACCATAGCATAATTCAAAAAAGGAGAATGATAAAGGCAGAAAGCTCTTCATTAAGGCATTATTTATAACAGTCTAATATCAGAAACAGCATAACTATGCAATAGTAGAATATTTTAAGTAATCTATGGTCCTACTAATATTATAAAATATTGTACACTCATTAGAATAATAACTATGAACTTTCCCTAAAAACATGGACAAATATTTACTAAGTGAAAGAAGGAGAATATAAACATATACCTAAGCTGTAATCGTAATTATGTAAATAGATATTTAATATATATAGATAATGACTAAAGGGAATTTGGAGAAATTTAAACATTTGTGCTGTAGCAGTGGTTATATGGGTGAATATTTTTCTTCTGAAATCTAACGCAAAAAAATTGTTCTTTTGACAATAAGTATAATTTTTAAAACAACAAGGAAATTTCTCTTCTCAAGAATATACCCATGTGTGTAAGAAAGAGTTGGTGTTTGGATTAAAAGATGCATTTTTTAAAGAGTGGGAAAAAAATGCAACACATTTTTAATATTGAAGATCCCTGGGTATTCTGAGTAATCTATATAACTTTCTGTATTTTTCAAATGTTTTTACAATGAATGTGCTATAAACTTTTGAAAAAAGTTATTTTAAAAATACATGAACGTATTTTCTAGCGTCACTTCTGAGACCCCACAGCTCACCTAGTTAGTGCTATCATTTCTTGAATCCAGTGAGCTGCCTGTAGACAGAGTTCCTCTCCACAACTCGGTAGCCCATAATTTGATTTGAGACAAAGCTAAATATAGCCCCAACTTTGGTATGAAGGATGGGAATCTGACTCTCCCTGCCTTTTCTTCCCCCCCATCAGAGGCAACAGGATATTCTTTTCAAGACAGGTGGCCTGTGAGCCTTGTCTAAGATCAAACTGGACCTTGAAATTTTTCCTGGTAACATTTTGAGCTCTGGAGCAGTGTGGTCCTACCAATAAATCAAGTGTTGGAGGAGTCTAGACTAGGGGCTTTTTAGACAGTTCTGCTAAACCTTCAAATGTTTTGTTATCCTCCCCTCCCCACCCCTACTTTGTACTAGTATGTAGGGGAACCAATCCAAGAGATAACAGACAGATGACAGGTTCCCCCAAGAACACAGACTCCCCACAGTCTCACCAATACCCAGGCATGCCAGGTTCTTCCTGAGTTAAATGCCTAGGAGGCCTGAAAGAATAAATTCATCCTGGAGAAGTCTTGTGGGTCGTAGCTTTAGAAATTCAGGGAACATATCTCTGGGGCCACCCAATGGAGAACACAGCCTGTATCAGAACCTTAGCAGAGACTTTGGGCCTTTTGGGGTCTCAAATTTATCATCTCTGAAACAAGTACAACGAAATTAACATTGCCACATGTGGGCACTATAAAGCCTTTTTCAGATAAAAAAAAAGGTCAGTGATAGTGCTAATAATAACAGTGATTATGTCATTTAATAAAACGGTCTTATTTGAAAGCTAAAAAGGAGCTTCAGGGTGGCAAGCACTCTAATTATAGTATGTCTGCCTTGTTTAAATCTTGATACATAAGTACATGGTACAGGGCCTGAGGCAATGCCATCTCCAAAGAGGCCTTTTCCATGATCTTAAAACAGTCACAAGGGAGTGTCGAGGTCCTGATGGCTACTGTCTTGAGGCTTTTCTAGTGTTCTGGGAGTCAGGAAGCTTCTCCCTCCTTGAAGCTATTGGTAGAGCCCAGTTGCTGGCGAAACTGAAAAACGAGGAGGTAGAATACCCTAAAACAGGAGATGTCTGGGATACAGGCAGCTAATAGGGCTGTAAGGTTTTGTTGGGATGCTTCCCTTCCTGATGAAGGGTCCTGTCCCTGGATTAATGGTGAAACTGGCATGTCACATCTCTAGGAAGACAACATCGTGTTCCATGACCACGTAGGGTATACATCTGCATTCAGCCGGGATTGCTCCTAAACCTTCCTAGACTCCATCTCTGGCTCTGGGGTTACCTGTGGGTGGGGCGATGCAGACACACAAGAAAACCTCCTCTACAAATTCTTCCTGTAGTTGGTTGATTGTATTCTAAGACCTTCGTTGGGATGGGCGAGGGACGGGGCTTGGTACCGCGTCCTCTAAGCTCTCTGCCCTCTGCCGTCATCATTCATCTGAGCCAGCGAGAGAGGGGTCGGGGAGACGCGAGGGTGGTTCAGGGGGCGTGTAACCTGGGCCGATTCTGCCCCAGCACACTGGTTGTCGGGAGCCCCGCCTCCGCTCGCGGTTGACA
Organism: Homo sapiens; assembly: GCF_000001405.40. Taxonomy (NCBI): domain Eukaryota; kingdom Metazoa; phylum Chordata; class Mammalia; order Primates; family Hominidae; genus Homo; species Homo sapiens. The sequence goes on from NC_000001.11 coordinate 148,844,396, forward strand.
GCTCAGCTGGTGCCGAGCAACTCGTGCCAGCCAGTCGTGTCTCAGCCTGGAGAGTGCGCGCACCGCGGCCCGGGCAGCCGCTGGCTCCAGCTCACGAAACAGCCCCGGGCGCCGCGCCGCTCTGAGTCCAGCCTCCTACTGAGAACAGTCCCTCCCTTGTGCGGGTCGCACGGCTAGCCGCAGGTTCGGCCACGTCAAATCCATTTTCTAAAAAAGCAGGGAGCAGAGCTCTCTCTTCGCCGCCGACGCAGAAAGGAGCTGGGGAGGAAAAAGCTGCTGCCTTTTGCGCTGGAGATTCGTGGGCAAGGCTTCTCATTTTCCCAGGCTGCTTCCCCTCCCGGGTGAGGAGCGTCCTGAGACTAAGGAAAGAGCCTGGAAAATGGAGCAGACCTGGACGAGGTAGGTGGGCTGTTTCCTTCTCGCCGCGCTCCAGACTTGGTGGTCCTCCTCCCTCCCCTCCCCCAGCGCCCTTAGGGAGAGAGAGGTCGCCCCTCACCACCAGGGTCCCGTGACAGCTTCCCTTTTCTGTAGCCTCGCCCTGCCTGGTTCCCAGCCCACCTCTCTTGGTCATTTTCACATGTTCTGTTTTACGGGGTTTCCCTTGCTTAATGACTCTCCCCTCCACCGAGTCCTGATGTTAAAAATACCCAGGGAGGCCGCCTGGAACTTTCTGTAGAAATGGTTCTCTGTCGTTTCCTTGTTCGTGTGGCTAGAGGGATTCCAGTAGGTCTTCTTGAGAGATATGTTTGATGTCAGATGCTTTGAACAATATCAGGTTTATTCTCACCCTGCCACGTTTTCCTTCTCAGCCTCATCTGTCACTACTCACACAAAGGCAAAGGGACTGAGTGAGCAGAGCCCAGCAGCACTCATCTCCACAACCTCCAGTTGGAGCCCACTTGGGGGAGGAATGGAGAAGGAAAGAGATCAGGGCACCACACTGCTCAGGCTTTATTGAGGCCAGGCAACAGTTGGCTTTTAGGTCAGATTTTGGAGATGGCCTGTGAAACTGCGTTTTCTTCCAGTCCTTCCCCCAGACACACTTTAAAATGAAGCCCCATTCAAGGAAAGGGTAAGGATAAGAGACCATGTATTGAGACAAAGACTTCGTTTCTGTTTTTTAGTGGGTGGGAGGGTAGGGAGACTATTCCAGCGGTGTCTCTATAACAGATACGCTTCCATCTGTGGGATTTAGCTTTGGAGAATTGGGGTGGGGCCAAATGAGCGCTCTGACTCCTGAGAGAGTGAAGACGGTACAAACACAGAAGGTAAATTTGGGGCTTATGCAAAAGACTTGGGTGCTTTTAGTTGATTGCTAAGCTCAACAGGAGTGAATGGTATAATGTGAATATTAAAGAAGGAGCAAATTGAAGCTTAGGGTTTGTTGACAGAAGAAGTAGGCTGTCTAGATTCTGTCTAGATCAAAAGTGATGATTTTACTTTTGGCTCCTTTCTGCTCCTCTTGGGCCTCTCCGAGAGGGCTGTGCTTAGTTCTGGGCATCATTAGATAAAATAAGTACAATCAAGAGACAGGAGGGAACTCAAAGCCATGCCTTGAGGGATGGCCAAAGGAAGGACCTGGGACTCCTGAGTCCGGAGAAATGACGACTGGGAGTGGGGAGGATGTGGTAGCTTCCTTCAAATTTCCGAAGAGCTATTGGTGGTAGAGGGATTGAATCACATTAGAATCTCTTAGGAGGACAGAACAACCGATGCAAGCGAGTTGTTGGGAGGCGAGTTATGGCTCAGTGTAAAGAAAAAGCTTTCTGGCCAGGTGCAGTGGCTCATGCCTGTAATCCCAGCACTTTGGGAGGCTGAGGCAGGCGGATCACCTGAGGTCGGGAGTTCGAGACCAGCCTGACCAACATGGAGAAACCCCATCTCTACTAAAATACAAAATTAGCCGGGCGTGGTCGCACGTGCCTGTAATCCCAGCTACTCCGGAGGCTGAGGCAGGAGAATCGCTTGAACCCGGGAGGAGAAGTTTGTGGTGAGCCGAGATCAAGCCATTGCACTCCAGCCTGGGCAACAAAAGCGAAACTCCGCCTCAAAAAAAAAAAAAAAAAAAAAAAAAAAAAAGACCAGGCGAGGTGGCTCACGCCTGTAATTGCAGTACTTTGGGAGGCTGAGGGGGGCGGATTACGAGGTCAGGAGATTGAGACCATCCTGGCTAACACAGTGAAGCCCCGTCTCTACTAAAAACACAAAAAAAATTAGCCGGGCGTGGTGGCGGGCGCCTGTAGTACCAGCTACTTGGGAGGCTGAGGTAGGAGAATGGCGTGAACCCGGGAAGCGGAGCTTGCAGTGAGCCGAGATCGCGCCACTGCACTCCAGCCTGGGCGACAGAGCGAGACTCCGTCTCAAAAAAAAATTAAAAAAAAGCTTTCTAACAAGTTAGCTGCCTGGGCAGTATGGGCAGTAAAGAGATTGTTGACCCTGGAGTTACTCAGGCAAAGGCTAGATGACCACTTGATGGTGATGGGAGTGAGTGTATCAGGGCCTTTTGCTCTCTGCCAGTGTTTTTCACACTTGAAGAAAAAAGTATTATTTATTAAGTTTTAAAAATTTTATATTTACATGTAACAATTTCAGACAAATTCAGAAATGATTTGGAAAAATCGCAAATTATATATTTACAGTCCAATTAATTTGACAAACTGAGTATACTCATGGGATGGGCATTCAGATAGAGAAAGGGAACATTACCAGCATCCCTGAAGCCCTCCTGATGACTTCAAGGATAATCATTATCCTAATTTTTAACACCATAGAATAATTTTGCCTAGTTTTGAACTTTATGTAAATGAAATTATACACCATGTACTCTTTCGTACGTGGCTCCTTTCACTCAATCTTTTGCTTTTGGAGTTCTATACTGTTATATGGTACTGTAGTCCATTTATTCTTGCTTTTAAATAGGCTTCTATAGTGTATAAATATATCAAATTTATTTGTCCATTCTATTCTTAATAGGCACTTGGGCAATTTCCAGTTTGGAGCTATTATAAACAGTGTTGCTATGAACATTTCTGTACAGGTCTTTTGATGAACATATGTACACATTTCTGTTGAGTAAATAAGTAGAAGTATGATTTCTGCGTAATAGGAAATGCATGTTCAGATTTAGTAAATACTGCCAGATTGTTTTTTTTTAAACAGATTACAAAAGAGATTTCTAAAGCGGGTATCCAGGCCAGGCGCGGTGGCTCACGCCTGTAATCCCAGCACTTTGGGAGGCCGAGGCGGGCGGATCACGGGGTCAGGAGATCGAGATAGTCCTGGCTAACACGGTGAAACCCCGTCTCTACTAAAAATACAAAAAATTAGCCCGGCGTGGTTGCAGGCACCTGTAGTCCCAGCTACTCGGGAGGCTGAGGCAGGAGAATGGCCTGAACCTGGGAGGCGGAGCTTGCAGTGAGCCGAGATCGCACCACTGCACTCCAGCCTGGGTGACAGAGCGAGCCTACATCTCAAAAAAAAAAAAAAAAAAAAAAAAAAAAAAAAAAAAAAAAAAAAAAAAGAGGGTATCCAAAGGGAAGAACATAGTGAAAAGGTGCTCCACATCACTAGTTATCAGGGAAATGCAAATTAGAACCACAACACCATGCTGCTATATACATATCAGAATGGCTGAAATTAAAAAGATAGAAAGTAGCAAATGCTGGCAAGGTGGACCATTCAGAATGTTCACATATTTTTTAACCACTACTCACAATAAGTAATATATTTACATTGCCACCAAGTACTCTTACATATGTAACAAAGTTTCTTGTAACAATACTTAACTTTACTATGTGTTTTGCACTCTGATATTTGCTATTCTATTCTTTTTCTTTAAAAATAAAATGTTGGCTCTGATTCACTGAATTTATTTCTCCACCTAATGGGTCACAGTTGGAAAAATCCTATAATCACAGATCATGGCTGACATCTCAGATCCTTCCTAACTCACAGATCAGATTAGTTCATAAACACTTATTAAAAATTTGAGGGCCGGATGAAATGGCTCACGCCTGTAGTCTCAACAGTTTGAGAGGCCAAGGCAGGTGGATGACTTGAGGTCAGAAGTTCGAGACCAGTCTGGCCAACGTGCTGAAACCCCATCTCTACTAAAAATACAAAAATTAGCCGGGTGTGGTGCCTGCACCTGTAGTCCCAGCTACTTAGGAGCCTGAGGCAGGAGAATCCCTTGAACCCGGGAGGCGGATGTTGCAGTGAGCTGAGATTATACCACTGCACTCCAGCCTGGGTGACACAGTGAGACTCTGTCTCAAAAATAAATAAATAAATAAATAAATTTTGAGAGCCCCAAACAGGTCAGACGCTGTGCTAGATGCTAAGAATAAAACAATGAATGCAATGAATGAGACTGGGTCTCTGCCTTTAATGGCTTTACATTGTCATCATCTATAATTTTAATAGAGAGACACTAAGGCAGAGATACGCAGTGGCTGCTCTGGGTACACAGTGGATAGGGGATTGAAAGAATAAAAATTAACCATAATTGATAACATTTATTAAGCTTTAATTGTGTGCTAATCTCTTTGAATACTTAATTCACCTAATCCTTACAACCCTATGAAGTAAATGTTATACTCATTTTTAAGAAAAGGAAATTGAGCTTCAGAAAGATTAAATAATTTTCCCAGAGTGACACACACAGCCGAGAAAGAAATATAGCCTTGAACTGTTTCATTCCAAAATCTATGCTTTTACTTTATTTTAGTAGAGTTTTGTAGGTGACTCAGTTTATGACTTGTTTCTGAAGCTAGCTACTTGCTCAATTTACCCACAAAGGACAAGGTGCTTGGTATTTTAGTTCTCAAAGTTAGATATGCTCTACTCCCAGCTACACATCATCTGCCCCTCTACAGCTCAATGGAAAGGTTCCCCCTACCCGCTGGGGCCGTTACCTGACTGTTGCCAAACTCACTGGTTAAATCATTTGGACAGAGCATGGTTGGCTCTGGAATAGCAAATTTTCTATGAATATACTGGCATTACAAAAAGCTGATTTGGTCACCAGCTTTCAGATTTATTTCCGTGAACAGGGCGAGAGTTGTCAAAAGAATAAGCTCATGGAGCTGATGAAGAACTTGATGATGAGGGGAGGTTTTCTCACCCGGCAGGTCCAGTGTCAACCAGGCAAACAGCTTCTACTGCTCTAAATTTTTAGCATCCACCTGTCTGGACTAGCAACTCCCTACACCTTCTGCTTTAAAGATTATCAGTACTTCAGGATTACTGTTTGTATTAATTTCCTGTTGCTGGTGTAACAAATCACCACAAACTTTTTTTTTTTTTTTTGAGATGGAGTCTCACTCTGTTGCCCAGGCTAGCGTGCAGTGGTGCAATCTTGGCTCACTGCAACCTCCGCCTCTCAGGTTCAAGGGATTCTCCTGCCTCAGCCTCCCAAGTAGCTGGGATTACAGGCACATGGCACCACACTCAGCTAATTTTTGTATTTTTAGTAGAGACGGGGTTTCACCATGTTGGCCTGGCTGGTCTCAAACTCCTGACCTCAAGTGATCCACCCGCCTTGGCCTCCCAAAGTGCTGGGATTACAGGTGTGAGCCACTGCGCCCAGCCAAATCACCACAAACTTAGTGGCTTAAAACAATACAAATGTATTGCCTTAAAGTTCTGGAGGTCAGAAGTCTGAAATTTGGTCTTCTAGGTTAAAACCAAGGTATCAGCAGGACTGTGCTCCTTCTAGAGGCTCTAAAGGAGAATTTGTTCCTTGCCCTTCATGGCTTCGAGAGACTGCCCACATTCTGGGTTCATAGCCCCTTCCAGCAATGCCATCACTGGCCTCTGCTTCTATCATCACATCTCCTTTGATCATTCTGACCCTCCAGTGTCCCTCTTACTAGGACCCTTATGATTACATTGGACCCAACCAGATAATCCAGGATAATCTCCTCATCTCAAAATCTTTAGTCACATCTGCAAAGCCCTCTCTTGCTATGGAAAGTGGCATATACACAGGATCTGGGGATTAGGAATGTGGACATTCTTATAAGGCCATTATTTTAGCCTACCACATCGTTCAATGCTGAAAAAGTCATTACTAATTATCTTCCCCATTTCAGTGGAAATGTTCTGGTTTCTAGCATATGAGAAAGCTGAGTAAACATCAGGTGAATCATATATGAACCTTATACAACTTCCCCGAACACATAACTCAAGAAAAGAGTGAACTAGAAATGTTTAAGGGCAAACTATAAGACTGAAGGTTAAAAAAGGAAAGCAAATTAGTCTGTTTTGTTTTGTTTTCTATTCCCCTGCAATTTGATTTAATAAAATGCAAGCATTAATTGCATTTGCTTGCTGTATCTGTGAAAATTTGGAAAATGGAAGTAACATTCAAGAAAATTAATGATCTGGTTTCAAAATTTAAGAATTTTGACTTTGTTTCTTTTCTGGAGTACAGCCTTCAAGCAAGACAAGGTGTCCATTTACCACAGCTATATTGTACTTAACAGATCTCCATTGATAGCTTATTTGAATTTGTTTTTCTCTATATAAATGTTTAGCCTAGAGGAATCAGGGACATTTATTTTTCTCTGAATTTATGGTGAGTTAGTAGAGAGTCCTGTTTACAAAGACATAGTTACAACCAGAGATATATGGCCACTGAGGTTAAAGTGGTTAAATGATTTGCTGGCATTCACACAACTAGTATGTGTTGTATGAAGGCCTAGTTAATTCCAGTACCTTTACTTATTATGGTGCTGGTGCTTTGCATGTAACACTTCATATTAGGAAAATGCTTGTTTTCAGAATTCTATTATTGAAACATCTTTGGAAGTTGAATTTCCTGTTTAATATTCAGCACTGCTAGCAACTAATTATCTGAATTTTAAGAAGGAAATTCTGCCTTGGCAACTCCAGTCTACTTTTAAATGGGCCTATACTTGGATTTCGGCTTGGGGAATTTGCCAGAATCAATGCTTTCACTCCTACTTGCTTATTTTCCACACACTAGATCAGTCTGGACCTGACTCCCCCAACCCCCATTTTTTCAGCTACATGCTAAGACTATGTTTAAAATACCTAAAGACTGGGAAGGGGTTGTTTTTGTCTCAGAAAGGATAAGTAACACCTCATGGTGCCGTCCCCATCCTGGGAGGCTCGCCTGACTGTGGCTGAGGGATCATATTTTCAAGGCTAAGTGGAGCATCCATCCATTCAGTGGATGCCCCAGGACACTACTTCTATTGAAATCTACCCCATTTTATAAATAAAATTCCAAACTGGGCTCAGAACATTCCACAAGCTGTCTCTGGCAAAAATTCAAATAGCATTTAAAGTTAGAAGAAAGTCCAGAATACAAGAGATGTCATATTGACCCAAGGTGGCTCTATGTGATTCTATTTTAAAACACTCAAATGCACTGAGGACTTGTTTTCCTCTGCCTCAGAGCATTTTCTGAGTTCTGTGGCCAGCAAGACAAGCATGATCTGAATTTCTTTTTTCTGAACGCTTATGGCTAAAGTGCTAAATTAGTCATAGACTATTTATAATAAATTGTATAATAATACTGTTTTATTTTCATAGCACTTTCACAGCCTGTGATTCATCTTTCCTTAATCTGTCTCATTATCTTCAGTCCTTTTCTGCTTGTTACATTCCACAGAAACGTCTTTCTTTCTTGTCTTTTCCAAGGCCAGTGAGGGAAGAGGTAACTTGCAACTAGTGTCTTCTTATCATGGTCATGGTGGAAAGGGTGGAAAGAAGCAATAACTTCTGACATATAGAAAGCATTCACTGGCCAGGCACAGTGGCTCTCGCCTGTAATCCCAGCACTTTGGGAGGCCAAGGCAGGAGGATCACTTGAGGTCAGGAGTTCGAGACCAGCCTGGCCAACATGTTGAAACCCCATCTCTACTAAAGATACAAAAATTAGTGGGCATGGTGGGGGGTGCCTGTAATCCCAGCTAATCGGGAGACCGAGGAATGAGAATTGCTTGAACCCAGGAAGTGGAGGTTGCAGTGAGCCGAGATCACACCACTGCACTCCAGCCTGGGTGACAGAGCAAGACTTTGTCGGAAAAAAAAAAAAAAAAAAAAAAAAAAAAAAAACTAGAAAGCATTGACTCACAAAGAAAATTGAATAATTTCTAGCATTTCACACAATTTAAGAATGAATTTATTTTCCACTTCATAATGTGGTATATTATCATTCATAATGTAGAATAACATGCTGTGGATTTACAGTGTCTTTTAAATCATTACGCCTAACCCAAAGGATGTAGACTTCCAATTTTTAACTATTATAAATAATACTTGATAAATGTCTAGGTGCATAAAGCATCTTCTTCCACAGCATTATTTTTTGAATGAGAGATGTTCAGAAGTAGAATAACTATGTCAACATTTCCAGTTCTTGAAAGTACATTGCAAATTACTTAAAGTTATAGTCCCATAAGAAAGATATTGCATTCAATTTAAATATCTTTTTCAAGACCTGAATCCCTGTATTGTAAAGGGGGAAACTGAGGCACACTGACATTAAAGTGGCATAACCTAGGTGAATCAATAGCAACATTTCCAACTTTTACCCTTCTCTAGGGTAAAATGCTTCACTGTTGCTGTTAATCTCTATTACTATCCTGAAACGTTTCCTGAAATGATAATAAACAGAAAATTTTAACATAAGAAAGTAAAAGATAGATGTAAATTACATCAAAACTATGTATACCTATTAGGATGTCTATTACAAGGACAGAGAAAAGAGAAAATAGATGCCTTGTTTGGTTAGGGGATTATGGGCAACATCCTTTATATGCTGCTTTTAAACTAAGTCAACATAGGTTTTTATTGCAGGAAGAAGTTCACATTTGTGTCTACCAAATGACAACATGTAAAGTTTGGAATTGAGTTGGTTTTAGGTTTTTCTGTGTATCACTTGGAGGTTTTCTGTGTATAACTTTCTTGTATTACTTGGAGATTTTCAGGTTATTGGCACCACAGGAGCAGCATTATTGCCAGCAGACCCGGGGAGCTGGTTGGAGAGTCATTGCGACTTAATTTACCCTGAGCTAAAATTATTATGAGTGGGCCTTAATATACCAGTTGTTCCCACCTACACATCTAGCCTTGCCTTTGCTGGGATAAATTTGTATACCCTTCAGAGGTTAGATTCAGAAGTACCTCCTTTAGGAATTATTTTTAGAACCTAGATCTGGGTGTAGCCAGAACACGCTCTGCCTACTCTGTTGTAGCATGTAGCTAGTTGGTTAACTTGATATTTTCCATACTCCAAGTTTATCGGCAGAATGAAACGTTTTTGTCTATAAGTCTTCAGCATCTAACATTGCCTCTAGCACTTAGAAGGTCATCTATTAAGAGCTTTCCAGAGAACATTCCCCAAAAGGCCGATGGGAATATCTGTTTGGTGGGTGTCTCCTTATTGTAGAATGGATACAACAGGTTATCAAACTTGACACCATTATACATTCAGATTGTATTTATCATTGTTTAAGAAATATGTGTCTTGTTTCCTCAGTTACGGGAAAAGAAAAAAAAAAGAAATACGCATCCAATTCCTATGATCTAGACTTCTTTAATGCTGGACAGATGATAGTGAATGATCTAAAAACCCTCCCTTCCAGAGACTGACATTCTAGAGGGGTCACTAGGCATGGACATACATCACTGTTATACCTTGACCTGACATAGCCTTAACTCGAATTCACTTCAGTATGCTATCAGCACAGCCATCTTTTGTAGCTCATCTTTCTTCCAGATTTTCCACCCTTAGGATCCTTAATGCTGAAATTATACTTCTTGACCACAGGTCAAGTCCCCCACTTCCTCATTCTTTCTGAATGTTGTTTACTGCGTCATGTATTCCAGTTCCTCAACTCTCTGTATCTTCCAGGCCATCTGCTGTTTATTCACCTCCATACTGAACCTAGACGTCAGAGTCAGCTCTTTGAATCGTGTTCTCAACGCTGCTTTAGAATCTCTAACTGCCTTAACCATCTCCCGGCTTGGTAACCCTTAGTCAATTTTATTTTAAAATCCTAGAGGATTCTATGAGTGTTGTTTTAGTATGTTATAAAACCGCACTGAGAAGAGAGACTCTAGATTCATTCTTGCTAATCCTCAACAGGTCTATAATGCTGCTGAGAAATTCTCCTCCTCCTCCCACCTGCCTCTTTCTCCTGCTCCTCCTTCCCTGACTCTTTCTCTTCCTCTAAAAATATATTCCTCACAACCTTTGATTTCCGTAGTGTAAATAAAAGCAAGATGCAGAACTGTTACATTCAATATTATTTCCATTTGCAGAATTCACACAGGCAAATAAACTGAAGAACAACTAAATACATACAAATCTTTATCAATGTTGCCTTCAGGTGGTAGAATTTTAAAGATTATTTTTATTTTTCTCTGTACACTTTTCTCTTTTCCAAAATTTCTACGAGGCATGTACTTCTTTTAAAATCATCAAAAATAGACATTGTAAAGAAAAGAAACTGAAAGATTATGTGAATATAAAAGTAGGTGGAAAGGGGAAAAAAATCACCTGTTTCTTAACATTCAGTCTAGGGCTCTAGAAAGATTGAGCCAACTGCAATATACTCCAGTGCCTTGTGGATATTAGTTGTTAATGAAAACTGAGGATTGTAGGGTGCATTGCCAGGACCAAAAGCAAAATGCAAAAGGTAAGTTTCAGAGGTGGGTGGAGAGACCATACACCATCCCTGGGGTAATGTGACTGAATCCAAAGCAGGTTATTTTCATGTCTTCTTTTGAAAGAGTGATACCTATGTCTTGGCTGATGCAGGGGAGGTAGAGGAAAATTTATTAGATATTTGGATATGTGATGACCTCAGAAGGTAAAGTGAGGAAAAATAATTACTTACTTATTAAGGGGTTTCTCTGAACCTTGATGGATAGCATCAAGAAAGTAATGTTAGTTTCCTTATTTTCTTTAGGATGAAGACTTAGTGCTGGACCAAAAACAAAACAAAACAAAGATCCCGAAACTTAAAGAAATTGTTGTGGATGCACGATGATTTTGTAGCTCACTGTAGCTATTGGGGACTTAGCACTCCAGAAAACAGCCTCTCAGAGTGATGGTCACTGTCAGTGAATAGACTTTGAGTGAAGGGTGTAATTGCAGCCTATACTGGAATAAAGTGGATGTTTCTGTATCGGTGCCAAGTCAGCCCACACTTAGTCAGCATGCAGAAGGAGGCTCACCGTGATGCTCTCTCTCCTCTGGGAGCTTTGCCAATTAAGCATCCTCACTTGCAGAGGTTATAATGATAGATCTTGAGATGAGAAAAAATGATAATTTCACTGTATTATATAATAGTCTTAACGTTCTGCATCTGGGGCTTTTACCCTATTTGCATTTGAATATGTGTTTTTACAATTCGGGTGCCACATTGTGGGAGGGTATTTGGCAACATTTGGAACATAGAAAATATATCCAGTGTCTCTCCTTGGCAAGAGGAAAAAAACACATCTGAGAAGTCTCAGAGCTTGTTCACTAATGCCTTTTCCACTTTGATTGTTTCTGTTTCCACCACCTTTCCCGCGTTTCAGTTTATTCCCTTGGGTAGGGACAATGCCAAGTGTTAACACGGGAGGGGTTGGAGAAAGATGTAAATATTCTGAAAAAAGTGGGTTAGAGATAGAGAAGTATAAAATGATGGATGACTCACTTTTCACGATAGGACCTATATAAAAAGTCACACTAGCCACTTCCGTTTTGGGATTTTAATTATTTTGTCACATGGCATCTGTTACACCAGTACTCAAATACTCAAGTGTAAGCTGTGCCCATCAGGGATAAGTTGATAGTCTAAGAAACAAATTTGTGTCAGGGTTTGAGACAAAAATCCCATCTCATCAGCACAGCAAACCGTCCACCCTTCCTTTCGCCTCAGCTTCTCAGGGGTGAGTTCCCTGGAGTCAAGGCAGGTACAAAGGAGGTTCCCTGTAAATGTGTGGTTAGAAATAGGGCATATTGGGAAGAGTAAAAGTTTGGAGTCAAATAGACAGTTTTCAAGTTCAGGCTCTGACACCAACTAGCTGTGCGATCTTGGGCAAATTACTTTATCCTTCCAGGCCCCTTGTTTCCTCATCTGTAAACAGGGATTGTATGACGTACTTCACAGGATTCTATGATGACTGAATGAACTGATGCCTAGAAAGTATCAGGCATTCAGTAAATTGCAGAGGCAGCATTGGTGGTGAGTGGTGATGGTTGTCCATGATAATAATATGTTCATTTAATACAAGATTAGTATTGAGGAAAATTCCAGTGCAAGAAAACCTGTGGAATTATAAAATTATGCACCAGCAGTCCAGAAATTGTTAACTGTAGATGTCTTTGTTTTTAAGTTGACACTATTTCTAAAATCTTACCATTTATAAACTGTCAGGGCCAGAGCTTCCCATATTAAAAAATAGGCCACAGTTCTTCTCATTCTGACCCTTTTGTGTTTGCCACAGTTGAATATAGCTGTAAATTAAAAATAGGAAAAATGCATCTTGGAACGTTTGAAAAATTTATTTCATTTGAAACAGAAACCAGCAACTCTTCTTAAATGAGCTCCAAGAATATGGGAATTGGAACACAATCTGCATTTGGTTCAATGCCTACTCCTGTGAGGACCCCAAGAAAGAGCAAACTTCAGCAGTCTTGCTGTCATGCCACACGCCCCTCACTGTTTGAGAGGCCACACCGAGCCGAATCCTTTCCATAGTTATCTTTTATCAAGGTCATTAATTAGGAAGAGCAATGTAAATTCAATAAAAATAGATTATTCAAACTTTTTAAAAATAAGAATTAGCCTTTTGGCAAAAATAGTAAGAAAAAAAGGGGGAGGATGCTCAGTATATTTTCCGCCACTCTAAACCTCCGGACTTTTTATTTCTCTGCGTTCTTTTCTAGTTTGTTTCTATGGGTATTTTCACAATAGTGCAAATCTTAGCCCCTTTCTTTTTTTTTTTTTTTTTTTTGAGACGGAGTCTCGCTCTGTCGCCCAGGCCGGACTGCGGACTGCAGTGGCGCAATCTCGGCTCACTGCAAGCTCCGCTTCCCGGGTTCACGCCATTCTCCTGCCTCAGCCTCCCGAGTAGCTGGGACTACAGGCGCCCGCCACCGCGCCCGGCTAATTTTTTGTATTTTTAGTAGAGACGGGGTTTCACCTTGTTAGCCAGAATGGTCTCGATATCCTGACCTCATGATCCACCCGCCTCGGCCTCCCAAAGTGCTGGGATTACAGGCGTGAGCCACCGCGCCCGGCCATCTTAGCCCCTTTCTTGCTGACATTATTTTAAATCATTTTGGGGGCTTCTAAGCTATAGTGTTTGAGGAGGGAGGTGCAAATGAAGAAACAATTTCACCCTTGGCTTCCCTTCATATTCCCACCTGAGGGTGAGCGCTTGGGGAGGAAGGCTTGAGGAGGGGGAAAGGTAAACAGGAAGTTGGAAGATGTCCTAGGAGGCAGTTTAGGGCTCCTCAGGGTGGGGGGAAGATGGAGCGGGGTGGTTGGGAAGGGGAAAACAAAATGAAAGCCCCCTGAACACACCGTTCATTTTCCTATAATTGGGTCTTTGTTATGTTTCCTTGTGTATTTACACCCATCCTTTAAGACCTAGATTCAGTGTTATCTGTTTTCTGTAAATGTCCTAGACCCCTCCGCCAACCACCCTGTCCCAGCCCACTCCCCACCAGGACAAAATTAATTGCTATCTTATTTATGTTCTGAAATCTCTGTTAAATCTAATTTTTCTAATAATTATCTCTCTGAATCATGTGCCTGCTTCCCTCAATAGATTCTGAGTACTTTAACCACAGGGTATATATACTTTTTCACCTTTGTATTTCCAGTACCTGGCATATAAGCAACTTCTCAATAAATGTTTACAAAATGGAATTATAAAAACCCTAAAAATAGCAATGAAGGCCCAGGTTTTCGCTCTAGGTATTGCTATAGCAGATTGTTTTTTCTCCTTCTGAATTTTTGTTCATAATAATAAAATATATATATATATATATAAAGAAGCTTGAAAGCTAGAAAACGCCTCTGGGAGATGGCCCTGGTCTTCAGGCTTAGAAATGTTAAGCAAGGGTGGTGGTTAGTGATGAAGTAGGAGGGCCAGACTATGTGGTTCTCAGAACAAACTAAATACCTGTGATTGGCCTGAAGAGAGGGCCTGAAAATCACCATTCCTTTGGGAGTTTAGACACTCATATGGGAATAAATAACCTTAGGTTAATTATTTTAGTAGGTGAGACTGGAGAGAAGAAAGTATGGAGCCTAGACAGGCATCAGTACCTTAGAAATAGTTTTAGTGGTGATTTTGGTCCTAGAATACAAATATCTCATACTGTTCAAAGACTCATAGAACCTGCTTTGTAATGATGATTACCATCTTGTCATTGCTTTTGAATGAGATGATTCATTCATATGATCTGTTGTTCCTCTCAGTCCACAAATTAGACAGACTAAAATACAAGAAAATAATACCAGAAATAACAGTTTACGGAGGAAGGTCTATACCTGCCTTATAGAAAATATCTCTCTCTGCAGGCTCCTAAGCAAGAAGAAACCCAAGTGTCTACCCCTCCCCACAATGTTATGAGAAACTAGACTAGTGGGACCAATGAGATGCTTGAATCTTGAAAGGAGCTATATCAGTGGCCAGTTTCAAGTAAAGCAAAACTGAGTGTTTTGGATAACCCTGGCCATAAATGAAACTACCATTCTTAGAAAATTACTGGAAGAAATCATCACAGGACAGTTTGAGAATGTCAGAATATCAGGGGGTGGCAGATGGCCTTCAGAGAAGCAATTATTTCCTGATCATTCTCAACTTAATCACCCTGGAAAGCCATAGAAAAACCAAGTAATATGGGATATTGAATGTTGATGTGTTATTTGAGTCTAATATCTTAATAGCTACTTATCAGCAACTCAAGAAAATATGAGTGATATACCATGCAGAAATCAAGCAGGTGAACAGCTTGTGAGTAGGTTGTACTTGGAAAATGCTTGGTACTTCCGAAAGCAAAATAATGTCCTGGTGAGAATATTAATATATGTGGTTTTAGTGGAATTGGTATTGTCATTAGCAGATTGATGACGTAGGGAGAAAGACAAGGTAAGACATTGAGGAAAAATATAGTTCATTTATACAGAAAAAGCAAAATTTTAAGTGAAAGCATCATGGGAGAAAGATTATATATGGAAATGCAGGAGAGCTAAAAGTGGCCTGGCGAACCACATATTAGCTGAGCATGAGTCATTCATGAATTGATATTTTCAAAAACTAGAGACACTTGAATTTGAGAAACTAGGACAAGGATATAAAATTTTTTTCTGAACTTGGGTAATACGAAAGAATGTACCAACATATATTACCACTTTGTGTGTGTGTGTGTGTGTGTGTGTGTGTGTGTGTGTATGTGTGTGTGTGTGTGTGTGTCCATGCTTGGAGTCTGTCTCTACCATACCCCAATTCTCCTTGCACTTTGGTTTATCAAATGTTGTCACAAATTGCAACCCCTTAGACTTATACTCTGTGTTTCTTCAGTCTGAGCCCCTTCCCTTGGGGAGCGTCAGATTCCTTTGTAACTTGTGGAGCAGCTGAGTGAGCCCCTTTCTCTGGCAATAAGAGAGGGAACTTGAGCTGTTAATAGAGCTAAAGTGATTTCTTAAAAATCTCCTGAGACACTGCGAGTATGCTTATTAACTCAGTACCCATCTAAAGTGACCTCTCTATCCTTCCAGTTATTGATTCATATCAGGCAGGCAGTGTGCTCAGAGTGGGTGTGGGTGATGCGGGAAGGGTGAGGTGTCTGGTAGGGCTGATATGTATTGCTGTGTTGTAGCTTGCTCTTGACCTATAATGTGCAATCTGCAGAGCAGAGAAGATTGAGTGAGATCATGTCTGGAAGGTATCCTGGATCCTTGGACAGTATTAAAATGGGTTTTATGCTTAAGCATCTATTAGAATAGAACTGCATAATTACTGCAAGGAACCTTAGAAAGTCATGTCCTTCTTTTATAAATATTAGAGAAAACTAATGCCCAGAGAGGTGAAAGTGACATGCAAGCCAATATAGTAGCTTGTTGCCACAAATTAATTAATTGTGTGTGAAGCCAATGGGTTTCTCAAGACTGTGCCTTAATAAAGCAGAAATGAAATTCTGTCTGCACTTGGTCTATACTGGGGTAACAGCATCAGAAACCTGCAAGATGCCAGGCAAGTATCATAATTAAGTGAATGAGGGACGACAAGGACAGGGAGTGGCAGGGACTGTGGCAAACTGGAAAACACATCCCTGTCCTGTGTAAAGGGGGCAAGTTCTCCCGCTGTGTGGGAAGGCAGGCCCAGTGTTGGCAGACCCACTCATTTCCCAAGAGCAGTTAGAAGTGGGTCAAACTTGTGTGGGCTAAATAAAACATGTCGGATGGGCTGAATTTGGCCTGAGGGTTGACCTTGCTCCTGACAGCAGATGCAGCCACCTTTGTCTGTGGACTAGGCAGAAATGCTCAGTGAATAGCAGCAGCTAAGTATAAATTTTTTCCCCACAGATTTTTTTAAGACATTGTTCTGGTTGATGGTTTTGACATCCTTCTCCTATTTTACCTCCACAGAGGGGAGTGCATACGTAGTACATTCCTCTTTGGCATTGTTTACTCTCAGGGAAAGCTTTTAAGGAGGAGAAGGGAAAGAGGCAGGGGGCCTGGAAGAATCACAAGCTGGTGATCTACTTTTGGATACGAAATAATTGTCAGGTGGCATGTGTAGCCCGATGTGCCCTGTCTGGTATTTTCATGTCCATCTGGGACTTAACAAAGTGAAGATTTCTGCCAAGATCCAGCCCTGAGGCAGGGAAGAAAAAACCACCAATTTCCAAGCAAATGCCAGGTCCTCCTCTGCCTCCCTGTGAATATCTTCTGGCTTTTAAAAAGAGAAGTCCTGTAGGCTGGGCGCAGTGGCTCATGCCTGTAACCTCTGCACTTTGGGAGGCCGAGGCGGGCGGATCACCTGAGGTCAGGAGTTCGAGACCAGCCTGACCAACACGGAGAAACCCCGCCTCTACTAAAAATACAAAATTAGCCGGGCATGGTGGCAGGCACCTGTAATCCCAGCTACTGGGGAGGCTGGGGCAGGAGAATCGCTTGAACCTGGGAGGCGGAGGTTGTGGTGAGCCGAGATCGTGCCATGCACTCCAGCCTGGGCAACAAAAGCAAAACTCTGTCTCAAAAAAAAAAAAAAAAAAGAGAGAAAGAGAGAAGTCCTCTACATCTCTGTTTACAGAATTCTTGGGAGCCCCCAAGAGTTTAAAGAATAAGCTACCTATTGAAAGCATCTTTCTGTAGGGTTATTGAAATCATCTGTTTCTGACATCCCCATCAGACAGTCAGTTGTCAAGACAGTAGATAGTCCCCCTTTAAAACATTAGTCACTGAGTCCGTCTTTCTTTTTGATTCACAAGACTCTAGTGGCTAAATGCCTCTCCATGTCTTGAAAGGCTTCAAACAGTCTGCGCCCCCTGCCCAGTCTTCCCATTACTTCCCTGACCTCACCTCCTACTGCTCACCACGTGCTCACTGCACCCAGCCACTAACTAGCATGCTCCCTCTTATGGGCCTTTGCATTTTATGTTCTCTGCTTAGAAGACTCTTTCCCTAGAGACCCCCATGCCTGTCCTTATGGCTTCATAGAGCAGCCTTGTCTACTGAAAATTGCAATCCCCTCTACCTCCTCCTACCTCCAGCTCTCCCTATCCACATTCCCCACTTTCCTTTTTTTTATAGCACTTGTTCCCAACTGCTACTATACAATTTATTTATTGTCTCCCCTTACTGTAAAAATTCCATGAGTGCAGGGATTTTTGTCTGTTTTGCTCACTGCTACATTTGTGGAGCTTACAACAGTGCCTAAAAGCACTTGTCAAGCATGGGCTTGAGAAGTATTTGTTGAATACATTTTGAGATACTGTCCCCTCTCTGCTAGGGATGGTGGTATTTACTATGCTGAACAGATACACCTCTTGCTACTGAATCATGGTGTTATTAACATTTCCACTCATAAACTTTGTCTGTTTTTCAAGGTTTCTGTGTCAATTCTACTTTCTAAACATATCTTAAATTTTTAAAATTTCCCCTTTGTTAAACCATCACAACTTCCTATTTGGAATATAGATTCTCACCATCCATTTTTGCCCCTCCACAGTCTCACTGTGTAGAGCCAGAATGCAGCTGGAATGACCTATCTAAAATATAAATCTGATCATTGCCATTCTTTCCTTAATTTAAAATCCTTCATTGATTTCCCGTAGCTTTTCACATTAGACTCAGTGGCCTTACCCCATACCACAAGGTCCTGCGTGGCCTGGTTGCAACATTGGCTTTCTTTGTTCCTCTAACAGGCCAGAGTCCTTTCTGACTCAGGGCCTTTGCTGTTCTCTCATGATGGAACACTCTTCCACTCCCATTCTCCCATTCTACACCTGGTTGACATCCTCCCATCTACGTTTAAATGTTCCTTTCCCTGAGTTTCTCTGAGTCCCTGTGCTAGTTAAGTTCCCTCTGCATTTTCCTTCACAACATTTACTACAATAGTAGTTAATTCTTGTGAAATTATTTAATGGCTGGCTCTCATGTACTTATTGAGAATAGGAACTCTTCTGTGGTGTTTGCCTTTGTATCCCTAGCACTTGACACGGTCCCTGATACATAATAGAAGCTTAGTAAATACTTGCAGAGAGATAAACAGAAATGACAAATAGGTAGGTGTCTTCTCCTCGATCCCTGGGATGGGAGCCTTGTGGGGTAGTATCTCATTAATTAATGATGTGTTTGCCTCCACAGAGATTATTTTGCAGAGGATGATGGGGAGATGGTACCCAGAACGAGTCACACAGCAGGTAAGGATGCTGTGGGCCTTGCCTTGTTAAATTCTTTGTTTCTTTTGTTTATTCATTTGGTTTTCTTTTGAGACAGGTTCTCACTCTGTCACTATGGATGTAGTGCAGTGGTGTGATCATAGCTCACTGCAACCTCAAACTCCTGGGGTCAAGCTATCCTTTCACCTCAGCCTCCTGAGTAGCTGGGACTATAGACATATGCCTAATTTTTAATATTTTTTTTTAGAGGTGGGAGTCTTGCTATATTGCTCAGGCTGGTTTTGAATGTCTGACCTGAAGCAATACACCCACTCCAGCTTTCCAAAGTGTGTGAGAGAAATTGGCACTTGGCCAATTCTTGGTTTTCTATTGATCTTAATTCTCTTGAATTATGGCCTCTTTAAATTCATCATGGCAATATCTTCAAACTTTTGTGAATTTCCAAATTTGCACATACTACTGTAGCAATTTCACACGAGAATTATAAGCTAGCTATAATTCTATGTACTGAGAAGCAGCATAGTACAGTAAATCATTACAGATACTTATGTGAATTCTTCATACTTTTAACGGTTCTGTAATTGCAAGGCTAAACTCACTTGTACAATGATTAAAATAAATTATGTTACTAAAATGAAATCTTTATCTTAATACACCATTAAAATGGGTATAATAGGCCGGGCATGGTGTCTCACGCCTGTAATCCCAGCACTTTAGGAGGCTGAGGCGGGCGTATCACCTGAGGTCAGGAGTTCAAGACCAGGCTAGCCAACATGGTGAAACCCCATCTCTACCAAAAATACAAAAATTAGCTAGGCATGGTGGCCCACGCCTGTAATCCCAGCTACACAGGAGGCTGAGGCAGGATAATCTCTTGAACCCGGAAGGCAGAGGTTGCAGTGAGCTGAGATCGTGGCACTGTACTCCAGCCTGGGTGATAGAGCAGACTCAGTCTCAAAAAAAATTAAATAATAATAAAATAATAAATAAATAAAATGGGTATAATGATAATGTTAATCTCATAGGTGAGATTGAGAAAAGCTTTTAGTACAGAGGCTATCAAGGAATAAGCACTCTGTATCTTATCTATTGTTACTATTAATGTATTCCTAACAACAGCACAATTATTACTACACTAACATTAGCCAGAGATCTACCTGAATTGCAAAACCAAAGGGAAGATAACATTCTTTTGGGGTCTATTTTCCACAAAACTTGTTCTCGACCTGAGGGTTTTACTTCCTTGCTAAGTTCTTTGCCTTTTTCATAACAGCCTGGAAGCACAGATTGTTTATATGCACAATTTGGAAAAAAGTTTTTAATTTGAATAAGTTAAGAATTTCAGAGTCACTTAAAATTAGTATTTGAAATGTGTGTTAAATCCACAAATTCCAAGGGTTACTGTGCTCAACATTTTAAATGTCAATATTCTACATTTTGAGGCAAAAATTGAAGGACTAGGGCAAAAATGTGAGGGGAATGGATAAAATGCTTACTACATATAATACATGTGGCAAGGTGCTTTTATTATTTTATTTAATCCATATAACAGTTCTATAAAGCAGATATTATTACCCCTGTTTTACAGAGGCAATATATCAGCAAAATTAAGAGATTTGCCTAAATTCCCACAATTAGCAAGTGGTCAGGATTCAAATCCAAGCCTCAAGGCATTGCTCTTTCTATCATAGCCACCAATCTAACTGTAATGTATTGTTATTCTGTTTTATCAGATTATCTTCCCCTTAGTAGTATATTTATTTTCACCTAAATGTGGAAGAAATCATTTTTTCTAATTACATTTATTTATTTATTTATTTTTGAGACAGAGTCTTGCTCTGTCACCCAGGCTGGAGTGCAGTGGTGCCGTCTCGGCTCACTGCAACCTCCGCCTCCCAGGTTCAAGCAATTCTCCTGCCTCAGCCTCCCGAGTAGCTGGGATTACATGCGCTTGCCACCACGCCTGGCTAATTTTTGTAGTTTTGGTAGAGATGGGGTTTCGCCATGTTGGCCAGGCTGGTCTTGAGCTCCTGACCTCAAGTGATCCACCTGCCTCAACCACCCAAAAAACTGGGATTACAGGTGTGAGCCACCATGCCCAGCCTCTAATTACTTTTAATTAAAAATTTTGCATTTACGTATAAACATTCAGAATATCACCAAAACAGGGGCAATATCATCATAATTATTTTATTATTATTATTTGCTATCACAGAGTAGTGTACAACTAACAGAACAATTATATTGGGTAAGCTGCATGAAAAACAATTGAAGAGGGAAAAATAATATCTCCATATATATGTAATTGATTTGTACTATGCACTAATAAAGCCTGCCTTAAATTTCTGTTCTAGTTTAAACCCCGAAACAGTACCAGGCAAGGTTAGTGGCTATTGAAAATATCATTAAGGACAGGGTTATCTAAAGACACACTGGATACTACATTAATTTTGCAAAAATAAAAAGACAGTATACAGTGTTCAGTTTAAAAACAAATCATATGATCTTACATTTCAGCTTTTTTTCTTTGAAATCAGTGGTGTAATGCGGAGTTAAATACTTTTAGGCAAAAAACAAACACATACACACACACTCACACAAAAACAAATTAATAAAACAAAAGCCTCTTTTAAAACCACCCTATTGACCATCATCATTTTTTTCTTCACCCTTTTCATCTTTCTATTCACCAATGTCTTTCCAGTCCTTTTTTTCTTTTCTTCTTTTTTCTTTTTCCAGTTTTTCCAACTTCCCCTTTCCCTGCATCAGACTTTCTTTTATCCCAGAATACAGCAATAGCCTTTATATCTATAATCTTAAAAGCCTTTCTTTCCTCAAGGCTGTATATTATCTGCAGCAGTAATTCTTCATTTCTTTCATTTCTCTCAGTTTTCTTACATCATCGCCAATGAATTAGCCAAGATGTTCTCCTGTGCTCTTTTGGTGAAATTTTCAGAACAAAACAAGAAAAAGGAGATCCCTTTGGTACATTAGAATCCTGGAACTTCTTTCTTCTCTCTCTTTCTCTCTCTCGTTTCCTTGTAGACAGAATATAGATTTTTGTTTCTTTCTTATAATGGGCCTGTTCACCTTCACCCTGTCTTCCAATTTTTTCTTTCTCTTTAGCAGAAATGAATTTCCATCTTTTCTGAACATAAAAAAAAGAAGAATTCTAAGAAGTTGACTGAAGCATCTGGGTGCTTTTTCTTGGGCTCCTTCTGGCAAGTTGGCAGAACGAAGGAAAGAAGGCAGGGAAGGAGGGAGAGAGGAGGGAGGGAAGGAAGGAAGGAAGGAAGGAAGGAAGGAAGGAAGGAAGGAAGGAAGGGAGGGAGGGAGGGAGGGAGGGGGAAGGGAGGGGAGGGGAGGGAAGGAAGGAGGCAGGCAGAGAGGTGGGGGAAAAGAGAAAAAATAAAGAAAGAGAAAGGAAGAAAGGAAGGAAGGGAGAGAGTGAGAAGGAGAGAAAGAAAAAGAGATAGGAAGAAAAGCATGCAAAGGCATTTTGCCTCTTACTCCCTTGGATCTCCTTTCCCCAAGTGTCTAGTTAACTTTTCCTCAGCCAGGCAGTCACCCAGTACCTGTTTTGCTCTTACTTGCCCTGACACTGTCTGTAGCGCTTAATGCTTTGCCATGACTGTCTTCTTATTTAAAAAATAGTTCCATAATAAAAGTTCATTATTTCCTTCTGTCAGCCAAGAAAGTATGTAGCTTTCTATGTTTTCTACCTGTCTGTAACTCCAACCCTGCCCCAACATGAGGTCCTCTGTGTACTTTGTTTGACAGAGGCTTTGCTTTCTCATTCTTTAACAATGTTACTTCTCAAAAGCAAGCATAGGGTTAATTACAGCTTAGACTCCACTAGGTTCTCCCAAAGCAATGCTTCCATTGGTTAATGGAGTGATTGAGTCTCTGCCTCTTTACCTGTTTTCCCCACTCTCAGACCTATTGCAATCCCTTTAATTGCTAAAATAACACAGTAGTAGCATACTGCTAAGAAAGACAGATGGAGAAAAGATGGGATTGGTTCTGCCACTTTTTAGCAATGTGATCTTGGTCAAGCAAACTTTCTGAATCTTTACTTATTCATCAGTAAAATGGACTTAATAATCACTTATGTCTATTTCACTGATTGCAGCGACTTCATAAATGAAATAATTCATGTGAAACTATTTTGTAACATGTAATGCCCTTTAAATATGTTGGCTGTTATAATTGTTACTATTACTAAATAGTAACCTGAAAAATTATCGGTAGAGATAGTTTGCTAGCAGCTTGGTTCTTTCCTTGAGACTGTTTTGGTTACCTTTTGTTATGTGACAAACCATCCCAAAACTTAGTGACTTAAAACAGGGGTCAGCAGCAAACTACAGCCCATGGGCCAACAGTCAGTTTTTATAAGTAAAGATTTATAGCCACACAGTGACACTCATGCATTTACACATGGTCTGTGTCTGCTCTGTGTTACAGGGTAGAGTTGAGTACCTGTGCCAGAGATGATATGACCCACAAGCCTAAAACACTGTCTGGTCCTTTAAGAAAATGTCTGCCCACACCTGGCTTAAAACAACAATGATTTATTATTTCTCACAATTCTGTTTTGGCAAACTGGGCATTATCGCTGCTGGTCTCACTTGGGATCACTCAACTGGCTGCAACTTTCTGATGGCTTGACTGAGACTGAAGGTCTCAGACAGCCTTGCTCACATGTCTGGCAGGTGGTGACTGTCAGCTGGGGCATCTTCACTTCCCTGAACAGCCTTTCCTTCTCCAGTGGGGTAGACCGACTTCTTCACAGCATGGTTGTCTTGGGATGCTAATAAGGCAAGAGCAGAAATGCAAGGCCTCTCAAAGCTAGTCTCTGGAACTCATACAGTAGCATTTATATCATATTCTGCCAGTCAAGGCAAGCCACTTTGCCAACCCAGATTCAAGAGTTGGGGAAATAGGCTCTACTTCTTAATGGCAGGAGTATCACATTGCAAAGGCCTATGGACCCAAACTAGTTTGATTCACTGGGGATGGCTATTAATATGATCTACCACAGACTACTTTAAGTAAACTGTTTCTATGTGGCCTAGATTGAGTTTGTATTTTGCAGAAACTGAATTCTGCTGGAATGTGCCAGTTAGAATGATCCTAGTGCTGTTATTATATAAACCTTTTTTTTTGTTGTTCTGTTTCATTGACAGCTTTTCTTAGTGACACTAAAGATCGAGGCCCTCCAGTGCAGTCACAGATCTGGAGAAGTGGTGAAAAGGTCCCGTTTGTGCAGACATATTCCTTGAGAGCATTTGAGAAACCCCCTCAGGTACAGACCCAGGCTCTTCGAGACTTTGAGAAGGTAAGTCATGTGAGTGGATAATTGTTATCCCAATTAGAAGCAGTACTATGGAATAGTGATGCCTGATAAAAATATGACCCATGGATTGGTCCGGATTATGGATGGTATTATCATTATGGTGTCTCTTTCAAGAGCATGTCCCAATAAACATATGCTCTGTCAGCTGTGTGCTGGGGGGTGTGGTTATGGACCCTTGCCTGTACAGCAGTCCCTCCTTTGGATGCCTCAAACTGCATAGTACTGAACCCTATATTTACTATGTCTTTTTCTATACATACATACTTAGGATAAAGTTTAATTTATAAATTAAATGTTAATGAGGCTAACAGTAGTTAATAATAACATAGAACAATTATAACAATATACCAGCATTACTACTCTTGCACTTTTACATTGTTAAGTAAAATAGGAGTTACTGGAACACAAGCGCTGTGATACTGCAACAATCTGATAACCCAGACAGTACTGAGTGACTAACTGGTGGGCGATATATACAGCCTGGATGTGCTGGACAAAGGGATGATTCAAGGGTGAGATAGAGTGGATGGCACGAGATTTCATCATGCTGCTCAGAACAATGTGCAATTTAAAATTTATGAGTTGTTCATTTCTAGAATTTTCTATTTAACATTTTCAGACTGTGGTTGACTGTGGGTAACTGACACCATGGAAAGCAAAACTGTGGATAAGGGGGGACTAACTGTACCAGTAAATGCTGCCTCATCACCTACACCCTTGGTTTACTTCTCAGATAAACTCAGGAAGTTTAAATGGCATTCTGAGAATCTGTAGCTGCAACATAGTGAGCCCAGGAGTCCCGGTCCAGCAGCTAGTATTAAATTCTCTGTTGCTAGCTTGGACCTCTCTCGATATCTAGGAATTGTCTGCAGTGTGCGGTGGCACAGTAACAACCATTTGTTTCTCAACAAGAATCTGATAATGTTGCTTGAACCTCCTGAACCAGTGCTGCATGCTCTGCTTCTTCATATGTTTGTCCTTAGATTTGACCAAAAACAATAACTGATAATGTAATACAGATTCCCCAGCTCCCTGTGAGCTGGGTTGAGCCCAGGAAGTCTGTACAAGAGAGCATGTCTACTGGGATTTAAATAGCCCAGAAACAGGCAGCCGGAATTTCTTATACTCTTGTGCTCTAAAAAAAAAAAAAAAAAAAAAAAAGGAAGAAAGAAATAGCTCTTTGGTGCCCCCTCAGGGATACCCAGCAAGCAGGTCCCACATAAATAATGTGTAAATAGTCTGTGAGATACTGGGGTTTCTCTCATTCTGGAATTGGAATTGATAACTTTTGACAGAAAAAAAAAAGTAAAATTCTAATCTCAAAAAATTTTGTGTTGACATGGGTTTACCCCATCTTCCCTCAATTTGTAAGTAGAAATATTTCACCAATACTTTCTGTACATCCTACCAGATATTTCTGTGGGCAAAGAATATGCACCATATAACGTGTGCCTAAGAATTAACAGCCTATTCTTCAAATTTTATGCTTAGCATTCTCATGTATACTGTGTGTATGTTTTTTTTAAGACATGGAGAGTTTGCATGGTAATCAAGAGGCTTTTGAAGACTAAACCTCCGAACAGCTGTGTGGTGCTGGTGGGGGAAGCAAGGATGCTAACACCCCAACCCCCTCCTTTTTTTGTTTTTTTTTTTTCACCTTTTGGATCTGCTGTGATGCAGAAAGGGCAAGCAGAGCTGCAGAGCTCCTCAAAACTGTGTGGGGTGCTCTCCAAAGGCCAGCCAGCCTGCATGTTCCTTTTCATTGAGAGATGACTGGAAATATAGAAGTGAGGGGTGTCACCTCCATTGAAAGAATGGGTGGCAGATATAAGGCCCAAAGTCCTTTTCTTTTAGAGTTTAGATCTAATATGACAGATTAGTCCTTATTTCTCGATGCTGGGAAACACTGACAGAAACCAAGCTAAGACGCAGGGAAAAGGCCAATAAGAGATAGTTTAAATCTCTCTCTGCTATGTGTCAAATAAAAAGTAAATAAAGAGGCTACAACCCACTTCAGGCTTGATCAGAAAGTCATTGCCGGTAAATCATGCAGTGTTGTGTCACACGTTTGTTCATTTTCATATCCATTCATCCATCCTGTGGACTCTGAATGACAGCACCTAAAATACAAAACGCCTCCATGAAAGGGTTTAAAAATTAGAGAAAACATTGGTTAGAAAAAATACAGGAGAGATAGGAACACATTCCTATGCCCTACCCTAAAAATGGTAAAATACTAAATAACATGGTATTTTCTGTAAAGTTTAAAATATGCATTTGGTAGCCTTGGGATATAGGATAGGTAGCAGTACTCAGAGAGAGGAGGGGACATGCTAAATGTTTTTTGCCAAAGTAGGGTTGACTCCTCCAGGGCTTAAAGACAAAGGGAGACAGGCCTGGAAGAAGCAGCCAGGAATCCCTTCTTATTTCATTTATCCATGCAACAAACACATGATCACATTAAATGAGATACTTTAGTTCCTGCCCTTAGATAGTTATAGTCTATTTGGAAGTACAGACATTGCATTAAATACAATATAGCATGGCAAGTGCTTTCATAGAGATAAGGACAGTACACTCTGAGATCTTGAGAGAAAATGTCTACTTTTATTAAAGGAGTAGGGAAAGGCCTCTTACCAGAGGACATTTCTCCTGGGGGCTTCACGTTGAGCAAGGTCTCCAAAGCTGAGTTAGATTTTACTAGTCAGGGAAGTAGAGTATAATATTCCAGACAGAGGGGAGATTTGGGGGAAGGAAGAGAGATATGTTCAAATAAGAGACTGGACTATAGAGAGGTAAGAAAAAGAGAGTTAGAACAGGAGAGAAGTAATACTAAAAGTACTCAATCTGTCAAAAGTAATTATAATTGTTCAGTAATGCAGTTACCTCTAAAATGTTTGCTGATGTAGGAAATTCTAGAGAAAAAAGGCTCTTTGATTACAGGGAAAGAGATAACAGACTAAAAATGCAAATACTGGCACATTATGGAACCAAAACATAATTAGTCAATTAACAAGCGAAAGTGACAATTATCATTTATGTTGGTGTAGAAAAAAGGGACAAAGAAAGCAACATTTCCAACATACAACAGTGTTTCTTTTCTTTCATTCTCCACCCACAACCAACAGCATGGTTGTATGTGTATACAAACTCCAATTGTATGTTTGTCAGGTTGAGGTCAATAGGTATTACACTCCATGATGAAAGGAGGGCATTGCTTAGCATATATGCTTCATTTGTATTTTTGAATGAGTGAGTGATTTAATTAATTTCCCAACCTTACCAACTTCGTTATGTAGGCGCTTTTCCCCACTCAGAGAATCCACTGATGAAGGGATTCTCTGTGGGTTTAGTGTATTGAGCAGTGGGTTTAGTGTATTGAGCAGTGGGTTAAGTGTATCTCATAAGTTGTTTTATTTTGTCTTTATAAGACACGGAACAAGCATCACTCTCCCCATTTTTTAAGTGAGGGAACCAGGACTCACGGAAATTGTGACTTTTTCAGGGCCATAAGTTTATGTACCATGATCATAAATCTGAACACATTATTGGATCAGAAATAAATTTTACCTACAAATGGTCACAATGATGTGTTGAGAAAAATCCCTTGCCCTATGCTTTCTCGCTGATCACAGCACCCAGCTGCAGCATCTCTGGAATGAGCAAGACTTCAGCAGCACATACATAATACTGGCTAGCATTTGATGATCACTTTCTATGTGGCAGATATTGCTCTAAGTATGTGACAGCATGATCTCATTTACAACAACCTTGTGAAAAGGCATGTTCACCAGTTAGAATGGCGATCATTAAAAATCAGGAAACAACAGGTGCTGGAGAGGATGTGGAGACATAGGAACGCTTTTACACTGCTGGTGGGAGTGTAAATTAGTTCAACCATTGTAAAAGACAGTGTGACAATTCTTCAAGGATCTAGAACTAGAAATGCCATTTGACCCAGCAATCCCATTACTGGGTATATACCCAAAGGATTATAAATCATTCTACTATAAAGACACATGCACACGTATGTTTATTGCAGCACTATTAACAATGGCAAAGACTTGGAACCAACCCAAATGCCCATTAATGTTAGAATGGATAAAGAAAATGTGGCACATATACGCCATGGAATACTATGCAGCCATAAAAAAAGAATGAGTTCATGTCCTTTGCAGGGACGTGGATGAAGCTGGAAACCATCATTCTCAGCAAACTAACACAGGAACAGAAAACCAAACACCCTATGTTCTCACACATAAATGGGAGTTGACTAATGAGAACACATGGACACAGGGAGGGGATCATCACGCACAGGGGCCTGTCAGGGGCTGTGGGGCAAGGTGAGGGATAATATTAGGAGAAATACCTAATATAGATGACGGGTTGATGGGTGTGGCAAACCAACATGGCACACGTATACTGTGCAACAAACCTGCACGTTCTGCACATGTATCCCAGAACTTCAAATATAATAAAAAAAAGAAAAGCCATGATTATTATTCCAGTTTACAAATGATGAACTAATGGCAAAAAGAATAACAAAGGAACTTGTCCAATAACTCATGATTGAGCCTGAAAACACCTGATGTCTTTGTGACCTAAAGATAGTGGGCATGTCCTATGTTGGGGAACTCAGCTGGTGAAAGTTTGGTGCTAATGAAGGTGTTGGCTTATTTGGAAATGGAATCACTAGTTCCTCCTATTTAGATTGATGCAGATTGAAATCCTACCAGATTCCTGCCTCTCTAGGTAAACTGTAAATCCACTTTTGTCTTCCAGTATTCTCTATTACATGATTTTTACTCTATTAATTCTGAACTGCTTGCAATTCAAAGCTGTTTCATACTTTCATTTATTTGTACCTGCTGTTCCCTCTGCCTTGAAAACCTTTTCTCTCCTATTGTTTATTTGGTTAAAGTTTACTCATCCTTCAAGATTCAGCTCAGGTGCCTTTTTAAATTTATTTATTTTTTAATTTTAGGATGCCTTCTCTTACTCTCTAATCCCAGAATATATACCAAGACTCTAAGCTCCTTGAGGGCAGAAAACACCTCTTGCCCATTCTTTTCTAGTCTCTAGAATATAGCATAATGTAGTACATAGTAAGTGCTCAGTAAATATTCATCAACTAAACTAGCTGAAAAGTATTAAAAATTAGATATCCTATTGGATTTGTATCTCTTCTGCCTCTACCTGGTATTCACAATAAGTTGAATAGTTTTAAGGAGGGTATTGGTGTGTTAGTTGATTGGGTAGGATGGGAAA
This sequence comes from Homo sapiens, assembly GCF_000001405.40. Lineage (NCBI taxonomy): Eukaryota > Metazoa > Chordata > Mammalia > Primates > Hominidae > Homo > Homo sapiens. Next base: position 148,873,909 of record NC_000001.11, read on the forward strand.
CTAGGAAGTCAAGAAATGTACATTTCTTTTCCACTTTATTTTTTTATTGTTCATTTTTTTTGAGAAGGAGTCTTGCTGTGTCACCCAGGCTGGAGTGCAGTGGTGCAATCTCAGCTCACTGCAGCCTCTGCCTCCTGGATTCAAGCAGTTCTCCTGCCTGAGTAGCTGGGACTACAGGCTCCCGCCACCACACCCGGCTAATGTTTTGCATTTTTAGTAGAGATGGAGTTCCGCTATGTTGGTCAGGCTGGTCTCCAAATCCTGGCCTCAAGTGGTCCACCCTCCTTGGCCTCCCAAAGTGCTGGAATTTCAGGCGCGAACTACGCGCCTGGCCTCTTTTCCACTTTAAATGGAATGATAAAACTAAAAATGAAAAGGACGGGAGAGAAAGAGTCTTTTTGAAATAATATTTGACAGGATTTATTAAGAAGATCACAATAGTAGCTAATAACAATAAATACTATTTGAGTGCTCATTATGCACCAGGTACTTTTCTAGATATTTGACATATTTAATTTAGTGTATTTTCAGTTCATTTTCCTAACTTATGAGATAGATATTATTTTTACAACCATTATACTAGTGAAGAGATCAAGGTTCAAATAACTTGCCCAAAGTTATATAAGAATAAAGTAACGGAACCACTGTAACTCCAATGATTCCAAAGCTCTTGGGGAAATGAAAGGACTCTCAGAGAAGGAGAGCATTACATTGGTGGAATGCCTGCATTTGGGTTTTTTACATAGAATCAACATGGCAGACGGTACAGAAAAGCCACGGAAGGGTGGGAGTCTTTGGCTATAAAATCAAGAGGGGGCCTCCACTGCCCTGTCCTGTTTACACATTTTTCTAATAATGTTGTCTTTAACAAGAAAATATCATCAAAACCAGCTGTAGTGTATGCCTAACTGTACTCTGCAGCTTTCCTTGGCAGTCTGAATCTAACCGCAGTGAGTCAGCCTGTTCAGGTCCCACCCATCCTGGTGAACTTTTCCACTTGAATCTTGAAGTCTTTGGGGAGAAAAAAGGAAAAAAAAAGTGCTAAAAGCAGAAGGCTTTTTCATTTTGGGGAGTTTCTGGAGCTCTGAGTTATCACAGTCTGGGTAACCTGTGCTAATTTAGGTTAATTGGGGTCCTGTCACTGCCCTCTTTATGTTCCACAATTTTGGTGCTTCTCGAGTGTTTCTCTCTAATTACAGCCTTGGAAAATGAATACTACTAGTGAAGTGCATTTTTATTTAAAAAAAATGCATTCATTCTTCCAAACCACAGTGTCCCAAACATACTGGTTTTGTTTTCACTGGTATCTTAAGACATTCAAAAAGTTACTAGGAGGCAGGGGGTAAATATTAAACTTTCAGCAATCACAAGTGCAGTTTGTTTTCCCTTTTCAATCTCATGTTTAAAAAGGGAAACAGAAGGCTTCCACACACAGGCATTCCACAGACTTTCCATGCAAAGTTTTCTTTCCTAAGCAACATTACCAAAGATATGAATCAAATCAATTACTTTTTTTCTTATAGAACTACAGAGTAAAAGGAATGCTTCTGAGTGCTGTAGAATATACAAAGATGGACATGAGATTCCATTCTCAAAGAATGTACAATCTGATTGGGGCATAAAAAAATTTAAATTATACAAGATTTAATTTAAATAACATCTAAGGCAATATTGAAAGAGATATTTCAAGATGGGAGTACTTGCCAAACTAATGTATGTTTTTAAAACTTAAATATGGCGAGGTGTGGTGATCATGCCTGTAATTGCAGCACTTTGGGAGGCTGAGGTGAGCGAATCACCTGAGGTCAGGAGTTCGAGACTAGCCTGGCTAACATGGTGAAACCCCATCTCCATTAAAAATACAAAAATTAGCTAGGCATGGTGGCACACGCCTGTAATCCCAGTTACTCAGGAGGCTGAGGGAGGAGAAGCGCTTGAACCCAGAGGGCAGAGGTTGCAGTAAGCCGAGATCGAGCCACTGCACTCCAGCCTGGGCGACAAAGCGAGACTCTGTCTCAAATAAATAAATAAATCTTAAATACTGGGATAGAACATTTTTTCTAATTTGTGCACGCGCGTGTGCGTGTGTAAACTTTTCAAAGTTGTAAATATTAGCTTACATTTGGTCATGCAATTAATAAAGAAACTTTATCAAAAAGAATGAAATTACAAAAGTTGGACAACCCTGAACATTCTGAAAGGTATGATTACCAACACAGAAAAGAGAGCAACCACTTTCACAGAGAATGTAGCACTTGAATTAGAATAATTCTTTTCGTAATTTTAAATTATCTCCTTTCTGTCTCCTCATTAAAACTTGTTTTCTTCTCTTCTCCCGTTGTTCGAAGAGAAGCCCTATCTTTCTTTCTGTGGACTTTGCAAAGTTTCCATTCTAATGATAATTTCCATTCCAATACTAAATTTAAAAAATAGCAACAAAGATCATGATACCAATTAATATTTGTAAGTGCTTACAGTGTGCCAAGTTCTGAGAATGCACTTGACCTTATTATCTTATTCAGTTCTCCTAATAGTCTTTTGAGGTTGGTACAACCATTGTCTTTGTTTGTAGAGAGACACTGAAGCTAGGAAAACACTAGTAATTGATGGCAAGTGCTGGAGCTGGGATTTGGACATAAGTGTACTGGTTCTAGTGCCTAAACTCTTAGCCACAATTTTATTATGCTTACTGATAGCTGACCCCCTTATTCATTTGTTTGTTAATCCACTCATCCATTTATGAGTGCATCGTGGGTGCCAGGCCATGTTCTAGCTGTTAGTTGCACAATGATCAAGAATGAATGTATGAAAATATGTATTTTCGGCCGGGCGTGGCGGCTCACGCCTGTAATTCCAGCACTTTAGGAGGCTGAGGCAGGCGGATCACCTGAGGTCAGGAGTTCGAGACCAGCCTGGCCAACATGGTAAAACCCTGTCTCTCCTAAAAATACAAAAATTAGCCAGGTGTGGTGGTGCACACCTGTAATCCCAGCTACTCAGGAGGCTGAGGCAGGAGAATCGCTTGAACCCAGGAGGCAGAGGTTGCAGTGAGCCGAGATTGCCACTGTACTCCAGCCTGGGTGACAGAGCTAGACTCCGTCTCAAAAAAAACAAAAAAAAAGAAAATGTATGTTCAAGGATGAGTGTTTATATTTCAGTATTCTCTATACCAATACAATATTAGTACTCAAGGTGAGGATTATTTCAAGTGTGGAATATATATACAATAGAACATTATAGAGCAATGTACTGACTTGGGAGGATGTCCATTATAACAAATTTAAGATTAAACAAAACAACGGCAACAGCAATTTGACTGAATATTACAAAAAATAAGATCTCATTTTTGAGGGAGAAAAGATGGAAATGTCTGGAAGGATACATACCAAAACATTGATATTGATTATGTCTGGATGATGGAATTAGCCTATTGCCTTCTTTATAACTGAGTATTATATTTATTTTAATTATCTATTCATTGAAAAAATATTCTAGGGCTTTTACTATGTGCAGCATACCTTAAGCATTGCAGATACAATATTGAATAGGCAAACATGGTTCCTGCCTTCATAGAGTCTACAGATTAGCAAATTCCAACAGAATGTAATTATTATTGTAATAGAAGTAAAGAGTGCTATGGAATATATAACTGGGCACTTACTCAATCTGAAGAGATTGGGGGATTCAGGGAAAGTTTCCTAGAGGAAACTGCATCTAACCAGGGTCCTGAAGAAGGAATAAGAAGTAGCCACTAATAAGGGGGTGGTAGTGTGAGAATGAAGAATGTTCCATGCATAGGAAATAGCTTGAATCAAGATCCCGATGAGAGAAAGAACCATAGTCAGTATTCCTAGAGAATGGGATGTAAGGAATGCAGAGAACTGAAACCAGAGAAAAGAGAGAGGAGTCATCATACAGAGTCTTGCAAGTTATGTAAAGGCTTTTAAATTTTATCTGAGCTCAAGGGAACTGCTGAAAGCTTTTAGACAGAGAGGTGACATGATCAGATTTTCCTCTTAGAAAGATCCTTTTGGCTTCCTTATGGCCTCTGCATAGGAGGAGTAGTCTAGAGGCAGAGAAAACAGTTGCAGTATTCCAGGCAAAGGTTGGTGGAGATGCCAGTATAAAAATTAGAGAAATGGACAGGTGAAAGAAATTTCAGAGGCAGAATTGATAGAGCTAAGCCATTGACTGGATGTAGAACCAGTGAGGCTGAAGAAACCCAAAGACGACTGATCACCAATTCATCTCTTCACTCACATCCTACCCACTGTCACCTTGTCGTAAACTTCCAGACTACCTTCACCTCTCTCTTCAATAACGTGAGTTATTTGTTCAAAGTCTGCCTTTTCTGTTAGAACATGAGCTCACTATAGCAGGGACAGTGGTTGTCTTTTCACTTCTAGATACAGTGATTAGCATAATGCCTGGTACATAGTAGGCATGCCCTTTTCTTTTCTTCTTTTTTGTTTGTTTTGAACGAATAAATGATGTCAAGTTTTCTTGCTTGGTCAACTACTAGGTTATGCCCTCCACTGAGAAAGAGAACAACTGGAACAGACAGGCACATGTAGTACTTTTATGACCACTGAAGCAACAGCAACACAAACAAAAAACAGTAAAGCGATTTCTGTTTTTGGAAGAAAAGTAAAGAAGATTCTTCCTGTTGTTAAGGAACTCCAGATCTACTGGGGAGAGAGTCAAACAGATAATCCCAATATACTGTGAAATGGGCCACAATAAGAGTAGGTCCGCAGTGCTGTGGAAGCATTCAGGAGAAGCCCTTGCCCAGGCATTAGGGCCAGATAGGTTTCTTTTAGTAGGTAATATCTGACTTAGATCCTTATGGGTGAGTTGGGATTAGTTAAGTGAGAGATGGGTGGGAATTAAAGAGAAGTGAAATTCTAGGCTAATGCTGCTACCCATGCAAAGTCCTGGAGGCAGCATGAGCCTGGTGAATTCAGAAATAGGAGGCTTTCTGTCATGGATGGAGCAAGGGAGGGTCAATCGGGGTTCATGTTGGCTCTATCTTTTCCCTTATCCCCCTACTTCTGGTCAAGGCATTATTGTTGCAGCCATGGGCATTCATGGTATCACTGTGGACTCTTGGTTTTTGGTTTTGTTTTGTTTTTTTTTTTTTTTAGACATGGTCTTGCTCTGTCATCCAGACTTGAGTGCAGTGGCACAATCTTGGCTCACTGCAGCCTCGACCTCCCGGATTCAAGTGATCCCCCACCTCAGCTTCCTGAGTAGCTGGGACTACAAGAACATACCATCACGCCTGGATAATTTTGACTTTTTAAAACTTTATTTTATTTATTTATTTGAGATGGAGTTTCACTCTTGTTGCGCAGGCTGGAGTGCAATGGCGTGATCTCCACTCACTGCAACCTCTGCCTTTCGGGTTCAAGCGATTCTCCTGCCTCAGCCTCCTGAGTAGCTGGGATAACAGGCATGTGCCACCACACTGGCAAACTTTGTATTTTTTGTAGAGACGGGGTTTCTCCATGTTGGTCAGGCTGGTCTCGAACTCCTGACCTCAGGTGATCCACCCACCTTGGCCTCCCTAAGTGCCACTGCGCCTGGCCTGTTTTTTTATTTTTTGTAGAGATGGGGTCTCACTGTGTTGCCCAGGCTGGTTTCAAGCTCCTAGCCTCAAGCAATCCTCCTGCCTTGGCCTCTCAAAGTGTTGGGATTGGCATCTCAAAGTGTTTGAGCCACAACACCTGGCAACTCTTAGCTCTTGTGGCCAGAGCAGGTCGTAGTCATGCCTTCAAAATTGCCTTCACTCCTAGAAAAAAATGGAGAAAGGATTATTTAAAATCTAGAGAAAAAGGTGAGCCCATAAGTCACTCTCTCTGAATTCCAGAAGCTCAGCAAATAATCTGAGTTGAACCAATTGTGAACAAATACCAAGTCCTGCTGATGTTGATTGGACCAAAGTGATGGAGAATCTAGTTTGGAGTCTGGTAATCCTTGGGAGGCCCCAGCATCACTGCAGCTCAACTGTCATTCCTGCCTTGCAGCTCATTTAACTGCCTCTGGCAGCACTATTTCTGGCTGGGCCATCTATTTTTGGTGGCCAGGGAAGTTGTTATTTGTTTCGTTTTGTTTTGATGTGGTTTACAGTGCTCTAGTGTGATGATGAAGATAACATCTGGTTATTCCAGGATTGGGGGTGTTGTGGGTGTGTTTCTATGTTGGGGAAGGCAGCAGGAACATCATCTTAACTCCTTTTCTTTATCCACATGATGAGGCTGCCTAAGACGGGGTTTATTAATCAACCTGATGCAATAGCTCTGTCATTAGTGCTCTTGTTATCAGGCAAGAAAAGGCTGTGTACAGGATGGGTATCAGTATGCTTCTGAGTGTTAGGGGAAAAAATGGAATGCTATTGTTAATATTTTAGCATTTAAGAGACTCTGGAACTTCAGGAATTATGTTAAAATTTCAGAAACAGAGTTTTAGAAGGGTGACTTGTTTGTTGATTGTACAATCCAAAAGAAAAAAGCAGGACTTTGTGGAATTCATAGTCAGTTTTCTGAAGCAGGTATCAGTAGTTGGCTTCTGAGACAAGGGCAGAAACACCATGTTGGCATAAAAGAGTTGATGAGTGGAACACCAAGTTGGTTGGCTCCGGTTGACATTTTCCTTGGTAGAATGTGGTGTGTGAAAATTATACATATTTTTCAGAACAGGCCAAATACGTATGTTTTATGTCAAAACATAGGTCATATGTTTCTGTTTTATCTGAGGGTTATCACAAAACTTTACCTTTTTGTAAAACTTAATCTGTGAATATTCAGTACTGAGAGCCACTTAGAGCATACTTCGTCTGACCCTTCTTTTAGGGCCCTATAATATAGGTAGGATTGGTATACAGAATATTTAGACATGATTCATTCTAAGCCATTTAGCTTTAACTGAACTGAATCAAATTGGACTTTAACTGAGTCTTTATCATTAAAAAAACTCTTATAAAAGATAAAGGATTGGGTTAGTTACTTCTCTCAGCTTTGGTTTATTTCTTTGTCTTCTTTTAAAAACAAAGCTTTATTCAAACGATTAACACGCTATACAGCTCATCTTCTGAAATCTTACAATTCTATGATTTTAGTATATTCAGAGTTGTGCAACCATCACCACTGTCTAATTCCAGTACGTGTTTCTCACTCCAATAGGAAACCTCATACTCATTAACACTCACTTCCCAGTTTCCCTCTCCCTGGTTCCTGGAAACCACTAATCTACTTTCTGCCTGGATTTGCCTATTCTGGACATTTCATGTAAATGGAATTATACAGTATGTGACCTTTTGTGTCTGGCTTCTTTCACATTATCGTATAATGCTGTCAAGGTCATTTGTGTTGTAGCATGTATCAGTACTTCATTCCTTTTTATGGCTGAGTAATATTCTATGATTTGGATATGCTAAATTTTGTTTATCCATTCATCAGTTGAAGGACATTTGAAATACTTCCAATTTTGGCTATTATGAGTAATGCTGCTATGAACATTTGTATATAAGATTTCGTGTGGCCATATGTTTTCAATTTTCTTGGGTATATAACTAGGAAAGGAATTGCTAGGCCACATGGTAACTCTTTGTTTAACCCTTTGAGAGCCAACTTTAGTTTATTCATCTTGAAAATGAAGAAAACAATTTTTTTTTTTTTTTTTTTTTACATAGATCCAGGTTGTCAGATCCTTTAGGGTCACCACCAGGAAGATTATTTACAGTGAAGGACACTTTTTGAAAAGGTATAGGGGGCCTGAGGTAGAAGAGGGAATACCCAGTTGCAAGTGAATCCCAGGCTCAGAAGGGTCATACAGTCTCATGATTAAGGACCTGATGCGTATGCAGTATGGGGTCAAACTGTTGGAGTTATAGTCTGTGCTCCTCCGCTTTCTCAGTGAACAAGTCAGTTAACCTCCTGATGTCTCTCTGTCCTAGGCAGTAAAATGGGGATCATCATGTCTTCCTACTTCAAAGGTTGTGGTAAAGATAAACGAAATAATACACATGGAAGTACTTTGTACATTGTCAAAACCAATGTAGATGATTGTTGTTGTGAAGATAGTATAATTGTATCTGATTAATTTTGTAATACAGGCCCAAGTCATTCAAAACAGCCAGGAATTAAACTTTTATTTGTATAATTCAGATTTTATGAGAACAGCATAGAGACGCCTAGACACAGAGATGTATTATAAATAAAATATGTGTATGTAAAATAAACCAGCCGTCTCTTCTCCCTGCCCCATCTCTTCTTGTCTATCCCCATCCCCAATCCAAAATAAGCTGGGCTCCTGGTTGTAGTTCCCTGGGTGCTAAAAAGCAGGAAATACTCCCCAGACATTTGTGTACCCTTCCCATAGGGCTGTTTTGAAAATATGACAATTAGCAAAGTTATAGGTTAAATCGTCTATTGGGCATCATCCTTGAGTCATTGTTACTGCTTTTGTCTTAGAAATATGGCGTCCTTTACATGCACTTACTGCTTCTGTAGCACAAGGCAGCCGGAGCTCTCAGTCTGAACAGGTAGACTCTCATTACCTTTTAGGGCTACAGGAGAGCTAGTGGGCATTCTGAAATTCTTCACAAAGTGATAGTTCTCTCACTGGCCTTTGGTAGGAGCGTTTCTATGAGAAAACGTGTTTCAAGCATAGAATTTCGGGATGGCCAAAGATCTTAAAAGCCCTCTAGAGCTAACTCCTAGCTGATGTGGGAAAACTTTTAACAGTATCCCTGAAAGGTGATTCTTGAGTTTTGGTCAAGCACCTTTTGTGACAGGAAGTTTATTTTGTCTCATGATGTATGTACTCAGTAAAAATTTGATGTATAAACATATGGATAGAGTGTGGCAATATCTTTATTACATCTAACTCTACTAGAGAATTCATCCTTATATCTAATTGATAACTGCCTCCCTGTAATTCCTACTTTCATTCCCTTTAAAATAGTTTTAAAAATTATAAGCTGTTTTACAAACAACAGGAATATACAAAGAATAATTAAACACTTGTCCATGTGTTGAATATCTAAATGTTAGAAAACATTATTTTTAGTTTATTTTCCTCAGGTGAAAAAACAAAAGTTACCATTACAGATACAGTTGCAACCTTCTTAGTATCCTGCCCAGATCCCAGTCTTCTGACTGTCTTCCTATACTTAACTATTAAGTAGTTTCCCCAAAATGACCCAATGAGAAAAAAGGAGAGCCGGGATTTGAACGCTGGTCTTCATGGTTCAAAGCTATTGCTCTTTTCACAGTTCCACGCTACCCACCCTAGATAAATATGTATAATAGTGATCATATTTATTGTCTATGTGTAAATTGATGTAAAGTGTCAAGGGTTACTTAAAGCACTACTCTTCTGTTTTTCTATTTGCCATATTAACTTATTTTTAAAATATTTTTATTTTCAAGGAAGGTAAAGGTAAGAATTATCCACAGATATCAAATTAGTACAGTTAAAATTGTGGAAGTTTGATTATATTTGAAAAGAATGTGTCCATTAAGAAGATTAATCATTTTTTGTTAGTGAAGCTTTATTTTTAGGAGAAAGATTGGTAAACAATTAATATGTTTTCAAGTACATACATTATATGAGCTAGCTGGGGGGTCTGAATATGATGAAGCAAATGTCAAGCTGGGTTTTTTAAAGGCAGACTTGACGGTTGGTTGTGTTAATGGGGCATGACAGGCAACAGCTGGGTGGTAATCCTCCTCCTACTGTTGGCATTGATTGAGTCTTTATTTACGTTGTATTTCTAGTCTGGACTAGAACGTTATTCCAGGGGTGGAATGAAGAAATTAAGGAAAAAGAAGGGGAGAGCCATTAAGGTTTGGAAGAAACATTCTGAGACCAGAGTAAAGATGTTATATGTACTAGGAGAAAAAGGAAGAACAAAGATAGAAGCACTTCCCCTTGCTCAAGAATCTGCAGTGTTTTATTTCCTAAGCAATGCAGAGGTTATCAACATATAGGCCTGTTTGCCATGAGCTAGTAGGTTGCCGTGTGCATCTCAGGTATGTGTGTTTTTGTTTGTTAAAGCTTTTTTTTTCTTTTCCAAGTTTCCACATGCAGCGCTGATGTTTGTTAAAGCTGCAAGAAAACAAATAAGTAAAACAAAACCTAAGCAATACACAAAGAAAATAATCTTCCCAGTCAGCAGTTCCTGGCCCTCCCCACCCCCACTGCCCTCCTCCCCACCTCCACTTCCCTTCCCCTCACTCTTATCCAGATTGAGAGCCAGGATCCTGGAGGGGCAAACTCCAGGCTTCTCACCCTGGCTTTCAAGATCTCCTTGAGACGGCTTTTTATTTCCCCTCATCTCTGTGGCCTATTTCAGGACAGTATGTGCCCTTTGCTTTGGCCTGGTGGGCACACTGCCCTTTCGCTTATGTTCCACCTGCCTGGACTGCCTTGTGTTCTCCCCACTGCCTATCCAAGCTCAACTCATCCTTTGAGACAAGCTAAAGTGCCAATTCTCTGTGGTACCTTCTCTGGCCACCTCTCCTTCCTAATTTTTATAGTTTTTACTTTTTTTTTTTCTGAGACGGAGTCTTGCTCTGTCACCCAGGCTGGAGTGCAGTGGCATGATCTCCGCTCACTGCAACCTCTACTTTCCAGGTTCAAGCAATCATCATGCCTCAGCCACCTGAGTAGCTGGGACTACAGGCACATGCCACCACGCCCGGCTAATTTTTGTATTTTTAGTAGAGACGGAGTTTCACCATGTTGACCGGGCTGGTCTTGAACTCCTGACCTCATGCGATCTGCTCACCTGGGCCTCCCAAAGTGCTGGGATTACAGGCATAAGCCACCGTGCCTGGCCCAGTTTTTACTATTTGTACAGTTCATATTGTCCTTTATAATTTGTCATATACGATTCCATATTTGTTCGGAACTGTTGTAGAAAGTCCAGATTCTGCATGGTGTATTAAAATGAGTCTGTTAGAGTAATTTATTTTACTTATAATCTTTTTATAAGGAGGAATGCTACTAGGTATGCTTTTTATCCTAAAACATCTACATAATCTTGTGTATCGATTAAGTTGTATTACTCCAATGAGAAATAAATCAGCAGGTTAATTACTCATCCATTCTTTAATTCAACAAATATTTATTGAGCACCAGCTATGTATCAGGCACCGTTCTGGGCACTGGTGACACAGCAGTGAACAAACTAAGAAAACATCCCACTTTTCTCAGGAAGTTTACATGCTGGTGGGGAGAGACAGACAAGAAACAAAATAAATAAGAAAATGTATTTTAGAAGGTGATAGTGCTACGGAATAAAAAACAATGAAGGGGGATTCGGAGAGCTGGGATGAGGCATGGGGTGCCTAAAGAGTATTCACTTCACCAAGAAGGTGACATTCAATCAAAGATGAAGAAGGTGAGGAGAGAATCGTGCACCTCCCTAGAGAAAGAGCAGCCAGGCAGAAGGGTCAACAAGTTCAAAGGCCTCGGAAAAGAAAGCTTCTCTTGCTTCCTGTTTTTGAGAAATAACAAAGAGAAACAGTGTGGCTACAGCAGAGAACAGAGGGAGAGTGGTAGGAAGAAGTAGAGGAGGTAATAGGAGAGGCAAGAAGAGGGTGTAGGGCCTCAGGCCTTGCAGTCTGGTGAAGGGACATCACCTTTCACTCTAAGTTAGATGGGAAGCCAGGGGGCTCTCCAGCAGAGGAGTAATCTGACGTATTTTGAAAGGGTCACTGTGGCTGCTGTGCTGAGAATAGACTACAAGGGAACAAGAGTGGGAGCAGGAACACCAGTTAAGGGGCTATTCAGATCATGTAAGGAAAAGATGGCAGTACTGTGGGTCAGGGTGGTAGAAATACCAGTGGCAGTAGTGGTAGTATAACATATATATAAAATATATATATAGTAGTATAATAGTATATATAATATAGTATTATATATTACATACATAATACAACAGCTACAACATATATATTATACTACCATATATGTTATTAATATATATACTATAATGTAGAATATACATAGTAAGATTTACAGACAGATGATATGTAGGAGAGAGAATGAATCAAGAAATGACTCAAAGGTTTGGGCTCAAAAATCTGAAAATATTGAGTTGTTACAAGTTGAAAAAAGGTGTAGTGAGGGAGGAGCATGTTTACTGGGAAAGATCAGGAGTTCAGTTTTAGATATCACAAGTATGTGATGTCTAAATTCAAGCAGAGATTTCTACTAGACAGTCAGATATCAATTGGAGTTCAGGGAAAAGATCAGGGTGGGCATGTAAACTTAGAAATGTAAGTGAACAAAACGTCATTTTTCTACGTCTTCTAGAATAAGTGTTCTACCAAATATAGTTTATTTAGGACTATTAAAACAAACTTTTTTCATATTATTGGAAATCTATGAGAATAATACAGGTGAGCCAGCCCATATATAACAAAGCAAAACGTACAATGTTTATGGAATATTTTCCTGTTCATTGATTCCACAAATATTTAGGGAGTGCTTCCTGAGTACTATGCAACAAGAATACAAGGACACAAAATATGCCTTGTCAGCTCTCAAAACACTCTAGCCAGGTTGAGGTCATCGTAAACAGACTGTGACAGCACAATGGGATGAATGCTGTTGGAGAGGTCTCAGGTTGTTATGGAAGCTGTAGGAGTTTATGAAGATGTATTAGTTAGTCATTGACTTTTTCCTTGGGCAGCTTCAGACTAGTTGGAAAGATCAAACACACAAAAAGTCGCGTAACTCTAAAAGATGTAAATAACCCTTCAAGATAACAAAAGCCACATCATAAGGCAGCATATGAACACTTGTTGAATGTTAATATCTGCCTTAGAGTTCAAAAGAGGAAGAAGTCTTTCCAGGCTAGGGTAAGAGGAAAGGCTTTGCTTGGGTGGAATTTGGGAACACTCAAGTTGAATGATCTAAGCCAAGAGTTGAATATGTACGGCTAGATCTTGGGTGAGAAGACTCGGTTGGAGATTTGGGAATTGTTTCGAAGGTGAAAGTATAGCCCTAAAAGTGGATAAAACCTCCATGGATAAAAATGTGAAGAGAAAAAAAAGTAGAAGGCTGAGGACTTACCATCATTTAAATACCCACTTTCAGGAGCTGGCAAAAAACACAGAAAAGGATCCAGAGAGATAGAAGAACAAGATATCATGGAGGAAATAAGCATAAATGTCCAACAGAAATCTAGGATGCATAAGAATACCCTGGATTCATACACAGTTTTACTTCCTGTAAAACTTTTATGAAATTATTTTACCTGATAAAGGAATCTAAGTAGACAGCCAAAGCATGATTAAACACTTATCTAAACTCTGGCAGCCTGGCTCCCCTTGAGCAAAATGGAGGTGATATTAACTGGGTTATCACCTTGAAGAGCTTAGACCAGGAAAGGGCCTTAAAAATCACTAATTTTGGCCAGACGCGGTGGCTCATGCCTGTAATCCCAGCACTTTGGGAGGCCAAGGCGGGCGGATCTCAAGGTCAGGAGATCGAGACCATCCTGGCTAACGCTGTGAAACCCTGTCTCTACTAAAACAATGAAAAATTAGCCGGGCGCGGTGGCGGGCACCTGTAGTCCCAGCTACTCAGGAGGCTGAAGCAGGAGAATGGCTTGAACCCAGGAGGCAGAGGTTGCAGTGAGTTGAGATTGCACCACTGCACTCCAGCCTAGGCAACAGAGCAAGACTCTGTCTCAAAAAAAAAAAAAAATCACCAATTTTTAAAGCCATTTCATTTTTTAAGTGAGGACAGTTAGGCTTCTAGAGAAATGGTCTATAACATAGCTATTTAGTAAGAGAACTGGGAATGGAAAAGGATATTTTGAGTTGTTTTAACTTAGACTTTTTTCTTCACTGTCTCTAACTAAGCCTAGTTGGCATTCTCAAATTCTAAGAATTCAGATTTAGTGAAAATAGTTAAATGGATTTTAAATGTGTAGTTTTTTTTTTTCAAATGGTAAATATTTGGGCTTGCCTATTTTGCCTATTTATAATCTAAATCTATTTGGGAGAATGCTTCACTCTAATTATGCCCTCCTGGGGCCACTTTATCCACTCAAACATTTTTTATTTTTCAAGGCAAAGTGCAAATTCAACTCCTAATGAAGCTTTCTCTGATCACCCCAGTAAGAACTGACTACTCTTTCTTACGGGCTCCCCCAGAGTCAACGTTTTTTAAACTCAGGCTGAAACTTATTAGTGGGTCATGAAATCCGTCGGGTGGGTCACTGGCAGAAAAAGAAATAGGAAATATCAGAGGACATCACACATAGTGATGGTGACAATTACTTTTTGAAACATTTACTTCAGTTAAGAGTGTATGCATATGTACTAGATGGCAATGTAACATACAAAAGTTGAAAAACACAGGTTTGGAGGATCATAATGTAAAACACATATCTTAACATATCATGGCCAGCTGTATGGCCACGTAGCTCTTTGAGGGTTGGGACATTCTTGATCTATATATCCCTCATGCCCAATGTCCTACCTGGTGAGTACTCAGGAGTTGTTGACTGGAATGATTATGAAGGTTTGAGAAGGAATTGGAAGAATGAAAAGCAGGTAGGTTGGGGAGGAAATGAGGGCTTGAATTAAGTGTAAATTTTGTAGTTTCCTTTATCTTGAATGTTAATATATATTTTTTCAACCTAATATTATTGCCACAAAGAACCCGTGTTTGTTATCTGTGCTCTGGGGTTGTCTCCCATCACCTTCAATGTAATGTGGTATAAATAATACTTCCTGCTAATGTTGCAGCTGTCACTCAAGGATCTTAAATTACTTTAGGAGCAAGATCTGGTGATGAGTGCCCGGCTCCACTTGGCAGGTGCCAGAGTTAAGAACCAGTGACTGCCTGAAATCTTTGGGCTCCAGGATGACGGCTCCCTCTCTGTCATCCTCCCACACTCTCTTCTGCCCATCCCTTCTTCCATGGAGGGAGGATCCCTTGACCCTGCCTCTTTCTGAGCTTTGTAACTGGTAAATAGAGTCTGCAAAGATTCCGCTGAGCTAGAAGATTTGCTCTTTCTTTGCGGGTAGCTATGGTGTGTTTCGGGGGAAGGCTCATGGCAATAAAGGCTATTAGTTGAACTGCCTCAGAGCTCAAAAAGCTTGGGGCTGAAAACTGCAAAGGAACTCATTAGAAGTGAGCTCTGGATTATCAAAGGAAATTGAGACTCCTCTGGTTAGAAGCTCTTTAAGATTTGCACTGGACAGAAAGGGGATATTTGACATGCGGTTACCTTTGTGGGCCGTTTTATGTACATGGTCTTTTCTATAGCAACCTTATTTCTTGCTTCTGGCCACACTCCTTTTGGTCTTATAGTCCAAATCAGCCACAAGTCATTTAAATACCCCCTCCCCACCCTCTATTTCCTTCTCTTCTTTGCAAACCCACTGTCACCTTGAATATCTCCCCTCCCCCTTTCCTGGAAGCTCTTGGGGGTCAGTCTCTCTTTTCCGAGAAGCTGTTAACTGCCTACAGTTGGGCCTGGGAGGCTCCAGGAGGGTGACAGCAGAGTCCTGGCTTGGAGTCGGGTTACACCACTTGTGTCTGAGTTCACGCAGCATGTTCCTCTGTCAGGGATTCCGCAAATATCTCCCTGAGGTAAAAAAGGAAAGTGTGCTGCGCTCCAGCACCCAGAGCAGTGAGCCCAGTCCCGAGTCCCGGAGAGAGCTCCAGCAATAGGGGCCATGTCGCCGTAGCCCCAGCCTCTCGGTCCGCAGCCTCAGCAGCGTCCCAGCCGGCTGGCTTCATGCTGCGGTGCAGCTGCACCATGTTCCTGGGTTGAGGGGGCAATCGGGCACGCTCCTCCCCATGGGTTGCCCATCATGTCTAATGGATATCGCACTCTGTCCCAGCACCTCAATGACCTGAAGAAGGAGAACTTCAGCCTCAAGCTGCGCATCTACTTCCTGGAGGAGCGCATGCAACAGAAGTATGAGGCCAGCCGGGAGGACATCTACAAGCGGGTGAGTGCAGGGGCCCGCTTCTCCGAGGCAGGGGCAGGGGCAGGGGACGGTTTGGCCTGCCAGTTGGTCGCTATTCTAGGCTCTTCCTAGCTGGCGCTGTGCTAGTCAGCGAGAGAGGTGGGGTTTCGTCCAGCTCTGGTCACCTTAACAACCTGTGACCTTGGACAAGCTCATTTCACCTCTCTGGTGCCTGCTTTCTGCTTTCCTTCTCTGTAAAGAAAGAGGACTGGAATAAATCAGAGCCTCTCTCAAACACTGACGTGGAACTGTGCGGAACAATCACCTTGGGAGCTGGTTTAAAATGTAGATTCCATGCCTCACCCTAGGGATTCCGATGTAGTAATGTGGGGGAAGGTGGGGGGAGAGGGTGGGGCTGGGGTGGATATTTGCATTTTTAAAATTTATTTATTTTAGAAACAGGTCTTGCCCTGTTGCTCAGGCTGGAGTGCAGTGTCACCATCATAGCACTGCAGCCACCAACTCTTGGGCTCAAGTGATGCCTTCTGGCTCAGCCTCCTGAGCAGCTGGGACCACAGGCACAGGACACCAGGCCCAGATAATTAAAAAAAAAAAAATTGGCAGGGCACAGTGGCTCATGCCTGTAATCCCAGCACTTTGGGAAGCCAAGGAAGACAGAAGGCTTGAGGTCAGGAGTTCGAGACCAGCCTGGCCAACATGGTGAAACTCCATCTCTACTTAAAAAGTACAAAAATTAGCGGGTGTGGTGGCATATGCCTGTAGTCCAAGCTACTTGGGAGGCTGAGGCA
Organism: Homo sapiens; assembly: GCF_000001405.40. Lineage (NCBI taxonomy): Eukaryota > Metazoa > Chordata > Mammalia > Primates > Hominidae > Homo > Homo sapiens. The sequence goes on from NC_000001.11 coordinate 148,890,662, forward strand.
GGAGAATTGCTTGAACCCAGGAGGCGGAGGTTGCGGTGAGACGGGATTGCGCCGCTACACTCCAGCCTAGGTGACAGAGCAAGAGTCTGTCTCAAAAAAAAAAAAAAAAAAAAAATTCGTACCAAAGGGGTGGCACTATGTTGTCCAGGCTGGTCTCAAACTCCTGGCCTTTAGATCCTCCCACCTCAGCCTCCACTGTTGTTGGTATTATAGGCATGAGCCACTTTGCCTGGGAAAATATGCATTTTTAAGCAAGATCCCTGAGGTGGCTCTGAAGCAGATCATCTCCAGGTCATACCTCTCCTAGAGAAAGTGCCCTCCTAGCTCCGGCTTGGTGGGGCAGAGAATGATGCTATGGAGAAAAGGGCAGGGGCTAAGGGTGTTTCCGTTCCTTGAGAAATTCATGTTTGCTTTTGAAGATGACTATGCAGATAAGCTTTTAAGACAGAATCTTAGGCATTTTTAGTCTTTGGAATAGCTTGCCTTAAAATGAAGAAGAGAGTAACCTGTGGGATAGCAGTTGGCCTGGGTGGAGTGGGAGGGGAAATGGCCTCTTCCTTGGATGGGAGGGCTATCTTGATTGATGGGTCAGTGATCAGGGTGGGGAAGGAAGACCTACTGGATTGGCTGAGCTGTGGGTGAGATAGGACAGCACCTTGATAAGAGGACATTGGGCTATGGGTTATGAGGATTAAGCCTCGTAGCTGGTCACCACAATATTGGTTTCCTCAGCCCTCTCTGTGTCTGGACAAGCAGGACCTGAAGTGGCCCAAGTGACCGGGGACTGGTTGCCTCTGACCTTATCAGAGATTCTAACTCTCCAACTGTTTACCCCAGAGGGCTATACAAATACCATTTTCTATGTGTGCTCTGTCCTGTCAAGAGGATGGATGACTGGGAAGCGATACAGGCTGCTAGATAACATCTTGGATCAGGGAAATAGCTGGTGTCTATGAGACCCAAATGATTATTTAGTTAATTCAATTAATGTGTATAGCTAAATCTGGGGGATTTAACTCTATTTCCTGTCTCTCCTGCATTTCCATGTTTTAAGTCCAAATTTTCCAGAAGTTGGTCCAGATTCACCTTTTATCTTTTACGTGGCTATGTAATGAGTGTGCCTCATTGGAGCTGCCACGTGTCAAGAAGGATATTGCCAAGTGAGGGTTGGTAACAGAGAGATGGCGAGAGACGGAGGATGAGTGGGAGGTTTTGCCTTAGGGTTAGGGTAGGAATAGTGGATGGATTTATTCACTGTGCAGAGGGAGGAACTTTCCCCATTAACTGTCTTCAGGGCAAAGAAGGAAAGGACAATTTCTTAGGTAATTTGAGGGAAAGGATTTTGTTGTTGTTGTTGTTGTTCTGAGACAGAGTCTCACTCTGTCGCCCAGGCTAGAGTGCAGTGGCACGATCTCAGCTCACTGCAACCTCCGCCTCCTGGGTTCAAGCGATTCTCTGGAGTAGCTGGGACTACAGACCCCTGCTACCACACCTGGCTAATTTTCGTATTTTTAATAGAGGCGGGGTTTTACCATGTTGGCCAGGCTGGTCTCAAACTCCTGACCTCAGGCGATCCACCCGCCTCAGCCTCCCAAAGTACTGGGATTACAGGCGTGAGCCACTGCGCCCCACCAGGATTTTTTTTTTTTTTAAAGCTGAATCAGATGGCTGTCTGGATCATTTGATCTCACTCTCTGCTCCGCCCTAGCGAAAGATCTTTAGGAAACAACTTTGGGTGGGGTGTGAGAAGGCACCATTTCTCACCTGGAGAAGTGTGATAAATGAGATTATAGGAGCTGCACAAGGTGTATGTGGGGGGAGTGGAACACAGCCTATTGTCACATGCAGAGAGGACAACCCTTTTGCTGGACTCTAGTATTGCCATGGGTCCCATACAGGAAGTAGATATGGCCCTGTCTCTATCTAGTCTTACGTGTTAGCAGAGTTGTCAGGCAGCTACTGCATCATATGATTTGAGGGATCTCAAACTACTGTATCCCCTCCTCTTCCTTCTCATCAAATGTTTGTTCAATCTGCCTGTCATATTAATTTTCTCATTTGGCTATGATTATTTGAAAAGCGCTAAAGGCTTGTGCTAAAATGTTCTTATTACTTGGGAAACAGAACACATAAAGCCATTATCAATCATTCAGAGTTGAAATTAGTTTACCACACTATGTCATGATGAGTGATTGATAGGAACTAGAGCCGTTCTGGTTTATTTTATTTTTTGAGACAGGGTCTCGCTCTGTCACCCAGGCTAGAGTGCAGTGGCACCGTCACGACTCACTGCAGCCTTGACCTCCTGGGCTCAAATGATCCTCCCACCCCAGCCTCCCAAGTAGCTGGGACCACAGGTGTGCCACCACACCTGGCTAATTATTTATATATATATGTGTGTGTCTGTGTGTGTGTGTGTGTGTGTGTGTGTGTGTGTGTGTATGTATTTTTTTTTTTTTTTTTTTGGCAGAGATTGAGGTCTCACTCACTATGTTGCCCAGGCTGGTCTCAAATTCCTGGGCTCAAGTGATCTTCCCACCTTGGCCTCCTAAATTGCTGGGATTACAGGCATGAGCCACCACACCCAACCACAGTTCTGTTTTGATGTAAGAACGAGGGATTCGGAAAACACTGCATTAAGACCTATTGTCAACCAGGAGACTTAGTTAGGCAAGTTACTTAGCCTCTCTGAGCCTGTTCCAGCCTCTATAGGATTGACATTAACAATAATGCTACAGATACTGAGAATTATTTTTCTATGAATAAATAGCAGCCATGAAGATGAAATAAGAAACATATCAAAACACTTTATAAACTTAATAACATCACATATATATGAGAGGGTAGTAATTATATTTCTACTAGTAGTTATAGTTATTATAAAATTTAAATATGGGGACAAGGTTTGACTCTTTATAATCTCCCCCTCATAATTCCCACAGATGTGTCTGATGTTCATTCTTGTTATTCATATTGTGATCCCACGAGATTAGGAAGATTAATTAGCAGCAATGTGCCCAGCATCACATGGTAAATCAGGTGGTTCAGAGGATAATTTAGAGTACTGTTCTGTTACCAAACTTAGTAACAGAAGTTTGATTTTTCTGTTGCTAAGAAACAGAATTTTCTTGATTCTGATTTTTTTCCTTAGCGTTGGAAGGACACTTCTTTAAAAAAAATATTGTAAAAACATTAAATCAAACTCTACTGAGTTAGAATCTGCAATAATTTGAGTGCTGTATGCGTGGTTCTTTTTAAGAAAACCAATGCTTGTGAAACATATGTAATGGAAAGTCTATTGTGAGTAGTAATTATTTTATTGATGTGCATATTTATGCTACCGGGAATTTTTGTTGAGCTGTTTGTACTTAAGAGTGAAAAATTACTCTTAGCGAGAAACAATAAAGTATTTGATTGGCTTCAGGGAAGGGAAATACGGGCAACTTTGGGAGAAGAGAACTGGAGAGTGGGTGCTATCTTTCTCTTTCCAAGTGGCAAGTCTTCTCCTAGGTAGCTGATTGAGGAGACTAAAATAGATATAATCCTTACTTGTAAATGGAAGCTATAAGGATTTTAAATTATAAGAGGAGTTGTCAAAGCTAGAGAGTTATGTTAAAAACCTAAGAGTATCAACCTCAAAGCAAGTAAATAAAAAAGAAGGAGTTTCTCTCTTTTAAGCTGTTCAGAGAATTGAGAAATAATCTTAAGAATCATCCTGGCCATGGATTAATAAAATAATATTAATTCATACATAAAAATTGGTTTCTTGAGACTGGCTACTTTTTTGTTGAGTGTTTATCCTGTAAGCTTCAATTTTTGTAAATCATCATAATAAATTTTTTAAAAAGGAAGAGGCTGCTTACCCTCTGTACCGACAGAGTGGGACATATGCCTACATGACTAGGCACTGCTACCCCCTTTTGGTAGCAAACATTAATTTTAAGTTCAGCTTTTAGGGAAGACAATTTTAAACATATAAAGCAAGCAAAGGAGAAATCATTGCAGTACACTGACTCTGAAGCAAAATAAAGTGAGAAAATGTTGTGAGTGGTCCACAGCTGAGTATGGCCCACTCCTAGGGAGACTGGCTTGTTAGCATTTCTGGACTGCAGCTGCTGTGGTAAGTAATTTTTGGGTGGCAACTTGGCTGACTTCCTCATTGTTGATTGCCTAATCCTGCATTTTCTCATATTAGTCAAGTGTGTCGCTACTGGAATCTTGTCTGACCCTGGAATTTATGAAATCCACTGCTGTGTGGTAAACACCCAGTCTCCAAACAGCACACAAAACCATCATCCACTGGGTTTTGCCCCCTGATGACTACTTGTTCAACTTGTGTGAATTAAGTTTCCATTCTAAGAATGAAATTGAAAAACTGACAAGGCCAGATCTGATAGCAAAAGGGTCAGGAGAAATAAAATGTTGTCGTCCTTGACCAGATAGAGTCAATGTTTAAATATGATGTAATGATATTGGAAGGTTAAAGTGGACTTAGCCCTTAGATATGAGTTGAGAGAGTTGTGTTGCGTTGTTTTATGACCCTTAAGCTGCCTGACTTCTCTGAGATTGAAACTTCTTTGGTTTTCTCATCTTTGAGATTGGATGATACTTTTCCTGCGCAATCTTTGAGGTTTATGCATAGCATACTTCTATAGCTATGGTAAACAGCCTACTGATTTTACTTGCCTACCAAATTGTCCTTGTTTTTACTATTCTGTTATTGCTGGGCATAACGGCTAAGAGCTATAAATTGGCGAGACCTGGGGTGAAATCTTGATTTTTCTACTTACTATTTGTGTTGGGAAAAATACCATAATTTCTCTGAGCTAAAGCAAGGGCAGTAATAACACCTATCTTATAGGGTCTAGAGGAGGATGAAATGAGTCAATTAGCTGAACTCAGCATAATGCCTATCACATAGTAAGCTCTCAATAAATATTTGCCATTATTGTGACAAATTGAGAGACGGCAAACTTATCCAGATAAGTCTTAATTACTGACACATTCATGCTGGACTATTTTTTATTCCAAATCAGTTTCTTTTTCCTCAATAGTGGACTTGGGACCATTTGTCCTATTTGTCTCAATTCTCAATTTTTGTTTGCTTGTGTGTAAATAACATAATATAATCCAAGTGTCCCTATTGCATCAAATTTACCTTGGCATTCTCAGATACAAATGTTCATTCAAAGAAAATAAATAAGAAAGGCTGGGTTGATTAAATTTCTTTTTGGCTCATTGACTGATTTTCTTTGGTCCTAGCCTGATTTCTTTAGGCTTTGGGCAACATGATGAGGAACAATATACCTGCAGACTTACAAGGAAGCTCAGGAACTCCATCAGGCGGTAGGATTTAGGAAGCTGGACTTGAACCAAAGGAAGGCTATTAGAGAAGGATGAGTATCTTGGGGGGTTATCAAAAATGTTGTGATAAAAGTTTTGAACTCTAAGGAAACCTGAATTCTTAACCTGCCTTTTCTAGCTACATGATCTTGGCCAAGTCACTTAACTTCTGTGAACCTTAGTTTCCTAAATTAGAGTCATCAATTCCTGTCGTGCTCTTCTCCCCCATGGGTAAACATGTTTTAGTGTATTAGACGTTAGATAAATAGAAAGGATTGTGATTTCTATCCTGCATAGCTGGAGACACATACTAGAAAGCATGCACCTGCTCAGGTTATTGTCTAAAGTGGCTGTGTGGCTGCTGTTGCCAGAATTAATGCTTGTCTTCTTATATGTAGCAGAGTTTGCTCTTCTTTTACACTTGGATGCCTTATTTAATTAGTGGCTATGTTTTTTTCTCCTATGTTTTACTTACACGAACTTTAAGAAATGTGTATGATGGGAAAGGAGGAACATAAGAGACAGACAAGATTACATTAGCCAAACTATTTTTAAATGGTTCTCTGGAAGCCTAGTATGAACATGGTCCATGTGTGTCTGTGTCTACGCACACTGTGTGTGCCAATTCCCCATTCTCAGCCTTCTGAGGTTCGTGAGGTCATGCTTACCTATTTCTTCTTTCAGGGAATGAAAGTTGGCAGAAATAGAGGGAATCCATCCATTAAATATTTGTAACCAATATTTATGATTTTGGTTAAATATTTTTTTAAACTTCACACTCATTAGGATGGCTATTATACTAAAAATCAAACAACCCAGAAAATAACAAATACTAGTAAAGATGTGGAGAAATTGGAACCCTTGCACATTGCTAGAAAGAATGTGAAATGGTGCAGGTGCTGTGAAAACCAGTATGGAGTTTCTCAAAAAATTAAACATAGACTTACCGTATAATCCAGCAATTCTACTCTGGGTATAACACAAAATAAATGAAAACAGGAACTCAAATAGATATTTGTATTTCTGTGTTCATAGGAGCATTGTTTACAGTAGCCAACAGGTGGAAGCAACTCAAGTGTTCATTGACAAATGAGTGGATAAACAAAATGTGGGCTATATAGACACTGGATATTATTTAGCCTTAGAAAGGTATGAAACTCTGACATGTGCTGTAACATGAGTGAACCTTAAAGATGTCATGCTAAGTAAAGTCAGTCCCTAAAGGACAAATATTTATTATTTCACTTAAATGAAGTACCTAGAGTAGTCAAATAATGAAGACAGAAAGTGGAACTATGGTTGCCAGGGGTTGTGGGGAGGAGGGAATGGGGAGTTAGTGGCTACAGTTTCATTTGGGAAAAAGTTCTGGAGATGGATAGTGATATTTGAACAACTATGTGAATGTACTTAATGCCATAGAACTATATGCTTTAAAATAGTTAAAATGGCAAATTTTATTATATGTATATTTTAACACACACACACAAAATGTTTAGGCCTGGCATGTTGGCGCATGTCAGTAATCCCAGCACTTCGCAAGGCCAAGGTGGGAGGATCACTTGAGCCCAGGAGTTTGAGACCAGCCTGGGAAACATAGCAAGACTGCATCTCTGTAAATTTTTTTTTTTTTAATTAGCTGACATAGTGGTGTGTGGCTGTGGTACCAGCTACTTGGGAGGCTGAGGTGGGAGGATTGCTTGAGCCCAGAAGGTTGAGGCTGCAGTGAGCCATGATTGTGCTCCTGCATTCTAGCCTGGGTGACAGAGTGAGACCCCATCTCACACATACACACAGAAAAAAAAATGCTTAAAGCAACTTTCCCCAAAAAAGTCAGTTGCTTATAAAAATAGTGGAACTCTTAACCAAAGGCAACTCTGTTTTCTGCTTTTCCTTAACACAACTTATCTCATTTTTTCAGAGCTTTTAATTAGAATTCATAATACTTGCCTGTTGAGAAATGCTTCTTCCCTTTGAATACTTAGGAATTTTTCTTTCAACCACTGGAAAACAAATCCCAGACTAAATTCTGGGCCCTAATTTAATTCTAATCCACTTTCAGTTATCCCCCTAACAATGTCTACATAATTTATACTTCTGCATGAACTTATTACAAGGCCACTTCTTTCTATAGTGTATGTACATTCAGGTTTATGCACTGATAGAAGTAGCATGTTACACTTGAAAAAAATAGACATTCTAAATTTCTGTCTCAAATGTTTCCCTTGTTTGCAATATCATTTTAGTCATTTTTTTGCTCATATTTGCGCATATGCATTGGTATATTCAGTCAAACGTCTATTGATTATCTACTATATGCCAGCTACTGTGCTAGATTCTGGTGGAGAAGACATCAACAAATAAATAAAAATGGTATAATAAGGGCTGCCATAGAGGTATGGACAGATTTTGCTATAGTGCAATAAAATCCACCAGGAAAGGCCTTGCCAAGTGTTTGAAGTTTGCATTGAATCCTAAAAGGTAGTAACATAACAAGAAATGGGAAAAGGCATTTCTTTTTTCTTCTTTTTTTTTTTTTTTTGAGATGGAGTCTCACTTTGTGGCCCAGGCTGGAGTGCAGTGGCGCCATCTTGGCTTGCTGCAATCTCCACCTCCCAGGTTCAAGCGATTCTCCTGCCCCAGCCTCCTGAGTAGCTGGGATTACAGATGCTGTGAAACATACGCTAATTTTTCATATTTTTAGTAGAGACGGGTTTTCACCACGTTAGCCAGGCTGGTCTCAATCTCCTGACCTCGTGATCCACCCACTTCGGCCTCCCAAAGTGCTGAGATTACAGGCATGAGCCACCATGCCTGGAAAATCCAGAAATTCTTTTTTTTTTACTTTGAGACAGAGTCTTGCTCTGTCGGCCAGGCTGGAGTGCAGTGGCATGATCTCGGCTCACTGCAACCTCCGTCTCCTGGGCTCAAGCGATTCTCCTGCCTTAGCCTCCCAAGTAGCTGGGATTACAGGCGTGTGTCACCATGCCCGGCTAATTTTTGTATTTTTAGTAGAGATGGGGTTTCGCCATGCTGGCCAGGGTGGTCTCAAACTCCTTACCTCAGGTAATCCACCCACCTCGGCCTCCCAAAGTGCTGGGATTATAAGTGTGAGCCAATGCGCCTGGTGGGAAAAGGCATTTCAAACAGAAGAAACAATATACAAAAGCAGAGGTGTACAAAAGCAATGTGCACTTGGCACACTGGAATCATTCAGTATGGCTAGATCATGTGGTTTGGAGGGCTTGTGGTGGTGGTAAGATGAGGCTGCAGGGGAGAAATCATGGAAAGCTTTGGACTTATCCATTCATTCATTAATAAACATTAATTAGGTACCTGCTATGTTCCAAGTACTAGAAGTTGGGACTTCAAAGATGAGTAAACCACAGGTGCTAGAGTATAGTAAAAGGCAGTAACAGAGCTGTGTACAAAGTGTAAGGAAACTCAAAGGGGGCACTTCTATCCCAAATGAATAGAGTGGATGGAAAGAAAATCTGCAAAGGATTATTCGTGATGACCCCTGAACTTTGTCTTCAAAGGGGAATAAGCACTAATCAGTCAATGGATGATGAAGTGGAAGGACAGAGTTTTTGTCACAAGCAAAAGCCTTGAGGCAAGAAACCATAGGGTGCTTGCACAGAATTAGAAGTGGTTTGGTGTTGGTGGATTTAAGTACTAGGCGAAGAATGAGACTGATATGACGGACACAGTCTTTTGTGCCATTTTAAAGAGTGTAGACTTTATCCTGAAGAAGACAAGGCACCACTGATGGGCTTTAAGCTGCAGGGAACCTGCTAGATCCCTCTGATGCATGGGAAAGGTGGATTCAAGAGAGTCAAGGCAGGAAGTGAGTGAGAACAGACTTGCCAAGCCAAAGAAGATGAAGGCCCGAATGAGGGCTGTGGCAGTAGGAATAGAGGGGAGGCAACTCATCTTTAAAATATTTAAGAGGTAAAATATTTGTAGGACTTGATGATTGATCAGGACGGGAGAATTGAGGGAAAGGAATCAAGAGGAAGGCCAGGCTAAGGCAAGTCACTTTTTCTGGGCTTCTGGTTCTTTGTGTTTAAATGAGTGGGCTGGACCAGGATTGACGCACACATCCCTCCCAGTTCTGAAGTCCTGTGATTCTGGGCAGCCTTTCTCTGGGCGCAGAGAAAGGAAGCTCTATGATACATGGGTGTTCTCACCACAGCTTAGATAGTTGCTTAAAAGAGACTCATAGTTTCTCAGCTTCTCTGACAGCTTCTCAGGATGGGAGGTGGCAGGCAGAGCTGAGATGGCTTTAGAACTGCCAGCCAATGCAGGGAAATCTAGTGCGGTTACCAGGTAGCCGGAGTTATAATTAGCCTCGTTGCTAGGGCAAGGCTGAGATTCTGTAAGCATGGACTGCCAGCAACAGCTTTTCCCTGCTGGGTGAATTTACTTGTTTGAAAGAACAAAGTGGGTATGGATGGGGTGTTTTTAAATGTGTTTTAGATAATTTAAATTTTGCCCTAGGTATAGGATATGTTTAAAGCAGAAAACAGGTTTGTGTTGGGGCTGATCAACATCTTGCCTGGGGCAGAAGGAGTGAGGAAAAATTCCACTCTGTTATATGTTTGGATAGCTGGAAAGAGACTTACTTTCACCTGAAGGAAGATAAGTAAGAACATAAAATCATTATTCAGAGGTAGAGAGGATCTTGAAGATAATCTACATAATCCTTTCACTTTTTAAGAAAACCATTTATTTAAAAATAATTTTAGACTTATAGCAAAGTTATAAAAATAGTACAGAGTGTTCCCGTATGCCATTCACTCAGCTTCCTCTAAAGAATAAACCCTTCATTTTAAAGATAAGATGACTAAAGCTCAGAATAGTAATTTGCCTAACGTCACACGGTAAATTAGTAGCCAAGCTGAGACTAGAATCCAGGAGCCCTAACTACCTGTTCAGGCTGCTTACAATGACCTCTGGGACCTTCAACAAAAATTCAAGAAATGTAAGTGCTTGTCAGAACTTAGTTTTTCTTTCTTTTTGCATTACTGGGCTAAAATAGAACTCACACAGCAGGAGCTAGAGTAATTCACAGAGAGATGAATCTGCACTCTGCGCCTACTGCCAAAAGAAAAGGTTTAGTTCCTCAGCCTCCTCAGGAGTTTCATCCATATGTTTTCAAAAGTCACCGTGAACATATTTTTCTCTTTTGCCTTGCTCCCTGCTCTGGCTTTTGCCATCTCATCTGATCAAGTTCAACTGCACAGAGAGAGGAGGCTCTATGATACATGGAGTAGGCACAGAGCGGGGCTGGTGCAAACTGGAAAGGGGCCCGCCCTATCATGTTCAATAGCAGCTAATCCACCCACACACCGACAGCAGTGATCCGACTTGGTACATGCCGTTCTGTGGAGAGCTAAGTAATAGTCATGTGGCTTTTTGCCAAGCAACTTTAGAAGTGACATTGGGCCACAGTGGGCAGTTACTATCCCTGTTATTTAGAAACTTGGCTTGATGAAGTGGGGAGTGAATGCAAGGCACAAGCTGCATTGTAATGCCAGCTTTTCATATCCCAGCCTCATGTAAGCCCTGCTGCTGCAAAGGGCTACAAGCCACCTCTTCATGCACACAGGGCTTTAGAAAGCCCACCCAGAGGCTTGGGAAGAGGAAGCCCTTCTTTAAGGTGCCTGGATGAGCGGCAGGGAGGCTGCCAGCATGATGGCTATGATCTGGAGCTGCAGAAAGAGGGTCTAGGCACTGGTCAAGGGCCTGAAGTCAGCCAGTTCTTTCAGGTCACTTTTTCTTGGTAAGTCTCAGATCTTCTCCCTGAGACCACACAGGTAGCTTCCTCTCTCAGAGTTACTCCGTCAGACCTCACACTCCAGATTCTCATCAGTCAAGTTCAGTATCTGCCCAACACAAAAGTAAATCTAGTCTTGCCCACTGTGAACTCCGAAAATTTGAGACAGGTCTCAGTAAATTTAGAAAGTTTATTTTGCCAAGGTTGAGGACACGTGCCCCTGGCATAGCCTCAGGAAGTCTTTATGACATGTGACCAAGGTGTTTGGGGCACAGCTTGGTTTTGTACATTCTAGGGAGACATGAGACATCAATCAATGTATGTAAGAAGTACATTGGTTCGGTCTGGAAAGGCGGGACAACTTGAAGCAAAGGCAGGAAAACTTGCAGTGGGGGAGGCGGCTTCTAGGTCACAGAAGAGAGACAAAAGGTTGCATTCTTTTGAGTTTCTAATTAGCCTTTCCAAAGGAGGCAATCAGATATGCATTTATCTCAGTGAGCAGAGAGATAACTTTGAATAGAATGGGAGGCAGGTTTGCCCTAAACAGTTTCCAGCTTGAGTTTTCCTTTTATTTTTTGTATTTTCATTTCCATAGGTTATTGGGGAACAGATGGTGTTTGGTTACATGAGTAATTTCTTTAGTGGTGATTTGTGAGATTTTGGTGCACCCATCACCCAAGCAGTATATACTGCACCCTATTTGTGATCTTTTATCCCTCACCCACTTCCCCCCCTTTCCCCTTGAGTCCCCAAAGTCCACTGTGTCATTCTTATGCCTTTGTATCCTTATAGCTTAGCTCCCACTTATGAGTGAGAACATACAATGTTTGGTTTTCCTTTCCTGCCTTACTTCACTTAGAATGATAGTCTCCAATCTCATCCAGATCATTGTGAATGCGTTAATTTATTCCTTTTATTGGCTGAGTAGTATTCTATCATATATATATATATATATATATATATCCATCATATATATATATATGTGTGTGTATATACACACCACAGTTTCTTTATCCACTCATTGATTGGTGGGCACTTGGGTTGGTTCCACGTTTTTGCAGTTGTGAACTGTGCTGCTATACATATGCGTGTTCAAGTATCTTTTTTGTATAATGACTTCTTTTCCTCTAGGTAGATACCCTGTAGTGGGATTGCTGGATCAAATGGTAGTTCTACTTTTAGTTTTTTAAGGAATCTCCACATTGTTTTCCATAGTGGCTGTACTAGTTTACATTCCCACAAGCAGTGTAGAAGTGTTCCCTGTTCACTGCATCCACATCCATATCTACTATTTTTTTATTTTTTTGATTATGGCCATTCTTGCAGGAGTAAGGTGGTATCACATTGTGGTTTTGATTTGCATTTCCCTGATTATTAGCGATGTTGAGCCTTTTTTCATATGTTTGTTGGCCATCTGTATATCTTCTTTTGAGAACTGTCTATTCATATCCTTAGCCCACTTTATGATGGGATTGTTTGTTTTTTTCTTGCTGATTTGTTTGAGTTTGTTGTAGATTCTGGATGTTAGTCCTTTGTCAGATGTACAGACTGTGAAGATTTTCTCCCACTCTGTGGGTTGTCTGTTTACTCTGCTGACTGTTCCTTTTGCCGTGCAAAAGCTCTTTAGTTTAATTAAGTCCCAGCTGTTTGTCTTTGTTTTTATTGCATTTGCTTTTGGGTTCTTGGTCGTGAAATCCTTGCCTAAGCCAATGTCTATAAGGGTTTTTTCGATGATACCTTCTAGAATTTTTATAGTTTCAGAACTTAGATTTAAATCCTTAATCCATCTTGAGCTGATTTCTGTGTAAGGTGAGAGATGAGGATCCAGTTTAGTTCTCTTACGTGTGGCTAGCCAATTATCCCAGCACCATTTGTTGAAAAGGGTGTCCTTTCCCCACTTTATGTTTTTGTTTGCTTTGTCGAAGATCAGTTGGCTGTAAGTATTTGAGTTTATTTATGGGTTATCTATTCTGTTCCATTGGTCTCTGTGCCTATTTTTATGCCAGTATCATGCTGTTTTGGTGACTATGGCCTTATAGTATAGTTTGAAATCAGGTAATGTGATGCCTATAGATTTATTCTTTTTGCTTAGTCTTGCTTTGGCTATGCGGGCTCCTTTTTGGTTCCATATGAGTTTTAGAATTGTTTTTTCTAATTCTGTAAAGAATGATGGCGGTATTTTGATGGGAATTGTGTTAAATTTGTAGATTGCTTTTGGCAGTATGGTCATTTTCACAATATTGATTCTACCCATCCATGAGCATGGGATGTGTTTCCATTCATTTGTGTCGTCTATGATTTCCTTCAGCAGTGTTTTGTAGTTTTCCTTGTAGAGGTCTTTCACCTCCTTGGTTAGGTATATTCCTAAGTATTTTATTTTATTTTATTTTTTGCAGCTGTTGTAAAAGGGGTTGAGTTCTTGATTTGATTCTCAGCTTGGTCGCTGTTGGTGTATAGAAGAGCTACTGATTCGCATGCATTAATTTTGTATCCAGAAATTTTGCTGAATTGTTTTATCAGTTCTAGGAGCTTTCTGGAGGACTCTAGGATTTTCTAAGTAAACAATAATATCATCAGCAAATAGTGACAGTTTGACTTCCTCTATAACAATTTGGATCCCCTTTATTTCTTTCTCTTGTCTTGCTCTGGCTAGGACTTCCAGAACTATGTTGAAGAGGAGTGGTGTGAGTGGGCATCCTTGTCTTGTTTCAGTTCTCAGAGGAAATGCTTTTAACTTTTCCCCCAGTCATTATTACGTTGGCTGTGGGTTTGTCATAGATGGCTTTTATTACATTGAGATATGTCCCTTGTATGCTGATTTTGCTGAGAGTTTTAATCATAAGGGGATGCTGGATTTTGTCAAATGCTTTTTCTGCATCTATTGAGATGATCATGGTGATTTTTGTTTTTAATTTTGTTTATGTGGTGTACCACATTTATTGACTTGCGTATGTTAAACCTCCCTGCATCCCTGGTATGAAACCCACTTGATCATGGTGGATTATATTTTTGATATGTTGTTGGATTCGGTTAGCTAGTATTTTGTTAAGGATTTTAGTATCGATGTTCATCAAGGATATTGGTCTGCAGTTTTCTTTTTTGGTTATGTCCTTTTCTGGTTTTGGTATTAGGGTGATGCTGGCTTCGTAGAATGATTTAGGGAGGGTTCCCTCTTTCTCAATCCTATGAAATAGTGTCAATAGGATTGGTACCAATTCTTTGAATGCCTGGTTACATTCTGCTGTGAATCCATCCGGTCCTGGACTTTTTTTGTTAGTAATGTTTAAATTAGCATTTCAATCTTGTTGCTTGTTATTGGTCTGTTCAGAGTATCTAATTCTTCCTGATTTAAGCTAGGAGGGTTGTATCTTTCCAGGAATTTATCCATCTCTTCTAGGTTTTTTTTTTTTTTTTTTTTTTTGAGATGGAGTCTTGCTCTGTCGCCTAGGCTGGAGTGCAGTGGTGCGATCTCGGCTCACTACAAGCTCCGCCTCCCGGGTTCATGCCATTCTCCTGCCTCAGCCTCCCGAGTAGCTGGGACTACAGGTGCCCACCATGGCGTCCGGCTAATTTTTTGTATTTTTATTTTTATTTTTTATTTTTTATTTATTTTATTTTATTATTATTATACTTTAAGTTTTAGGGTACATGTGCACAACGTGCAGGTTAGCTACATATGTATACATGTGCCATGCTGGTGTGCTGCACCCATTAACTCGTCATTTAGCATTAGGTATATCTCCTAATGCTATCCCTCCCCCCTCCCCCCACCCCACAACAGTCCCTAGAGTGTGATGTTCCCCTTCCTGTGTCCATGTGTTCTCATTGTTCAATTCCCACCTATAAATAATGCCGCATATCTACAACTATCTGATCTTTGACAAACCTGAGAAAAACAAGCAATGGGGAAAGGATTCCCTATTTAATAAATGGTGCTGGGAAAACTGGCTAGCCATATGTAGAAAGCTGAAACTGGATCCCTTCCTTACACCTTTTTTGTATTTTTAGTAGAGACGGGGCTTCACCATGTTAGCCAGAATGGTCTCGATCTCCTGACCTTGTGATCCGCCCACCTTGGCCTCCCAAAGTGCTGGGATTACAGGCGTGAGCCACCACGCCCGGCAGCTTTATTTATCTTTTCAAAGAACCAGGTTTTCATTTCATTTATCTTTTGTATTTTTTGTTTGTTTGTTTCAGTTTCATTTAGTTCTGCTCTGATCTTGGTTATTTCCTTTCTTCTGCTGGTTTGGGTTTGGTTTGTTCTTGTTTCTCTAGTTCCTTGAAGTGTGACCTTTGATTGTCTGTTTGTGCTCTTTTAGACTTTTTGATGTAGGTGTTTAGGAATATGAACTTCCCTTTTAGCACTGACTTTGCTGTATTCCAGAAGTTTTGATAGGTTGTATCACTATTTTTGTTCAATTTGAAGATTTTTTTAATTTCCATCTCGATTTCATGATCATTCAGGAGCAGGTTAATTTCCATGTATTTGCATGGTTTTGAAAGCTCCTTTTGGAGTTGATTTCCAGTTTTATTCCACTGTGGTCTGAGAGAGTGCTTGATAAAATTTCAATTTTCTTAAATTTATTGCGGCTTGTTTTGTGGCCTACCATGTGGTCTATCTTGGAGAAAGTTCCATGCACTGTTGAATAGAATGTATATTCTGCAGTTGTTGGATGGAATGTTCTGTATATATGTGTTAAGTCCATGTGTTCCAGGGTATAGTTTAAATCCATTGTTTCTTTGTTGACTTTCTGTCTCATTGGCCTGTCTAGTGCTGTCAGTGACATATTGAAGTCCCCCACTATTATTGTGTTACTGTCTATCTCATTTCTTAGGTCTATTAGTGATGGTTTTATAAATTTGGGAGCTCCAGTGTTAGGTGCATATATGTTTAGGATTGTGATATTTTCCTGTTGGACAAGGCCTTTTATCATTATATAATGCCGCTCTTTGTCTTTTTTAACTGCAATTTCTTTAAAGTTTGTTTTGTCTGATATAAGAATAACTACTGCTGGGCCAGGCACGGTGGCTTATGCCTGTAATCCTAGCACTTTGGGAGGCCAAGGCAGGCAGATCACCCCTGCCTGTACTAAACCTATCTGTACTAAAAATACAAAAATTAGCTGGGCATGGTGGTGCACACCTGTAGTTCCAGCTACTTGGGAAGCTGACACAGGAGAATTGCTTGAACCTGGGAGGCGGAGGTTGCAGTGTGCCAAGATCGCGCCATTGCACTCCAGCCTGGACTACAAGAGTGAAACTCCATCTCAAAAAAACCAAAAAAAACAAAAAAACAATAGTTACTTCTGCTTGCTTTTGCTTTTGGTGTCCATTTGCATGAAATGTCTTTTTCCACCCCTTTACCTTAAGTTTATGTGAGTCCTTATGTGTCAGATAAGTCTCTTATGTGTTAGGTGAGTCTCTTAAAGGCAGCAGATAGTTGGTCGGTTAATTCTTATCCATTCTGCAATTCTGTATCTTTTAAGTGGCGCATTTCGGCCATTTACATTCAATGTTAGTATTGGGATGTGAGGTACCATTCCGTTCATTGTGCTTTTTGTTGCCTGTATACCTTGGTTTTTTGGGTTTTGTTTTTGTTTTTTTGAATTGTATTTTTGTTTTATAGGTCCTGTGAGATTTATATTTTAAAGAGGTTCTGTTTTGATGTGTTTCCAGGTTTTGTTTCAAGATTTGAAGCTTCTTTTAGCAATTCTTGTAGCGCTGGCATGGTAGTGGCAAATTCTCTCAGCATTTGTTTGTCTGAAAAATACTGTATCTTCTCTTCGTATATGAAGCTTAGTTTCACTGGATACAAAATTCTCGGCTAATAATTGTTTTGTTTTAGGATGCTGAAGATAGGGGCCCAATCCCTTCTGGCTTGTAGGATTCCTGCTGAGAAATCTGCTGTTAATCTGACAGGTTTTCCTTCATAGGTTACTGGGTTCTTTTGTCTCACAGCTCTTAAGATTCTTTCTTTTGTCTTAACTTTAGATAACCTGATGACAATGTGCCTAGGTGACGATCTCTTTGCAATAAATTTCCCAGGTGTTCTTTGTGCTTCTTGTATTTGTTTAGGTCTCTAGCAAGGTTGGGGAAATTTTCCTCAATTATTCCCCCAAATATGTTTTTCAAACTTTTAGATTTCTCTTCTTCCTCAGCAATGCCAATTATTCTTAGGTTTGGTCATTTAACATAATCCCAGAGTTTTTGGAGGCTTTGTTCATATTTTCTTATTTGTTTTTCTTTGTCTTGGTTGGATTGGGTCAAATTGAAGACTTTGTGTTCGAGCTCTGAATTTCTTTCTTCTACTTGTTTGATTCTATGGCTGAGACTTTCCAGACCATTTTGCATTTCTATAAGTAAATACTAACACAGTATTTGGTGTGTCTCCTGGGTCCTGCAGGAGCCATCTGCTTCCTTCAGGGGGCCTGTGGGTCCTCTCAGGTTTTGTAATTTATTCCTCCAGTCGTTCTGGAGCAAAAATTCATGATATGAGCCTCCACATGCTTCTCTGTCCATCCGAGTCGGAGCTGCAATCTAGTCCTGACTTCCATCCACCATGATCCTGAGTTTTCCTTTTAGCTTAGTGATTTTGGGAGCCCAAGATATTTTCCTTTCCCACCCACCTAGCACAGTTGTATTGATGACAACAGGGTTGTCAACTCTCTACTTCAAAAATCAGGAAGTGCTGGGTCCAGAGCTGGATTCCCAGAGTCTTGCTGTAGCAGAAATCAAATGAAGGCGGTGAACTTCTGGGACTCAGAGGAGCAGATCCCTTAGAGGTGGGGAGCAGTATTGTTCTAAGGCTTGTTCTTTCCAACCCCTTCTAGTCTGTGGGATTGTGGGGAAGCTCAGCTTGCTGACAAAACCATTTGGAGCCTCAGAAGACTAGGAGGCAGGTTAGTAATAACCAGTCCCTGCCATCTTCTGTGAAGCTGGGGTGAGAGCAGACAGGTTCCTTCAGCTGTGTGGAAGCTTGGTTCTGTAGGGAGCACATAAAAGGGCTGGAGAGAATTGCTGCAGTTAGAGGATGGTGATGTCAATTAGGAATGGAATTCCACCTGACGCTTTCTGAGTTGGCCTTCAACTGCTAGCTTCCAAATTTCTACCTCCCGTCTCCTTCCTCCTGTTTTCTCTACTGCTGCAAGGGGACAGGGTCTTAACCAGTGCCTAACGTTCTTGATATAAGGTGCAGGAAAATAAATGGTTATAAGGAAAGCAGCCTGAGGACTCCTTCCCTATAATTTGCAGCTACTTTATCTGCAGAAGAGGTTTCTAGACCCAGGTCTTGTCCCATCTTCTGGTATTAAATTCTTCCTACTCTTAGGCCCTTTCTGTCCTTCTTTGCCCCATATCCTCCCCCCACTTTTCCCAAATTCACTCATGCACATGGCAAGTAAACGCTAAATACTTCCCATTTAAATGCTATAGAGGAAGAAATCTGTTTTGTGTTTACTGTGTGCCAGGCACCATGTTATGCATTTTACACATATTTAATTTCAACCATATAATAGTCCTATGAAGTGGGTGTCTTGTTCCCATTTTTCACAGGATGAAATTTGCCATCAATAGGCTCAGGGAGAGTACCTGGTATCCCAGCAGCCGTGTGGCCTCATTCTACAGTTAAGCAAGGCTTTGGTACATTCTTTAGAATTTAGTTAGTAACTCTTTCAAATGCAAATGATGTTTTCCAGTGAATAACTACATTGTGTTATTCACTGGAGAGAAAGAAAGGACTCTAGTAAAATGATATTTACTTTCGTAGTGACTTTTGCCAAGATTGTGGCAGGAAGGGGTGGCATTGTCTCATTGAGGTACCTGCAGTACAAGGTGGCATTGACCTCATTTTTACTCTTAAAACAGGTGCAACTTGCCGTGTGCAATGTGCCTGGGCTGTCCTTATCTGTATAGGTTGCCCTGTTAGGCTTGTGCTGAGTCTGGTTTGGAACTCCAGAATTCAGAGGAAATAGGAAATTCGTTAAACCAAACTAAAAAGGTTAGAAAATGAGGCTTATGTGAAAAGGGCAATGGAATTGGGATTTTTACTTTGGGGGAAAACAGACTTACAGGTGACCTAATAATGCCTTTTAGGTACTGAAGTCTCAATATGTGACAAGTGGTAATTAGTTATTCTCTGTCTCTGCCGAAGATAAGAATAGGTCAATCCTAGTTTAAACTAAACATTAGTCTTCATTCATTTAAAAATATGTACTAAGCCCCTACTGTGTTCTAGTTTCTATTGGAGGTGACTGGAGTATATATCAATATATTCATGTATAAGTCTTTGTTTTATTTCTTTCGGGTAAATACCCAGTAGTGGAACTGTTAGGTCATATAATAAGCACATACAGGCATTCCCATCCTCATAGAACTTATAGTCTGTCATGAGTAGACAGAAAATAAACAATAAATATTATAAATAAAGTATGTAGAATGTTGGAAAGTGAAAGTCCTCTTGGGGCAGGGGAAGGAGAGCATTTAAATGCTTCCCATTTATTTCTGATCAGCTCTTGATAGAAAAAAAATTGCTCCCTATTTAAATCCTATGGAAGAAGAAATCCATTTAGTGTTTACTATAAGCCAGGCACCATGTTATGCATTTTACACATATTTAATCTCAATCAAGTAATAGTCCTACGAAGTGGGGGTCTTGCCCCACTTCAAAAATGAGCAAAGGTGTGGTGGCTCAAATCTGAAACTCCAGCACTTTGGGAGGCAGTGGTGGAAGGATTGCTAGAGCCTAGGAGGTCAAGGCTGCAGTGAGCTGTGTTTGTATCACTGAACTCCAGTGATCAGACTGCACTCCTGGGCAACAGATCGAGACCTTGTCCCAACTAAAAAATGGGCAAAGGACATGAACGGAAGACATACATGGGGCCAACAAATATTTGAAAAAATTCTCATGCTCAATATCACTGATCATTAGAGAAATGCAAGTCAAAACCACAATGAGACACCATTGCACACCAGTCAGAATGCCTACTGTGAAAAACAAAAAATAAGGTGTTGGCAAGGTTGTAGAGAAAAGTGCTTATACGCTGTTGGTGAGAAGGTAAATTAGTTCAGTCACTGCGGAAAGCAGTTTGGTGATTTCTCAAAGAATTTAAAAGAGAACTACCATTTGACCCAGGAATCCCATTACTGGATATATACCCAAAGGAAAATAAATTGTTCTACCAAAAAGACACATGCACTTACATGTTCACTGCAGCACTATCCACAATAGCAAAGGCATGGAATCAACCTAGATACACATCAACAGTAGACTGGGGAGGAAAAATACGGTACATATAAAGCACGGAATACTATGCATCCATTAAAAGAATGAAATCATGTCTTCTGCAGCAAAAGAGATGCAGCTGGAGGCCATTATCATAAGCTAATTAACACAGGCACAGAAAACCAAATACTGCATGTTCTCACTTATAAGTGAGAGCAAAACTTTGAGACATGGACACAAAGATGGGAACAATAAGCACTGGGGCCTACCCCAGTGGAAGGTAGAAGGGGGGCGAGGGTTGAAAAGCTAACTATTGGGTACTATACTTACTACCTGCGTGATGGGTTCATTCATACACCAAACCTCCGCAACATGCAAGTTACCCATGTAACAAACCTGCACATGTACCCCCTGAACCTAAAACAAATGTTGAAAAAAAATTACAGGAGTGGAGAGCAGGTTGCAGTATTAAGGAGTGGCCAGGAGAGGCCGTGTTTAGAAAGCGATTTAAAACACCCTTCCATACCCAAATGCACAGCCACCCCTACCCCCATCCCTCCTTCACCCCCCAACACATTTATTATCTCACAGTGTGTGTGGGTCAGGAATCCAGGCACCGCTTAGCTGGGTTGTCTGCTTAGGGTCTCCCTAGGCTACAGCCAAGGTATTGGCCAGGCTGCATTCTCCTCTAGAGGCTTGACTGAGGAATCTGACTCAGAGCTCACTTGGGCTGTCAACAGAATCCATTTCTTTGTAGCAGTAGGACTGAGGGCCTTGACTTCTTGCCAGAGGTTGGCTAGAGGCTGTCCAGGGTTCCTTGAAGTCACCTAGTGTTCCTTGCCATGTGAGCTTTCCCCATATGGCCACTTCAAGTCAGCAAGGAGAGGCTCTAGAGCAAATCTGCAAGCAAGAGAGCCTTGAAATTTAATATAATCACAGGAGTGACATTCCTTCACCTTTGCCATATTCTATTGGTTAGAAATAAGTCGCAGGGCCTGCTCATACCCAAAGAGAAGGAGTTACACAAGGGCACAAACACCAAGAGGCGGGGATCATGGGGAGCCACACGGTAGTTTGTGGACCACACTACCTTTTACTTTTTTTTTTTGAAAGGATGGGATGGAAAGGGAAGCAAATAAACATGACAGTTACCAGTGCAGGAAGATTTGTTTCTAGGTTTACCTTCACAGCATTTATGGCCTTCCAAGCTGACCTGAGGCAATAAAAGCATCCTAGACTGGTAGTCTCCATGCCAACCAAGCTCTTTACTCATTCTTTGCACTTGGCAGTTTGCATTGCCACTTGCTATGTCATTTTAGTTTTTCCTTTCATGTTTTGTTTAAATAAACTTTATTAAGTATGCAGTTAGATAAATTTTAACAAATGTATACCACTGTATAACAAACACCACACAATCAAGATAAAAAAATACTTCCATCACACCAAAAAAGTTTCCATATGTCCTACTGGTGCCACGTGTTTCAAACCTTTCATACCTCTGGCTGCAGAAAACCACTGATCTGCTTTCTGTTGATAGATAGTTCTGTCTATTGTAGAATTTCATTGAAAGTGAATCATAAAATACAGACTATAGTATCTGGCTCTTAGAATAATGATTTTGAGTTTCATCCATGCTATTTGTATCAGTAGTACATTCATTTTTATTGCTGAGTAGTATTCCATTGTATGAATATAATACAATTTGTTTATTCATTCATTTGTTGATGAATGTATGATTTGTGTTCAGTAACAGGCTATTATGGATTAAGCTGCTATGAATATTCATGTAACAAGTCTTTGTTTTATTTCTTTTGGGTAAATGCCCAGTAGTGGAACTGTTAGGTTATATAATAAGTATATATAGATTAAATATCTCTTATCTGAAATGCTTGAACCAGAAGATTTTCAGATGTGTTCAGATTTTGAAATATTTGCATATACATAATGAGATATCTTGGGGATGGGACCCAAGTCTAAACATGAAATTTATTTATGTTTCATATACACCTTGTACACATAGCCTGAAGGTAATTATGTTTTTCTCTTGGGGATGCTGAATAAACTGGGTGTTGTGCCTGCATTTTTGCTGCAACCTTTCATGAGGTCAGGTATGGAGCTTTCCACCTGAGGTATCATGTTGGTCCTCAAAAAGTTTTGGATTTTGGAACATGCTGGATTTTGAATTTTTAGATTAGGGATGCCCAGTCGGTATTTCTGCCTATTTTCTGAATAGATACTGTCTAACTATTTTTCAAAGTGGCTATGCCATAGAAAATAATTTTCAAATAGCAACTTGAAGGAGATGACGAAGTTGGCCAAACAGAGAACTGGGGGAAGAATATTCCAGGCAGAGAAACATCAGGAAAGCCACTGTGGCTGATGCAGCATAATCAAGATTAAGCATGCTGGAAGATGAGGCCCCAGAGGGTATGGGGCTTGTGTAGTAAGTCCCTGTAGATGATTTTAAAGACTTCAGCTTTTACTCAGAGTGACATGGGAACCTATTGAAGGGTTTTGAGCAGAGGAGGGGTCTAACAAATGCCAGTCCTGTCTGACTTGTTGAAATGATAAATCTGGTTACAGTATTGCAAATAGGCTGTAGAACAAAAGTAGACACCAGGAGGACTCTTAGGAAGACACTGCAGTAATGTATGTAGGGGCTGATAGTGATCAGACTTAGGTAATAGTGATGCATGTGGGAACAAGTGGTGAAGGTAGCAAATCTAAAAGGATTTTGCCAATGGATTGGATACAGAATGGGAGAGAAATAAAGGAATCAAGGAAAATTCCAGGGTTTTTGGAGTAAGCAACTGGAAGGATGGAGTTGCCATAACTGAGATAGGGAAGGCTACGGATGGAGCAGATTTGAAGGTGGAGAGTAGGGGTTCAGTTTTGGAAATTTGGTGTGTAAGCTATTTGCTAGACATTTTATGTGGCAGTATTAAGTAAGCAGTTGAATACGTAAGTCTAAAGTTCAGGAAATAGAGTAGGGCTAGAGACATAAATTTGGGAGTTATCAGCAAATAGATCATTAAATATTAAATTTAAATATTTAAAGCCATGAAACCATAGGAGATCACCAAAGGAGTTGGAGTTAGACCTTTCCAGGTGGAAGAGAAAAGGACCAGAGACTGGTCCTGTATAGCTCCAACATTAGTAATTTGGAGAAAAGAGGAAGAATCAGAAAAGGAAGATAGAGAAGGTACAAACCAGTGAAGTAGGAGAAAAAGTCTGGAGTCCCGGAAGCCAAATGAAGAATGTGTGTAGTGAAGAGGACAGGATCCACCTTTTGAAATCCTGCTGAGAGCTTGAGTAATACGATGATTAAGAATTGACCTTTGGCCCGCCAGACGTGGTGGCTCACGCCTGTAATCCCAGCACTTTGGGAGGCCAAGGTGGGCCAATCACTTGAGGTCAGGAGTTTGAGACCAGCCTGACCAACATGGTGAAACCCGGTCTCTACTGAAAATACAAAAATTAGCTGGACATGGTGGCGCATGCCTGTAATCCCAGCTACTCAGGAGGCTGAGGCAAGAGAATCACTTGAACCCGGGAGGCGGAGGTTGCAGTGAGCCGAGATTGCACCACTGCACTCCAGCCTGGGCAACAGAGCAAGACTCTGTCTCAAAAAAGAATTGACCTTTGGATTTAACAACATGGATGTCATTAGTGATCTTGATTAAAGTAATTCTGGTGGAGTGGTGAAGACAAAAGCCTGCTTGCAGTGGGTTTAAGAAACAATGTGAGGAGAAGAATTGGAGTCAATGAGGATGAATAATTACTTTGAGTTTTGTTTCAAAGGAGAGCAAAGGAATGGGGCATACCTGATAAGGGTATGAGGTCCATAGGGGATTTCTAGAAAGATAAATGAATAATAGCATGTTCGTATGCCAACAGAATTTTCCATTAGAAAGTGAAATATTGATAAAGAGAAGCAGGGGAGACCTTCTAGGTGTTGCCTTTGAGAGGTAGGGGGAATAGGACTTAATTAATACATAAGTGGAAGGTTTGGCTTTAGATAGGAGCATGGATAGTTGATCTATGGTTATAAGTGGAAAGACAGAGAATGTAACCCGAGATGTGTAGATGGATTGATATGGCGGTAAGAGACTGCCAGTGCTTTCTTCTGGTTTTTTTGTTTGTTTGTTTGTTTGTTTGTTTGTTTGAGACAGAGTATGTCCCTGTTGCCCAGGCTGGAGTGCAGTGGTGCAATCTCGGCTCACTACAACCTCTGCCTCCTGGGTTCAAGCGATCCTCCTGCCTCAGCCTCCCAAGTAGCTGGGATTACAGGCACACACCACCACACCTGGCTAATTTTTTTGTATCTTTAGTAGAGACGGGGTTTCACCATGTTGACCAAGCTGGTCTCGAACTCCTGACCTCGTGATCCGCCCACCTCGGCCTCCCAAAGTGCTGGGATTACAGGCGTGAGCCACCACACCTGACCCAGGTGGGCCTTTTCTTATCACCACTGCCTGAAATCTTTCCCTCTCTGTGCTCTTCCAGCAATTGCCTACCCAAACCCTAGGCCCAGCCGACTTTGGAGGTCTCCAGTTGAACCTTCACCTTTTACTGGAATGGAGCAGTCTCTGCAAGAGGGGTTGGTGGAAGTAGGAAGCAAAAAAATTGAGAAAAGAAACAGTAAGAAGAGGAAGTTCTTGCAGGGAGAATTGTTTTTCAAGAGAGCTATATTTTTATTTTGAACAGCATCCATTTGTTTGATAAATATATCATTATCTTCTGTGTGTGGGCATTGTGCTAGCAATGCTACAGTGGTGAGAAGATAGAGGGAGTCCCTGCCCTCATGACACTTAGAGTTTAGTGTCTGAACATAGTCCGAGCAGCATTGTGATACGCTGACTCCTGTTAAGTACAGTGCCTGTTATCATCCCTGCCCAGTGGTTTTGCTTCACTTATAATTACCTAGAGTCATTTTGGTATTTTGTTGGTTGATGGATGCCAGCACCCCACAAAACTCTCCAAGATGCTATGAGACCACAGGATTAACTGTGATTCAGGTCAGACTATGTCTTAATGCAAAGTACTTAAAGCAAATACATCTTTTTCCTAACATCTTATAGAACAGTGCTGTCCAACGTAAATATAAGCCATACATGTAATTTAAATTTTTCTGATGGCCACATTAAAAAAAGTAAAAAGAAATATGTGAAATTAATGTTAATAATACATTTAAAACATTATCATTTCAACATGAAATCAACATTTTAAAATTATTAATGAGATGTCACATTCTTTTGTTGTAGTTAGTCTTTGAACTCCTGTGCGTGCTAAGTCTGAAATCCTTACAGCACATTTCGATTTGGACTAGTCACATCTCAAGGGTTCAGTAGCCACATGTGGCTCATGCCTGCCATCCTGGATGGTACATCTGTAGAGTCTACAGGGTAAGTGCTGTCTCTAGTGGAAGCAGAGCTTCAGAAGAGTTGCCTGATCATAGGACCTGGCTTCAGGACACAGCCAGGCTTCCAGGGAAGGAGTGACTGCTAGATATTAGAACTTAGTTTCTAATATCTTGTCTGTTTATTGTGTGAGATTCTGTGTAGGAAAAATGGTCCCAGACTTTGCAAAACACCAGTGACTGGCTTTGTCCTTTTTAGAGAACAGATCAAAGTATGTTTCAATCCAGAATTGAAAGCTGAATTTGGGGATAAATGTCAGATTATGTTAGATGTTACAGATAATTTAAAAATATTTAGCAAGTTTCCTATGCAACAATTTATCTATAGAAAAATTAATATAGTTTTTATATTCCAAAGTAAGGTTTTACTTAGTTTCCAGTTCTATAGCTGCTGCCCAAAGAAAACATTTATGTGAGAAGTTAAGGAAGTAAAGGGTGGTTCCTGTGAGCTCCAGTTCCTAAATAGCTGAGAAAAACAAACATTCTGAACATCCCCTTTAGCTCCTTCGGCAGGGCTGGGCTCCTGTCTCCACACAAGGTGTCCTGGGGCATTACAGGGGCTCCAGACTTACCCCTGGCTTTTGCAGGGGGCCTGCCCTTTGCTAAATTAAGCCCAGCCAGGCCTATCTGTGAACAGAGAGGCTCCAGCCGAGTGAGAGAGATTGGTTCTGCTAAGGAATGTCCTGGGGAGGGGAGAGAATCGCTGAGATCATGGGTATTTATGTGTATGTTTTCTCACTGGCCAGCTCAGTTGGGCCACATCAACAGAGGCCTCTGGGACACGACCAAGATTCTATTCTAACAGAGTGACTATAGGGAATGAATAGCTCATGACACACTGAGAAGGGTTTAATTGGAGATCAGTGTGAATACCACAGCAGAATGTATCTTGGGAACTCTGTGCTCAGAGTCTAAATAAAACAAGCAGAACACCTCATTTTCCCTCATTTTTCTTTTTGTTTAAAAAAATGGATTTTGTTTTTTATTTTATTTTTTATTTTTTAGTTTTTTAAAATGAGATAGGGTCTTTCTATGTTGCCCGGGCTGGTGTCAAACTCCTGGGCTCGAGGGATCCTTCTGCTTCAGCCCCCCAAAGTGCTAGGATTACAAGTGTGAGCCACCAGGCCTGGTCAGATTTTGTTTTTTAGAGCAGTTTTAAGCTCACGGCAAAGTTAAGCAGAAGAGCCAGAGATTTCCCATTTACTCCCTGCCCCTACATACATACCTGTGTATATACAGCCTCCCCCACTATCCAAACCCAAAGATGTCTCATTTTGATATATCTTTTCTTGGATTCTTAAGCTTAGTGTTGACCAGAAATACCTCTTATTATGATTCATGCATCTGACTATCTTTGGGAAAACTAACATTTATTGAACACCCACTATATGTCAGGTATTTTTTTTTAACATCTTTTCATTTACAACCCTGAAAGGTAGGGGTATTAGCACCATTAAAAAAACTAACAACAGAAGGAAATGAAACTTAGGTTAAAATGATTTACCTCTAGAATACAGAGATGAACTACGTGAAACTGTAAAAAAATGATTGAATATCTCCATTTTTATATGGTTCAACCTAATAGAATGTGAGAGGGCTCATATTTGAACCCAGGCCAATTTAGTTCAAAAGCCTATACTTTGCATTGTACTGTACTACTGCCCTAAAATTACTAGAATAGCACTGGATTCTTTATTTTCCCTTGGGGGTGCTGTAGTTT
Source organism: Homo sapiens (assembly GCF_000001405.40). Classification (NCBI taxonomy): domain Eukaryota; kingdom Metazoa; phylum Chordata; class Mammalia; order Primates; family Hominidae; genus Homo; species Homo sapiens. The sequence goes on from NC_000001.11 coordinate 148,918,140, forward strand.
CACATAGATGTAGATTTATATTCCTGCTCCTTAGAAGACTAGAACAGCGATGCTTAGAGAAAGAGCAAACCAAGGTATGGTATATCTTGAGTTAGAGTAGGAGTTGAGTTGAGTGGGAGCCTAAGTTTAGAGACTAAAGCTAGGAGTTATATGATGGACCCGCACTGATTCGTGTATCTGCTGCTATTTATATCTGCCACCTGTGTGCATTTCCATACAGCTGATTCTCGGTTCTCTTTTGTTTGTTACATGCTATGATAATCATTGGTTTAATTAACCCCATAGGCTGTAAATTCTCTGAAGACTGTGATTCTGTCTGTTTTGCTCTTTCTAGTACCTATTAAAGTGTTGGCACATACCAAGTAGGTGCTTACTAAGTATTTTATGAAAAAGCAAATGAATAAACAAATGATACTATCTCAGCTACTCTGTCCTCTGCCCAATGAGCACTGTCTCTGTCTTTGCCTCTGTCTCTCTCTCTCTACACACACACACACACACACACACACACACACACACCCTAGCTGTGTCTATCCAAACACCTAATCTCCTTAGCACTCATCCATGGTCTCAGTGCTTACTCAGACATGGGTGTCTGTGTTTGTCTAATCAAGGTAAACCAGGCTGGGAAAGGACTGGTATTGCTTTGAAGCTTTTACTAAGGACTGACATAGGTTGGGCTTGAAATATGACCTGAACAGAGCAGTTTTGCCATTTGAATGTGGAGCCTTATATTGAATAAACTGAAACTTTTCCACTTGGTTTTTTCCATCTCTTTGGAGAACAGGACTGGACACTAAAGCAGGCTCTGGCAGGAGAATGTCCTGGTCTTGCAGAATCTTCTGGTTGCTAAGGCTGAGGACACAGCCCCACTGTCCTTTCTCTGGCAACAAAGGACATTTGTCACATGTTGGGGCGACTTATGTTTCTAATTTGGGACTTAACTGCACTAGTAAAAGACAGCAAATGTGGAATCAGTAGAAAGGTAGAGATTGTGCATTTGAATCAAGACTTTCTTCCACTTCACATTAAAGTGTAAAAACTTAATGCTTTGCATTTGAATACCTTCTGATAGGTGGCTAGGTGTCTCACATAAGCGTAAAAGATGAGTAATGCAGGTGGTATTATCATTCTTATGGGCAAGAAGGAGAGGCTGTAAATCAAGTTAATTGTATAAAAGCATAAAGCTTTGGGGACGACCAGTTTAAGGTCACACAGGGAGTTAATGTTAGCCAGATATCTAGACCCACTAAGGCTTCATTTTTGCTCTAATACTTATGAATGGAGAGAAACTCCATTTACAAAAGAATTCACTTGGAAACTACTAAAATGTATTTCTGGGGATCCTGCAATGACCAGTCCTTTGTCTTTTGGTCAAGACAGATAGAGTCCTTTCTGAAAATGCTCAGTGCTTCTCCCTGTTTTATAGAGTTATGACCTTGCCCCATTGATGTCAGAGAAGCCTGGAGAAAAATTCACTCTGCATACAAAAAATTCGTATGTACTACACTTTTCCTAGAAGAGATAAGATTCTAAAAATGAAAGGTTTTAAAATAAAACCCATTCACTAATAGTTACTTTTCACTTTGGGTGAATAATCAGGAGTTACATCAGGGTTTCCCTACAAGATTTTGAAACTCTTCCTCCTGCTAAATTATTTTTTAAAAATTCCTTTAGTTTACAGAATTGATTAGGATGGGATTTGGTCATATTGATTTTTGTCCCAAATAAAGACTCTTTTGTGGAATGCCAGCTCTTCTCTGGCTTGCTTCCTACTATCTTGCAAAGGTGCAGTACCCATTTCCTTCACTCACTGACCTTAACACAACTCTGATTACACTGAGAACTCCTTGAGGTCAAGGACAATGATGCCAAGAAAAGCACTTAGGTTTTGGCAATCTTTAATCTCCAATACTTTCTTGTCGACTTTATCAATGAATGTATGCTGGTATGCTGTCAAGATTTTTTAAAAACTATTTATTTTTTTTTTGGTTTTTATTTATTTATTTATTTGAGATGGAATCTCACTCTTGCCCAGGCTGGAGTGCAGTGGCGCAATCTTCGCTCACCGAAACCTCCGCCTCCTGGGTTCAAGCAATTCTCCTGCCTCAGCCTCCTGAGTAGCTGAATAGCTGAGTAGCTGAGGAGCCCTGAGTAGCTGGGCTCCCACCACCACGCCCGGCTAATTTATGTATTTTTAGTAGAGATGAGGTTTCATCATGTTGGCCAGGCTGGTCTCGAACTCCTGACCTCAAGTGATCCACCAGCCTCAGCTTCCCAAAGCGCTGGGATTACAGGCGTGAGCCACTGCGCCTGGCCTATTATTATTTTTTGAGTGGCTGCTCTTAGCCCAGCAGCAAACTTTGAGGGATATAAGCTTGCAGATGAGTTGAAATGCATACACATGAATGCACAAATGTGAAGTTAAATGCCAAAACAAAAATGTAAGCCATCAATTCAAAAGTGATAACAAAGTGTTTATTTCAGAAACTTATACTAAGAGTTACTGTGAGCCAAGAACTTTTATAAAACCTAGAAGGGGAGGCAGACATTTTAAATAAGCAATGTAAGGCAGAGTCGGGTGAGTGCTATACTAAACATCAGATGACCTGGTATGAATCCTGGTTTACTAAGGACAATCTTGATTTTTGCCTGTTGCCCAGAGGTAATTATGATAGCACCTGTTTGTACTATCAGAAGAGTCTCAGTTATTAAATTATAGTCATATAAATTATAAACTAAGTACAGTTGAAGTGAAAAGAAATCATTAGTTCTGACTGGGAGGTTGGGGAAAGGTTTCTATAGGAGAGGATGTTTGAGCTGAACCTAGAAGAACAGGTTTAGAAAGAGAAACCATCATAGGCTGAGAACAGTTCAGGCAAAGCCTTGGTGGCCTCCAAGGACACTTGTATGATTGATTTCTCAATCAGCAAATGCCCTTGTCTTTAATGGAGAGTAGTACCACCAATGGCTAGCGAGGTCTTGGAAATTATCTCACCATGAACTATCATCACTCAGAACTCTAGTTATCAGAAAAAATGGCTGCTAGGTAATGACTGATGTCATTGTCATCCTGTGTCAGATCAGAGGGCACAGTTCAAGTTGGGTAAGGTGAGCAGGTGAAAGGGAGAGGAAGAGAGTGAGTGAAGCAATGTGAAAGTTGAAGAGACTAAAGGATAACAGGTGAAGGGAGAGAACTGTGCTTTTATTGGTTCAATCTGCCCAATTAAAGAAGTTGCAGTTCCTCTTTAAACAAATCTTGTTTTTAATTTATTTCTGCATCTCTTCTTTCCTCCCTGTATCCCATACTCTGTTGTATTCTGAGTCTCCCAAGTTTGAGACGTGCCTAGAGGCAGGCTTAATTTTCTTTATCCCTCAGTATTGGGAAACGGACTCTGCACCACTGAGTCTATGTAAGTCTGGTGGCTGAAAGAAGCTGCCACAGGGAGCCGAATTTTCATTGCTATCTATGACCTGAGTTTAGGTAATTCCAGAAATGAAAATGAAAAAATAAAAAAGAATATGGACATTTACCTTTTTGGGATGAAAATGCCCCTTTTGACTTCTCATTATGTAAGTTTGAAAATTTTCAAATATAAACAAAGACTAAGAAAATAGTACCTCCCGATGTATGTGTCCCATTTACCAGGGAGCCATGTTCCCATCACTCAGCTTTAACGGTTCCCAACATTTTGCTGTTCTTTTCAGTGATCTCCCTGCACTGTTCGTTCTCCATCTTGTCCTCTTCCACCCCTTACAGCAACTCTCTGACATCATATAATTTTATTTGGGAAGATATCAGAATATAACTCTCACAGAGAAGGCTTTGTTTTTAAACATAACCACAATACTATTATTGTACCCAAAAAGCTTAAAAATAATTCCATAATACCATCTAATACTGGGTCCATACTCAATCTTCCCTTTAAAAGTCCGTGTTAAGATCTGGAGATTTTAAGTCAGTATTTCTGAGCTCCAATGTAGTGCACAGGAGTAGGATGTTTAGCCCTTCTTACGGAGAGCATGAGCAGTAGAAGAGGAGGCTGGAATCCTAAAGTGTATTCAATCTTCTATTGTCAATGGGTCAATAATATACCTATTAGAGAATATTCTTAGCTTAAAACTGAAAAAGTCAGCCAGGCGCGGTGGCTCACGCCTGTAATCCCAACACTTTGGGAGGCCGAGGCGGGCGGATCACGAGGTCAGGAGATCGAGACCATTCTGCCTAACACGGTGAAACCCTGTCTCTACAAAAAATACAAAAAAATTATCCGGGCGTGGTGGCAGGCGCCTGTAGTCCCAGCTACTCGGAGACTGAGGCAGGAGAATGGCATGAACCCAGGAGGCAGAGCTTGCAGTGAGCCGAGATTGCGCCACTGTACTCCAGCCTGGGCGACAGAGCAAGACTGTCAAAAAAACAAAAACAAAACAAAAACCTGAGAAAGTCTTTATTTATCTACTTATTTGAGATGGAGTCTCGCTCTGTCACCCGGGCTGGAGTGCAGTGGCGCGATCTCAGCGCATTGCAAGCTCCGACTCCTGGGTTCACACCGTTCTCCTGCCTCAGCCTCCGGAGTAGCTGGGACTACAGGTGCCCGCCACCACACCCGGCTAATTTTTTGTATTTTTAGTAGAGACGGGGTTTCACCGTGTTAGCCAGGATGGTCTCATTTCCTGACCTCGTGATCCGCCCGCCTCGGCCTCCCAAAGTGCTGGGATTACAGGCATGAGCCACCGTGCCCGGCCCTTATTTTTTATTTTTTTGAGGTGGAGTTTCTCTCTGTCACCCCAGCTGGAGTAGATTTTTTATTTTTTCGAGATGGAGTTTCGCTCTGTCACCCCGGCTGGAGTACAGTGGCACAATCTCGGCCCACTGCAACCTCTGCCTCCTGGGTTCAAGCGATTATCCTGCCTTAGCCTCCCGAGTAGCTGGGATTACAGGCACCCACCACCACGCCTGGCTAATTTTTGTATTTTTAGTAGAGACAGCGTTTCACCAGTTTGTCCAGGCTGGTCTGGAACTCCTGACCTCAAGTGATCCGCCCGCCTCAGCCTCCCAAAGTGCTGGAATTACAGGTGTGAGCCCCCGCGCCCAGCCAAAAGTGAGAATGTCTTTTAAAGACTTCAGATAAAAAGTTTTCCACATAATCTCACAGCATTATCTATTACCTTCTCACTCATTCAACAAACGTATCATTGTTAGTCCACTTCCGCCTCTTGTCATCTATTCCTTCTTTGTTCTCTTGTTGGTTCACTCTTTCAAAGCTTTTACTGCACAAAGAGGTGAGAGACACTGCGAGACCTCAGATTAGTCACAGCTGCCGGTTATTTGTTTTTGTTGTTGTTGTTTTTGAGACGGAGTCTTACTCTGTCGCCCAGGCTGGAGTGCAGTGGCGCGATCTCGGCTCACTGCAAGCTCCGCCTCCCGGGTTCACGCCATTCTCCTGCCTCAGCCTCTCAAGTAGCTGGGACTACAGGAGCCCGCCACCGCTCCCGGCTAATTTTTTGTATTTTTAGTAGAGACGGGGTTTCACCGTGTTAGGCAGGATGGTCTCGATCTCCCGACCTCGTGATCTGCCCGCCTCGGCCTCCCAAAGTTCTGGGATTACAGGCGTGAGCCACCGCGCCCGAGCTGCGGTTATTTGTATCAGACATTGTGCTGGGTACTTTACATAAATTCATTTATTCCTCACTACAAACTTTGAGGTAATTTTTGCAAACCCTATTTTATAAATGAGGAAATTAGGTTGTAAAAGTTGAAGTAATTTACACAAAAAAGGTCCCCCAGTTAGGAAGTGGCAGAAAGGTATGTGAACCTAGGTTTACTTATCCTGAAATTCCTGCCCCAGCATGACAACGCTGAGAGGCAGTATCTTAATAACCAGCGCACCTGGGTAGTTCTGCCACACCATCATTTCCTCTGTCCTTAGGGAGTTTGCAATTTAAAAGGGTAAATAAGACAGGTGTAGAAATATGAAGCATTTACACGGGATGCCAATGTTGCAGTATGAAAAGAATATTTGAAAGCTCATAATGTCATCATGAGAAATTACTTTTAATTTGGAGAGATAAAGTAAGGCTTCACAGGGGACGGAGCATTTAACCATGAAGCTGAAGGGCACACAATGATGTGGCACCAAGAAGCATAGGGCATGTTTGGGAAATCCAGTTAGGCTAGCAGATAATAATGGAAGATAAAGCTGGAGAGGTAGATTGAGGTCAAATTTTGAATAGACTCTATTATCAGGCCAGTTGTGTATAATTTAATCGCTGTACAGTTAAAAATCGTTAAAAGGTTTTTTCTTTCTTTCCTTTTTCTTCTTTAGCTGGACCTGCATCACATATTAAATGCTTTTTGAACAGACGGAATGAAATAACCAGAGCTATGCTTTAGGAAAAATTTAAGTAGTAGAGGGACTGAGGTTGGGGAAACCAGATATGAGACTATTCATGTACTCCAGTCCTGGGGAGAAGGAAGAAATACCTAATAGAAGTTTAATTTCAGCTTCATCATTGAAACTTTTTCTTGAGTTAGATGGGCGAACACTCCTTTGGAGGCATGAAGAAAGAGAAGTGCTTTCTTCCCATCTCCCCTTTCTTGAGTACATAAATTTCCTTAGATATCTTGACAAAGAGCCAAGAAGACTTGGTGATAAAATAAGCAAATGCAGTTAATTTGGAATCTACTGATGCTATAAAAGAATTTAACAATTTACACATGAATATTTAGTAATGGAGAATGAATAAATGTGATAAGCTATATGATGATTTTTCTACAGAAAGAAGGTGCAAGAAGGTTAGACTTTGATGTAAGATTATTGCTTTTACCTTGAAAACCCTTCTGGATTTCAGCTATCCTAGTTAGAGAGGGTAAATTGTTATTGTTTTTATAGTTAATAATAGTTATCATTTTCTGAATACTGACTGCATGCCAGGCACTGTGCGATGTGATTTTTGTGCATAATTTCATTTAGTCTCCCTAACATCCTTTGTAGATTGGTATCATTGTTATCTCCTTGATAGATGAGGTGAATGAGGCTCTTAGAGAGGGCAGGTGACTTGTCAAGCCCCCTTCTCGCCTTCAGAGCCTATGCTCTTGACCACTGTACTTACTGCCTCCATATATTCTTTCAAGACTAAATGCAGCACATTCTCTAATTCTATAATTTACCACATTCTACAAAATCAGACAAAACTGGGCAGTGTTTGCTAAGCTGGTCTCTCTGATAAAAGGCTAAAGCAAGAGTGGAGTGTTGGTTTCAGTTACGGCTTTTACCTTGGAGGTAACCCTTCTGGATTTCAATTTCCTTGTCTTTAAACTAAGAGAACTAGAACACAGAAATGCTGAGGTCTTCAAATCTGTGAATCTTTGGCCAAATTGGTCAAAGCATTGACTTCATTTTCTTCAGTAGGATTTAGAACAGATAGAACGTACTAATTTATGTCCTCTGTTTTTCTTCCTTTTAGATCTAAGTATTTTTCCTGGTAAGGCTGGGGTCTCTGACTGGCACTAGTCAGCCTGGACATGAAGGGAAAGTGAATCAAGGTTGTTGCACAGCTGTGTGCAAGGCATTGTTCTATGCTTATCATGCACATTGTCTCATTCAATCCTCACAGAATCCCTCGTGAATACTTATCTTCATTAAAAAGCAAAGCAACCACACTATACTTATAAGAAAACTGAGGCTCATAGTGATTAGTTAACCTGCCCAAGGTCACCTAGCAGGAAAGTGATAGAGCCAGGATTCGAACCTAATTCTTTCTGGCTTTAGGTTGGTTTCATAGTGCCTCTCACTTTCCCTGTTGTTTGTTTATTTTTATTTGAATATTCAAAGATTCCTCATGCAAAAATAGTATTAATAGTAAGGGACTTTTCAGGGAACTTTCTGTTGATCAGTTTATACCTGATAGAGATTCCCTATGTCACATCATGAGACTAAGAACTAGGCAGAGGACATCCATATAGCTCCAGTCATTTGAGACCTCACGTATTTTTAGATATGAGATTTTTAAAAAATCTGCTCAAGCAGTTTTGGCTTATCTGAGGTGGTTTAGCATATCCAGACTTTTCTGATTTATATAAATTAGCCAGGCATAGGAATATCATTGATAATAACACTTCATAATTATAGATTCCATTTTCTTTCATATGAGATTTAAATAGCTTTTTGCCCACTCTTTGTCATTTTCCAGGTGGAGAAGCCTTAGCAGAATTTTACCCAAGGTCACAGAAGTGAATCAATTGGTGGCAGAAATAATAATAAACTTAGGAGTCCTCTTTCTCAGCACCATATCCTGAACACTGAATCCACTTGAAACATTATGGTCTCATGGAAAGCAAACTGCTGTTCCAAATGATAATGCTGTTGTTCTTGATGATGATGGTGATAATAATATTATTATAATTAAAATTATAGTTATACCTGTGTTAGAAACACTGTCCTAAGTCCTTTACATGTATTGATTTATTTATGCCTCACGATCCTCTCAGGTAGGTTTATGAATGAGGAAAATACAATTATCTGCCTATTACACATTAGGAAGTTGCTCCCTCTTTGCATTTCCCACATAATTGAATGCATATTCCTTCACCTCTATGAAGGGCCTCTAGCTTAGGGACTATTTTTTATGAAGACATTTGAATTCCTTTAAGTATTGACCACAAAGCTGGGGACATAGCAACTGTTTAGCAAATCTTCTATTTTACTGATTCATCAATTGGTACAGATGAATTATTCTTGCAGTGCCAGGCCATGGAACTGATATAGAGATCTTAGACTTGTTCTTCATACAAAATTGAAATATGCGTGTTTCCATTTGTTAATCTTTTGGTATTTGTATTGCAGAATAAAATACAGGGTACTCAATTCAATTTAAATTTCAGATAAACAACAAACAATGTTTTAGCGTTTAAGTTATGTCTCAAATATTGCAAAGGATATACTTCTAATGAAACAAATTATTTGTTGTTTATCTGAAATTTAAATTGAAGTAGATATCTTATATTTTTATTTGCTAAATCTGGTAATGCTATTTAGTGTTCATAAAATAATAACTTTAAAGTATATCCTGAAAAGACAGGGCTATCATTCCTTCTTTTGAAGAAATTAGGATATTTTCATCTCACTGGATCTGAATCTATGTTCTAACCTTGGTCAAAAGGTACCTACTTATGAGGGGAACAAACATTCTTCTCAGTATGTCACTAAAAACATACTAGTAATATGATCTAAAATGCCTTGAGTCCAACTGCCTTCCAGCTCTAAAATTCTTTAATTCTAAGTAACTCTCAAATATCTAAACTAGGTTTCTACTTTTCCCAATTAGTATTTGTGTTTCGACCACCCTGCATGGAAACATGGGTTATGAAATGCCTTCACAAGTATGGTAGAAAATATGCTGCTATTGTATGTTGCCTTGGACTTCTAGAAGTCTAGGTGTTGGTGGTTATTATATGGCGATAGTAAAGTAAAATCCTCCCTACTGTTCTAGTACCCACAATACTACTTTTCATACTTTAGCTACTTTACCTTCAGTCTCTCTGTCAACCTCTGATCTAAAGACTTCTTTACTAAATAACATTCTTCTTGCCTAATACTGTATTATGGACTTCATCAGGGAAGGGACTAATCCATCTTTGCATGCTAACGTTTAAGCTGAAATAAAGTAATCCCTCAATTAACATTTTGCAGAAACCTCCTTAGGTTCCCCTACAAACCTGCCCCTATTTTAGTTAATAGAATGCATTCCCACTGACATGCTGGAAATTTCAGCATTGTCTTTGGTCCTCCCTCCAGTCTAATCTGAATCTCACAAGTCATCAAGGCCTGTGGCTTCTGTCTCTGAAATGGCTTTTGAGTCTTTCTCCCTGTACCTCTTGTCCTTAGACAGTCCCCCTCCCTATTCTGGTTAGTTGCCCCTGACCCACCCACCTTCTTCATAATTCCTTCTTCAACATGGACCCGATCATGCCAATACTTTGCTTAAAGCTCCCTGATAAGTCTTTGATTTCTACTGATTATTATCCAGTTTTTTACTTTTTTAATTTTTTTTATTTTGAGACAGAGTCTCTCTCTGTCACCCAGGCTGGAGTGCAGCAGCATGATCTTGGCTGACTGCAACCTCCACCTCCTGGGTTCAAGCGATTCTCCTGTTTCAGCCTCCCAAGTAGCTGGGATTACAGGCGCATGTCACCACGCCCAGCTAATTTTTGTATTTTTAGCAGAGATGAGGTTTCACCATGTTGGTTAGGCTGGTCTCTAAAGCCTGACCTCGAGTGATCTGCCTGCCTTGGCCTCCCAAAGTGCTGGGATTATAGGTGTGAGCCACCGTGGCCGGCCTATCTAGTTGTCTTAGCAGGATTTTCACAAACTAGTTGCAAACTATTTTCTATACTCCTTACCACACACTAAGCCACTTAACCTGCACCAGACACACTTGGGATGTTTTTATTTCCTTATTTCTGTTTCCCCAAATCTTACTTGTTGCATCCTCACCTCAATAAAAATTAATTGTTCCCTGTATAACTTTACCATCAGAGTCCCCTCTCACCTTAAGCAAACCTAATTTATAAAATTCCAATTTTATGATAAAAGCATTGTTTTTAAAAATGTTTACAACCAAATTTCTTTAAATAATTAAATCCCCAGACATTTAAAAGTATTGTTCTATTACTATAATTCTATTAAAAGTATTATTCCAGCAATTTCGTTTTCAGGAACAACCTGTATTAGATAGGAAAAATTTATTTTAATATATACTCTGTCCTGCAATGGTTTAGAGAACGAATAGACTTAAGCAGTGTTCATGATCCAGGGGTAATGATAAATAGGTTGGGAAAATTGATAAGTAGCTCAGGGGAAACCCTGAAGCTGTACAGTTTATTCTTCCTTGACTAGATTGCTGATCCAACTAAATCCCTAATTATGTCAAGGGTCACAAAGAGGGCAGAGATGAGGTGAGAGGCTGTGGACCAAGGCAAGACTCAAATAGGAACCTGGATCCAGGAAAGAGTGTCTGTGGCAGTTAATAACGATTAATGCCTGTGTGTTTTTCAGAACATTGAGCTGAAGGTTGAAGTGGAGAGCTTGAAACGAGAACTCCAGGACAAGAAACAGCATCTGGATAAAACATGGTAAGTTGTAATTTTAAGCTCTGGTCCTTTCCAGAGTCTGTCTTACTAATCTGAGAGCAATAGATTTGGAACCAAATTCCTTAACCTATCTGTGGCATTTGAATCCTGTATCTGATTCAGGAACTGAAACAATAGATTTTCATATGCTGTGTTTCCCTTGGGCTCTTTCTCTATTACTAGGTCAGATGGACCTTGTCATAAGTTGGTAAATCCACCAGACCTAAGACTGCAAACTTCCTATCAGTCAGCAATCAACTAAATTGAAACAGTGAATGTTTCCACTTTTAGTAGAGACAAATGCAAATAAGCTTTATCAAAAAGTATCAGTCAGCCTATAATAACATCAAGAGCTGAGATAACATTTGGGGAAAATGGGCACTCTCATACACTACCAGTGAGTGTAAATTGTGACAACATTTTTAGTATGGGATGCTACCTATTATAATAAAAAAGGAGGATTTCCTTTGATCAAACAATCCCGAGAAGGAATCTGTTTCTTATAAATAAAAGCGTTAGTGTGAAAGGATAAATGTATAAGGATGTTTATTGCATCATTAGTTGTAATGGCAAAAAACTAGAAACAATTATCCATCAATAGGGCATTGATTGAATAAATTTTGGTATTACTACACTGTGGACTATTATGCAGTTATTGAAGAATGAGTTAGCTCTATATTATTGTCCTAGTGGGAATTCCTTGATTAAAGTAAGGGGGAAAAGTTGCTGAGTGATATTTATAGTATACTGAGGAAGAGTGAGATCACAGTCCGTGATAGGGAGAAGACTTGATATTTTTCTTTATATACATTTATATTGCTAAAATGGTTACTTTTATAATTTACAGTTTTTTAAAAGCTTAGTGTTAAATGACAAGTATTACTAAAATTATTAAAAATATTTTCAGACTTCAATAAAGTTTCAGAATACAAAAATTAATGTACAAAAATCAGTAGCATTTCACCAGGCATGGTGGCTCACGCCTGTAATCCCAGCACTTTGGGAGGCCGAGGTGGGTGGATCACGAGGTCAGGAGATCGAAACCATCCTGGCTAACACGGTGAACCCCGTCTCTTCTAAAAATAGAAAAAAAAAAATTAGCCGGGTGTGGTGGCAGTCGCCTGTAGTCCCAGCTACTTGGGAGGCTGAGGCAGGAGAATGGCGTGAACCCGGGAGGCGGAGCTTGCAGTGAGCCGAGATCATGCCACTGCACTCCAGCCTGGGCGACAGAGCCAGACTCCGTCTCAAAAAAAAAAAATCAGTAGCATTTCTACACACCAATAACATTCAAGCTGAGAGCCAAATCAAGAATGCAATCCCATTTACAATATCTGCTAAAAAAAAAAAAAAATACCTTGGAATACATCTAACCAAGGAGGTGAAAGATCTCTACAAGGAGAACTATGAAACACTGCTTAAAGAAATCATAGATGACACAAACAAATGGAAAAACATTCCATGCTCATGGATTGGAAGAATCAATATCATTAAAATGGCCATATTGCCGAAGGTAATCTACAGATTCAACACTATTCCTATCAAACTACCAATGTCATTCATCAAATGACCAAGATCAAAGCCAGAGGCATCACACTATCCAACTTCAAACTATACTACAAGGCTACAGTTGCCAAAACAGCATGTTGCTGGAAAAAAAAAAAGACACATAGACCAATGGAAGCAAATAGAGAACCCAAAAATAAAGCTACACACCTACAGCAATCTGATCTTCGACAAAATCAACAAAAATAAGCAGTGGGGAAAGCACTCCCCTATTCGATGGTGGTGGGATAGATAACTGGCTAGCCATATGCAAAAGAATGAAACTGGGCCCCTACCTTTCAGCACATATAAAAATTAACTCAAGATGGAGTAAAGATGTAAATGTAAGACCTCAAACTATAAGAATCCTAGAAGAAAACCCAAGAAACACCATTCTGGACATTGGCCTCAGGAATTTATGACTAAGTCCTCAAAAGCAATTGCAACAAAAACAAAAAGAGACAAGTCGGATTTATTTAAACTAAAGAGTTTTGCACAGCAAAAGAAACTATCAACAGAGTAAACAGACAACCTGTAGAATCTAAAAAAATTTGCAACTAGCATCTGAAAAGGGTCTAATATCCAGAATCCATAAGGAATTTAACAATTGAACAATGAAAAACAAATAACCCCATTAAAAAAATGAGCAAAAGGCATGATCAAACACTTTTCAAAAGAAGACATACAAATGCCCACCAAATATATGAAAAATTGCTCCACATCACTAATCATCAGAGAAATATAAATCAAAACCACAATGAGATACCATCTCACACCAGTCAGAATGGCTACTATTAAAACGTCTAAAAACAACAGATGCCGGTGAGGCTGCATAGAAATGGGAATGCTTACACGCTGTTGGTGGAAATATAAACCAGTTCAGTCACTGCAGAAAGCAGTTTGGAGATTTATCAAAGAACAACCTTAATGGTTCCACTTGCTAAACTGTATGTCTGGCTCTGATTGGCTAATGCTCTGTGGTTTTAGGGCTGATGTGGAGAATCTCAACAGTCAGAATGAAGCTGAGCTCCGACGCCAGTTTGAGGAGCGACAGCAGGAGACGGAGCATGTTTATGAGCTCTTGGAGAATAAGATCCAGCTTCTGCAGGAGGTGAGGAGTTCCCAAAGTCCATAGGTAGGGGTTCTCTTTTATTAACACTCCTCTTCCTACTGCTCTGCCTTCTGGCATTCACCTTTTCCGTCTCTACTTTCCCTCTGAAATTCATCAATGTTCCTGGGTCTTAGGGCTCCTAATCTAGGTAGAAATTTTGCAGCCTCTCAGTTTTTGTTCTTTTTCCAGGAATCCAGGCTAGCAAAGAATGAAGCTGCGCGGATGGCAGCTCTGGTGGAAGCAGAGAAGGAGTGTAACCTGGAGCTCTCAGAGAAACTGAAGGGAGTCACCAAAAACTGGGAAGATGTACCAGGAGACCAGGTCAAGCCCGACCAATACACTGAGGCCCTGGCCCAGAGGGACAAGTAGGTGCCTTCGGTGCTCTTTTTGTCGCTTGTCTTTTGCCCATTCTCAAGGCATACAGCAGCTGTCCTGTTCCCTTTCAAGGACTGACAGTAGGAGCTTCACTATTTCTAAGACTTTATGGGCCCACAACCGAAGACATTCTTTTCAGGGTTGAATTTTCAGTGGTATCCATTATGAAAACTCACTTCATGGATTCAGTGGGCAAATAGCGGCAAGCAAGAGACATAGATTCACTTATTCAGCAAACATTTACTGGGCATGCCACATGCCAGATACCGGGCTAAGTATCTGGCATGTGTTACAGAAACAAAAGACCTAATTCTTGTCACCAAGAAACATGTTACATGATTTTAATAAGTTCCCTGATAGAAGAGCATGGGGTGCTCTGGGGAAATATTGGAGGGTCATCCATTCCACATTAAAAGAGCAAGTTGTCTGCTGTGGTCTGAATGTTTGTGTCCCATCCCCACCTCCCTCCCCCACCAGTTTATATGTTGAAATCTTAACCCTTAAGGTTAATACTTCTGCCTCCAGAAGTAGTATGAGGTGGAGCCATTAGGAGGTGATTAAATCATAGACATTGGAGATGGAGCCCTCATAAATGGGATTAATACGCTTGTAAAAGAGACCCCAGAGAGCTAGTTAGCCCATTCTACCATGTGAGGATATAGTGGGAATGCACCGTTATGAGCCAGAGTGTGAACCTTCACCAGACATTGAACCTGTCAGTGACTTGATCTAGGACTTCCCAGCCTCCAAAACTGTGAGAAATACATTTCCGTTGTTTATAAGCCTCCCAGTTTATGGTGTTTTGTTATAGCAGCCCAAAAAGACTAAGATAATGCCATTGAAGTTTTCCTAGAGGAAGCGAAATCTGAGCTGAGCTTTGAAGGATGAATAGGAGGTAGAATAAATAGGTAGAAAGTGGATAGGGAAAGGAAATATTCTATGCAGAAGGAGAAACTATGGAGGGAAGACACAGGGAAAGGAATATTTCAAGAACTTTAAATAATTGTACATAACTGGAGCAAGTGAGAAGACAAGTGAGAGGTAAGCTGTTTTGAGAATAGGGGTCTGATTGTGCCAGCTTTGTATACCATTATAAGGAACTTGGACTTTGTCCTGAAGGTAACTGGGCAATTATTGAGGTCACCACCATCTACTGTCTGGATTACCGAGGAAACTTTCTAAATGTCCTCTCCACTTCCAGTCCTGCTCCTCTCATTCAATCTCAACCTAATAATTCAGAGTAGTTCTGAAATAGATAATTCAACAACAACAAATTGGCAAATAATTTAGCCTCTTAGGTGCATAAGACTGTGGTGGTATAAAAAGCTTTAAGGAGCTTTTAACTGAATAGGCAAAAACCACATGTGCATACCATGACCAATGTGATCTTTCCAAGACATAAATTTAATCGCACCATGGCAGAGCCATTTAAGAAGCTTTGCAATACCTTTAGGAGATAAGATCCATACTCCTAATGTGACCATCAAAGCCTTTTATGATGTAACCTCTGATTTCTCCCACACTCATCACCCACCACCATTCCTTAACTTCATTCATGCCAGGCTAGTAATAATAATGATGGCTAAGCTTTGTTGAGCTCTTACCATACAGCTGAGTACTTTATGTTCTTGTTTAACAGCCCCATGAGATATGAATTATTATACTTTATTAATGAAAAAATTGGCATCTGGAGACTTGTGAAACATGGTTTCAGGGATTGCTGACATCCAAACCCTGAAGCCATACTGCCTCCAGAAGCATAAGAAGCTATGGCAAGTCTCCAGAATTTTGCTCATGCTTTTCCTTCTGTGGGAAACATCTGCCAACTTTTTCCCTTCTAGTGAACCTCACTAAGGCATCAATCGTCATTTCTTTGAAGGCTTTGTGATAGCAGAATGAAGTTTCTGTATTGTTTCTTTTATATATATACATATTGTACAATTCTCAGTATGGTACTGTATTTGCTTTCAGATTTTCCCTACTAGGTTCCCCAAGACAGTGTCATATTTGAACCCCAATTAAAAAAAACTGAACTAAAAACCAAAACAAAACCCCAAGTAAAGCACATGCACATCTGAAAATAAATTGAGGCCACTCATCAGATGACCTTGAACAATTTTGGAGAGTAGGAGAACAGATCCTCTGTGGAGACTAAGGGTCAAAGAGATGAGCAAAGTTTGAGGTTTAAGAAAAGTAGAGATGTTCTAGTGCAGATACCATGAGGGAATTTCATATGGAGTCCACATTCCTCCTTCTCGTCATCATTGCAGTTTACATTTGTATAATGTTTTTAATTTTTTGTTTCTGTTTTTGCTTTTGTTTTGAGATGGAGTCTCGCTCTGTTGCCCAGGGTGGAGTACAGTGGCAAGATCTCGGCTCACTGCAACCTCTGCCTCCCAGGTTCAACCGATTTTCCTGCCTCAGCCTCCCGAGTAGCTGGGATTACAGGCGTGCACCACCACGCCCAGCTAATTTTTGTATTTTTAGTAGAGACAGGGTTTCACTATGTTGGTCAGGCTGATCTCAAACTCCTGACCTCAGGTGATCCGCCTGCCTCAGCCTCCCAAAGTGCTGGGATTACAGGGATTACAGGCATGAGCCACCATACCCAGCCCAATGTTTTTAAGTTTTAAAAGTTATTTCTCCTGGGAATCATGGCTCACACCTGTAATCCTAGCACTTTGGGAGGCCGAGGCGGGCGGATCACGAGATTAAGACCATCCTGGCCAACATGGTGAAACCCCATCTCAACTAAAAATACAAAAATTGGTTGGGCATGGTGGCGCATGCCTGTAGTCCCAGCTACTCGGGAGGCTGAGGCAGGAGAATCGCTTGAACCAGGGAGGTGGAGGTTGCAGTGAGCCAAGATTGCGCCACTGCACTCCAGTCTGGCGACAGAGCAAGACTCCATCTCAAAAAAAAAAAGAATCACAACTGGAAACATTTCATTTAGTACCCAGCAGATTTTCAAGGACCTGGAAGGTTCATGTTCCAATATATACAAACAGAGAATATGCCTAGCACATAGATGATCAATAAGTTTATTTGAACCCATAGTTTGTATACCTCAGCACAGTATTTTACAACTTAACCCTAGTCTGAGGGTCTGAATTTTCAGTCTCTTCTCCAGCCATTGCCTCTTCCCTGGGCCTTTGTTCCAGTGACTCTTCCCAAATTGTACACTGGGTCTTCATGCCTTTGTTCCTTTGTTCAATCTCCTCCTTCTGAGCCTGGAAAACCACCCAAGTCTTTGCTATTGTAAATAGTGTGCAGTGAACATTTGCATGCATATGTCTTCATGGTAGAATGATTTATATTCCTCTGAGTATACCCAGAAATGGGATTGCTGGGTCGAATGGTAGTTCTGCTTTTTGTTCTTTGAGGAATCACCATACTGCTTTCTACAGTGGTTGAACTAATTTAACACTCCCACCAACAGTGTATAAGTGTTTCCTTTTCTCTGCAACCTCACTAACGTCTGTTATTTTTTGACTTTTTAACCATAGTCATTCTGACTGGTGTGAGATGGTATCACATGTGGTTTTGATTGCATTTCTCTAGTGATCAGTGTTATTGAGCTTTTTATCATATGCTTGTTGGCTGCAGGTACGTCTTTTGAAGTGTCTGTTTATGTCCTTTGCCCACTTTTTAATGGGGTTGCTTTTCTTTTGTATATTTGTTTACATTTCTTATAGATGCTGGATATTGGACCTTTGTCCAATGCATAGTTTTCAAATATTTTCCCCCATTCTGTAGGTTGTCTGTTTACTCTGAAACCACTCAATCTTTAAAATTTCTTCTCCTGAGCATCGCTATACTCCTTCAAGTCAAATGAATTATTTCTTTATCTTTCATCCTATAGCTCTATGGCAGCACTCAATGTACTATATGGTGCCTCTATTCTGGTAGCATTTATTATATTCTATTACTATTATTTGCTTATATACAATCATGCATCACAAACTACAGGGATATGTTCTGAGAAATGTATCTTTAGGCAATTTCATTCTTCATTGTGTGGCCATCACAGAGCATACTTACACAAACCTTGATGGGATAGGCTACTGCACACCTAGGCTATATGGTATAGCCTATGGCTTCTGGGCTACAAACCTGTATGACATATTACTGTACTGAATACTGTAGGCAATTGTAACACAATGGTAACCATTTGTGTATCTAAACATAGAAAAGATACAGTAAAAATACTGTATAAAAGATAACAAACAGTACACCTGTTTAGGGCACTGACCATAAATGGAACTTGCAGCACTGGAACATGCTGTGGGTGATTTAGCGAGTGAGTAGTGAAGTGGATGAATGTGAAGGCCTAAAACACATTTTGTAGTCATATAAAAATATTTTCCTTATATCCTTATTCTAGAAAAGGTTTATTCTGTTTTTAAATTTTTAATTTTTTTTTTTTACTTTTTAAACTTTTTTGTTACAAACTAAGACACAAACATACACACAAGCCTAGGCCTACACAGTGTCAGGATCATCAGCTTCACTGTCTTCCACCTTTACATCTTGTCCGCTGGAAGGTCTTCAGGGACAATAACACACATGGAGCTGTCATCTCCTATGATAACAATGCCTTCTTCTGGAATAGCTCCTGAGGGACCTGCCTGAGGCTACTTTACAGTTATTTTGTTTAATAAGTAGAAAGAGTACACTCTAAAACGACAATGAAAGTATAGTAAATACATAAACCAGTAACATTTATTATCAAGTATTACATACTATACATATGTTATATTTGTATACAACTGCCAGTGCAGTAGGTTTGCTTTACACCAGCAACACCACAAACAAGTGAGAAATACATTGCACTATGATGTTACTGCAGCTAGGACTTTACTAGGTGATAGGAATTTTTCAGCTCCAGTATAATCTTATTGGACCATCATCATACATGCAGTATGATGACATAATGTTGACAGAAACAGTATATGGTACGTGACTGTAGCTGTATGTCTTCTTACTCTCCAAATCACTAGCAAACACATGCTGGTGGAATTTAAATTTTTGCAAAACAGCGATTGTTTCTTTTCCAACTTCATATTTCCAGTACTTGGTAGAGTGCATTGAGTACACAAAATAGTTATCCAAGAACCGTTTATTGAATGGAACAGCCACTACCACCACCACCAAAAAATTCTAGGCCCTTATTCCAAGAGTTAAATTCCTATGGTCTAAAGATCCATGGATTAACTTCAGGAGGTCCATGAACGTGGTGAAAATGTAAGCAAAAAGTTGTTTGTGTATATATTTGGGGGCTGGGCAGAAAATACATGGTTTTCTAAACAAATGTGTCAAAAGGTTCAATGATCCAAAAGGATAAAAACCTGCTATACTAGACCATGCTATCTTTGGAATGGGCTGAAAAAATAAGGTAATAATAGTATCATGATCATAATTACTGTCCTTACTTTTCCTTTGCTTCAGGAGAATTGAAGAACTGAATCAGAGCCTGGCTGCCCAGGAGAGGCTTGTAGAACAGCTATCTCGGGAGAAACAACAACTGCTACATCTGTTGGAGGAGCCAACTAGCATGGAAGTGCAGGTAAGGTTTGGTCAGTACATCCAGAAGCACTTGCTTCATGCTTTCATAAGCCCTGCTTTTTAATATCTAAGTGTATTTGTTATCTATTGTTGTGTAACAGATTACTACAAACTTAGCAGTTTAAAACACCTTATTTTTGTTATCTCACAGTTTCTGTGAGTCAAGAGTCCAGATATGGCTTAGCTGAGATCTGTTTGGAGTCTCATAAGTGTGAAATCAAGATGTAGACTGGGCTCTTTTCTCATCTGGAGGCATACCTAGGGAAGGATCGGCTTCTAAGCTCCTCAGGCTGTTGGAAGGATTTATTGCTGTGTAGCTGTAGAAGTTATGGCAGCTTCCTTCTTCATAGCCAGCAGCAGAAAGAGTCTGTTACTTTTCTCACTTCTAGACTTTCTTTTAAGGGGCTCATTAGGGCAGGCCCACCAGCATAATATCCCTTTTCGTTAACTTAAAATCAACTGATTAGCAGCCCTAATTACATCTATATGACCTCTTTACTTTTTTCATATAACATAGCATAACTATGCAGTGACATTTCATGACCTTTGCCATATTGGTTAGAAGTTACAGGTTCTACCCATCCTCAAGGGGTGAGGATAACACAAAGATGTGATGGCCAGTGGGTGAGAATTATAGGGACCACCTTAGAATTTGCCAGCCACATCAAGTGATTTATAATTATATAGAACATACAATGTTTTAGGGGTTTTTTTGAGGGTTAAGTTGTAAAATACTGTGCCGAAGTACACAAACTATGGGTTCAAATAAACAGTTATTGATCATCTATGAGCTAGGCATATTCTCTGTTTGTATATATTGGAGTATGAACCTTCCAGGTCCTTGAAAATGTGCTGGGTACTAGTTGAAATGGTGATTACTATTTCCGTACAAGTGTATCAGATAATGATAGAAATTTGCCTCCAAAAAAAAATTTTTTTTTTTGAGTTGGAGTCTCACTCTGTTGCCCAGGCTGAAGTGCAGTGGGATGATCTCGGCTAACTGCAACCTCTGCCTCAGCCTCCCGAGTAGCTGGGATTACAGGTGCATGCCACCACACCCAGCAATATTTGTATTTTTAGTAGAGATGGGGTTTCACCATGTTGGCCAGGCTGGTCTCGAACTCCTGACCTCAGGTGATCTGCCCGCCTTGGCCTCCCAAAGTGCTGGGATTACAGGCGTGAGCCACCACACCTGGCCATAATGTAGTTTTAATATTGAAAAGAGAACTCACTGTGGTAAAAAATAATTGCATTGATTTTCTGGGAAGTTACCTCGAAGGGAACTCCTCTCCTTCATTCAACTTTTAATTTACTAAAAAGATATTTTCTAAAAGAACTTTAGAATATACCTGCACCCAAACAACAAAAGCAATTACCTGGTATCCTTACATTCTTGCACTGGTCTTAGACTACTGATAAGACAAAATGTGGGTGGTTTACTTTACTGGTTCACATATGGAAAGGTTGGGGTCAAGATAAAAGAGCAATGATAAGAATTAGTTTAAACCACTGCTTCCCAACCTTTCCATTTCATGGCAAATGATAATATTTGTAAGGTATAGAGGTAAATGGATGAAGCTTCTCACTTGGAGGTGGCCAATTTGGGTGCTTAGGCCACTATGAGGGCAGGAAAAAATTACTATCTTGGCCACAATTACAAACTTCTTAGACTGCAGCTCCATTTTGGTTGGAAAGCATTGGTTAACAAACTCAAGAAATAATGTGTGAACATAATTTTACAAGTATGAATACAAATTGAAGTTCATAGGCTTTTTGCAAGATACATGTTGAAATATGTGGAAATTTTCTTAAGGGACTCTTGAAAATATTTCGTAATACATTTAATTAGAAAAAGCTCAACTGAGAATAAGAAGAATTGAATTTCCATCCTGATTATTTAAGCTGATAAGAACAGATACTACACTTGATCTTAGCCAAAAGGCCGAGAAGCGATTCCATCCTGATTATTTATTAGCTGTATGACTATGGATATGTCACTTCTCAGCTTCCATATACATAAAATGAGAAGATTAGCTCAAATAATCTCTATAGTTTCCTATAATGCTAACATTCTATTTTTATCTTATTTCAGAATTTTATTTCATTCTATTTTAGTTCAGAATTTACATGAATATTATTTCTTTCAAAATGTTCACCTTCTGAAATGAAATCACTTTTATTGCTCCTTTTGTATTTACAGGCACATAAATACTAAAATATTTTGTACATATACTTATTTTCATCATCTTTGGTAAGCACTGAAATGAATATATTTAGTTCAGTATTTTCAATGCTAATTAAGGAATTGGTTTGGTACCAGTTTTCAGAACAGACTTAAAGAACCAAAAGATTATAATTTCAAAGAGACTAAATTATTTATATTCTACTCTAAAAGGATGCTTAGAACAAGAATAAGTACAGCATCCAGGGGATAATATTGCATGACCATTGGGCAGAAGAAATGCATCAAATCATATAAACTGTACTAAATTGATATGCTTTTTAAACATTGCCTAATAAAAATTTATTGTTGTTATTACCCAATACGTTGTACATTTCAAAACCTGATACATTGCGCTGTTTGTTCTATAAGACAATGTTTCCTACCCTTTTTCATAGAAAATTCATTTTCATAGGAAATGAGTGTACATCTATGGTATTCTGAAATAAGTGCCCATGGCTGCTCATGGTTTGAGGCAATTGCTTATGGCCACCTCAGGACCCATGCACCACCCTGAGAGCTGAGGGGATCAGCATCTTTGCACAGTGGTGGACCATGCTGAGGTACACTGTGCTGGAATACCCAAGTTGGAAAGCTCTGCCACAGGAGGCCGCTGATAGTTGGTCCTCTCAAGTGTGGAGAATAGAAAGCCTCCCATAGCATATTTCCTTGTTTCTCCCTTTGGGTCTACGTCTTATGGGAAAAAAAATTGGGCCCAAGGACTGGTAGTGTCTTCCCTCAATTTACATAGTAGTTTAATTCATGGAAAAATTTAGTGTAAATTAACATCATGCTCCTATATAAAGTTCTAGGTTCAGATGATTGTAAACAGTTTTATCATCACCCAATGGAACATTCAAATTCCAAAAGTCATTTGGAATTTGGTACAATACTTTGTCCTGTAACATCCCTTGCCTCACTTATCATCGTGACAACATCAAAAACAAGAAACACCCCCACAAAATTTCAAAATGCTCTCTAGGAGATGAGACAGTTGCTCAGTGAGTACCACTAGTATAGGGAGTCCTAGCCTTCCAAAGGTTTATAGTCCAGTGAAAGACTGGTATGTAAACAAAGAACTAAAATACAGTGTGATAAATGAGGAGACAGAAATACACGCATGGTGCTAAAGGAACCCACAGCTGAAAGGAATTAACTCCAAGGAGGAACTCACCTGGAGGTCACCCTTCTGTTGGGCCTTAAAGACTGGATACACCAGGCAGAAAATAGGAAACGGAGCAATATATACAGTGATGTGGAACACAGCTAAGGAATTGGGAGTAATCGATGTTACCAAAAATAAGTATTGGAGAATGATAAAATATATAGCTGGAAAGTACCATAAATGTTGAGCTAAGGGCTTCATGTTGTAGGCACCAGAAAAAAAAAAAGCAAGGGGAATAAAAGCATATGATTTGCATTTAGAAAGGTAATCCTAGTTGTCGTGGAAACTGAGGATTGCTTGAAGAGCATCTGAGATAATTGATGTCACCTCCTCAGAGAGCAAATCATAATCTGACACAGCTATGAACTGCTTTGTCAAGTCTGTTCTTTGAATTGGTTGGGGAAAAGAATATTATAAAACCAATTACAAAGCACTTTGTCTCTCCCCTCTGCATAGGTAATGTATGGTGAACCTTGCTATTTGTGACACTTGGAGCCTATGTTGTGGGTGTTATCCTTCTCTGCTAACAGTATACTTTCACTGTAACAGTTATAGTTCCACTGTATTCTACTCAAACCTTGTCTGCCATGCCAACTGTCACCACAGAAGAAAGACCCTTACAATGTGGAAGGTAAAAGTTCAATTTCTAAGCTCTGGGCCTGTTCTTCAGAGGCTAAAGAATCTCCTCATCTCCAGTGAAGCCATCCCTGGAATCCCTCACTGATTCAGCTGGAGTATGGAGGAGCTTAAGTTCTAAAGACCTATTCACTTCCTTTAATTCCACCTATACTTCACAACTGAGAATACCACAAACAGTTGGGCCCTAGAAGAAAGAAGAGCTCACAGATCTTGCACTTCTAGGTCTGAATTGTCCAAGTGAAGAACGCTAATTTACTCCACATCCCACAGATAACTATCTCTCAAGTGATCCCAGTATGAAAGTCTGGAGTATGAGTATAATATACTCACTGTAATATCTGAGTACAGGAAGTTCACTTCAGAGTCTTCATTCTCTCAAATAAGACAGACACTTTTGATAAAGATTATTTTATTTAATTGATCTTACAGTCTTTCTAGCTGTTTTCCTTTTCCATTCTACCAAAACATTCTACAACATTCATTTTAGTGGGAGTGCACTTGCACAGTATTTATGAACGTCTATAATTAACTTCTTGTAAAGCAAAAAAAGTACCACCAACTAGATATGCCATTGACTGACATCATTCCATATCTCCTTCCAATCCTTCTTGATGTCCATTCAGATCAATAGTATGTGTGATCAGAGTGTTGAGGAGCTTTTTGATGTGAGGCTGTGACATCTTGTCCACATCTTTTTCACTAGGGAGTCAGAAAATCTAATAAAGTTTACAAAGCATTTTTCTCTTCCTCAGTAAAGGTATCTACAAAGTTGCAGGGAAAAGCTAGCAATTGTTTCAGTTATTGATATTATTTCCTTCTACAGAATGTTAGAAGCTTCATCTCAATGAAGGTTTTAAATGAAACCAGACCTGGAGGGTGTGAAGGCAGAAAAAATGATGCCCTTGCAAAGGGAGGTCTGGAGGAATTCTTGTTTTGTTTGTCGCCTTTTTTCTCTCTCTGCATTTCTCCTTCAGTATAAGATGAGCAAAATTTATTAACATGTAATCTCACTGTGGTTGGCTTATAAAATGAGACAGGATAACACAATTAGGGAGAGGCCCACATTAAGTAAGTGAGACCTTCCCACTCACACAAATTAGCACAGTCAAGCTGTTGCATTTATGCCTTGTTTGGAACTTAATGTAAATAGTACTGCATGCAGTGAGGCATATTTCCTAAAATAGCAAACATTCCTGCGTTACCATGGAGAGATCTGACTTGGAGGTTAAGGCAAGAATGTGCTCTAAATGCTCAAGGCAGAGACTGAAAACCTTGCAGTGATTAGTAGCTCAGGCAGCTCCGGACAACTTCATATGAGATTTTTTTTTAGAGTAGCTTTTCAGTATCCCCTTCTTTTGCTGATGAATGTTGAAGCTGGAGACTCATTTACAAATCCCCGTTCAACATTACTGTCTCCCAGACAACCTTCATTAATAATGTGTCTCTGAAGCAGGCCTTAGCAGCTAAAGCAATCATTGCTCTAATCCTTTTGAGCAGCAAAGGAAGTGGAAAAATAGGCAGCTGCTTTACAACTTAATCAAAAATATTTACTGAGCACTTGTAATGCACAAGGTACTGTTAGGTGAAGGAAGAAGAACACAAAGATGTGCAGGATTTAGTCTCTACCTTCTAGAGATTACAATAGGAGAAAGTCACTGATGAAAAAAATACAAGGCAGTACAGAAAGGAAAAATCATCATGGACTGGGGTCAGAAGCAAAGATTTTGGTCTCTGAGGAATGAGTAGGATTTTACTAAGTAGATATGAAAAGGAAAGGCATTTCTTTATTCATTCATTCAATGATTATTGAGATCTAGAAAGATACTGTTCCAAATACTTCAGAAGCAGTCTTAGTCCACTCAGGCTGCTATAACAGAATACCATAGACTGAGTGGCTTATAAACAATAGAAATTCATTTCTCACAGTTCTGGAGGCTGGGAAGTCCAAGATCAAGGCACTGGCATTTTCAGTGTCTGGTGAGGGCCCACTTTCTGGTTTATGGATTTCCTGCTGTGTCTTCACATGGTAGAAGGGATTAGCTAACTCTCTGAGGTCTCTTTTTATAAGGACACTAATCTCTCCCAAAGCCCCCACCTCCTAATACCATTATGTTGGGGGTTAGGATTTCAACATATGAATTTGGAGGGGAATACAAACTTTCAAACCATAGCAGATACCAAGATGAGAAAGCTGTGGTTCCTTTTCTTAAGTAGCTTACCAGCTAATGGGGAGAACGCAGTATGGAGAAATGACATACAAGTTACTATAGGTACAAAAAAGTATTTTGGAAGATGGAAGAAGAGAAAGATGTCTTTTGGTGGTACTCAGAAAGGCAGCTTGGAGGAAATACTTGAAGGGTGGATAGGATTTTGATAGGTGGAGGTGGTAGTGATAGAAAAGAATATTCCAAGTGTATGAAGTATAGAGGTGGGGAAGTTCAGGGTAGAGAAGTAGTAGCAGGAATAGAATATAGGGGGACAGAAAAATAGAGTGGAGCCAGATTCAGAGAACTTTAAGAAGCAGGTAAAGAAGTTTAGGATTAATGGACAAGTCATTGGGTCTCCAGGTTTCTTTGAGGGAGAGTGATATCTGAGCTCTGTTTTAGAAAGATTAATCTGAAAGGAGGATAGAGTAGAGGGCAAAGAAATTGAGGGGACTCATTATTTTAGCACTCTTGTTACTTAAGATATGAAGTCATTAGGGCCAGGCATGGTGGCTCACACCTGTAATCCCAGCACTTTGGGAGGCCGAGGTGGGAGGATCATGAGGTCAAGAGTTTGAGACCAGCCTGGCCAACACGGTGAAACCCTGTCTCTACTAAGAATACAAAAATTAGCCAGGTGTGGTGACGCGTGCCTGTAATCCCAGCTACTGGGGAGGCTGAGGCAGGAGAATTGCTTGAACCCGGGAGGTGGAGGTTGTAGTGAGCCAAGATAGTGCCACTGCACTCCATCCTGGGCAACACAGCAAGTCTCCGTCTCGGAAAAAAACAAAACAAAACAAAGATATGAAGTCATTGGAGGGTAAGGAAGGATGAAAGTTTTGTGCTAAGGCAAAAGACCAAAATAAAATTTTAATATATAATAGTTCATTTTCTCATTCATACATTCTATTCAATAACAATTGAGTGCCTACCATGACTAGGCAATGGTGCTGTCATGGTAGGCACTAGAGAATTACCTTCTATGGAAGGAGGCAGATAAATAAGCAGATAATGAAACAAATATATAACTTCAAATTGTGATAAATACATTGAAGAAAGCAAAGAGCAGGAATTGGTAGACTTTTTCTGTATAGGGCCAGATAGTAAATAAGCTTTGCAGGCTGTAAAGTTTCTGCCATTGTTGCATAAAAACAGCCACACACAACACATAAGAATGAACATGGCTGTGTTCCAACAAAACTGTATTTGCACAAACAGGTGGGGGCTGGATTTGGTCCACAGTCCATAGTTTTCTGACTCCTCATATAAAGTATTAGGAGGAAAGGGAGGCACTTTAAACAAGGGGAAGACAACAGTCAGGAGATCAGTCTTTCCTACGGTAATTTTGAGATGTCTATGACACATCCACATGCAGATATCAAATAGGTAACCAGGTATTTGAGAGTGGCACTCAGATGAGAATTCTACAATAAAAACATAAATTGGAAGCCACTGGTATAAAGATGGGAAAGGATGAGATGACACCAGAAGAGAATAGAGAGGTGAAAAGGGTCTAGGACTGAGCACCAATGAACAAAAGTTCATAGTGTATGACTCTTAGTTCATAAATCTAAGGTAGTCATCAATTTAAAGCCCCTGTCTGAATCAGGATGGTGAGAAATTCAATTTCATACGTTTGATATTTCCTCCTCTCCCTACTTTCTCAGCTATTTAAAGGTCCCTAGGTTTTACCTGGTACCAAAGCACCAAGGAGACTACTCTGATCGTTGATCTGCCACTAAACCACCCCTGCCTCAGTAAGCATGGTTTTGCCAACCCTAGAAGCTTGCTATATTTAACCTTTTATGGAGCCAGAATCCCCTGCTAAAGTGCAGCCTCTCCAAGTCACCCCATTACTTCCCTCTCTGAGGTCCTGCTGCTTCTCCAGGGCACTGATATGGAATGGAGGTGGGTACTTGTTACTCTTTGACCTCCAGTCTCTTTCCATCTGTGTGAAATGTCACTCTCTCCTCTTCGCTGACTTCAAAAACTTTTCTCTCTCCTCTCTTCCCCAATGGGACATCTGGCTCAATCTTTGCAGTGGGCTTAGAATTTCATAAAAGTCTAGAAATGCAGTTGGCTTCAAACAGCCTCTGCTCTTTGCTCTGCAAAAGTTCCAGAGTCAAGGGAATGCTAAGGGCTTAACCATCAGATTAGAAAAGAGGGAAGCAGAGGGCCAGGCGCGGTGGCTCACGCATATAATCCCAGCACTTTGGGAGGCCAGGAGTTCAAGGCCAGCCTGGCCAACACGGTGAAACCTCATCTCTATTGAAAAAAATAAATAAATAAATAACAAAATTAGCTGGGTGTGGTGGCGCATGCCTATAATCCCAGCTACTCAGGAAGCTGAGGCAGGAGAATCTCTTGAACCTGGGAGGCAGAGGTTGCAGTGAGTCGAGATTGTGCCATTGCACTCCAGCCTGGGGGACAAGAGCAAGACTTCGTCTCAAAAAAAAAAAAAAAAAGGAAGTACCATCCATCCTGTTGCCTGGGTAATCTTCCTAAAAAAAGGTTTTCATCATGTCATTGTCTGCTTAAATCCATAACATTAAGTCCAAATTCTTTTGCCTTTGTCAAAACATTAACCAAATTCTAATTGGCAAGGCACTCCATAGCATAGTGTCTGGCTTACAGTTGGCTCTTGATACATGTTCTTTGAATGAACAACTATAGAGGATTAGATGTATGGATGGATGAACCTGGTCATTCAAAAATCCCCAACATCTCTCTTTACCTACAGGCTAGCACTGTGTTTAACCCAAGTTCCGTGGCTTTTAATGAAGCTATTTTATTTTGCTGAGTCCCTTCCTTGGCCTTCTTCATCCTAACACCCATCTCAAGTGCCACTCTTGTCCCTTCAACTATACCAGCCCATACTAACCTCTACTTTTTCTGTATTCACACTAAATTTAATTCAGTACCATTTAGTTTACCAGTCAATTGTTCTAACTGTAGCGTGCACCTTTTCTCCCTTTTAACTAAACTGAAAGCTCATTGAAGAGAGAAAAAAAGGTATGTTTGCATTCTTGCTCATTGATTGATTTAACAAATACTTTAAAATTTACTTAACAACCTATGCGTATTTAATAACTTGAAAGACTCTAATGTTTACTATTAGATGGATTTTGCTGAGAAGCATACTACTATAATCTGCAGATGAACCGGAAATCTCCTGGCTTTAAAACAAGCATTTCAAGATGCTGTGTTGTTAATTAATGGAAAGCATGATTGTTTCTGACTTCTTAAAGGTTTCCAAAGAGCACAGGGAAATCACGCAACTGCCTGTGTGTTACCACAAAGCCTAACTGGCTTTACTTTGACATTCTTGCATTTTCTCATCTGCCTTAGTTTCTCTGCCAGAATCACATTTTTCTTTTGGTGCATAGTTTTTAGTAATTAGAATAGCTATTTCCAATGTCATAACTAGGGCAGTGAAACCTAATACAACTGGTTTGGGACATGGGGATTTTCCACCTCTCCAATTCTTTTGGAAACTCCCTCTCAGCCCAGAAGTAGGTCTTAGAAACACTACAACCCAGTTGCCACACAGGGGGTGCAAAAGTGACTATGGTGACTGCAAAATTTAGAGGTCAAAACAGAGATAGTGCAAAACACCCCATACCACAGTAATATTTAGAAATCTTGTTCCACATGCGGATACAGTTCTCTAAATTCAACATAGATTTTGTAAGTAGTTCTTCATTGGTGTGCTTTTCTGTCTATCTGCAGAAGTTCTGATCTGTTGTCTGATACAGCTTAGGATAGTTCTCATTCAGTGGTTTTCAAAGTGTGATTCCCAGATAGCAGCATCAACATGATCTGGGAACTTGTCAGGAATGCAAATTCTTGAGCCCCACCCCAGACCTTATTGTGTCAGAAACTCAAGGGGGTAGGTCCCAACAATTTATGTTAACAAGCCCTCCAGGTGATTCTGATGCATGCTTAAGTTTGAAAACTGCTGTTTAAATTCAACATATTTCATTGTAGATTAGGAAATTAAAAGCCAGATATAAGTGACTTAACCTAGGCCATAAAGCAAGTAAATGCTTGTAAATGTATTTATTAATCAATGTTCAGGGTGAACTGTTGATATATAAAATTAATAATTTGTTTAATCATAATATGAAGCTTATTCTCAAACTTTTCGTTATGTGCCTTCACTACGTTTTAGAAGTAATAATTTTATACTACATCATTACAAAAGCCCTAAGTCTCACCTTAACAACATGCCTTCCTCCAATCATAAGTGTTTGGTGTACATATGCATATAAAATATTATCCTAAGGTGGGGCGCAGTGGAACCCGGGAGGCAGAGGTTGCAGTGAGCCGAGATTGTGCCACTGCACTCCAGCCTGGGTGACACAGTGAGTCTCCGTCTCAAAAAAAAAAAAAAACTCATATGGATAGGCTTAAGTTTTTAATTTGCAATTGGGTCTTTTACAGAATTTCTTCTGGGCTATATTTTATAGCATTTCCCTAATTTTCAAAACTGTTCTTAAAGTGCGGGTGACTTTCTACCAAAGAAATCCCTCAAATTAAAATTTTGAGGGAAACACATAGTTTTATTTACTCCTTTTAATCTTTTTAATTGAAATATACTATGTATACAATCTACAGATCTAAGTGCCCAGTTCAATGAGCTTCAACAATTCTATACACCTATGTTATCTTCATCCAAAACAAGATACAGAACAGCTTCATCACCTCAGAAAATTTCTTTGTGCCCCTTTGCAATCACTTCTCACCCTGTCTCTCACCGTTCAACCACTTCCTGACTTATATCACAATAGATCTGTTTTTCCTATAGTCTGTTATTAGACTTCAGACAATATCAGGTGCATTCAGGGTAGTACGGCTGTAGACCTGTTGTCAGACTTCAAATAAATGGAATCACACAGGATGTACTCATTTGCATATGGCTTGTTTCACTTAAAATGTTTTCAAGATGTATCCACGTTGCATGTATCTGAGTTCATTCTTTTTGATCGCTGGCTAGTACTGTATTGTATTGTATGAATACACCAAAATGTGTTTCATCTACCTTTTTCTTAGTAACAATTATATTTTTTTCTTTTTATATATTTAAGTACAAAAGCAGTAAGTACTTAAAGTTATTTAAAGTATGTAATACATAATGTAAAAAATTATAGAAAATAAGGAAAAAAGAAAATAAATGTCCATAATTCCACTCTCTAGACATAACCATTACTAATAACTTGTGGATCCCCTTTGAACTTTTGTTTATATAAGTTATCTTCTTATATTATATATTTATCATAGGTAGTATAAAAATTCTTATTTTAGGTTCAAGTTTTACCACTTAGACCCTGACATTAGTGTGTTAAATTGGCAGCCCTTATTTTAACTATAAAATGTTTTCTAAATTAAATAAAATCTAAAATTAATACCTGAATAAACATTCATTGTCCAAAATTCAAATGATACACAGTATGTAGAATAAAAAGTAAATGTCCTTGTGTAGCCCCACCATAGGTAACCAGTTCAACTGCAAACTCTTGACCACAAGATAATAATGGTAAGGACCAAGGAGTGCAAAATTGATTATCACATAATTTTTGTTTTATTTTTAAATTTTTATTTTCACGTTTTATTATCTACATACCAGTGATCTTTTAATTGGGAACATCTTATTTTATAATGCCAAATGCTCACACAGGGACTAATTCTAGTACAATAGCTTATATCCACTTTGAGATACAGTTTTGAACTATTTTCTCTGGAAGTGAACAGAGTGCCATCTTCGAATATTCTGATTGCTGAGTAGTTTATTCCCATCTGTTTTTGGAAGTCTAGATATGTATAGCTTTCTTAGTATATTGATCTTTACTTAAAGCAAACATATTCTTCAATGGCAAATTGCCTTTTCTCCATTTGTATTGACCTGTATGTCTACACCAAGCTATCTATATACTGTCATTACAATTTGGAGACTATCAGTTAGATGCAAAATCCTTTTGAGGAACAGAGAATAACCCAAAATATAATTCAGGGTTTGCTCTTGAAGAGCACTTTGTTTCATTCACATTTTCCTAATAGGAAAATGTGGCTTGCATTGACAGTAAAAAATGAGATCTTTATTATACTTAAGACTGGGTACAGCAGGGTAGTGTCCTGGCAGGCAGTCTGTCTTTCCATCAGTCAGGGTGAGTCCAGAAACTTTGCCTTTCTATAGATCACCATAGATTCCAAAGCATGTTGCTTAATTTCTTCCAACTTTGAAGCTCACATACCTAGAGGCAGGCAAAAATGCAGCTGTGGTTTTACTTGAACTGCTTTTCTATTCTTGGTTTTTGAGTCAGAATATACATAGTAGATGAAATTACATATGCAAAATTCTATAGCCTATGATATTAGGCCATTCTTGCATTGCTATACATACTTGAGACCAGGTAATGTATAAAGAAAAGAGGTTTAATTGGCTCACAGTTCTGCAGGCTTTATAGGAAGCATGGTGCTGGTATCTGCTTGGCTTCTGGGGAGGCTTCAGGAAGGCGAAGGGGGAGCAAACAAGTCACATGGCCAGAGCAGGAGCAAGATGGAGCGGTGGAGGCACCACACACTTTTAAATGACCAGATCTCAGAAAAACTCACTCTCTATTGCAAAGGTAGCACAAACCCATGAGGGATCTGCCCCCCCCACCGC
Source organism: Homo sapiens (assembly GCF_000001405.40). Taxonomy (NCBI): domain Eukaryota; kingdom Metazoa; phylum Chordata; class Mammalia; order Primates; family Hominidae; genus Homo; species Homo sapiens. The sequence continues at coordinate 148,950,757 of NC_000001.11, forward strand.
CCCAAACACCTCCCACCAGGCCCCACCTCCAACACTGGGGATTACAATTCAACATGAGATTTGGTGGGGCCATATATTCAAATCATATCACCTACTAAGCCCAAAGCTCTAAGAACTGTCCTTTTCTCTTACAATGGAGCTACAAGATTTTGCTTTGGTGATTAAGAGAACAATACAATCTTATGTAGGCAGGGCCCCATAATGTTTTAAAGTTACTGAAAATATTCCAATTCATAGTAAAATAATAATATTAGCTATTATTTAATGAGCGAAACACGGTTAAAGCATTTCCTCAAAATCATCTCATTTAGTCTTCAATAAGAAGTTTGGGGGCTTATTATGAACTCTCAGAGATGGCATTTGGATGTCTTCAGGCTTAGGAGTATGGACTCTGTCCTGGGGATGAGGTTCAGAAAAACTTAGATGTTGCTGGCCTTAGCTTACAAGGTCAAGTTAGTAAAAATTTAGCATGATTAGAACTGGGAAATGTCCTGCTCTAGGGGACTGCAAGTGATTGCTGAGGTTGTTCCTCTTGTTACGTGTCTGAATGCCTCTCAAGCCAGGAAGATAATTCCTTATTAAAAATGGCCGGAGGTACCAGCATTCTACCTAGTCAGGGCTCCAGCTTCCCTCCTCTTTGTGTGCAATCTAAGTTTTGGACCCAAGGGTGGAGGACCTATCACTGTACAATGCTGAGTAAGACATGGTTTTCACCGAAGTCAGTGAAGTTCCCAGTCCTTTCTGGCGCGAGCTGCATTCCCAGACACTCCAGCTCTTACGGAAAGAAGCACTGTCTTTTGCGCTAGTGTTTGTCTACCGTCCCCTGTCCTAAAATAATGACTGCCCTCTACCTGAGGGAAAGGGACTTCAATGGTGGTAATCTACTCGCGGCTGGCTGCATCCTTAAAAAAGCCCATTTCTCTTCTACTATCTTCAAGATCTTGGTTAACCAGATTCACATTGTATGTGCCGGACTCTTTCTCAGGTGACTGCTCTGTGCTTTTTTATCTAAAGAAGGGCAAGTCACCCACGGGTACTAACCCTCCCCCACCCACATCAAGGGAGAAACACTCCTCTACTCTTTTCTGGACATTCCTGTTCAGAGTCGAGGTAAGGGTTGCACGGCCCCGCCCCTCCGTTACCAAGCCTTCCCTCGCCTGCCTCGCAGCCTCAGGCCCTTAGAACCCAGGCGGGGCGGGGCCGGGAAAGGTGAGGCTGCTGGCGGGAAGCGGGGGCGGCGCGCAGCGGTACCTAGCGGCGCTGCCCCGCTGGCAGCCGGAGGACGTGGCACTGTCCGAGAATGCAGGGAGGGGATTCGTCTTTCTCCTCCCCGCGAGGAGGAGCCTCGACATCCTGCAGAGGCGGGAGGATCCTTGAGGGCACTGGTGCGACTTTCAGGTGAGGTCTTAGCAGATGAAAGCGGCTGGCTGTGGCCCGCGCCAGTAGTGCTTTCTGCTCCGCACTCGCCGTGAGCCAGGTGTGCAACCGGATTTGGGGCGAGGGTCGCGCTGGCTACCTCGCATGCGCAGAGCCGGAAGCCCGCTGACCGGACTACAGCTCCCAGAAGAGCCTTGTGGAGGCCGCAGACGCGAAGCCGCTGGCGCCATCTTGAAATCTGATCCTCCATCCCCGAGGCTTTGCGTCTGCGCGGCCGGCCGCTGCTGCTCCGGGAGCCCAGTCTGCTAAAAGGGGAGGACGTTGAGGACGCGGCGGCTGGCGGGAGAGACAGCTGGGGAGAGACATGGCAGGGTCGGAGCGCGGCCTGCGCCTCTGTCACTCAGCATCCTCTTAGGCGTTTCCACGCCCGCCCCCTGCCCGAGGGGCGGGGCTGACGGCTCTGGTACCCGGAGTCGGCGCGCGGGGCAGGGGCGCGCCCCTGCAGAGTGGGGACCCCACTGGGCTGTGCCATGCTGACCGGAGACCACCGAGGCGGGAGACAGAGCGCGGCGAAGAGCCATTGAGTGGTCACCCAGTAGCCGCCGCCGCCGCCGCCTCGGGAAGCTTGCCACCCGCTAGGAGGGAAGATGAAGGAGATTTGCAGGATCTGTGCCCGAGAGCTGTGTGGAAACCAGCGGCGCTGGATCTTCCACACGGCGTCCAAGCTCAATCTCCAGGTTCTGCTTTCGCACGTCTTGGGCAAGGATGTCCCCCGCGATGGCAAAGCCGAGTTCGCTTGCAGCAAGTGTGCTTTCATGCTTGATCGAATCTATCGATTCGACACAGTTATTGCCCGGATTGAAGCGCTTTCTATTGAGCGCTTGCAAAAGCTGCTACTGGAGAAGGATCGCCTCAAGTTCTGCATTGCCAGTATGTATCGGAAGAATAACGATGACTCTGGCGCGGAGATCAAGGCGGGGAATGGGACGGTTGACATGTCCGTCTTACCCGATGCGAGATACTCTGCACTGCTCCAGGAGGACTTCGCCTATTCAGGGTTTGAGTGCTGGGTGGAGAATGAGGATCAGATCCAGGAGCCACACAGCTGCCATGGTTCAGAAGGCCCTGGAAACCGACCCAGGAGATGCCGTGGTTGTGCCGCTTTGCGGGTTGCTGATTCTGACTATGAAGCCATTTGTAAGGTACCTCGAAAGGTGGCCAGAAGTATCTCCTGCGGCCCTTCTAGCAGGTGGTCGACCAGCATTTGCACTGAAGAACCAGCGTTGTCTGAGGTTGGGCCACCCGACTTAGCAAGCACAAAGGTACCCCCAGATGGAGAAAGCATGGAGGAAGAGACGCCTGGTTCCTCTGTGGAATCTTTGGATGCAAGCGTCCAGGCTAGCCCTCCACAACAGAAAGATGAGGAGACTGAGAGAAGTGCAAAGGAACTTGGAAAGTGTGACTGTTGTTCAGATGATCAGGCTCCGCAGCATGGGTGTAATCACAAGCTGGAATTAGCTCTTAGCATGATTAAAGGTCTTGATTATAAGCCCATCCAGAGCCCCCGAGGGAGCAGGCTTCCGATTCCAGTGAAATCCAGCCTACCTGGAGCCAAGCCTGGCCCTAGCATGACAGATGGAGTTAGTTCCGGTTTCCTTAACAGGTCTTTGAAACCCCTTTACAAGACACCTGTGAGTTATCCCTTGGAGCTTTCAGACCTGCAGGAGCTGTGGGATGATCTCTGTGAAGATTATTTGCCGCTCCGGGTCCAGGTATACAAAACGGCTACATAGTGCCTTTCTGATTATAGCTAGCTGGCCTCTGGCTTCACGTGATTTCGGTCTAGGTGGAGGTTAGAAATATTCTGGACTTGAGAAAATTAGTCATGACCCCATTTTTGCTGCACCTTTTGCTCTGTCTCATTTAGTAAACGTGATTTGCACTCAGATAATTTGATTTTCACAATCCTTTTTGTAAAATCTGTTGACTTTCCCATTATCAAAATTGTATACCTTTTAAAACAAAAAGGTAAAGATTCCTACTTCACTTTTTTCCTATAAAAAGAAGACATTTAATCTCATTTCTGGCACTAGAACTTTTCCTCTTACCTCTTTTTTTTTTCCAACTTTTAAAATTTGTTCTTGTTTTCAGATTTATAGACGTTTCCTCCCAATGGTTTTCTGTAAGGCAGTTAGTTCTCTAGTTAGTTCTTCCTGGAGCATTAAAGCCTTCATCCGCAAAATGCCTGTAAATGATTAGAGCATAAGGTAAAAGGTTTGGGGAAAGCCTATTAATCCACCAGTAAAGTATTATAACATCTGGACCATATTAATTAGAATTAATAGTTCATTTGAGGATTAGTGATGACTCATTCATAAAAGAGACAGGAATTCAAGTATTCAAGTACAGTATTGTCAGTCAAAAGATTAAGGCATAAACTGTTCACAGCCAGAACTCTACTGAGTTCTACTGGAAGATATTTGATATTAAGAAAGGATTAACCCATTATTGGATCAGAGGAGAGTTTCATTCATTATAGTCTTGAATTCTTAATTGCTTAATTTGAGCTATTCGTGTCTGCCCAATTGATTCTGTACCAACCTTTTAAATTCAACTATGGTAGTTTGTTTCTATAGCAACAGTAAATGCTAGCTTCAATAAACTTTGTGAAACATTCTGGCATGTTCCACTTGATACAACTTATTTAACAATACTGTCACAAAGGTAGATGTGATCTAGAAGGCATTTTTTAGAAAGCCTGCTACTGGTCAACGTCATTCCAGAAATTTAGAGCTTGATAAGTGACATTGTTGATGGCCACTTGAAATTTTTGGAAAGTAGTTCTATGGTATGTATACTGTCTATCACAATAAGAACCTAAGCAGAAAACAGGAGAAAAGTTTTTAAATTTACACAAAATTATGAGAAGCAGCATAGATGAGAAACAGCATAGATGAAAGTGTCATGAAAGGTAAAAAGTCAGTGCATTTTCATTTTGTATAAAATGTTAAGCACTGTATGCTTAACACTGTGTACTTCTTTTCTTTTGCTTTTTCTTTCAGTGGAGCCTCGCAGCTAAATTTGGGCTTTACAGTATTTCTGTGACTAGACATAGGTGTTACAAATTAAACATGGTGTTTTCATATTAGGGTCTAAAATTAGTTGGGCCAGGATGGATGGGAAATAAACTCGTCCCCCCAGCCCGCCACCAAATATGACCAATATTGTAGAACGTTACATAAAGACTGAGAAAATAACAGCCAAAACAAGATCTTTTTTTCTCCGTATTTAAATAAAATACTATATTTTGGTGACTGGATTTTGGAGTGGAGAAGGATTTTAAAGATCATCTTCAGGCAGTCTCTCAATTTGGAGATATGGAAAGTTCCTTGTTTAACTAACGTAGCCCATGCAGAGACAAAGATTTCTGACCATTCTCAGGCAAGACACTTTAATTCTATACATTAAACCCCATTGTCTGAAGTATATTAATTTAAGTAAGTACTTATTTTAAACCAGGAGCCCTCTTTCTCTAACCTAAGGATGCTCGGAGGATTCTTTAGAGATTATGTGAAAAAAATTGTCATCTGAATGAACACATATAAACTATGGTAACTGTATCTTCAGGTCAAGTCCCTTTACTTCACTAAATTTGGACATTAGAGCTTTAAGATGGTAGTGTATGACCTTTCTGCTGTGACTTGACTTACATTGTTTACTGTTTCTAGAAAAACAAAAATTAGGAGGTGGGAGAAAATGTCATTCAGCTTCAAGAAATGTGGCATTTAATTATTATGCCATTTTCTCTAATAATTTAGGATGTCAGGGAAAATAGATGAATTGGGCCCAACATGTTTGTAAATAAAATGGGCGGTGTATCTATTGTTTAAATCTGGTTACTTTTAAGCTCCTTAAGAGCCTTATGACAAAACCAGTGCTAGATGGGACAATGGCAGACTGGTTTTTGTCTATTTCTCTGAACAAATATGGAAAGAATAGAAATAATATAATTTTTTTTGGTAGTTCTCTTTTTTAGTTTGTAGAAACACGAAACCATGAAAGAAAAAAATGTTTCCTTTAGTTCAGTTCTGCCACAAATATGGAGAAAACCTTTTATCTTAAAGAGCAAGATTGTTCTGTAAGGTTATTTTGATTCCTTTGTTTAATCCTCCACTTACCATATTTTATGCACTATTAAATATTGACATCAGGATTCCTCCTGATTGCTTTTCCTCTTTTTTTTCTTTCCTTCTTTCCGTCTTTTTCTTTGTTCCTTTCTTATTTATTAAAGAAAAATAGCAACAGTGTAGTTCTGCTTACTGATATTCTGATATTATACAAAGTAATTTATTTCCCTTCTACAGAATTTATGTATGAGGACCTAAGGCTGTTCAGATATCTAAAGAAAGGTTTGAAGCCTTCTTCTAGCTGGTAATTCCCTTCTTTATTGTCTGGCCCTGAACTAGAAAAGCTATGATGGGAGGGATGTGGTCCCTTAGTAAACAGCAATGAGCTCTGGCCCATGTGCAATTTCCCTTTCTATCTAAATTCAAAGAACAGAAGATCTTTGCCTTAAACCTTGCAATGCCAAGGTCTGCTCCTTTGTGACTATGGTAAATTTATCCCACTCTTATTTTAGTTATGTGAAGTGGATCAGGCCCTTTGGAAGATGTTGGCATTAGATGCTGGTAAAAGATTAGGCCTTTAATTTTATGGTAGTCAATGGTTCTTGTCTGTCTCCTATTATTAACAATAGGGTTGACAATTATAGCAGTTTGAGATCTATAACTCACTACTGTGAGGACTAGAAAGTGCCAAGAAAACTGCTGTTAACACAAAAAGTCTAAAAACTGGCCTTAGCCTAAAAAAAAGTCTCATATTGTGCAACACTAGGCCTGGAAGCGGTTCTCTTTTCTGATACTGGAAAGCCTTTGTCCTAATTCTGAGTCAAAAGTGACTTAATTTAAAATTATATTATCATTTCCACATGATTTTAGTACCTGAGTGTCTAGAGAGTAACACTGATTCTACCAAATCAGGTATTACTTATTTCATGGGCTACACTATCATTGTAGGAGTGACTGTTTTATGTACTTGATACTTCACAAGAATTCATTATGTTGTTGGCTTAGTGGGACTTGCTAAGTGCTCTTTCAGCAGACTGTTACCTGCAAGGACATTTTTCTGAGATGCAAAATAGTAAATTATTACAAATAAAGAAGAAACAAATATCTTCCAACTTTTAGGTCAGTACATTATTTATAGAAAAAGAGGTTTCTTATTATTATTCATGTCAAGATTGATTCATATGAGATTCAAATACATTATGTATTTTCCTGTGGCATTCTTTGGCTTTAAAGTTGCTGTTCGAATATATGTTATATACAGTCTTATTTCTAAGAGAGCCACTAAAGGCTCGTTTTTGTTTGTTTTTATTGTTCTTATTTGTTCATTAAACAAAAACTTTTGATCTCTGCAGTATTCCCGGCATTATGGTAGGCAATGGGTTTATAGAAATGAGAGATACATTCCCAACCTGAGTGGAAATCCAGTTCAGTTTAATTGGATCTTTTTCCTGATTTCCCATGAAACCTTGGACTAATTACTTCTCTAAGTTTCCATTTCCTTGTATGTAAAATAGGATTGGATCAGATGGTTAGTTTATAAAGTTTCCTTCACCACTGTAAGATTGTTTGGTTTAAAGTAAATAAATATGACCACCTTCCTTGCCATTTTAAACTTGAAGCTATTTTCTTTAATTCTGCCTGTTGTAGTTTGAATTTCAAAGTATCTTACTGTAGGTGTTACTGTTGTTTTACGCTGAAGAAGTAAGAAGCCAAATTTTATAGAGATGGTTTTATCATTAAGTAAATGATGAATTTATTTATTAGTTAGAATCATTGTAAACATCTATTAATGTGGTTACTTTGCCCATGGTGTGACATAGTTCATATTGCCTCAGGTGAAGGCTTCCTGTTATACTCACAACAACAAATATCTCAAATAATTTTTCCAGAAGTCATTATCCTTGCTGCTTTTTTCCCTCTCCCTCTATCCAGTCCACCAGCAAGTCCTGTTAGCTATACTTTCAAAACATATCCATATCTATCCATTTATTTCCCCCTCCCTTTACTAACCACCAGGATCCAAGCTACTATTGTCTTTCACCTGCACTACCGCAGCAGCCTCCTACCTGGTCTCTCTGCTTCTCTTGGTGCTCCCCAATAATTCATTCACCACAGCATGATCTTTTCAAAACTTCTGTATGATTACCTGTTAAAAAACTGCAGTCTATTCTCATTTCAATTAAAATGAAATCCAGTTCATTAACTTTGTTGTCTGAAGCTGGATGTGACCTGGTGCCTGCCTGCCTCTCCACCTCATTGAGTTTCCCTGTCCCCTTTGCCCACTATGCTCTAGCCCTGTGCTATCCAGTAAGCTAGCCACTAGTCTTAGGAGCTGTTGAACCCTTGAAATGTGGCTAGTCCAAATTGAGATGTGCTGTGAGTATAAAATATACCTTGAATTTCAGACTTATGAAAAATCATGTAATATTATCTCAGATAATAATGTTATCTCATTAATAATTTTTATATTATTTACATGTTTATGATAACATTTTGGATATATTGGGTTAAATAAAATATTTTGTTAAAATTAAGTTTACCTATTTATTTTGTACTTTGTTCATTGAAGCTACTAGAAAATTAAAAATTACATACATGGCTCACATTATATTTCTACTGGAGAGTGCTATTCTAGCCACAGAGGCCTTTCTCTTTTCCAGGCTCATATTCCATTAGCTGTTCTTTCTGCCTGGATTGTTCTGCTGATCTTTGCAGGACTGATTCTTTTTCCTTCAGATATCTATTTAAATGCTGCCTCATAAAGACCTTTCTCTGATCAAACAATTTAGGGTAATTTAACCACCCACTCTGTATTATGCTTTCCTGTTTTGCCGCACAGGGCTTGTCCATAATATTTTTTGCATTTCCTTGTTTGTTTATCATGTACTCCCCACTCCAACCCCTGCAAAATATAAGTTTCAAGAGCACAGGGACTTTGTCTTGCATGATACTCTATCTTCAAGACAGTGCCTAGCACATAGTTAGTGTGCAACAGATATATGTTATGTCAGCATTGTATTCCTCACAGTGCCTCACATGGTGCTTTGCTTATTATAGCATTTAGTAGGTGTTAGAAAAGTTGATAAATAGCACTGGAGGAATAGAAGAGATTTTTCTTCTGCAATTTTTATGCTTCCAGTCAGTTGCTGGCAGGAAGGGATTTAAGGTAAGCTGTAACTCCACTGCCTTGAAAGTGGTAATCAAGTCTGAAAGTGTGAGGGAAACAAAAAATGAATAGCAGTTGCCTTTTCTCTCTTAATGAGTTTATATTCCTAATTGGAATGGAAGCAGGTATGGAGGCGGGAAGATCAAATTTAATTGCCGCAGTAAATTTGTAGTTTTATTTTAACATCCTTAGCTTGTAATGATTACTAAGAATAGTTCAATAAGTTTATCTTATTGTCCCATATATAAATCATTGTTCCATATATAAATTGTCCCATATATAAAATCATACTTTTTTCTCCTGAATCTTTTAAGTGAATTGATATTCCTATAAAATATATCTCTTTCCCATTTCACTATGGATTATTTATCTGTGCTTATGCTATAAATCTGCCTTTAGGCACATCTATTTTAAATTTATTTTAATTTTTCTCTTTTTATTTTGAAATAATTTCAAACGTACAGAGATGTTATAAGAGAAATACCAAGAACTCCCATATACCCTTTACCCAGATTTACCAGTTGCAAATATTTTGTCACATTTGCTTTATAAACTCTCCCACTGTCTGTATTTGCACAGTATTTTTTAAAAATTCTTGAACCATTTGAGAATTAGTTGTAGATAGTATACTCCTTTACCCTAAATACTTAAGCATTATTTCTTAAGGACAAGGACATCTCTTATATAATTACAGTACAATTATCAAATTTAGAAAATTAGACATTGATAAAATACTGTTACCTAATATATAGTCCATATCAAAATCTGCCAATTTTTTCCAATAATGTGAAACAAGCATGTTGTAAGAAAGGTAGCCGGAATGTAACTTCTCTCAGGAAGTGTAAGTTTGATGAGTATGCCTTTTCAACTCCTTGATTAAAAATAGAATAAAGCAAATATTTGGTCATTGTAAGCATTTCCTTTATTAAATCCTCCCCTTCTCATTGAACTCTGAATTACTTGCTTTCGCTGAATAAACATGTAGTGTTTGTGTGAATTGGTACAGAAAAGTGGAGAGGGAAGCTGGGGAGCATAGTACAAATGGAGGTGAATCAGTGTTCTTAATAAGGAACAGACCTGTCTTTAGGAATTCATACTGATAATTTATGCAACAAATCTGATTCTCTAAATCTCTGGCAAAAGATGCAACAGACATTTTTGAAGACAAAAAAAAAATTTTGTTGGCCATGTTTAACTCACCTTACTCGTTTTGCCGTTTCTTCCTAGCCCATGACTGAAGAGTTGCTGAAACAACAAAAGCTGAATTCACATGAGACCACTATAACTCAGCAGTCTGTATCTGATTCCCACTTGGCAGAACTCCAGGAAAAAATCCAGCAAACAGAGGCCACCAACAAGGTATGATTAGTACTATGCCCTAGGAGATGACAAGGTTTTCCTGAGGATGTGACTGGCTCTAGCCTGAGTCTGTCAACCTTTGTAGGACTTGGGAGATGAATACTGTGTACTCCTTGTGCTCTAGGGAATATTTCATGTAAAAGTGTAGTTCTTCTCTTTATTCTTATGAAGATTTTAGCTTGTTCTGTACAGATCATAATTTCTGGTGCTTTTCAGGTGTGTAATTAAAACTTGCATGCAGGCCGGCGCAGTGGCTCATGCCTGTAATGCCAGTGCTTTGGGAGGCCAAGGCAGGCGGATCACGAGGTCAGGAGTTCGAGACCAGCCTGGCCAACATGGTGAAACCCTGTCTCTACTAAAAAATAAAAAAAAATTAGCCAGGCGTTGTGGCAGACACCTGTAATCCCACCTACTCGGGAGGCTGAGGCAAGACAATCGCTTGAACGCAGGAGGTGGATGTTGCAGTGAGCCAGGACCATGCCACTGCACTCAGGCCTGGGCAACAGAGAGAGACTCTGTCTCAAAAAAACACTTGCATGCAGTCTTCCACTGTAAAAGGCACTGAGATAGGAGGTCTGTGTTTTTTATTTTAGCTTAACTTGTTACTACTTTCTAGCCCATGAATTTTAATGTCTGGCTTAGAAGAAAATTGCTACAATTTGGGATGCTGAACTTGTGGCCTGGGTGCCCTTATAGTGCCCTCTCCTATGCTAGATAGCAGAAGCTCTTTGGTCCTTGTATAAGGGATCCATATTAGAAACCACTTGCCTACTTGGTCCATGTGGACAAGTTCCTAGTATGGCTGCCATCATAGAGAGATCACAGTGCGTGAAAATTGAGACAATTTAGTATTGAAGGAAGTATTTCATTTCTCCTGCTACTTTTTGTTGCTGATTGACTTACCACTTTAATGGTTACTCTATGTAGGAAAAATAACAAGGTAATATCCCCTAAGAAATTCTTTAAATCCTAGATTTGAGGAAAGGCTTTATTCATTTGAGGCTAAAAGACATCATTGACCTAAAAAACTGTTTTTCTTTGCTGAATTCAGATTCTTCAAGAGAAACTTAATGAAATGAGCTATGAACTAAAGTGTGCTCAGGAGTCGTCTCAAAAGCAAGATGGTACAATTCAGAACCTCAAGGAAACTCTGAAAAGCAGGGAACGTGAGGTAACATATTTACCAATCAAGGACCTGTGTGGAAACAATTGGTCCCTTCAAAGTAGACAAGTATTTTATATTTTGTCAAAATGGATATTGTCAGACTAGCATGTCTTAGCCTGGAGAAGTTGTAGCTTAATCTCAATTGATATTTTGGAATAGTCCTGTTACTAAAATGTGTACAGGTGATATAATGGAATTTATAATTAGTTTACTAACATATTTGATATTCCCTCTCTCATTTTCAGACTGAGGAGTTGTACCAGGTAATTGAAGGTCAAAATGACACAATGGCAAAGCTTCGAGAAATGCTGCACCAAAGCCAGCTTGGACAACTTCACGTATGTGAGGGTCACGTAGGACAGGAGAGACTTCAGTTGGGGATGTGCCATTTTGGTTGCAGTCTTGATTTTATTTTTAGTCTTTGTGGGAGCTCAGTGCTTGCCCTCCTTGTGATTGTGATTTCTACTCTCTTTTCAGAGCTCAGAGGGTACTTCTCCAGCTCAGCAACAGGTAGCTCTGCTTGATCTTCAGAGTGCTTTATTCTGCAGCCAACTTGAAATACAGAAGCTCCAGAGGGTGGTACGACAGAAAGAGCGCCAACTGGCTGATGCCAAACAATGTGTGCAATTTGTAGAGGCTGCAGCACACGAGAGTGAACAGCAGAAAGAGGCTTCTTGGAAACATAACCAGGTAAATCATTAACTATTTTATTGCCCTAAATGCTGACTTTGCCCTGATCATAACTTTTTAGCAGGACAGTTTGTGTTGAACCCTTGAGTCAGTTGCATAATCTAAGTATTTCAGTTCAACACTTGCTGCCCTTGTACCATATGCTAGTTACAGTAGTCCCTCTTTATCCACAGTTTCACTTTCCATGGTTTCAGTTATCTGGGGTCAACCACAGACAAAAAACATTAAGATATTTTAAGAGAGACCACATTCACGTAACTTTTCTTTTTTGAGACAGAGTCTCGCTCTGTCGCCAAGGTTGGAGTGCAGTGGCGCGATCTCCGCTCACTGCAACCTCCGCCTCCTGTATTCATGCCATTCTCCCACTTCAGCCTCCAGAGTAGCTGGGACTACAGGCGCCCGCCACCATGCCTGGCTAATGTTGTTTTTGTATTTTTGGTAGAGACAGGTTTTCATCGTGTTAGGATGGTCTCGATCTCCTGACCTCGTGATCTGCCCACCTTGGCCTCCCTCACGTAACTTTTGTTACAGCATGTTGTTATAATTCTTCTATTTTATTGTTATTGTTAATCTGTCAGTATGTGTAATTTGTATGTAAACCTTTATCATAGTTATCTATGCACAGGAAAAAACAGTATACACAGGCTTCAGTGCTATCTGGTTTCAGGCATCCACTGGGCGTCTTAGAATGTATCCCCTGTGGGTAAGGGGCGACTGCCGTATTGAGTTGTACCCTGGAAATACAAGGATGAATAGCACAGGCTCCTTTCTTTTAAGTTACTTATAGTTCAGTAAGAGAGACAGTCACATAAGCTGAGTTTCAGTGTGGTAAATTCTGAAGGGGATGTATATATGGGGTCCTACAGGAATATCTAGGAAAGGAGTCAAGGAAAAGGAATCAAGGAAAACTTCATGAAGGAGGAGACATCTGAGGTTATTCTTGAAGGATGGGTAAAACCAGGCAGAAAAGTGGGGAAGAACCACTAAGGTCAGAGGAATGACATGCATAATAATCAGCCCTGTTTTTTATTTTTTATTTTTGAATAATAAATATACGATTCTTTTCTTTTCTTTTCTTTTCTTTCTTTCCTCTCTCTTTCTTTCCTTCTTTTTTTTTTTTTTTTTTTTTTTGAGACAGAGTCTCGCTCTGTCGCCCAGGCTGGAGTACAGTGGCGCGATCTCGGCTCGCTGCAAGCTCCGCCTCTCGGGTTCACGCCATTCTCCTGCCTCAGCCTCCCAAGTAGCTGGGACTACAGGCACTGGCCGCCACCACGCCCGGCTAATTTTTTTTGCATTTTTAGTAGAGACAGGGTTTCATCGTGTTAGCCAGGATGGTCTCGATGTCCTGACCTCGTGATCCGCCCGCCTCAGCCTCCCAAAGTGCTGAGATTACAGGCGTGAGCCACTGCGCCCGGCCTCTTTCTTTCCTTCTTTCTCTCTCTCTCTTTCTTTTCTTTTCTTTCTTTCTTTCATTTTTTTTTTTTTTGAGACAGAGTTTTGCTCTTGTTGCCCAGGCTGGAGTGCAACGACACAATCTCGGCTCACTGCAACCTCCACCTCCCGGGTTCAAGCGATTCTCCTGCTTCAGCCTCCTGGTAGCTGGGATTACAGGCATGCGCCACCACGCCTGGCTAATTTTGTATTTTTAGTAGAGACAGGGTTTCTCCATGTTGGTCAGGTTGGTCTCAAACTCCCGACCTCTGGTGATCTGCCCACCTTGGCCTTCCAAAGTGGTGAGATTACAGGCGTGAGCCACCACGCTGGGCCAAAATACACAACTCTTAAATGGTTCCTTTATCTTGTTAGGTCAGAGTGTATGTGTTTGTTTAAGATTTAAAAGATTTTTTTGTGTGTGGTCTCTTCTTAAGCTCTTTAACACTCAGGTTTAAAAGTAATTTTTGAAGGATCTCCCTGGTTTAGTGGTTTGGAGATCAAATATTAGCCCTGAATTTCCTTTTGAAATATTAAAATTTTGGCTGGGCACAGTGGCTCACGCCTGTAATCCCAGCACTTTGGGAGGCCGAGGTGGGTGGATCATGTGGTCAGTAGTTCAAGACCAGCCTGGCCAAGATGGTGAAACCCCGTCTCTACTAAAAATACAAAAATTAGCCCAGCGTGGTGGCAGGAGCCTTTAATCCCAGCTACTTGGGAGGCTGAGGCACAGAAATGCTTGAACCCGGAAGGCGGAGGTTGCAGTGAGCCGAGATTGTACCACTGCACTTCAGCATGGGCAACAGAGTGAGACTCCATCTCAAAAAAAAGAAATATTAAAATTTCAGATGTCTGGGCAGGGTCGGGGAGTGGTGGAGGGATGGAGGTAGAAATAATTCTTAACTTTTTGTTATTTAGCTAAAGGAAACATTTCCCCAAGATTTGTTTAGTTGAGAATATGTATTTGGTAGCTTTCTAAAGTAACAGATGATTTAAAGATTACTGACTTTATTATTAGAAAAATAAATATGGCAAACTAAGAAAGAAGAGTGATGGTCTCTATGAGATCTTTAGAAAAAAGGATGATAGGAATAGTTTATCCTTGAGCTTATTGTAAATAATCCAGGTTTACCGTAGGACAGATTCTCACTTAATGGTTCTATAGATGTATTCTTTTTAAGCCAAAAAATAAGTATTGAACTATAATATCAAGCTTACTTCCTACCCCATTCACAACTTTTACAATTTTCCATATCCTATTCAATTCATGTATAATACTTCTATAGCAATTTTAATAATGGCACCCTCTGCTCCTCTTTCAGTTTATATACCTTGAAAATTTTAAGGCCTCTGTATCTAATAACCATGTGACAATTTTAGATCTCTTTAAAAAGGTAATATGTTTAATTCAGGAATTGCGAAAAGCCTTGCAGCAGCTACAAGAAGAATTGCAGAATAAGAGCCAACAGCTTCGTGCCTGGGAGGCTGAAAAATACAATGAGATTCGAACCCAGGAACAAAACATCCAGCACCTAAACCATAGTCTGAGTCACAAGGAGCAGTTGCTTCAGGTGAGTTTACATGATTTCAATGAAAACTGGGCTCATAGAACTCTGAAATTTGTTTATATAATTTTAAGATATTAATCCACCTGTGCTGAGTCCCTGCCATATGGAAAACATTGAGAGAGGTGGGAATCAGGAGGATTTAAAATAAATAGAAAATATAATTTGTGAATTAAGATGCTTACTAACAAGTATAAGAAACAGTACATATAGCCCTGACTTAAGCAGTCTTTTATGAAGTCTTTTATAAAGACTTAATATTCAGAAAATAGTTATTAAGCACCTCTGTGAATCAAACACTTTTCTGGGTGTTGGGAAGACAAAAGATTTGGCTACTGATCTCAGTTTAATAGATGAAGACAAACTGTACAGAAACTTCCACAGAGTAATTTTGATGATAGAATAAAAGTTTGAGGGGAAGATGGAGCATTAAGAAGAGACTGATCTGTTCTGCCACCTACTCTAAGCTTCAGTCACATTGAATCCACTACATTTCACTGAATGTACAATTTTTTCATTGTATGCATAGTGTGCATATTTTTTTTTCTCTAACGTATCCTCCTCTCCCTTCTTCACTTAGGAAATCCTAGTCCTTTAATTAAGACTCACTGCAAATATTACCTCCTCTGTGAGGTCTTTACTGACACCTGCAGGCAGAGTTAGGCAGTGCATCCTGTGTTCCCCTGGTGGCTAGCGTATGTTGCAGAACAGTTAATTCTATGTGTTGTGTCTGTTGTATGTTGCAGAATAGTTTACAGTTTATATGTCTGTTATCTCTGCTAAACTTGTTACTTTTGAGGAGAGTGATCACATCTTGTTTTTTTTTTATCCTGAATAACTAGCAAATTACTTGGTAATTTAGTTAATATTGGATAAAAGAATAAAAGAAACTATTTTTGGTCTCAGGAATTTCGGGAGCTCCTACAGTATCGAGATAACTCAGACAAAACCCTTGAAGCAAATGAAATGTTGCTTGAGAAACTTCGCCAGCGAATACATGATAAAGCTGTTGCTCTGGAGGTATGTATCATCATTTCGCCCACTATGCTATGGATTATTCTATCTACATAGGTATTATAGAAATTTGTGTTTGCTTAAATTTGCTGCTTTGGGATTTGGTTTTCTATTCTGCCATCTTGTTGAATAAGAGTGATCAGGATAGTAAATCTTACAGAGCTTTAGGAGTCTTCCTTTCCTTGCAGCGGGCTATAGATGAAAAATTCTCTGCTCTAGAAGAGAAAGAAAAAGAACTGCGCCAGCTTCGTCTTGCTGTGAGAGAGCGAGATCATGACTTAGAGAGACTGCGCGATGTCCTCTCCTCCAATGAAGCTACTATGCAAGTAAGAGCAAAACCTATCTCTGACTTGGTGTTCCTCTCCCACTTGTATCCTGAGCCTGAAGCATGACCCCCTTCCATCATTTTCTGAAAACCAGGGATTTTGCTTTATAAGGGGGAAGAAAACCAAAAAGAGCAGTTACTAGTTCCATCATTGTCAATTAGCAAGTGAGAGATTTTAGCGCTTCTACTTTTCTTTTGTAATATGAACTTTGTGAGGAGAGCCAGTAAATATTGATTTCTGTTTACATAGTTCTGATTTATTTCCAATTCTTGTTCATACATAAGTATACATACACACACGCTCTTCTCTCTCTCTCTTACTTTTACTGAAGCATTACCAGGGTGCAATTATTAAATTGTGTCTTCTACATTAATATTATCTACATGTCCATGAATTGCCATAATTAGAACACTTGTTTATCTATATTTACTGTGGACTTTTTTGCATATTTATTTTAGAGCTTATGTATCTATCTGCCACTTTTTCGAGAAATCCTTTATAGCATAGTGCACTTCCTCCAAAATACTTCCTTTTATCATATATTCTATATTTAATCTCTCCACAAACTAGATAAAAGTTTCTAAAAACCAAAAAAATAGATTAGTATGGCATTGTTAGATCAATGTTCTCATCTTGCAAATAAAAAAAAATTGATGGGAGATTATTTAAAAGTGGATCTAATTTCTTGTTTATCCTGAGGAGTATGGGGTAATCATTTTGACTGATTATTGCTCTCTTTATGGCTGTAGAGTATGGAGAGTCTCCTGAGGGCCAAAGGCCTGGAAGTGGAACAGTTATCTACTACCTGTCAAAACCTCCAGTGGCTGAAAGAAGAAATGGAAACCAAATTTAGCCGTTGGCAGAAGGAACAAGAGAGTATCATTCAGCAGTTACAGACGTCTCTTCATGATAGGAACAAAGAAGTGGAGGCAAGACTTCAGTTAACTTTAAGGCAGTTGGTTCAGTGATTATGTAATCTCAGCCTTGGATTAGGACTCTTCAGATTGGGAGGACTGTGACCCAAGTCTTTAATTTCATTCTGTGCCTGGGCAAGTCATTGACTTTCACTGGGATTTTTTTTTTCCCCACGTCTAGAAACTTAAGTTGGCAATTAACTTTCTCAAAGAACTTATGTGAGAATTAATGAGACCCAAAAATTGCATCTTTAACATGATAGCTAACCTTTATTAGTTATAGTCTTCATGCTGGGTCAGGTACTGTTTTAAGATCCTAATGGATATTAACTCATTGGATCCTCACAAGTCCATGAGGTACTTTCTATTATTCCTTTTTATAGAGGAGGAAACAGACTTCTGAAGCTAAGTAACTTGTCCAAGCTAACATAGCTAATAAGTAGCAGATCCAGTATCAACCTAGGCAGTATGGCTCCATTCCTCCACCATGTGCCATCAGTTAGTACAGAAATAGAAACCATCGCTATGATAGCAAATATAGTGTTTAGTATTCCTTTCAGCTTATCGTTTTATGCTTCCCCCTGTTAAGTTACACTGGGGAGAAAACAAATAAATGAACTGAGTGTCCATTTATCCTCATCTAACATTAATTGTTACATGCCCTGAACAAATAGGAAAAAGACTTATTTCAGAAAACAATATGTATGTAAGTGGCCACCAGAGATAGTTTTCTGTATGGTTTGTATTCATTCCTGGGACATGTATTTAGAGACTTCTGTGTAGCAGGCCTGTGCTAGATCTGGTAAAACAAAAATGAGTAAAACATGATACTTATTCTCAAGAATCTCACACCTCCTTCTTCTATGATAGATTCTTATAAGCCCTTTGATATTTAGCAGAGGCATTTCTTTCCTCCAGAAGCTTACAGTGTCCTTTCTGCATTAGGATCTTAGTGCAACACTGCTCTGCAAACTTGGACCAGGGCAGAGTGAGATAGCAGAGGAGCTGTGCCAGCGTCTACAGCGAAAGGAAAGGATGCTGCAGGACCTTCTAAGTGATCGAAATAAACAAGTGCTGGAACATGAAATGGAGATTCAAGGCCTGCTTCAGTCTGTGAGCACCAGGGAGCAGGAAAGCCAAGTAAGGATTAATGCACAGATCAGACAAGTGTCATGTAGTGCATTTATAGTCTGCAAATAGGAAGCATTTGCAGACTATAGATGTGTGTATATTTATATATTTTACCGTCAACTCTGTTAGTTTCTTTCCTTCTATTTATTACCTAAACCACAGTTTTATTTATTTACTTACTTATTTAGAGATGGGGGTTTCGCTGTGTTGCACAGGCTGGTCTCAAACTCCTGGGCTCAAGCAATCATCCTGCCTTGGCTTCCCAAAGTGCTGGGACTATACGTGTGAGCTGCTGCGCCTGGCCTTAGACCACAGTTTTACATTAATCATCAAAGTATGACACATTTCTTGAAAACCTTGCATTTGGAAGGGTGCCTAAACAATACATGTATCCATTAACTTCATTACATACATTTTCTTTTCCTTAATAATCTGATAATTTTGAGAGAAAGGAGTAGGGGTTGTGAGTGTTTCGATTTTGATTCTAAATTGTTAAGACTTGAGTGATATTTTGCATTTCCAGTCAAGGTATGGGAAAACTTACACTCAACATGTTTACTCTTAGTTTTTGTAAAATCTGAGTTAAGAGGGAAAAAAGATCGCATTTTTCAGAGGTCATGGTGAGAATAAACAATCTCATAATAGTACAGGGTATATTAATTTCACAATATTTAAGAAGTAAATTCTTTTTTTTTTTTTTTTTTGAGATGGCATCTCCCTCTGTCACCCAGCTGGAGTGCGATGGCGCAATCTTGGCTCACTGCAACCTCTGCCTCCTGGGTTCAAGCAATTCTTCTGCTTCAGCCTCCCAAGTAGCTGGGATTACAGGCATGCACCACCATGCCCGCTAAGTTTTGTATTTTTAGTAGAGATGGGGTTTCACCATGTTGGCCAGGCTGGCTTACGATTCCTGGCCTCAAGTGATCCACCCATCTCAGCCTCCCAAAGTGCTGGGATTACAGGCGTGAGCCACCATGCCCTGCCCATAGTAAAGTGTTAATTTTTCCTCATTTCTATGTGTTTTCTCCTCAAGGCTAAAAACTCTTAGTTGACTTGTGCTGCATTTCAGATACCAGTAGCTCAGAATCCCCGTAGTCAGTTTTTAGAGGAAGATAGACTCTTTTTTGCCTATGTTATTTGACCCCATAATATTTTCTTATGTTTTCTTATGTTGTGAAAGGATTATACTCCACTATTCTAATTGTTAGGCCCACTGAAGTAAATACACATCTTTCTAGAAAGGTCCTGCTGTGTGCTTCAGAAATTGTTTCTAAAATAGACCTAACAAAATTATTCTAAATTATTTAAATCTTTGGCAAGAGGCTAGGATCTTTGAGTTTTCTTTTTAACTTCTTTGTGATTTGGGACAATTGGTCTTTATTATACCTCAGAAAAAAAATTATGCACTGCTGGTAATAGAATAATGGAGATGATGGAAATTACAGGAGATTTTTCAACTCAAGAAGATTAATGGTTGTATTCTTCTAGATCTGCTTCTCTAAATTTACGTGCAAAAGAAATCACCTGAATAGCTTTTTAAAGATGTAGATTGTGGAGCTCAACTCCAGAGAAAGAAATTACGAGGTATAGGTGGGACTTAAGAATTTGCATTTCTAACAAGTTTCCAGGTGATAGTGATGCTGCAGGTTCGGGGACTGCATTGGAGGAGCACTGCTAAAAACTCTTAAATACTACGAGAAAAGGAGTGCCAAGGCAGATAGAGCACAGTATATATCTTGTATATTATTTATTATGTTTTTTCCCCACAGTTTTCACAGATATTTTTATTAAGGTACTTTAATAATATTCTGATACGTCTAAAATAGTTAAATTCAAATCTCCAAAGAGCCCAAATTTTACTTACTGAAAAGTGGAAGGTTTTTTCATATTTCCCCTAGAAATTGTGACAAGAGCTCAGCTTCTGCCCTAAAACAATAGTACTTTTCCTCAGAGACAGTTGGTGTTATGATTCATCATCTTAGACCCTCAGTAATTTTAATATCAATTTATTATTTCCAGATTTTCTGTTTAAATGCAGACTTCCTGTGCATTAATAGTTAAAAATGTTCTAGATCTTTCCCTTAGTGTGTCATCATCTGTCTTAGAAAACTGGGATTTGAAATGAAACAAGCTGAGTTGGGTGATTTTGAGGTTGAGATTATCCTAATCATGTGGTCTGATAAACATGTTTATGTGCGTAATTGATTCATTCAGTAAATATGTAGTGTGTGCCTATTATGTGCCAGACACCGTACTGGGTGCTTGAGATTCAGCACCAAATTGCCTTTAGGAAACTTACATTCCATGTAGGGGAAGCAGAGAGAGAGATCTATTAGATAATGGTAAGTGCATCGAAAAAAAATTAAGCACAGTAAGAAGTGTTGGAGATAGAGAAGAGATTGCTGGGTTTTAAAAAAAATTTTTTCCCAGCTTTATTAAAGTATAATTGACAAATATTGTATATACTCAAGGTGTACAGCATGATGTGTTGATATACATATACATTTTGAAGTGATTGCCACAAATTAACACATCCGTCACTACACATTTTATGCGTGTATGGTGAAACCACTTAAGATCTACTCTCTTAGCAAATTTCAAGTAAATAATACAGTATTATTAACTAAAGTCACCATGCTATCATTGGATCCCCAAAACATATTCATCTTATACTTTGGCCAGCAAGATTGCTGTTTTGGATAGGATACGCAGGAAAGACCAACCTGATAAGGTGACATTTGGCAAAGACCTGAAGGGAGCAAACCACACAAATGTTTGAGTGAAAAGGAATCCACCCCTAAGAAGCAACTATCCGAGAATAAAGACATTTGTTATACTAATTCAAACCAGAATCTTAACACCTTAGCCTGATAGTTGTAGCAGAACCTATTTCAGATTCTCTTATCTGTTACAGATGTGTTAAATTCAGTTTTTTTTCCCAATATTCTGCCTATGAGACTTTCTTTCCATTCACTTAACTCTGTTTTTCCCTGTAAACTGAAAGCAAGGAAACTATTTCCTAAGGACCCACTGTTTTTTGTTGTTGTCATTGTTGTTTGTTTTTTACAAATGGTTGACTTTGAAGAAATAATACCAGAACAAAAAATTTGTTTTACTAGAATATCTTTATAATGTTATTTGTGATTTCCTCTTACTAGGCTGCTGCAGAGAAGTTGGTGCAAGCCTTAATGGAAAGAAATTCAGAATTACAGGCCCTGCGCCAATATTTAGGAGGGAGAGACTCCCTGATGTCCCAAGCACCCATCTCTAACCAACAAGCTGAAGTTACCCCCACTGGCCGTCTTGGAAAACAGACTGATCAAGTAAGAACTATAGACTTACATAATTCATGCTGATTCCATTTCCTTTTTACATTTGAGGTGTAAGTTTGATAATTTTAATACCAAATTCTGAGAATATTCTCAGTACTGTCATTGTGATCATAGTTCCTGCATCTTCCTAAGTCCCCTGACTTTTGCAATTTTTTAGGGTTCAATGCAGATACCTTCCAGAGATGATAGCACTTCATTGACTGCCAAAGAGGATGTCAGCATACCCAGATCCACATTAGGTAAGTATCAAATTTCATTTCATTAAGGGACTTTGTTTTTCTCTTGTTTTTTCTTCTAGTAATCTCTGTATTATAGGTTTGGCCAAGACTCTTTTCTCTTCCTACCTTAATAGAACAAATAAGTTTGGAATTCCTCTGAAAGGCTGAAGAACTGTCCTTACCTTATGTTGAGTTGAGCTGATTGCTCTGGGTTCACAATTCGGCCCAGAGAAATTCTATCCTTACTCTCCTTTTCAGATAGCTTTGCAGGGATTCAGAAATGCAGGAGGTAATTGTTCCAATCCTGCACAGCAGGGCCATGAGCTGACACCTTTTCCTGGGTATCGTTTCAAGTCTGGGGCCACTCACTGTAACTTGACATCACCTACTAATGTTATATATATATATAATGTTAGCATAGTTTGATAGTTTCTGGCACAATAAGATGTTCTATGATTACCTTTTGCTTTACCTGCCTCAGTCCCAGAATCAGCCATTATCCTAAAGAGCTCCCTGGTTCCTTTTGGTGGGTAATGGCATTCAGAAACTATGATCTGGACACAAGATGTGTTCATTGCTACATGAATGCCTTTTGCTTCTAGGACCTTTTTTTTTTTTGAGACGGAGTCTCGCTCTGTCACCCAGGTGGGAGTGCAGTGGCACGATCTCTCTGCTCACCTCTCGAGTAGCTGGGACTACAGGCGCCAGCCACCACACCCAGCTAATTTTTTTGTATTTTTAGTAGAGACGGGGTTTCACCGTGTTAGCCAGGATGGTCTCAATCTCCTGACCTCGTGATCCGCCCTCCTCGGCCTCCCAAAGTACTGAGATTACAGATGTGAGCCACTGCGCCCAGCCGCTTCTAGGCCCTTTTAAGAGAACAGAACTAGCAATGAATATTTTTAAGTATGTATGTGTGTATTTGTATATATGTGAAGATTTGATACTGATTTCCTTAATTCCAATTTAACAATATAGGTTCTTTTTTCCCTCATTTCATATTTGTATCTCCTTGAGAGCCCTGGTTACTTATAGCATCAATATATTTCAAAATATTTACACAGTTGCAGAATACTATAATATGCAAAAGTATTTTTGGAATTGTTACATAAATATCACCATCAACAATAAATGTATTAAGTAATGTTTAAGATTTTTTTGTAATTCTTTTTATCCTTAGGATATTTTGCACTGACAGTGTTCAGTTAGAGTAGTAGTGAGTTCAAAAATTATTTGGATTAATTTTTTTATTATCTTCTGGATGGTTTTGTTATCTATTTGCTATATAGATTTATTTATTTATATTAGTATTCAATTTTAGACCTTTTCTCTCTCATTCATTGTCAAACTGACTTACACATTAAAAATTAAACATTTACACAGTTCAAAACTCTAGTATATAAAATGATATACTCAGATGTCCAATATTTTCCTGTTCCTTCTCTCCTGTTTCCACTCATCTCCTGCAGGTAATCAGTTTCATTTCTGGGTTATTCTTCCTGTATATCTTTTTGCAAAAATAAGCAAATGAATCATCTGCGTATATGTAATGTATATATGTACATTCTTATTTCCCCTTTTTCCTAATAGAAAACCTACTACTTTAGATGTATTCTTAAGCACATAGCTTGTTTTTACTTAACATATTCTTAAAATCTCAAAATCACTCCATATAAATTCATAAAGATCATCCTTATTCTTTTTTTACATCAGTATATAGTGCCATCTGTGAATATACTATAGTTTATTCAATCTTTTCTTTATAGCATCTAGGATGATTGCAGTATTTTGCTATTATAAATAATGCTATAAAGAACAACCTGTGTGTATGTTTTCTTTTTTCTTATTATTGGAATGTGTCCTCTGTAAATTACTCAAAGGAGGCAGCAGATACCACATTATGTTAATAGCAATTAAAACTAGTGCTATATTTTCATTTTAGGAGACTTGGACACAGTTGCAGGGCTGGAAAAAGAACTGAGTAATGCCAAAGAGGAACTTGAACTCATGGCTAAAAAAGAAAGAGAAAGTCAGGTGAGTTTTTTAGTTAAGTCTTAATTCCAAAATCCCTATTATTTTTTTCTTTCAAAATAGTTTATATTTAAAAGCATATAATTCTCCATGTATAATATCTGAGTCCAAATGCCAGGTATGACTTTTTTCTTTTTGGAGAAAAATATAAGTTATTTTATATATACATTATCTCAAAAAGATGCTCCTGTTTTTAGATTGGGACCATTAAAACTTATTAAATGCTGGAAAAACGTAACCCTCTCTCCCCATTGCTAACTGGAATAAAATAATTGTAAAGGCCGGGTGCAGTGGCTCATGCCTGTAATCACAGCACTTTGGGAGGCCGAGGTGGGCGGATCACTTGATCCGCTCGAACAGGAGTTCGAGACCAGCCTGGCCAATATGACGAAACCCCGTCTCTACTAAAAATACAAAAATTAGCCAGGTGTAGTGGCGGGCGCCTGTAATCCCAGCTACTCGGGAGCCTCAGGCAGGAGAATCACTTGAACCCGGGAGGCAGAGGTTGCAGTGAGCTGAGATCGTGCCATCACACTCCAGCCTGGGCAACAAGAGCAAAACTCCGCCTCCAAGATAATAATAATAATAATAATAATTGTAAAGCACTGGTGAAAAAAGGAAGCGCTGTGTGATTGCTGCTTAGAGTTATGACATTAGATCCGTGAAATTAGATTTAGAAACATGAAACGAGAAATTTGAGTATAATCAGTGTTTATCAAGTATTCATGTGCAATGTACTGTGCTAGGTATTTAAATTAGCACTAATGCTCACAACTCTACACAAAGTAAGTGGTGTCGGCCCAATTATTATAGACGAAGAAGCTGAAACACTGATTTCTCTTTTAAAATGGGAGTGGAGAATAGTCATGTAACTAATAAATGCCAGAGCTATGATTCAAACTCAAGCCTTTTGTGACTTCACATACTTCCTAAGAAGATTCATTTCCTAGAGCACATTTTTCCCACCTTATGCTTTAACTCGCTCTAGCATAGAGTTCTCTTCAATTTTTTTTGGAAGAGGCCTTTCAGCCTTAGAGATTCCCTTCCCCCTGCCTTTCCTCCACAGCTAGTTGCATATTCAACTATGATGTTGAAGAAATACTAGGACCACAGCTCAGAGTTACAGACTGAAACTAAAAGCTTGTTTGTTACTATGCTGGCATCTCTTTTAGAAGATCACTCAATGTCATGGCTTCCTAAATTCAGTTTAGCTAGCTAGTCCAAATAGCTCTTAGTTTTTTTCTACCTTTTGCCATAGCTAGATCTATAATATAAAACCTGTGTTTGTATTTGTGACAGAATTATCATATTTTATCTTTTGATTTCATTGTCATATTTCTGCTTACAAACAGACTCATGTTTTATGACTCAATTAGTTTTCAGGATATGAGAATGTGTGGCATTTAAGAAATACCAGTTTTAAAAATCCCCTAGTCCCCCTTCCTTTTTGTGGTTCTACCTTAGCCATTATCTGATTATTCATGTCAGATATTTTAGTTTCCACATCCTCTTCCTGTTTTTCTCACATTTATCAAATCCAGAGTAATGTTACTTTTTGGTTCTGTCCTGTTTTCAGGATCATGAAATTGTAATGCCTATGAATGGGTATTTTGGGTGATATTTAGCTATTGCTAAATTCCTTTAAAGGTTTTATTTAAAATAACTTGTCTTACCATAAAGATTGTATGGATATGTGGTATCTACAGGAAAGATATTATAGCCTAGTGGCTCTGAGTCAGCTTCCCTGAGTTCACGTTCTGGATTTACCACTTACTAGCCAGCCCTGTGATTTTTGAACAAGTTTCTTAATTTCTCTCAGACTCAAATCACCTTGTCTGTAAGTTGAAGAGTAGAAGAAGTCACCTTATGTATAAATAAAAGAGTAGTTATCTCATAGGATTGTTGTGAGGATTCACTCATTCATTCATTAGCTATATGGGGACCTTCTCTAAGCTTGGGCTAGTGCTGGGGATGAGGTAGGTAGTGAATGAAATCAGTAAGGTCTGTGGCTCTGTGTAGTTAATTTCTATTGGGGAGATACAGACAATAAATAAATAAACATTATAGTTATAGAGTATAGTAAGTGATATGAGGGAAATGATAGAAAGCAACATGGATGGAGACCATCTTAAATAGGGTGGCCAAAGAAGGCTTCTCTGAGCAGATGACACGTAAGCTGGGACCTAAGGATGAAAAGGAGGCAGCCCTGAGAAAGATATTTCAGGCAAAGGGAGTAGTTGTAAAGGCCGAGTCAAGAGAAAGTCTGGTGTTCCTGGAACAGAAAAAGTCTAATGTGCCTACAGAGTCATGAGTGAGCAGTAAAATGGCAGATATTAAAGTAGGAAAAGTAGGCAGGAGCCAGATCACTAGGTTTGTTAAAAGGATTAAATCTATACAAAGCATTTATTAGAGAGCCCAGGGCATAGTAAGTGTTAGCAGCTATGGTTGTTATCATGATTTTTTTTTTGAGATGGAGTCTCGCTCTGTTGCCAGGCTGGAGTGCAGTGGCACGATCTTGGCTCATTGCAACCTCTGCCTCCTGGGTTCAAGCGATTCTCTTGCCTCAGCCTCCTGAGTAGCTAGGATTACAGACACACACCACCACGCTCGGCTAGTTTTTGTATTTTTAGTAGAGATGGGTTTCACCATGTTGGTCAGGCTGGTCTCGAACTCCTGACCTCATGATCCGCCCACCTCAGCCTCCCAAAGTGCTGGGATTACAGGTGTGAGCTACCACGCCTGGCCTATTATGATTTTTAATGAAGTTTGTCATAACCAAGTACTTGTCATTTTCTGATGAGAACACTGAAAGTTTAGGGCATGTAGTGCCAACTTTTGGCAGTATTTCTTCACAGGTGGTGGCGTGTTCTTCCATCAGGAGTCATGTAATGTTTGGTGATCTCTCGTGATGTTAGCAGCTGTTGCTGTTTGATGCCTTATCCCTTAATTCATTAAGGGTTGCAAAATGGAGATATCCTAATGCTATCATTTTTTCATCTGTTAGGTGAAGTTTTACTTACATAAAAACTTCATCTCTTCTTGCTTCTGCTAATGGTAACCATTCTTTTTCAGTATCATAATAAGCTTGTTAAACAAATTTGATGTGTTTTATAGTGCCAGCTAAAGTAGAAGACATCATTAAGAACAACTATGACATCTTCCCATAAAACTTCCTTTGTTACTATACTGCATGGATTATTGGTTTGATGCTGTAGAGCCCTATTCATGTTCTCATTTTCTTTTCCATTACTGGCTGATAGTAATAGGATATGCAAAAGCATTTGCCTCAGTGTTAAAATGTAAACATGGCAGACATTGTTTCCTCTTTTCACAGATGGAACTTTCTGCTCTACAGTCCATGATGGCTGTGCAGGAAGAAGAGCTGCAGGTGCAGGCTGCTGATATGGAGTCTCTGACCAGGAACATACAGATTAAAGAAGATCTCATAAAGGTCTTTCAAAACTTTTTAAAGACCACTGGAAATGTTCACAGCTCAGAATACCTGTAGGGCCTCTTCAGACAATATTTGCACACATCGAATCCCTTGGCCAGTGATTATCCATATCCCACTTGAAAGTATAGGCAGAATATTTCAAGACATTTGTTCCCGTGCTACTCTGCTGAATAATCCTTTTATTACTATTTTCACATCCATACTTATTTTTTGACTTCTAGGACCTGCAAATGCAACTGGTTGATCCTGAAGACATACCAGCTATGGAACGCCTGACCCAGGAAGTCTTACTTCTTCGGGAAAAAGTTGCTTCAGTAGAATCCCAGGGTCAAGAAATTTCAGGAAACCGAAGACAACAGGTAAGTTACTGGAATATAAACCTTATTTATTTATTTACATTTTTTTGTATTCTTTTTTTTTTTTTTAGTAGAGATGGAGTTTCACCATGTTGGTCAGGCTAGTCTTGAACTCCTGACTGCAAGTGATCCATCCTCCTCGGCCCCTCAAAGTGCTGGAATTACATACAAGCATGAGTCACCACATTGAGACAAGGTCTCACTGTGTCACCCAGGCAGGAGTGCAGTGGTATGATCACAGCTCACTGCAGCCTCAAACTCTGGGGCTCAAGGAATCTTCCTGCCTCAGCCTCCTGAGTAGCTGGAGCTGCAGGTGCACACCACCACGCCCGGCTCAAACCTTATTTTTCTACTGTGAAATAAACCATGGTAAAGCTGTCAATCTCAGCTATTTGTGGAGGGTTAGTTGATGGTATTTCCTAGAGAAACTGTGCTCTAAAATTTCCTACTTTGGTCGGTAGCAGCTATAGATGCCCCTTTCTGACATTTGTAGTTCTGAAAAGAGCAGCAGTTCTTTTGGACACATACCAATAGTTATCCCTCACACTCATACCTAAGTCACCTCCCTCAACTGAATCTTTCTCTTTTATCTGCATTTAACCATGTTCAGATCTCTCCCAGTTAAAAAAAAAAAAAAAAGAGAAAGAAACCCCTACATTTGCCCCAAATTTCTCTGTAGCTACAGCCCCATTTAACCTTTCTTCAATGCCAGACTTTTCCAAAAGACTTACTTGCCTGTACTCCCTGTCTCCATTATCATCTGTCTCACTAACTACTCACCCCACTGCATTCTGGCTTTTAACTGTACCTTAAACAACTCTGTTGATTATACATTGTCATAGCTCATTATCTTTATAGCACTTATTACACTCACAATGACACACATCTATGATTAATGAATGTCTTTTTCCTCCACTAGATAGTAAGCTTTCCCCTAGAACCTAGAACAGAGTCTGTCCCGTAGAACGTGCTCAGTAAATATTAATTGAATGAATGAAGAATACTAGTAAGTCCTATTATATACATTTCCCTCTTGTCCATCCTGTTTCCCTCTTACTCCTTTTTCTTAGCTGCTTTCCTGTGCTTCCAGCTTCTCTCTGCTTTTTCTTCTTTTTGCTCCCATGTTTGAATTCCACCTTACAGGTTTTAAAGATAAAAAAAAGATAATATGACATTGATTTGAAAACTATAAAATAGTATCAAAAGCTTAAGTACTAAGATAGTGGGCTTTTTAAGTCATAGTACATGCTAATGCATTTTCTTGTTTCTTATTCATGTCTCACTGTGCCATTTGCGTATTGCTTCCTCTCTCTTCTTTACTCAGTTGCTGCTGATGCTAGAAGGACTAGTAGATGAACGGAGTCGGCTCAATGAGGCCTTACAAGCAGAGAGACAGCTCTATAGCAGTCTGGTGAAGTTCCATGCCCATCCAGAGAGGTAAGAGAGAGGCTGTTTTTTCTTTTATTCTTTATTGAAATTTTTATTTCTTTTACTATTGTATTTATGCCTTTTATTCTTCATTAAGTGCAGATGCTTATGATACTGAAGAGGGGAGAAAAAAGAGGGACAATTACCGGGGCTACCCACTTTGTCATTTGTTTTATGGATTGCTCTGAGCCTCAGTGTCAAAATCTTAAGTTGGGATTAGTGCCTGTTTCACACAGCTATTGCAGAGATTAAATAAGAAGACAGCTTTTGTGTCTAAAACAATGCCTTGCATGTAGTAAGCACTCAATGTATGTTCATTTCTTTTCTGTGATCCATGTCCTGTTAAAGGCTGTTCTATTATAAACGTAAGGCTATGCCCTGTCTCTACTAAAAATACAAAAATTAGCTGGGTGAGGTAGCGCGCGCCTGTAGTCCCAGCTACTCGGGAAGCTGAGGCAGGAGACACACTTGAACCTGGGAGGCAGAGGTTGCAGTGAGCTGGGTTCACACCACTGCACTCCATCCTGGGCAACAGAGCGAGACTCCGTCTCAAAAAAAAAGAAAAAGAGTAAGGCTATAATGGGCACTGATATTCATTTAATATCATCAAAGAAAATATATTAATTGGGATGGCTAATATCATCCTGGGACCACCAATAGCTATCATGATGAATATATTTTTCTTCTACCTCTTGATTTTTGGTCACATATATGATACCTCTCTGGATCATTTTATATTCTCTTCATTTTTGTTTTCTCATTTTGCCTTCCCTACTAGCCCCTTTTATTCTTTTTCAATTTTTATTATTATTATTATTTTTGCTATTCAGTTTCTTGTAATTTATTGTTGGGCTTTAAAAATGTTTTCTTTCTACCAGGAAAATGAAGGCAGAGGAAAGGTATGATAGGACCAGTTGATTGTGTTACTTTTTAAAGAACCTCTGGAGCTTTAGTTTTTATGAACCAGATTCCTTTTCAGCACACCATCCCACCGTCAAGTTTGGTAACAAATGAGAAAACAAATATCTTCAGTAGTGGTTCTACTTGGCTCAGTCTTGCTCCAGTTTATATTTAGTTTGTCCTGGGTTTTAGTTTTTCAGAAACAAAAGCTTTTAGCCAAATAATGAAATTTCTCTTGTTTGGGCTATAGGGGTGTGAGATAAGTCTTAGGAGCTATAATTTTATGTGAAATTGGCCCAGAATCTAGCATAAGGGGCAAGCTTTTAAAAAAAGCAACAGTCCTTACTAATCTATCAGCAGTGAACACAAATGCCACACAAAGACTACATTCATTTATTGTGTCCTGGAGAACAATTACTTTACAAAGTCGTGTGGCTCAAAGTGGTATTGATGGTTCTTTGGAAACAAATGTGGACTCACTACAGTTGATGGCTAATCCACTTTCCTTCCATGTGGCATGTTTAATCAGCTCTGAGAGAGACCGAACTCTGCAGGTGGAACTGGAAGGGGCTCAGGTGTTACGCAGTCGGCTAGAAGAAGTTCTTGGAAGAAGCTTGGAGCGCTTAAACAGGCTGGAGACCCTGGCCGCCATTGGAGGTGGGGAACTGGAAAGTGTGCGAATTCATCACAAGCATGCCTACTGAGCACTGGCGGGTCAGACTGCAGCCCAGGATGGAAAACCTTGTTTGCACTAACCAGAAAGATCCTTGTCTGATTTTGGCAGAATTAAACGGTGACTTACTAATGATAGAACTGGTACAAGTAGCATCAACTACAAAGTGAAACTCACTTTAGCCTACATGGATCTCACTGTACATACATATCAATCCCTAAATTGAATGGTGGAGGTTGCAAAGTGTATTTGCACATTTTAAATCATTCTGTTTTAGTTTTTCCACTTTTATTCATTCTTATCCCTAGCCCCTTCTCGTTCCCTCATCCCTTCTGTGGGCCAATAAAGTTTATTCTTCCCCAACTTTCACAATCCATTTCATATGTTCCATATCATATCATAAATGCATGTGTGTGTATTATTTTTGCCATTCAGTCAACTCCTCTTTGAGTGAGAGCATTTTTTAAATCAAAAGCATGCAAGTTTTAAGATGAGAGAGCGGGAAAGAGATTGAGAGTCTATAAGAATGACTTTGCAAAAGTGATATAATCCTTATCAGAAGGTAATCAAAACCAGGAGAGTAGTCTTGTAATAGTAGACTGCAAGTATTGGGAAGGCCAAGTTAAAGAACAGAGGCAAGAACTATGAAAGTGATCATAGTCAACTTTTATCTCCAATACTGTCTCAGAGTTGACTGTTGTACACAAGTGAAATTAGATTAGGTACAGATTAAATTCTACTTAAAATTTGTTCTTTATTGATTCCTTTAGGTTTCTTTAAACCAAGCTCATGCTATTTAGTCAGAACATGACTTCTAGAATGGTCTTCCAGAGTCAGAATTCTCTGTTTACAAAGATAATTTCAAATGTAGTATCCCTCTTTACATTCAGTGTTTCACCAAATAACTCATTATAGCCAGAAGAGGGTATTGCTTCTTTCATTTGTGGCACTAGATAGGGTCCTATGTTTTTCACTATTTAGTATGTATACATTTCTCCATATAACAGTAATAGGCTTCAGGCTTTGAAGTGCTAGAATAGTTTAGAAAGAAATGTTACAGATGTATGTTTATAGTTTTAATCATTGCCTCAGTGCTTTCTTGTGGCAGCGTGACAGGTATAAGGAGAGGGGCACTGGAGATTGTATTTCTGATGTCTTGAATGTCAAGTGTGAAAAGTAACCAAGATTGCTTTGCAGCTTTGTGAGATCAACATCATGAATTTGTTTTCATTTCCTCTGGTTGGAAGTTTCCTAGGTTAGAAGCTGAGGTTTCAGTTACTTTAAATATGGAATTTGGGAACAGGGATTGAGGCTTTCTAGCACAGTAAATGTGACTGAATACCCTTTCTAAACTAAGTGGGGCACAATGATTTTTTTTCCTTCCATTTTTTTTTTACATGACACTTTATTTCTTTCACATGTTGACATGGCTTGTATTACATTCTAAATTTCATCTGTTTCTGTAACTTTAGCTGTGTCTATAACAGATAGAGCATCAGTCAAACTAGAGTGGACAGGGAGAAAATGCTCTACTGGGGAAGCACTCTGGAATCTTCTGATTAAGTCATTTGCAAAAGATTAATAGCCATAAGCCTTACTCTTAATGGATCTGCCATTTCAGTTTCAATGGCTTTTGAGGAAAAAGGAGTCATTTAAGGAAGGAGATAGGAAGTGTAGGCCGATCCATCCACTTTTCTTAGTCTCCCAATTTTAAGAGACCCTTTCTTGCACAAAATTTTTTGTAACTTTCCATAAGTAAAGAGGAAGGTAATGGAGCCGTAGAAATGTCAACCCATCAAAGACTAGTTTGTCGTGTCATTACAACAAGGCATTTAGGGAACATCTTTCCTTAATTTTACTAATAGACCAACCAAGGAAGCCTTCTGAATCGCTAGTAAGATTCAGCTCTGGGTGATTCTTCATTTCTAATGGCTCATAGTGATTACAGTTTATGTTAATAATCACTCCTACTTCTGTCAACCTCCAGCAAGAGTAAATTGATAGCAGGATAAATTAAAAGTCTGATCTTAATGTCATAAATGTGACTAGAATATGGTACTAACTTTTTCGGGTCTAGATAGCTGGAATGAGGCTTGCAAACAGTGTTATCTGGAGAGAGCTTGCTGGTCTAACAACTTTGTGTGATAATTTGGCATCTGATTAGAGAGCATGAGTCTGATAAATTTTATAATCCACACAGAGATCATGCTGTGGTTGGACACATCATTTAATAATATTTAGCATGATATAATATTCCATTTTCTCTACAGGAGCACAGACTCTTTCTCATACTGGATTATTTTACCTTTGACAGTCATTTTTCAATGACAGTAATTTTAAATAAAGCATCGTGTGCTTATAGAACCTGTGCTTGAGTAAAAATAGTCTTCAAATAAAAATAATGAAGTAAATTTTTACTTAGGCCATGCTTAATTGGAAGCATAGAACTTAAATTGAGAAAAAAATCCATATGATAGATTTTGTTTTTCTCATGCTTCCCTTTTGAATAATAGCAAATAATGCAGAGTAATGGTTCTAAGAGTTCAGGGTAGATGAAGTCTGTAGGTTTTAGAAGTATAGAGTTGAAAAGAACCTCCAAGAGGACTTATTTAATGAGTGAAATAAATGTCCTTAGATAGATATTGTCCCTAAACTCTTTTCTATTGAAAGTTTATAGTATTGAAAATTTGATGATTATTAGTACCTAGTATAAATCAACATTCATCTGATGTTCTCTTTTTAGATAGCCAAGTTATAACTTTTTTGAAAAGACATTATTGGACTAAGTTAGTAGGTCAGCCTTTTCCTTTGATAGTGTGTACTCTTATCTGTCACCCAACCTTCTCCACACCCTCTTCTCTTCATTCAGTTGTGGACAGCAGTAATTTTTTCAGGACCTTTGCTTCTTAGAGGAAATACATTTTTCCTTATTTATATTTTTAAAAGATGTTTCTATTACATTATATATAGCAAGAGATCTATTAAGGATCCAGAAAATCTTAACCTGTAGAGGATATGAGTTCCTCATCATAAGAATTAGTTTCCTTGAGGGTTCTTTAGTATATTCTATTTACACAGTTTATGCATAAGTAAACTCTGTGGCCGATGTACATAAAAAAACCTATCACTTTTATGCTCATTCATCCTCCTAATTCAGTGTCTGGGTCATGAGATGTTTGGTTCATAGCTTCAAAAACTGTTCAAGAAGACTGATTTCAGTTCTCTCTATGTTGATCTTCCAGTTGAATCTGGAGTCTTCTGATTGTGGAAAGGAGTAGCAGATCACATTATACTGAAAATTGTCCTTTTCATTGAGAAATAAAGGTTGACTGAGCTACCTAAAGTCACTTTCCTTTGGACTGTAAGCCTTAGAGAGAACAATAATACCTTTGCTTTTCTTGAGGTAGTATTAGAAAACTCTAGTTCCCATTGATAGGATAAACTTGTTTTCTCGTTTCATGGTCTTTTTATAGAAAACAGTCACAAAATCTTGACATTTGGCATCCCTGAAAAGCTCAA
Source organism: Homo sapiens (assembly GCF_000001405.40). NCBI lineage: Eukaryota > Metazoa > Chordata > Mammalia > Primates > Hominidae > Homo > Homo sapiens. The sequence goes on from NC_000001.11 coordinate 148,984,933, forward strand.
GTGGCCTTTTCAAGTAGGGTATCATGTAGTATTCTGCAGGTTTACAGTCAGTATCCTGCAAGGAAAGGTGACAAACTTCCTGTGAAGTTAGGAAGAAATATTAGTAACCCACACACTTGAAGTGAGTTTTCCATTTTACCTTGTAGAAATTGTACTAGAGATAGAACAAATGAAATTAGTTTTCTTTTCCAGGTATATCCTGTGAGATACCAGCACAGAGTATTTTCTCTGAGTTCTCTCAGGGTTAAAGCTCAGTGAGCTTTTCTTTTCTCTTTGGTAGTGTGGAACCATTTGTACCGTAGAAAGAATAGCTGGAAATATGGAACTCCAATGTGGCAATACAGTAATAAACAGAAGGAATGAGTCAGTAGGATAATATATTCGAGTGATTTCTGTATATTTCAGTTATAATGTTTTTTATATAGTGTATATTTCAGTTATTTCAGTTATAATGTGTTTTAGAATGTGGATTTAAGCCACCTTCTCACCCTTTGCACCAGTAGCTTTGTTAAAACATTTTATTATGATCAAATAACAAGCCTGTTGCTTTTAAGTAATCTAAGTATTAACAGAAGGTAAGTCTTCAACTTCTCCCTGTTCTCACCTGGGCCAAGATCAATTTTCTAAATAAAAAATAGCTTTGTAATTTGTCTCCAACAAAGAATGGGAAATGGAAGGGAACACAAAACTGTGGTCCTGACAATACTAATTCTACCCGTTTTCAAATAAGAATAATTAAACTTATAAAGTGATATACTGATTATTTTTGTGTTACTCTCCCTTTTTTTTGTTTAAAGTCAAATTCCAGAAGTAAAAATCTTTATCATACTGTTTTCCTCTTACTAAAACTGGAAGGGTAAAATAGAAAGTTCAGCAACATCAGAAAATGTTGTATTTAAAATAATATGGAGAATAGGGGTTTTAAGTACATAAACCATATTGGCTTCCTTGTAGGTTTACTTTTAGTATATAACATGAATATGTAGTGCTTCTTTTTACAATAATCAAAGTCATAGCTCCAAGATATTGACCTCTTTCTCAATCTATAACCTTTGTAGGCATGCATTTATACCAGCATGTTTTATAAATTATGAGTTTCTATCTGTGTCCATGAAGTCTTACTAGTTTTCACTTAAACTTTTGTGGGTTGTTAAGAAGAATTAAAGTGATTCATAACTTCACGCTTGAACCTGGGAGGTGGAGGTTGCAGTGAGCCGAGATCATGCCATTGCACTCCAGCCTGGGCAACAAGAGTGAAACTCTGTCTTAAATAAATAAATAAAGTGGTTCATAACATCAGATGAAGAAGGAGGTGAGTGATATGTTAAATGATCAGAAACTTGGCATTACATTATTTCCAGGACCATTTCCCTACCAAAGCTGTGTATTTTTCATTTCTTCATGGCACTGTGCTGTTAATTTCTGTTAACATTTGTGCTAAAATGGAGTGTAATTTTTACATATAAGTGTTAGAATTTTAGCTATCTTAGTTGAAACACAAAAAGTTGTTACTGATCCAATAAAATTATCAAAGGCCAACAGAAACTATTTGGTTTTATTCTTAAGATATTTATAAAAAAAGTAGAGAAAGCTTGTATCTTTTTTTTCCTTATGGGAGAATCAGTCTATTGATTATTTACTAAATTCCAAGTCAAAGCAAGGCTCGTAGAATGAGTCTTTAACTAAAGGAAGGAAGAAGAAACTCGAATTTTTCTCCTCTCGAAGAAGTGAGACTAAAGAAACAGTGTTATACTTTCCCCGGAAATGTCACATAGGCTACTTTACCTTAAAAACCCTCCTTGCTTTCTTTGCTGTAGGAGAATAGCAGAAAGCACGACAGAGGTTTCAGGAGCCAACTGTGGTGGGTAGTGCTGTCTCTAAACATTCCTAGAAAAACCTATTTCTCGTTTTCTTTGAAGAATAAAAGAGACCATGAGCAGGAAGAATTTCTTGACATTACAGAATTATGGCATCACAAAATAGGTGCAGTGGTCATATCTCCTGGTCTGCCTGGGAGTCCTAATTTACATGTGCCTTGGTTAGCCTAAGGATAGAAGACTGTAGTTGTATTGAATAATTACCCTTTTGGAGAAGTAGAAACTCTTTCCAGAATTTTAATGGGATTTCATACCCCCAAAAGTATTTTAGATTATGATTTGGCCTTTTCAAGTAACTTAAAACAGCTACTTTCTGAAACATGTGAGCTGGAAAGCCCTAAGGCTACTTAAGAGATGTTGCAATTTAAAGACAAAGATACACCATAAAGGGGTTTGACTGCAGACAGCAGTTTTCTACCACTTCTGTTCCACGATCAGAATCTGTCTAGATAGAGAATTTTATTTCTTAGCAGAAACTATGGAGGACTATATGGAATCTTAATAGTTTTCTTATGATCCTGAAGGGAATGTGTGCAGGTGAAATTGTAGTTTGATAGGAGGCCTCTTTTCCTTGATTCTCTCCATAACATTACAGCACCATAACATTAAAGTCAGCAATAGTTGGTTCATGACGTGAAAATGTGAGCGTTCTTGTAATGAACGCATGGCAGTGTACCTGGGAGTCAGAGTGAAATTGGGCTGAGAGTATTAGACACAAGGGCCCGGTACCGAAGGAAAGAACACTTGGCACTGCCAACTTATTCATGCTTAAAGTTTTAGTTCTTCAGATCACCTTTTAAAATTAATAAAATATGATCTCTTGCTATGTTCTAAGTAACTATATGGAAAAACATCACTCCTTTTCTGTTTATCCCATATTAGTGGCTTAAAGGAAGATAATGACTACAGAGTAGAATTGGGGGGAAATGGTCTTGACTCCACCCAGTTTGGACTCATTACTAAAGAACATGTCATGAGCCAGGTGTGGTGGCATGCACCTGTAGTCACAGTTACTTGGAGGCTGAGGTGGGAAGATCCCTTGAGCCCAGCAGTTCAAGACCAACCTGGGCAACATAATGAGACCTCATCTGTAAAGCAAAATAAAACAAAAAAAGAGGTCATGAAGTTCCCCCTAAGGCTTATTTGTGCATGTTGGAGTTTTAAGACAGTTATCATTTAATGATGATTAGTCCTTTTTGTAAGGCACCTATTCCAAAGAGTTCAGCCAAAGAGTTGTCACTCCTTACCTTTTCAATGTCCTGTGAGGCAGAGAGCAAAGAGTGTCATTTCAAGCCTCCTGCTGGGGAAACAAGTATTCAGAAATGAAGAAGTGCAGGTAGAATCAGTCAAGATCATTCAGATAGTAACATCAAGTATAAAACTTCCTTCTGCTGATGCTATTTAGGTTCTGTGGCCTTCAACTTTCTCAGTCTTCAACTTATAAGCCCATGGACTACTTCAGTTTACTTACAATAACAATAATAATATTGTTTAAGGATGGTATTTATTGAGTACACACTGTGTACCAAGCACTGTTCTAAGCACTTCAAAATCAGCAAACCCTTTAAAGTTCACAACAGTATGGAGTGGGTAACACTCTTAACCCTAATTATTAAATGAAGAAACTTAGTTATGGAAAGGTTATGACTTGCCTGAAGTGACATAACTAACAATAAAAGCACAATTCAAATCAAGACAGTCTATCTCCATAGTTCTTGTTCTTAATTATTATGCCATACTCAATTTAAAAAGTTCTACAAAAGTATGAATTTTTGCTTCAGTGATAAGAATACCTTATATTTGCATAACGCTTACATTTTCACCCAAGGATTTTATGGTCTTATGTTTTAGAGGTTTATTTTTGTGTACTTTGTAGAATTAGATAGCTGATAGAAAATACTTTTCTAAATAAGGGACATCTTGGTATCACCTCCATTTTGTATTGTTCAGAGCCTAGAAACTTCCAAGAACCACAAGTTGAGAACTTTTATTGAAGCCTCAAATAAAAGTTTTTTATAAAATTGCCAGTCTAACATGTAAAACTTAATCTCGAAGAAGCAAGTTAAATGAACAGATTCTTAGCTCCCAGAGAATCTAAAGGCGGCAGGCTATTTTATATTTTATCAAAAAATAAGCAGACGAGTCATCAATATAAAATCATAGGTACCTTAAATTAGAAATTCAAAATATTCCAAGTTAGTTCTGAAGACAGTGTTTCGTTGTGCAGTAAAAGTTTAGAAAAGGGTATCACACAAGAGAAGTTCTCTCATTTATTTAAAAAAATGGAAAATGGTAAAAGATGTCTAATGTCTTGTATGGACCTTGTATGAGATAACTTACTCTTTTATTCCCATATTTTCTATAAATTTTTTAGCTTTACCCCTCAAACATGGGAGAAAAAGTTTCAGCATTTTAATTCAAATTGGTAAAAGGCTGAGCAACCCTTAAAGCTGCCATAATGGAAGAAGACTGTGAGCTAGCTTAAAAAAGAGAGAATGAAGGGGAAGAAACAAAACCCCTGTGTGGCAGAGTGTCGAGATGAGATGAGCATTTATTTGTCTCCGTCGAATTCCTTATGAAGCCAGAACCATAGCATCCTGCTCTTAAGTGAAATAAGATGGAGCATTATCCAAGAATGCAGACGTGGCACCAGAAAGGCTGCCAAAGATAAGTGGAGGGCAGAAAGTGTCAGATAAAAACCTTCAAGACCAGTGATAGTCACCCTTTCCAATTCTCGCTTCTGGAACCTGGCAGGAATGGTCCTGGGATGTGGGCCCAGCCTGACTCCACAACCCAGCAACAATGGTAGGGGATGAGGATCCTGACCTCATAGAGCTGTGCTTTCTTCAACTACAGGATCCTTCTCTAGCCCCATGTTCAAAAGAGAAACAATGTGAACAGTCTGTTTTTTGTCACTGAGTGAGACAATTCATTTCCTTTGCTGGAAAAACATAAAAGATTGTGATCGCTACTGTTGTACAGGGAAAGATTTTCCAAAGTAAGCATAACATGATGTGGGTGTCCTAGGTAAATTAGTATCCTGGTTTTCAGTAGGTTTTTAAAGCAGCCAAAGATTAGGGAATGTGTCCATACACCTCTACTCAGCTAGTATCCTGAGTGAGATGGTTTCTGGGGTTGGTTTGAATGAGTAAGTATTGGAAATAACTCTTGTACACTGTCTGCCACAGACCTCTAAAGATGCTAAGTGGTAGAGGTGGTAGAGGCTTCACTGAACAGGACCCTTCCTTGATCCAAAGTTAACATAAAGTTCATGGTGTAGATGAGGAAACCTAAGCTGTTATCACAGCATACTTACTACCTCTTAGCACTTCCATGAGATCAGCCTGGGCCATTGCAAATATATAGATGTGAACTGCCCCCTCAAACATGGGAGAAAAAGTTTCAGCATTTTAATTCAAATTGGTAAAAGGCTGAGCAACCCTTAAAGCTGCCATAATGGAAGAAGACTGTGAGCTAGCTTAAAAAAGAGAGAATGAAGGGGAAGAAACAAAACCCCTGTGTGGCAGTGTCGAGATGAGATGAGCATTTATTTGTCTCCGTCGAATTCCTTACGGAGATAAGGTAAGCCCCTTATCTGTATTGGGTAGTGAATGCTCATGATTCAAGCAGAGCCTTTCATGCCTGGATGTCTGAACTCAACAGAAGGTTCTTTGGTCTTGGAGGAAGAAGCAAAGATAAAGATCAGATTTGTCACCAGAAGGAAAAGTGAGTGGCTTCTGTCTAAGAGTCCAGAGTCTTGACTTACTGGCGCAGCTCTAGTGAGGGCTAGTTGTGTAACCTTGGACTCACCACGTAATCTCTTAGAGGTCCAGGTTAATCAGTGGTCAGAAGTGGAGTTGTAACTGGTTGGTTGCCGAGGCTAGGATCAGAACAAGATTTCAAGATTCTTAAGTTGGGGAGGTTCTATAAGACACAGTGAGTGTCACAGTAAATTTTCTTTGACAAATTAACCATAATAAATTTCTACACTTCCTGAAAAATACAGTATATAAAACATAGCTCTTGGTCTTAAAATGTATGAACAGTCTTAATTTTAATCAATATAAGGAGGAAGACACACCCTAGATTTGTGCTGTCCAATAGGGTAGCCACTAGCCACATGCAGTCATTTAAATATAAGTAAATTTAAATAAAATTTAAGATTCAATGCTTTGAAATGTGAGCCATACTACCCACATTTCAAAGCTCAATAGCCATATATGACTGTGTCCACTGTACTGGGCAACACTGGCACAGAACATTGCTGTCATTGCAGAAAGTCCTCTTGGTCAGTGCTGCCTTAGACCTTTGCCCATACCACAAACTGCAGCTACTTGTACCTTAGAGCAAGGTGTAGATGTTTGGGCCCTAGAGTGGCTGTGTCCATCTCTGGAGAATGAAAGGATGGGTTAAATCCCACGGGGATAAAGCAGTGCAAGAAACCCTTCAGGCAAAGGGTGTCTGCATAGAATAAGAGTTTGAGAGAGGTGAGGAGGAAGGGAGGTTAGAGGAAGAAATTAGGGAACAACTGAATCCTTTGGTGTCTTGAATCTTGACTAGACCTGAACCTTACTAGGACACAGGACCCCCAGAGGGAAGTTCCTCAGAGAGATTGTCACCCTATGCACAACTGATCCCAACAATAGATACCTCTGAGAGATTCAGGGCAGCTCTAATCTCCAGGCACTCAGTGGTGGGGAAAGGGTTAAGCATGTTGGACTCATATTATGGAAGAGAAAGTTTTTATGTAGCCAGGCAGTGGGGAATAATTCAGGCTTTCTTGACATTCGAGTGGGGTAACCAGTGCATCCGACAGTCGGCTCCTTAGAAATGGGTCTGTGCAGGCAAAGTCAGCTTATGTTGTGAGGCTCAGGCTTGAGTATGAGTAAGAAAGTGTCTGTGATACAAAAAGTTCTATTTTTCTTTCCAGCCCTGCTGGCTAGGGAGAATTTCTGCCCCATGTATATGGAGAAAGGAAGAAATCAGAGTCAGCGGGCAAAAAGAGTATAATTTAACCTGCTGTCTGGAAGCCATCTGTGAAGGGAATCACTTTTCTTTTCTGGACTTGTTTCCAGGTGCAGCTGCAGGGGATGACACCGAAGATACAAGCACTGAGTTCACTGACAGTATTGAGGAGGAGGCTGCACACCATAGTCACCAGCAAGTAAGTCAGTGTCAGGGTCTGGGACTTCCAGGGTGGACAGCACACAGCCCTTCTGAGGTCTGATAGTCTCCTGCAGCCCTTGCGGACTTAGTGAGAAGATATCTTTTTACATAAACTACTTCTCAGTCATCTTCCTGTTCTCCTTGAACTTCCCAGCTGCCTTTCCAACCCATATCTTCACTCCATTTTTCTCTCCAATCCACCCTTTGGTTTGTATTGTATCTCTTTCTTCTGCTTCCTTCCCCCTCCTACCCACCTTTGCCCCTATTTATTCTCTGTAGCTATAGCTTCAGAAGCATTTTTACTTGCAAGACGATGGACACATTCCCCTTGGGCTTTTTGTAACTGAAACGCACCACAGAAGACAGGGAGTCATCGAAGGGCTGCTCGGGGAGGTGGCAGGGCGGAGGACCTGCTTGGGAAGAAACTCCAAGAAGATTGGAATGCTTCCAAAGCAAGAATCTTTCTCAGTGAAATCTCATTATACAAAGAGAACCTTATGCAACCTGACAAACCACTGAGGTCATGGTGACTCAGTGATCAGCAGATGGTACTTCAACAGCAATCCCCTGTCAAACCTCAGAACTTGAGGCTGAAACATTGCTTCCACCCACCATCAGTGAAGATGTAACTAGCATGTTACAAGAGTGAATAATCTGGACTTCAGAGATTAAGTCACCAATAGTGATCTCACAAGCACTCACCGGAACTCCTATAATGTCTCCACTTTGTCCATGCCATTTAGCAATCTCATCTCCTAAATGGACTGTGCCTATGATTCTTAAGGAGAAAGTGAATCATTGGTAGATATCCTGCACAAGCAGCTGGACTTTCCAGTAATAGCTTTCTTGGGGCTATTAGGAAAATTAAACAAGAAATGAGGCTTTCTGGGTCTGCCTGTATGTCTTCTGCATAAGACAAAGAAGAGACATCGAATCAACCAATAAGAAGAGCCCAAATAAGCATCCTCAAATCTTTTGGGATTTGGCACTTGGGGACATGAGTAGTTGTCTGGGATACGTCATATTCTCAACAGTTTCTTTGTAGTAGTAGGATCACCTTCTTATAATAGGATCACCTTCTTGTTGCTATAGCTGTACCCGACCTTCCCTTCTCCCTTGAGTGCTTGCATGAGCTCCACTTTTCCTTTTGCTTGAACAGCTTCTCCTGAGTCCTCCTTACCGATGGTTGTGACTTTAATTATATACATCTCTGTCCCTCCAGACAGATCCCTCTGTCCTCACTCTCTGATTTCATTGAGGATCTTGGGTGAGAGAGAGGGACCTGCAGGATGAACAAATGTCTACTCTAAGACAGCTAGATTGGGAGGTTGGCTGGTCACTGATGGTTATAATGACTGTGGGACAGGATTAACTTCAGAATAAATGAACAGGAGACACAGATATGAAGAAAGTTTCTGATTGATATGGTCTGAAGTACTCCTGGTATTGCAAGTCATTTGCTCTAATTCTCAATTGTAGGCAAACTGATTTGTAAATTTGCTTCTTCAGCCTTCTTTCCTGTAGCCTAGCATGGAGAATCTGACCAGACCCCATTTTGAGAAGGTCAGCCTACACTGGAATGAACTTTTTACATTAGGGCATTTGTATTTCCCTCACAATACTTGCCACATTACTTGGCATAGGAGAGATGCTTAGTGTAATTATAAGTTAACAAGCCTTTGGATCAGGGCTTGACTCATGATAGACAAAGTATATGCCTGCTGGATGGAAGAATCTCTTGGGCGAGCACCATTTTTCTTTCCATCACCTTTCCTTGAAAATATATCTTCAGCTTTGGGTAGGAGGAATCTTGGTGTATGAAATCATTGCAAATTTACTTCATCTTTTCTGGAGTTTGAAGTTGTGACTCTCCTGCTACCAATTAAATAAAGCTTACTTTGCCATAACTGTTTTGTGTCCAGATTCTCAAAATTTGTTTGCTTGTTTCCAGGAAAATGGTCCCTTAAAGGTAGATTTTGAGCTTCTCCTTGTTATGTCCTTGGAAGGTAAATTTTTGCCTGACACCAAGTTCCCTTCCTACTCCAAGCATTCATATGCTTTTCCTAACAGACACATCCCACCTTGTCTTTCTTCCAAGGTGAGAATCACCTTTTGGCCAATACAAGTTGCTTGCTCCTTATGTTTTGGACTCAGCCACCTCAGGAAGCCTCAAGTCTGGCCATGATAGTAATTTTCCCTAGATTATCTCCCACAAAATTCTATTCTCAAGCAGATGTAAGATCTATAATAAATACCTATGAAATTGCTGTGAAAGAAACTAGAGTAATCAACCATTGCATTTTTTATGTGAAGTTTTGTAATGGAGAAAAAGTTAATCAAGAATAAAGATTCAGGCCCAGGTAGTGTGCATCTATAGTTGCAGCTACTCAGGAGGCTGAGGCAAGAGAATCTCTTGAGCCCAGGAGTTCAGGGCCAGCCTGGGCAACATAATGAGACCCCTACCTCTTAAAGAAAAAAAATCAAGATTCAAATATGAAGAACAGACGTTAGTAGACAAAGTGTGATAAACTTGAAAAAAGCTATTTTAAAAAAATAGTTATTTTTGATTGACAAATCGTAATTGTATACATTTATGGGGTATATGATTATATATATATATACACACAAACAATATGGAATGATTAAACCAAGCTAATTACATATTCATAAACTTACCTACCTACCATTTTTGATGGTGAAACATTGAAAATTTACTCTTATTTTGAAATATACATTTTATTGGCTATAGTCACCCTGCTATGCAATATATCTTAAGACCTATTCTTTTTGTCAATACTTTTGATCAACAATTCCCCCTACTCTCCCTCCCCACTCCACCAGCCTCTAGTAACCACCATTCTACTCTTTGCTTCTATGAGTTCAACTTCATTAGATTCCACATATAGGTGAGCCTATGTGGTATGTGTGCCTGGCTTATTTCACTAAGCATAATGACCTTCAGATTCATTCATGTTGTCACAAATGACAGGAGCTCTCCCCCAACATTTTAAGGTTAAATAGTATTCCATTGTGTATTATCTGCCACATTTTCTTTACCCATTTATCTACTGATGGACCTAGGTTGGCTCTACATCTTAACATAAATTATGAATAATGCTGTAATGAACATGAGAGTGCAGATATACCTTTAACATATTCATTTCAGTTCCCTTGGATATATACCCAGAAATGGGATTACTGGATCATAGGGTAGATTCTATTTTTAGGTTTTTGAGGAAACTCCATACTGTTTTCCACACCAGCTGTACTAATTTACATACCTATTCACAATGTCTGTGTTCCGTTTCCTCTGCATTATCTCTAACATATCATTCACCTTTTTGATAAATGCCACTCCAACAGGTGTGAGATGATATTCATTATGGTTGTAATTTGCATTTCCCTAATGATTAGTGATGCTGAGCATTTGAGAAAAGCTAATTTTTAATGCCTTAATGTTGAGAACTGACTTAACATTGGGACAGATACGAAGCAATAGGGTAAAAGCAAAACAATGTCATTCAAACAGGATATCAGATTTGCACAGAGGCCTTTGTGGGGCAGATGGGAACCCAGCACACAAAAAGTTGAATTATATGAAGCAATATCACAAGTGAGTTAGGAAATGTGGAAAAAAAAACCAATAAGACAGATATAATTAAAAATAGACCTAATGGATTCACACTATCACTACAAATACTGGAAGCCCTGGGGTTTCATTTGGGGGAAAGAAATACTTGCTTTCATACATGATCAAAACTAATGAAAAGGCTAGATCCTGAGTTACTTTTCAGGCATTTACATTTAAAACTTAAAGTTACATATGTATACATGTGCCATGCTGTGCTGCACATTATGCACATGTACCCTAAAACTTAAAGTATAATAATAATAAAATAAAAAAATAAAAAATAAAAAAAGAAATAAAAAATAAAAGTTGTATATATGTAAAAAAAAAAAAACCTTAAAGTTAGCCAAAGAAAGTCCACTTTGAGATGGAAATATGAAAACCCAAATTAGCCTGGGGAAAAATGAGATCCCTAGGCAATGTTTGATTTTCTCACTTTAAAGTGGGAAATTAGATCAGATGTACCTTAAGGTTTTTCTGGTGTTAACATTCATGGTCCATAATTTTTTCTTTTTAAAGAAAATAGGTGTATTGAAACCAATAGAACAAGATAACATATATCCAGAAGGCACTTTAATAATGGGTAAACTTCATTAAAGTTAGACATTATTTTTAAGCAGAAGGAACCCTTAAGGCCTAGAAAAGAATAATGCTGTGCCCACACTCAAGACTAATGGCAAAGTGTGTTTTAGTTAAGTTACTCGGAAAGAGTTTATATAGAATGACAACATCACATAGTTTAAATAAGGGATGGGATTGTAAGCTTTCAGAAGTGGTTTTATTTGGTCCCCCTTCCTTTATTTTGTCACAAATGCTGGGGGCACATATGGAGATGGCCACCAGCCTGATTAAGCCTGCCAGCAGAGTCTTAGAGACAGACATTCCCAGGAGCCTCCCAAATCTCAGGCTCACAAAGTCCAAGTAAGATTGGGTGCCTGGGACTTGAGTGGCTTTGTCTAAGGATCTTTCTTCTTTGACCTGGGTGCGCATGTCTTCACAACCTCAACTGCTATGCTACTGAACACCATTGCACATGCATACTGTGAATCGACCCTACCACAAACCTGTGACCTACATTTGAACATACTTTGTTACGGGGAATAGCAAAAGTCAGTGGCTTCGCACCAACCCCAGCAGCTCTGTCAGTCGTTGATCCATATAAGCTGTTCTGGGCCCTGCTCTCTTCAATGTATTGGTGACCTGAATGGAGATATAAAGCATATAATTAATTCTACAAGTTATCCCCAATCACTTGTAGTGGGGGCCACTACATGATTTGTGGAAATGCACATCAAATATTTGGATGACTTGGATAATTGGGGAATGATTCAGTATAGCCAGAATGAATTTATAAGTGACAATTACAAGTCACAATATTTGTAGAGATAAAAGAAAACAACATGACTCAGCAACAGCTGTGGGGGAGGGGTGGAAAATTCAGAGGCCAAAATTGACCCAAAGTTAAGTAAAAGCTCCAAATGCTGCCACTGAGAAGAAAAAGAAGCCAATGTGACATTGGGACATATTAAGATTAATATTGGACAGACAGGCAGGAACTCCTTGTACTAAAGTAATTAGTCATATGCTAAGTAGATTATCATACTCAGATTTTGATTTCTACACTTTTAAGAGCGTGGGAAAAGACCAAAGATAAGCCCAAAATGAACAATAACAAAGTCTAAAAGTTAACAAATTCCCATTTGAGCAAAGGCCATAAGATCTGCTTTAATTAAAACATTGATGAATAACTTCAAGAGTGTCCTCAAGAAATAGAAAGGTGCTGGGCAGTTGTTCCTGCCTCTGTTTCTTCCACATGCTGAGATTTGTAGAGAGAGTTTGTCTGGCAGCATCAGCACAAAGATAATAACCAAAAAGTGAGGTTGGCTGCTTGGCAGGATGGCTTCACCTCCATCTCCCAGTAGCTGCGGAGTGTGATCCTTCTGCTGCCAATGAAATAGTTGGTGTTGTCTTCCCTGTCGCTCCACCTTATTCTAATTCTGTAACTGTGTCTGCCGACTGTTTCCCCAGTGCCCTGAGTCCTCCCTCTCAGCTGTCCTTGAGGGAGTTGGAGTTACAGGCAGGGCCTTAGGCTTTGCGCCCTGATATCTTAAGCCATCATCTCCCGCCATCCAGGACTCAAGTGTTGCAGAGCTGATGAAGCTTCCTGACTTGTGAGAAAACTCGCAGGGCTCTGTCTCCTCAGGAAGAGAAAGAATCACCGTATTCACACCCTCCAGTCCTGTTTCAACCTCGTTTGTTTGCATTTGTTTTAATTTCTTATGTGCTTTTCTCCCTCACCATCTCTGGATTCTCCTCTTCTCCATGGGGAAATTCCTCCTGCTCATTTTGTGTGTCCTTCCCACCCAAACCAGTCCCCAGGGCCCTTATGCCTGACTAAGGAGGTTCTGGTTAGGGAGTTTATTTTAGATCTGCTTTTTTTGTTTGTTTTTGTTCTCATTTAAAACTGCCTTTGCAATCTCATGTTTCTCTTGGGTCCTCTTTAATGGCCTAACTTCTTCAAACCATGATTTTCTTTTAGCTTGTCAAGGTGGCTTTGGAGAAAAGTCTGGCAACTGTGGAGACCCAGAACCCATCTTTTTCCCCTCCTTCTCCGATGGGAGGGGACAGTAACAGGTGTCTTCAGGAAGAAATGCTCCACCTGAGGGCTGAGTTCCACCAGCACTTAGAAGAGAAGAGGAAAGCTGAGGAGGAACTGAAGGAGCTAAAGGCTCAAATTGAGGAAGCAGGATTCTCCTCAGTGTCCCACATCAGGTAGGACATTCTTCCCAGGGAAGGGGAGCTTGCAGGTCATGAGGCACCACAGCCAAGGGGTGCCTATCCCAGGCTCCATGCATTAATATTTCTACAAATTCTTTAGATAAAAGTAAGTAATATTGGCTAATGGTAATCACTTTCTGTTATTCAAATAATCCTGGTCTTAATTCAGTATAACAGTGCCCACTATTATTGTGCATCTGCCAGTCATACATATGACAGTCATGGTGGAAACCTCCTTGTTACATGACCAGTATTGCTGTTTTTAATTGACCAAAACGTATAAGGAATCCCTGCTACCTAATATGTCTCACTGCTGTATACAGAACCAGAACAGTTCACGAAGGAGGAGGAATTTTTTTTTTTTTTTTTCGTTGAGATAGAATCTCGCTCTGTCGCCCAGGCTGGAGTGCAGTGGCAAGATCTTGGCTCACTGACTGCAAGCTCCACCTCTCGGGTTCATGCCATTCTCCTGCCTCAGCCTGCCGAGTAGCTGGGACTATGGGAGCCCGCCACCACGCCCGTCTAATTTTTTCTTTTTGTATTTTTAGTAGAGACGGGGTTTCACCATGTTAGCCAGGATGGTCTCAATCTCCTGAACTCGTGATCCCCCCGCCTCAGCCTCCCAAAGTGCTGGGATTACAGGAGTGAGCCACCGCACCCGGCTGGAGGGTTTGTGTAGAGGCCCCTCCCTCTCCTCTCAGCTCTCACTCATAAGTCCTTCAATCATAGAGTATCAATTTTAATCATCTCTGCTGCTTTAGTAATTTTACAAAAATAGCAGGTAGCTCATTGATTGGTTAGATTGGCCACTCTGTCTTTGATGGCTTTTTGTCAAAAGCTCCTTGGAGAACATGCTGATACTGTAGGGCTGATCCATTTATTCATTCACTCCCAGGACTATAATCATCACTGCCTGTTTAAAGTACAGCTGTATGACTTCTAAATCATGCCCTGTTGTTTCCCTGCATGTTACATACCACTTAAATTTCCCTGAATAATGTTAGCACTTTGAAAAGGGCCCAGGCATCTAGCCTCATGTCGTTGTTTCATAGCTGAGGAAACTCAGGCCTAGAAAGTTTCAAGTGACTTGCTCAAGGTTGCATAATATCTGTGGCTCCCAATTTCTAACGTCTAAACCTTGCTTCTATACTACATACTTTGTCAAACAATTTTTAAAAAATTCTTGTGATTGTTCTAAGTGCTGATTCTTTTGCTCTGAATTATCATAATAACTTTTTCCTTAAGTTCTACTTAAAGCATATTATTTTACTTAAATTTTTGTATGTGTAAACTTAATTGAGTTGTCATGGGTAAGAACAGTACATCTCTTTTGATTCTATTGTTGAACCTACAATCAAACCATCTATAGCTATCCCTGTGGATTATTTTCCTTTGTCCTCAGAATTACTAACCTGAAACTCTGATTTGTTCAACCCTCCACCCAACCTACAGAATCACTTATACTGTAGAAGGTAGAATCTAATGCATTGTTCTTCCTTTCAAGAAGGTTTTGTTGAGTTTTTCTTTTATTTGTTTGTATTTAAAAATATCAGTTTTTTTTAATATGAAGTTAGAACATAATATTAAATATTCTTTTCCATATACACATGCGCCCTCTTTATCCCCTTTCCACATCCCAGTTTTGGTAAAATACCTATCCCCTTTTTCTTTATTGAGAAACTATCTCACAGATTGTCTGTATCCTATGTCCTATTTTCCTCCCAGAAACACACCAGATAAGCTCTGCTGTAGGTTCCAAGACTCCTGGATTCTGAGAAATTCAATCTAGGTGCATAGCCCACTGCTGATCCTTCAAGTTGTGAATTACCCATTTCCTGTGCATCCTCTAGCTCAGGGGTTCTCAGTTTAGCATGCTTAAGAATCACCTGTGGACTGGGCATGGTGGCTCATGCCTGTAATCTCAACACTTTGGGAGGCCAAGGCAGGCGGATCACCTGAGGTCAGGAGTTCGAGACCAGCCTGCCCAACATGGTGAAACCCCTTCGCTGCTAAAAATACAAAAGTTAGCTGGGCGTGGTGGCACGTGCCTGTAGTCCCAGCTACTCGGGAGGCTGAGGCAGCAGAATTGCTTGAACCCAGGGGTGGAGGTTGCAGTGAGCCAAGATCTCACCACTGCACTCCAGCCTGGGTGACAGAGTGAGACTCTGTCTCAAAAAAAAAAAATAAATAAATAAAAATTAAAAAATCACCTGTGGAACTTAAGTAAAATGTGGATTCATAGGCCTTAGCTCTACAGCTTTTTAAACAAGCACCTTATGGGATTCTGCTGTTGGTATTTCTTAGGTCTGCAGCTAGTACAGCAGGGATTGAATGACTTCCCTGTTAGACCCTGAGCTAGCCATACCGTATATGCAATTTCATTTAAGCATCTGCTAACTCTACTAGGTAAGTGTTATCATCCTTATTTTATATAAAAGGAAACTGAGGCTCAAAAAAGTTAAGTGAATAGACTTGTTACAGCCATGTTTGCTTCCACTCAACCCTAGTATGAGTTTGTTGTTGTGGAAAGAATTTATCTGGAATGTCTTGGTGCAAATTAGCTGTTTTGGTCAATTTTATTTCTTCAACAAATATGAATGATTTATGTGGCAGGCACTTGTGTAGGTACTGGGGATATGGGATGAATAGGACAGACACAGTCCTGCTCTCAAGAAGGTTATCTCTATCACGTGAGCCAGACATAAAGCAAACAATTATCTAAGTACATTTTGATTATATTAATAGTTCTGATTAGTGTTATTTATTTATTCTGTGTTCCTAAGTCCCAATGGTTTGAAACTGACTGATGATAAATAATAGAACTGTAAAATTTATAACAATAAATTTGTTACAGAAAAGGTCTTATTTTTTAACAGTGTAAGTACTCTGGTTTATTCCAGAGGCTACTAAAAATTAGAACATATGAGGCTATGGGGCACAAGTAAAGAAAACTAGCCTGCATGTCTTGAGTCCAAGGTTTCTAGTGATGGTGCTGCCACCAAGAAGCTGTGGAAGTTTGGGCAAGTCTCTTACTTTTCCTGAGCCTTGGCTTTCTTGTATATAAAATTAGGGGGCTGTGGTAGGTCTCAGGTTGCTTCATGCTCTGGGGTAAGTCTGAGTTAATTGCGGGCTGAGATGTTGGTAAGAGGTAGTATTAGGAACTGTTGTGAGGACCAGACCTAGCCCTCAATTAAGTGTGTTTCCTGCAGGAACACCATGCTGAGCCTTTGCCTTGAGAATGCGGAGCTGAAAGAGCAGATGGGAGAAGCAATGTCTGATGGATGGGAGATCGAGGAAGACAAGGAGAAGGGCGAGGTGATGGTTGAGACTGTGGTAACCAAAGAGGGTCTGAGTGAGAGTAGCCTTCAGGCTGAGTTCAGAAAGCTCCAGGGAAAACTGAAGAATGCCCACAATATCATCAACCTCCTCAAAGAACAACTTGTGCTGAGTAGCAAGGAAGGGAATAGTAAACTTACTCCAGAGCTCCTTGTGCATCTGACCAGCACCATTGAAAGAATAAACACAGAACTGGTTGGTTCCCCTGGGAAGCACCAACACCAAGAGGAGGGGAATGTGACTGTGAGGCCTTTCCCCAGACCCCAGAGCCTTGACCTTGGGGCTACCTTCACAGTGGATGCCCACCAAGTAAGTGTGGGCTTAGATTGAGTGAAAAACAATTGGAGAAGGGCTTGAGATGACAGTGTTTACCTTAAAACATTCTCCCATATGAATCAGGAGGTACCAAGAGAAGGGTCTCTTTGTACCACAAACAATAATAGTAATATTCTGCCTACATTCAGCCTTTAGAAAGGCTTTTATAACATAAATATTTCTTGAGTACTTAATTTTTCAGATAACACACTAGGCATTGGCATGGGGCAATAAAACCAATGGCTGCCCCTGAGATACTTAATATTGTCGGGAAAGATGGCACACAAACAGGTAATTTTAACAGGATGTGGTAACTGCTGTAACATAGGGATGCATCAGGTTATGAGGCAGCCCAGACAAGTGGTATGTAATGACATCCCTTATCACTGCCATTTTTTTGTCACAGCTCATCACAGGTGTCTGTTCCTGGGCTTCAGATGGGTTACTGGGATCCTCTTTAGGGAAGGAGCCATGCTGAAGATTCAGTGAAATGGAGAATACAGGGATTCTGAGAGAATCAATGGGACAGAATGTGAGGGGAGATGAGTGGTCTCTTTTTGACCACTGAGAAAACATTTCCTGAGAGCTCCTCTGTAGACTTGATTGGTGCTGTGCTGTGTGCTGTGGATACAGATATGAAGAAAACATTATCCCAGCGCTCCAGGAGCTCCATCTGGAAAGCAAGTCACTGCCAAATGGCATGAGAAGTGCTGTGACAGACTTGAGTAAAGTCCACAGGGTTCAGAAGGGGCGGTGGTCGTCACTGCATGGGGGTGACCTCAGACTGTCCTGATCCCTGTATTGGCCCCTTTCACAGTTGGATAACCAGTCCCAGCCTCGTGACCCTGGGCCTCAGTCAGCGTTTAGCCTACCAGGGTCCACCCAGCACCTGCGCTCCCAGCTGTCACAATGCAAACAACGCTATCAAGATCTCCAGGAGAAGCTGCTGCTATCAGAAGCCACTGTCTTTGCTCAGGCTAACGAGCTGGAGAAATACAGAGTTATGCTTAGTAAGTAACTATGACTTACTAGTAAAGAAAACTAGCCTATATGTCTTATAAGTTCTGTATGTTCTATACCGACATAACGTGGTTATTGAGCACACGAAGTGTGGCTAGTGCAACTTGGACATTTGGTTTTATTTAATTTTAGTTGATGTAGTATAAAGTGGCCATATGTGGCTGCTAACTACCTTATTGGACAGTACAGGTCTAGGGTCTTGGGACTCTAAATTAGTTCAGCTCCATTCAACATTTATTGAACCCCTGCGGATAAAGCACTTGCCAGCTTCAATGGGGCTGCTAGAGATGATAGTGTACAATCCCTGACTTACAGATATCTGGTCCCAACTAAAGCCTGGGTTATCTGAAGGGGAGATAATGGCAAATGCAGGCTCCTCCTTTGGAAAGAAATTCTGCTTCCTGGAGCTGGTGATCTCTTCTCCCACCAGTTCAGAGAAGCTTCTCTCCCACTGTGGATCTGCCTTCCGTGCCTCAAAAGGTTAGGGTATGTGCCATTGAGGCTGAGGGCATATGTGGGAAATTCAGACATTCTGTAACACCTGCTTCTCTTCCCAAGCAGGTGAATCCTTGGTGAAGCAGGACAGCAAGCAGATCCAGGTGGACCTCCAGGACCTGGGCTATGAGACTTGTGGCCGAAGCGAGAATGAGGCTGAACGGGAGGAAACCACCAGTCCTGGTAAGAGCACAGGGTGTGGGGCTCACCCCTCCCTGGAGTCAGCTGTCACATTTGGATGCTGTTGGCCAATTCCACACCTGACAAGTATTGGGGAAGAGGAGGACAGGAGGTTAATAGGAGAAATCTTACCCAAAATGAGGCTGAGTATAAGTTTGAATTTCTACAATTAGTTTTTGGCATACTGCTAATAACAATAATAATATAAAATTCTATCCAACTGATTATTATAGAAATACTAAGGCCTACTTAGAGACCAGATAAGGTTTTAGAAACATGCAAGCCATAAATTAAAAATAATTTTGTTTTGCATTATAAAAAGACTACAACTATAGGGCCACCCACCACATTGAAAACCAGAAGAGAAGAAAAACACAATCTCTCTCATTCTTGAGGCAGTGTAGTGTGGCAGTTAAGAGACAAGATCCTGGGGCCAGACTGGTTGGTTCAAATCCCAGTTTGAAAACTTTCCTATGTCCCAGTTTCTTCATGTGTTAAAATAGTAATAAAGGAACTACCTACCCCATCAGGTACTAAGGTCAATTAAATGAGTAAATTCTTATAAAATGCTTTAGAACAGTGCCTGGCATCTGGTAAAATGCCATGGATTAGTTCTCATTCTGACTACCACTGCCCTAATACACTGATGTTAACATGCTGATATATTTATTTGAAGCCTTATTTTCCTATGCCTATTTTTCATACAGTTGTAACCCAATAAACTTTTAAATTATAGTAAAATTTAAAGAGCATTAAACTTTCAGCATGCAGTAATAGCTTGTCCTACATTCTTGTGGCCATCCTAAATAGATAAGGCCATGTTAATGTCTTAAGAAACACCAGTGTGTGTGGAATGAACACAGGACATTGGAGGATTTGAATTCTGGCTCTGCCATGTGCTAGTTTGAGTGATCTAGAACAAGCTAGTTTACCACCTCTCTTTAAGTTTTGGTTTCCCAGTCAGTAAAATAGAAAGTGATGAAACCTAACTTGTAGGTATAAGGAAGATAAGAAATATTGTATTTGAATGCCTAGTACAGTGTCAGGGTTGAATAAAGTACTACTTCAACTTTTTCCCTAGTAATTATTGTCCTCATGACCAAACCTGCCTCCTCTCAAAGGCAGTGGCCACAACAGCACATCCAACTTTTATTTAGGAAGACATCTTTGTCTTTTTTCAGAGTGTGAGGAGCACAACAGCCTCAAGGAAATGGTCCTGATGGAGGGGCTGTGCTCTGAGCAGGGACGCCGGGGCTCAACACTGGCTAGTTCCTCTGAGAGGAAGCCCTTGGAGAACCAGCTAGGGAAGCAGGAAGAGTTCCGGGTATATGGAAAGTCAGAAAACATCTTGGTCCTACGAAAGGACATCAAAGATCTGAAGGCCCAGCTGCAGAATGCCAACAAGGTCATTCAAAACCTCAAGAGCCGGGTCCGGTCCCTCTCAGTTACAAGTGATTATTCGTCTAGTCTGGAAAGACCCCGGAAGCTGAGAGCTGTTGGCACCTTGGAGGGGTCTTCACCTCATAGTGTCCCTGATGAGGATGAGGGGTGGCTGTCTGATGGCACTGGGGCTTTCTACTCTCCAGGGCTTCAGGCCAAAAAGGACCTGGAGAGTCTCATCCAGAGAGTATCCCAGCTGGAGGCCCAGCTCCCAAAAAATGGACTAGAAGAGAAGCTGGCTGAGGAGCTGAGATCAGCCTCGTGGCCTGGGTAAGGATGGCACTGTTTGGGTACTTTCTTGATTGAAAATGTGTAAGTTCATGCTTGGCGTAGGGTAGCTCAGGCAGTTGGAAGAAAGAACATGTCTGGGTATTCACAGGGACACTGATTTAAATGGTAGATACAGGTCTGCAGAAAAGACAGGTAGGCAACCAGGAGGGCATAGGATGATGTTCCAGTATCTGGGAGATACCGGGTCTCAGGGATTTCCTCTTAGGGATATATTAGTAAAGATGGTATAGTATAGTAGTAATACTGGAATCAGACTACCTACCTCTGGTGCTTACTACCCATGCAACCTTCTTAACCTTTCTGAGCCTTTGTCCTTACCTATTAAATGAGGATGATAAGAGAACCCATCTCAAAGGGTGGATATTAGGTTTAAATGAATTAATACAACTGCTGACCAGGCGTGGTGGCTCATGCCTGTAATCCCAGCACTTTGGGAGGCCAAGGCAGGTAGAACACCTGAGGTCAGGTGTTCGAGACCAGCCTACCCAACACGGTGAAACCCCATCTCTACTAAAAATACAAAGATTAGCTGGGCATGGTGGTGCACACCTGTAATCCCAGCTATTCGGGAGGCTGAGGCAGGAGAATCGCTTGAACCTGGCAGGTGGAGGTTGCAGTGAGCCGAGATGGCACCACTGCACTCCAGCCTGGGTGACAGAGCAAGAGTCTGTCTCGGAAAAAAAAAAAAAAGAATTAATACAAGTGCTTAGAATAGTGCCTAGCATATGTTAAGCTCTCAATGCTATTTGCCATAGTTATAAGTGTTATTGATACTTAGTGTTGAAAACACAGACATTCATCTTGGTGTGTCCTGGTTATCTATTGCTAAGTAATAACCACTCTAAAACTTAGTGACTTCAAACAACACTTTATTATGCTTCATGGTTCTATGGTTTGACTGGGCTCAGCTGGGTGGTTCTCACTTAGGGTCTCTTGTTTTGGGTCCCATCAGTTGATGGTATGAGCGTTTAAATGATGGCCATCATTGCAAAATGTAGTCAGCCACAGTATCGTAACATAGAAGAAATTCAGGCATCAGGTGGTGGTTAAAACAGAAGGCATGAAAGGTTCTATCTAGACTTAGGATGAAATGATGCTAATTATTCATTGAGTAACTGCTGTGAATCTATGTGATACTGGTGCTGTAAGGGATGTAAAATGCAGAACTATGTTTATTCTCACAGACCTTATGATTTATCTAGGGACATATAATTAACACATGTATAACAGTTGAAGAACAGTGACATACTAAATTTTTTTTTGATACGGAGTCACTCTGTCATCCAGGCTGGAGTGCAGTGGTGCCGTCTTGGCTAACTACAACCTCCACCTCCTAGGTTCAAGCAATTCTCCTGCCTCAGCCTCCCGAGTAGCTGGGATTACAGGCATGTGCCACTATGCTCAGCTCATTTTTTTTGTATTTTTAGTAGAGGCAGGGTTTCACCATATTGGCGAGGCTGGTCTCAAACTCCTGACCTTGTGATCTGCCTGCCTTGGCCTCCCAAAGTGCTGGGATTACAGGCGTGAGCTACCACGCCCGGCCCGTACTAAGTTTTTTAATGCAATACTTTATCAGGGTAGAATTTACTCTTAAATACCTCCTATGGCTTATGTGCCAGAATTCAGCTTGGGGGAGTTCCTTAGAGATGTTCTCATAGAAATCTCTACAGAAGCCCCCATAACTCCATAAGTTAGCTTCCACTCTTTCCATACTTACACTTTCCTCTTCTGTCCTGCATTAGGAAATATGATTCCCTGATTCAGGATCAGGCCCGGGAACTGTCTTACCTACGGCAAAAAATACGAGAAGGGAGAGGTATTTGTTATCTTATCACCCGGCATGCAAAAGATACAGTAAAATCTTTTGAGGATCTCCTAAGGAGCAATGACATTGACTACTACCTGGGACAGAGCTTCCGGGAGCAACTCGCCCAGGGAAGCCAGCTGACAGAGAGGCTCACCAGCAAACTCAGCACCAGTAAGTTGGCCACAGGGCTTTGGAATACTCTCAGTCACCCCCACAGTTCCAGCCCCTGGTGGCCACCACATCTCCACTGCAACTTTTTATCCTAAGGTCCTGTTTCTATTTCATTTCCTGGGGCTAATACAGGATCAAGACTGCTCAGTGGGGAGCATGGAGAGGAAAACACAGGGCTGGAGATGCCATGGTTACAACTATAGAAACTTCACCACTAATGGAATGTGACCTGTGGGGCAGGGGCAGCATCTCTCTGATGCTAAGAGGGAGTAGGGGACATGAGATGGAAGGGCTTTGTTATAGGAGGAAGAGCCCTGAACCAAGAACTACAAGACTCAAGCTCTGGCCTGGATGCTGCCACCAACTCGCTAAATGCCTTATCCTTGTGGTGTCTCCATTTATGGCATGGTAATGTGCATGCAGGTACTCCACATATGGATAAAGCGCCATGCTCTTTTATACATGGTTTAGGCACTGGCTGCAGTAGTTCAAGGGCTACATTGGTTATTATTGGGGTCTTCTACTCAGAATTTCCAGCGACTATCCAAGGGAGTAAAGTAGGATCAGACTTGGGAGCCACCCAGCCCACCACCTGGTGGCAGATGCAGAGGTGGGGCAGGGCTTCTTGTCATCTCCTCAGAGACCAGTGCAGGTTCTGCATGAAAGCTGTGGTGGGGCATATGCATTGGGGAGCTAGTCTGCAGCAGGACATGGAGGCTGGAGTGTCCCGCAGGGCAGCTGGGCAAGGGCCTCATGATTAATGGAACAAAAGACATTATAAATGTTTTACCCTGATTTAGGGCAGAGGAAGTCATCATGGTGACCGGCAGGTCAGGGACAGTGGGGTCACTTCTCTAGAGACACAAGCTGAGGTATCCCAGAATAACTGTTCTGGATGCACACATGAAATGCTCACTACTCTGTCTCCAGATAGGCTCCTGCATTTGTAATGCGGGAAGTGGGACCAGCCTAATTTCTTATCGTCTCTTTCTAAATTTGGTTTACAGAGGATCATAAAAGTGAGAAAGATCAAGCTGGACTTGAGCCACTGGCCCTCAGGTAATTCAGAGGAGAATCTGGGAAAGAGATTGGGACCGAGGCCCAAAGGGTCAAGGGTGGCGGCAACTCCACAAATCAAGGGGAATAAAGCAAAGTGCTGAATGTATTGAATTCAGGCATTCATTGAACACCTCACTGTTGTTTTTAACTAAATTCTTTCTTCCCTTTTGGTTGAATCATATTGGCACATTAATTCTCCAGGCTTAGTAACCTAGAAACAGTCTGAGCTAAAAGTGAACTAACTAGGTTTCAAGAGTCTTCTGCCCCACTAAGGGTCCTGCTTTCCTGCTGTGTGTTTAATAAGCAGGATGAGCTTTTTCCAAAGTTGGGTTGACAGCTAATTTAATAGTCACTCAATTGCCCTGGGGGAAAAAAGGAATCATATAACAGGACCTGGTGAAAGAGGCCTAGATGGTGTAGATCACCAGGAGGCTGCAGTGCCTCAGGACCCAGTTCTCAGTGAGTTGCTTCATATAATGATCAATGAAATACGGGCTCAGAGTCCGTTGTAGCCACTAGTTGGGGTTCTTTGTGTCATGCTTGTGTCTCAGACTACATAAATGCTTCTGAAAGTATCTGTAGTGAAGGACACAGTGGTTTTTTTTGTTTTGTTTTGTTTTTATTTCTAATCTATCATAGAAACATATATGGTCTGAATTCAGTTAATTACATGATTCCACTTATCATGCTCTTGGATGTTGGGACAGTGGTTTGTTCTGTGTTTCTCAATGCTTGCTTTCAATTTTTATACTTGTCTTGTTGGAGATGGTAACAAACAGTTCGCAGGCTGCAACTGTTCCAGGGATCATACATTAAGCAGCAGTGCCTTAAAAGGAGGGCTAGCTATGTCTTTGCTTGTCCTCAGCATATTATGTGGCCAGAGCACTAGGTAGCTATTCTCTCTCCATCTACACCCCACCTACACTCCATCCCTAAGCAGAGGTGGGTTATTTCCATAATTATCTGCAGGCATGGTCCCCTTGGCTTACTTGGCTTTTCCTATGAGCCATAGTCAGGACAGGTTGGCTTCGGTGACCTTGGTTTTACCCGTTGTCCCCCTTCTCCCCACCAGGCTCAGCAGGGAGCTGCAGGAGAAGGAGAAAGTGATTGAAGTCCTGCAGGCCAAGCTGGATGCTCGGTCCCTCACACCCTCCAGCAGCCATGCCTTGTCTGACTCCCACCGCTCTCCCAGCAGCACCTCTTTCCTGTCTGATGAACTGGAAGCCTGCTCTGACATGGACATAGTCAGCGAGTACACACACTATGAAGAGAAGAAAGCTTCTCCCAGTCACTCAGGTAGCCTCCACTTTCTGGGTGGTACCATCTTTGTCTAGGCTGAGTGGAGAACTCAGGAAACAGGGCTTATAGCTCCACCATGGTGTGTATCAGGCTGAACATGGCTGTGGGGCCAAGTGCCATGCACAGGCACCAGTGGATCAGGATCTTTGCTCTGCTCCTGACTCTACAAGTTACCTCTGTCACCGTGGCCTCCATGGGCACGTACAAGCTGTTGGGCACAAAGTGAGCCACTGTGGGGAGAGTGAGAAGATCACGGCAGACTCTTCTTCCTTGGTGACTCTGTCAGATAGATCTTCTTTAAGATGGAAAACCTCCTTCATCTCTCCTACAATGATCTTGCTACTTATTCCTGAGCAGTGTTCCCTAAGTATATTTGGGTGTCCACAGATGCTGCTAGTCTTGCCTGATATTTTTGGAGTTGCCATTTTCATGTTTCAGAGCTCAGAGCACCGCTGTCATCCCTAAGGTGGTTTGCCTCACTATAGGAGCTGTCTGCAAGCAAGAAAATGAACACTGCTAACAGTGCTTGTGCTTGGTTCTTTCCCTGAAAGCAAGACTCTAGCCCTGGTACCCCTGGGTAAACATAAGGCCAGGATTCCAGTTCTCTGTAGAACATCATACGTTTTCTTTCATTCATGGATTTTATAGATTCCATCCATCATTCGAGTCATTCTGCTGTGTTGTCTTCTAAACCATCATCAACCAGTGCATCTCAGGGGGCTAAGGCCGAATCCAACAGCAACCCCATCAGCTTGCCAACTCCCCAGAATACCCCCAAGGAGGCCAACCAGGCCCATTCAGGTATGCAACAGCCAATGGGGCAGAAGCTTCATCTCCTCTTTCTCTGCTGCCTGTTTGATTTTTCTTCAACGACAGAGGTTTGGACTGTTAGGGGCCTAAATGCATCAAAACCTAGACAGAATCGAGAAACCATCCTCATTTTCCAGTTGTGTCTGATTTAAGAAAATATTTTAGAAAATAAGTAATCCACATCAGGTTTTGATCTGCATACCAGTTCTGACCAGTAGTTGGCTAATCATTTAAAAAGAAACATTTTTATTGGTTTTCTCTCATTTTATCCTGGGAGCAAAGAGGCAAAATGTTTCTCCCAGGATTACAACAGCCATAGGATGAAAAGAAATTCACATCTGTTGATCCACTGTATGTGTTACCCATTAAATCTGCATGGAGATCCTCTGCAAGAGGTAGTGCTACTTGTAGCCAAGGATGGTGAGAACAGCCTCAGACAAGGTTCTGTTCATAGTACGTTACCATTAATGGATGTATGAATGGATTGGCAGTCCTTGATATGTACATAGTGCATATCTTGGGGGCAGTTAAAGGGGTGCATTTCATTTACAAGTTCAGCTTAGTTGCCGGAGGGTACACTGCTCATTCACAGCCCTGTACCAGGGATGGCAAGAAAAGGCAAACCTTGTCTTCGCCTCCTACCTCCCACCATAGCTGGCTGGCTGCCTTCAGTGTGGTTTGTTGTGAGGTTTGACTTGAGTAGAGGTGCTCCCAGAAAGCACAGTGCTTTCTTCTGCTGCCCTCATTTCCCTGAAAGCAATTCAACTAAAATCTTAAGGAAGAGGAAGTGTTCCAATGCTTCCTGAGCCTGGTTTCAAAGTTTCTAGGCCAGAGTAGGCAGCAGCTGGACCAGAATCATGAGGAAAAGCTGTGCTTCCAGACTTATAGACATCTGCTTAAATGTTGTGGGTTCAAACAGAGCAGTAGGTAAAGAACAGAGGATTTTAAAATCAGAATGCCTCCTCAAAGAATGCCTGGGCTGTGTTACCTGGCAATTTGAGTATATTTGCAGTATTGATCTGAAATGGTGCCAGCACCATTGGGATGTGTTTTAGGATATAATCATTGTCTTCTACATTAGACATTCTCTATGGGTCAGCCTTGGTTTCTGCTCCCTCTCCATTGGCTACCTGCCCTTTAATTGCTTTTAGGGAAGAGGAAACAATTTTAAACATTGAACCTTGCCAGGGTTTCTAAAAACCTGTCTGTAGATGGGCTGCCTAAAGATCACCAGGGAAGACTTTTTTTAAATGTAAATTTCATGTTCCAAGAATTTATAATTCTGTAAGTCTACATTAAGGCCTAGACAGAATCAAGAAGGCCTAAAGAATCTACATATATTAGAAGTTTTTGCTATGTGATTTAAATGCCCAGAAGGATTTGCAAGCCATTTTGTCTAAGCCACTCTACCAAGGCATCTATTTTTAATTTGGTCAATGAACACGTTGATTTGGAATTCTGAAGTTTGTTTCCATCAGAGTCCTGAACTGCATGCACTAGTAATGAAAATTTCCCCACAGCCTTTGTTCACATCTCTCCTACTCAGGATGGGACCTGATGCTGTCAAAGAGGAGTTCTAGGTAGAGAAAGAGTCTTGTCCCAGGGCCAAGGACTGATACATGCTGGGAGCAGAGCCCCAGGGGCCCTTGAAAGCATTCAGGCTCTCTGACTTGTCCATGTCCAGGATTGCTGGGGTGGGGCTCAATAATGCCACCTTACCTTCTTTAGCCAATTGCTTTCAAGATGAACACAGAGGATATATGCAGGATAGCCCTGGCAGGGGAGAAGAGGGAAGGTCAGCCAGGCCAGCCTCTGGTAGCAATGGTCACCCTTGGCTGTCTTATCCTGTACCACACTAGATGATAGCCACTCCGCAGGGTGATGTCTGGTCAGGGAATGCTTTTACCTTCTCAATCTTTTACCCATTCTTTTCTCTCATTTTCTCTTGATGATGTGTCTCTTTTCTCCTTAACTTTCTTTTCCTAGGCTTTCATTTTCACTCCATACCCAAGCTGGCTAGCCTTCCTCAGGCACCATTGCCCTCAGCTCCATCCAGCTTCCTGCCTTTCAGCCCCACTGGCCCTCTCCTCCTTGGCTGCTGTGAGACACCAGTGGTCTCCTTGGCTGAGGCTCAGCAGGAGCTACAGATGCTGCAGAAGCAGTTGGGAGAAAGTGAGCACTTCTGCATTTGTGTGCTTGCGATTGGCAGCCCCACACTGTGTTGCTCTGCATGGCTCGGGCTGGATGGCAGAGTTTAAAAAAACAACACGGGTACACGTTACAAATGTAAGAGGGAGGGAAAGCTCTGTTTGCTTATTTTTTGGAAATGTATTTACTGTTATTTCTGTGGTGTGTATGTCTCATCAGTTAACAGGTAGATATGTTCACGAGGCTCTAGACCTGGTGCTCTCACACTGTAGACAGTGTTGGATACCACCAAGTATGCTGAATCCCTGACAGACTGGTGGACTGCTCATTGGTTGGGGGTGGGAGAGAGATGTTATGCTTTGCCTATGCAGGATGAAGTGGCCAAGAAAAAGATGGCCACATTCAGTGGGCTCCTTTGTGTGG
The DNA here is from genome assembly GCF_000001405.40 of Homo sapiens. NCBI lineage: Eukaryota > Metazoa > Chordata > Mammalia > Primates > Hominidae > Homo > Homo sapiens. The sequence goes on from NC_000001.11 coordinate 149,013,176, forward strand.
CTATTATGTTTTTCTGCTGTGAAATGCTGTTAATCAAGTTCAGTTCCTGATATCATTAGGTTGGAGCAAAAAGGGTAATGATAGAGGGATTCAGAAGAGGAAATGATGAGCCCCTTTTCCTACTGCACAGGGTTGGTCCCTGCCCTGGGACAGGTGACACGTAGGCAGCTTAGAACCACAGCACCAGCTATGGCATCTGACTGTGAATCCCATCCTCTGACTCCCAAAGATAATTGATCTCATGTAGTTACGTAGACTGTGGACAGTCACCTTTTAGAAAGTGCTTTGATGTATTTGTAGGCTGGATGCTCATCATAAATTTAGTGTGCTGGTGGTCACTGATAGCTTAGAAAAAAATGACAACCTTCACATGAATTTGCTCTTTCATAGCACCTTAGGCACAACAGTTAAAAAGCAGTTTGAATGAACTTAAACTCATTTGTCAGGCACTTTCTGTGCCTGTAAAGAAGCTTAGGTGAGCCAGAGACTGATAGGGTCACCATGCCAGAAGTTTCTAGTGATGCAAGACAACAGCCAAGAATTTGCATCCCCCTCCCTACAGCCCCAAATGTCATGTGGACCAGCATATTTCTTTCCTTCTTCCTCTTTTTTTTTTTTTTTTTTTTTTTTGAGACAGGGTCTTACTTTGTCACGCAGACTGAAGTGCAGTGGCACGATCTCGGCTCACTGCAGTCTCTACCTCCTGGGCTCAAGCGACTCTCCCACCTCAGCCCCCCAAGTAGCTGGGATTACAGGTGTGTGTCACCACACCTGGCTAATTTTTGTATTTTTTGTAGAGACAGGGTTTCGCCATGTTGCCAAGACTGGTCTAGAGCTCCTGAGCTCAAGTGATTGGCCCACCTTGGTTTCTGAAAGTGCAGGGATTACAGGTATGAGCCACTGCACCCAGCTTAGCCTATTTATTTTGTCAACCCAGGAAATGGGTACTTTGTCTAATGCAGGGAACTGTAAAGCTCAGGGAAGTGAAGTTACTTGTTCAAGGTCACTGGTAAGTGGGAGAGATGGGGTTGAATCTGGTCTTCTGCTCCAGGTTTTATGTTTCTGTTATATCTTTTCTACTTAGGATGGCTTTGTCACCATCCTGCTTAGAGTATGGAGCTGAGCTCAGCTGATCAAACTCTGGGGACTCGTTGCAACAATTTTTTCCCTCTCTTTAGAGACCAGTAGGAAGTGCTGCTGTTTCTGACCTAAAACTTGTTATTTTAGCAGTTCTGGCACCAACAATGAATGGGCAACAAATGTGTCCCATGACAAATGGCAAGAGTATTTTCTAGCTTCCATTTCTTTATCTTGCCTCCTTTTCCTTTATCTTTCCACATTTGTCCATTTGTCTTTGCCCAAACGGAAGGATGGAAGGAGAGCACTGTCCATGAAAAAGGGTCTGTTGTTTTGGGTTAAATTGGAATTACATCAAGTCTGAGGCCATTGACCGGAGTTCAAATGGTCCCAGCCTAGATGAGGAAGATTGTAGCCCTTTCTTTCTCCACCTGAAGTCAAGGTCCTCTCCAAGGGACCATTGCTTATACATGCTCATTGTTTGCTTTGAGCCAAGTTTCCGTGTGGACAGTGGTGCATGGTGGCCTCTCAGGTCCCTGGGTTAAAATCTTGTGCAAGAGTCTGTATGGTATCTTTGCATGGTTTAGAGCATGTACTGTGTATTGTGTGGCCAATGGACTGGAACATGAGAATACTGATCATTGTTACTGATAGACTTAAAACCTCACATGGCCTTGATTAAAAAGTAAGCTGACTATCTGCAACCACTGATTTCTCCCTTTGCCTTGTGTTCGGATGGGGTTGAAGGCAGTTTGAAAGAGGTAGGAAATCATGTATTTGTTGCATTCCTTCTAAAATGTAGGTGCTTAAATTTTTAACCTTCTTCCTTAACTAAGTGATCCTAATGAACATCTAGTATTTTGCAAATTAGAAGAGAGACTCATGACAAGACTTCCCAAACTTCTGCCTATTAGAATTACCTAAAATGAATTTAAAACATCCATTGTTCAAGATGTATCCCATATAGACTAAGGCAAAATCTCTGGAATCCAGGAATCAGTATATGTTTCCATACTTTCTCAGGTGATTCCAATATGTACCCACATTTGAGAACCAGCTACAAGTAGGGCTAAAAACTGGCAAGTGGCATTTACACTAACCCCTCCAAGGAGTTTGGCTTGGATGGAAGAAACAATGACCTCACTCCTGTTGCTTAGGAGGAGCTACCTGTCTATTCTGCTGCCCATGTTCATAATCCCTGAAAGAAAGCAGGCTTCTGAATTTTCTCCTAAACTGTGTCTCTGCCCACCTCTTTCCTCATCTCCCCCATGCTAGGCTTCTTTTTACAGAGAAGTGGAGATGATGGGGCTCAAGGGAAAGGCCTATGATTTCAAAGGATCTATGAAAGTATCAGCCTATTAAATGAAAGGTCCTACCTGCCTCTGTGGAATAGTATTCAATGATTCTTTAGACAGGAGTGATGACATTTTGCAGCTCCTTGAGTCATGTTGGATGGGATCCAAATAAATACTTGCCTTACATAGGCCCTTCCCCAGCCTCAGCAAAGAGTTCTTCAGTCTGGAGGAACTAGGGCCACCATATCCAGCTTGATTTCATGTCCCCTTTCTCTTCTGAAAAACTCCAACGTGGAACGGACATATTGACTAGTTAGTTTCAGGGGAAGGCAAGTACATGTAGACAAACAGATGTTCGTGTTCACAGGTAAGCTCAATCCTGCATTCCACTGCACTCACAACTTCTAACTGTGGGAGTGAATCCTACTTTTAGAACTTTCCTTGGAGTCTGTCATGAAGGATTATAGTAGGATCCAGGAGTGGGGCCACTGGACTTTTCCATTGTATATACTGATGACTTTAAGATACTTTATTCTCTACCTCTTGTGTCTCCTGCTAGGAAATACAAAGGGTGAGAGTTACAACCTCTAGGTTACAAGCCTTAGTCTAATTAGTATACCAAAGTGAACTGGGATCTCTGACATTCCACATGTCTCCTTTTAGTCTCTATTCTTAGCAATCACACACTTCCTTGCAAATTCTTCCCTTCTGACACCCCATTTGCTTCTTACTAATGTTTCTTTCTGCCCAGGTGCCAGCACTGTTCCTCCTGCTTCCACAGCTACATTGCTGAGCAACGACTTGGAAGCCGACTCTTCCTACTACCTCAACTCTGCCCAGCCTCACTCTCCTCCAAGGGGCACCATAGAACTGGGAAGAATCCTAGAGCCTGGGTACCTGGGCAGCAGTGGCAAGTGGGATGTGATGAGGCCTCAGAAAGGGAGTGTATCTGGGGACCTATCCTCAGGCTCCTCTGTGTACCAGCTTAACTCCAAACCCACAGGTAAAGCACAAAGCAGAGATGGCAGCCTTTGAAAAGAAGTCTCATTTGGAGTCTACTCTTTTCCTACCCAGGCAGGACTATTTCATTCCTCCTCCATCCCTGGCTCACAGAGTGGATATAAAATGCAAGAGCTGTATCAGGGCTCAATCCTTTCCAAGTACATTTCTTCATTCTCCTGCCCAGGGCCTCAGTGCTCTGTAGGGATATGGGAAAGTCAGGGACCCACCTCTTGTGCTGTCACACTCATGTCCTTCCATCCCTCTGCAGCCTGGCCTCTTTGCAGCCCACTCTCTTAGACCCTTCCAGAATGCCAGGCATAGATGGGACTTTCTTCCATCAGTCAGGACTTGTCACAGGAAAGGGTGTAAGGGTGCAGCTCCCTGACCCTGCAAATATATCCTGTGCACAAAATTCAGTCACAGCAAGTGGAGAGGTATAGCTAAGCTCATAAATGCTGAGATGCCGCGCAGTTCCAACAGTAAGACAATCGTAATTTTCAGGAAAAGACTGAGCCCAAAGCAAAATGGTGCAGTTAATGTCCGGTGTAAGCATCCGTCTGACTTTTCTGGATATTTTTGCTTTGTTTGGCAGGGGGAAGGGGGGTGTCATCCCCTCTCTAATTTGCCTTCAGATCTCTAGATCCTTCCAGGCTATTCTTTCATCTTCCATATTAAAAGTGATTTCAGGGAAGCATTCAGTGTCAGTCATTAACCGCATAGGGTGAGTGTAAGATCACGTACTTTTACTTTAGGCCTTCTTTCTAAGGGTGGGAGGAAGGGCTTTGTCCCTTGCTAAAGAATGCTCACTCACGTGTCAGTAAGAAGAAAGGTAGAGTGAGGTCTCACCTATCATCCTCATAGTCACACCCAGGAGGTGGCCACACCTTTCCAGATGCTAGGCAGGCCTTGTCCAGAGCCCTCAGTTATTTTTCTAAAACGTGGAACTCTCACAAGACCCCTGTGTGGGAGGAGGCCCATGGAGATTTTTTAGCAAGTGACTGTCATGTGTTTGAAAGCACATTGACTGTTTAAACAAAACTACCATTCTTTTGGGTGTCCGTGTGAGAGGACACAGTTGGCAGAAGGCTAGTGATATTTACAGGTCTTGCTGCAGGTCCCCTAGCCGAGCCCCACCCCCATCAGTAACCAGGATTCTCCATCTCCCACCTCTCTTCATGTCCTGGTGGTTTGGCCGCAGGGGCTGACCTGCTGGAAGAGCATCTTGGTGAAATCCGGAACCTGCGCCAGCGCCTGGAGGAATCCATCTGCATCAATGACCGCCTACGGGAGCAACTGGAACACCGGCTGACCTCTACTGCTCGTGGAAGGGGTAGGAGAGGCCCAGACCTTCCTGTTTCTGGCTCTATTTAGGGACTTTTAGGCAGAGCTTCACAGATATTCTTTACTTCACTCGCTCCTTATGAACAGTCCAGCAAGGGAGGTGGGCAAGTACTGTCATCCCTACTTTCTGAATATATCTGAGTTTAGAGAGTAACTCTCTTTAAGGCAGAACTACGTCTGATGCCCAGAGTCACCTGACTTCTCACCCCATACTTAATCTGCTTATATACTGCTGATGTCTGTGCCTTTGTTGTGTGATTGATAAGTGGTGGAACCAGGTCTGTAAGGGTCCTCCCACCTCTACCCTCGCCTCTTTACCAAGGTGGCCTTTCTCCTTACACTCTCCTTCCAAGCTGCTGTCATGTGGAGGCCAGTCTTTCCATATGTTGTTGTCCTGCCTATACCACAGCAGCAGCTGTTTAGGGAGATCGAGCCTCCTGCACCATTGCAGTTACGGCATGTGATGATGCACGCAAAGAATCCACTGAGAAGAGGCACACAGAAAACATGTACCCAGCCCCCCACGCTTCATTCAGGGCCAGGCCTTCAGTCCTTGGGGTTTTCTGCTGGGTTGGGGCAGTATCTTTGAGAGATAACGAATGGGAAACTTTTGAAAGTTTCTGTTACCCAAATGTCTACTTTCTGGGACAGGATCCACTTCTAACTTCTACAGTCAGGGCCTGGAGTCCATACCTCAGCTCTGCAATGAGAACAGAGTCCTCAGGGAAGACAATCGAAGACTTCAGGCTCAACTGAGTCATGTTTCCAGAGGTACGTGGTCAAAACCCACAAACTGTGGTCACTCTTAAGTTTCTTTCTTCCCTGGCCACACTAATCACCAACTGGAGAAGCAAACAGAAGAAGGTAGAGGTAACAGAGCTACTCAGATCCACCAACCCAAACTCACAGCTATTCTCAGTCTAGAGAAGGCTGCTTTCTAAGATGTTCCAACTATGGGCCCCTCAGACTCCTAGTCCCCAGAAGCGAAGAGCTCTAGGAAATCCATCATTTCTGTACAAGCCCACCTGCATATATCCAGAGTCACAAGCTATCAATTTGGATACCAGTCTGGTATCTGCTCTACCTCCCTTCACTCACAACTGACTTGGAACCAATAAAGGAGGGAGTGCGAATGCCTATCTTCCCTCTCAAGTTTCTCCAGACTTTACTGCAGCAGCATGTGTCGCTCCTGGCCCTGCTGTGCCATCCCTCTGCCTCCTCACCACATCTCTCACTCATAGACTCAGGGCTTCCCTCTGGTCAGTACTCCCATGACTCCATGCCGAGTGGCACTAGCAAATGCCCCCCAGCACTTTCCCAGCCCTAGCCAGGGGGCGCTCACAGGTGGGCATCATTTCTCGTGTGGCTGGGAGGCAGCTGACCTTGGTGTTAGTCTACTTGATCAGATCAATGTATTATCGATAACAAAGTATTTTTATTCACAAATATTTATGAACAGCCATGAAAAGACTGAGGGTAGTATCCAAAAGGATTAAGCCCAGAATGAAGGAATGCTTGTGGAAAAGGAAAAAGCCACCAAGAGATATTTCTAAATTAGCCACCCAAATTAATTAATTTAATTAATTGATTTCTGTATTAGCGAGAAGATTTGAGAGGAAAGGTCACTGCTGGGGGACGATAACAAAAGTTAACAGATAAGAAAGAGGGCAGAACTACTGAGCTACCATTGCATGCTTGGAGAGAATAGAACAGACCTCAGCAGGTGAGAAGACAGTAAGAGATTTAAACGAGTACAATTTGCCAGGCTCAGGTGACTCTTTCCCCAGAGGACTTACTGAGCCTGCAGCTGTATTTTTAGAGTCCCTTCAATAATCTTTGACAACTTGTGAAGATCAGAGAAGTGCTGCAAGTTCAAAAACAAAAAATCTCAGTTTTCAAAATAATGAAAATGAGATCCAAAAAGAAATCTTGACGTTGATCTTTGTCAAAATTCAAGAATGGATTATTGAACAGACGATATGTGAGCACTTGGAAAGTGGTGATCATTAGAAAGCAGAATTTCTCTAAGAGCAAGGTAGGACAGATTAAATAAGTGGCATGAAGGGTTTTGCAAAGAGAGAGAGGCACCATGCTCCAGGCTCTGGGGGATGTTGAGCCAGCATGCTCTTCCCACCAACATAGGGCCTTCCTTCCCTGCTCCTTAGCTCTGTCTGTCAGGGTGGATGTGCTTGGGGTCATCTTCCAGCTGAGCTCTGGCCCCATGATAATAAATCAATCCTGTGTTCCTCTCACCAGAGCACTCCCAGGAAACAGAAAGCCTGAGGGAGGCTCTGCTGTCCTCTCGATCCCACCTTCAAGAGCTGGAAAAGGAGCTGGAGCACCAGAAGGTGGAAAGGCAGCAGCTTTTGGAAGACTTGAGGGAGAAGCAGCAAGAGGTCTTGCATTTCAGGGAGGAACGTCTTTCCCTCCAGGAAAACGACTCCAGGTAAGAGGGGACCCATTGACAGAGAAGGTAGCATTCTTCATTCTTACATTCATTCTTACATTACAAGAGGAAGGGATATTGGCAAGACAATTGATGTCCTCTTTTGGAAACCTAAATGTTCCCTCTGCTATTCCTGATTTTTGTGTGTCAGTGGGGTGGGGGGAGGGGCGCTTTGAGCAGAAGAAAGGACTTCTCTGGGAATGCCTTGTCACTCCCAAGTTGAGAGAGTAAAACTCTGTTATAGAAGTCTTCAGTATATCAGAGACATGAAAAAGAAGGGTTCCCATGCTTCCAATTAGATATAGGACATTAGTCTCACCATCACCTAGGAAGCTTCTATACTGGCTGTGATGCTTGGTCCCAGCATAAGCCCTGTAACTGCTTGTCAGAATGCAAAGAGCACTGTAGGAACAGTAAGGAGACTGTGCTGGTGTGTCTGTTCTGCTCTGAACTAATGTAGGTAATGGTGTGTTTTCAAGCAAAGTTACTTGACCTCCCTCAGCCTCCATTTCCATATCTGCGAAATAAAAGTGATAGTCTTCATGACCCCCTGAGTTGACATCTGGGGCTCAGATGTAACCCTAACTGTAACCCTTTATGACCCTCTGAGTTGACATCTGGCTCTCAGCCTGTTGCTCTGGTGTGGCTGAGTAGCTCTGCCATCTCAGTGGGCCTTGCCTCTCCCTGGTCAGACTGCAGCACAAGCTGGTTCTCCTGCAGCAACAGTGTGAAGAGAAACAGCAGCTCTTTGAGTCCCTCCAGTCAGAGCTACAAATCTACGAGGCACTTTATGGCAATTCCAAGAAGGGGCTGAAAGGTATGTGTTCTTCTCCCCTCACCCCATGAGCTTTTTGCCCTTGCATAGGATGCTAGTGAGGTCTTTCCTTTGGGAGTTGTGGAGATCATGGGAAGCTACAGAGTTCTGTTGCAGAAACCCCCACCCGAGCCTGGGGCTCCCAGTAGGAGCTCTCAAACACAAAGCCCAACGGGACAGGTTGGTGGCACGAGCAAGATCCGGCCTGATCATTCCTAATTACTTTAAGAAAATCTAGACATTCCTATCAATGTCTAGATTGTAACATTTTTGAAAGCAAAAGAACTGTCCTAATGATATCATCATTTGAAAAGGCCTTTAATATTGTCGGTGATACATACTGACAACCCATTCAGCCCAATGCAGCAGGCAGTCCGCTCCCACCCTGACCCTTTCCCTAGTGACATCTGGCGCTCAGCTTATTGCCCTCTCATGTAATTTTCATAAATCCTGATTTAGTTTCCTGATTTTCTAAAGAGAAGGTGAACTGGAATTTGAAGAAATACAGGGGCTTACCAGGCTGGGCGAATAGCTTAAGTACAAAGTCATGGTGAGTGTTGAGTCAGTGGGGACCAGCCTGCCCACAGGAGAAAATTAAAAGACACAAAAACAAAAACAAAAAAACCTTATAGAAATACCACTAATAGGACCTAAATTTCAATCCTGGATTTAAATATTAAGGACATTTATTGAAGACTTTGCTGCCTGCTGAAATAATAATCTAATATTTGAGAATTTTGATATATTTCTTCATTCTTTAAATGGAGAAGGGTATTCAAAACATAATGTGAATAAGTCACAGCAGGCTGGAACAGAGGACGACATCAATGTCGTGAAATTTAGCAAAGATAAAAAGCAAAATCCTGAGCTTGATTAAAAATATCAGTGGTAGAAATATAGGATGAGGGTAGAAATATAGGACAGGCAGCCATTCATGGACATGAGGGTTTGGGGTTTGGTAGAAACATGTTCACACAAGTAAGGTGTAGGACAAAGGTTGCTAGAAATGCCAGCTCAAACTGGAACTACAGTAGTGTAAGTGTGATGTTCGCCTGTGGAGACCATGTCTAAAATATTGTTAGATTAAGGGGCACCATCTTTGAAAAGGGCGTTGACACACTAGGGAACATAATGAAGACAGGGCGCACAATGGTGTGGACCAGAAATCTCCAACTAGTCAAAGAAACTAAAGAAATGTAGGCTTTCAAAAGATCTTGAGGACATGAGAACTGGCTTCGGATATTTGAAGAAGTGTCAGGTGAAAAAGAACTCATGTATTTTATGTCCCTCCAGAAGGCTAAACAAAGAGTGAAGGGCAGTGGAAGTTAGATTAGAATTATCATAAATCCTGATTTAGTTTCCTGATTTTCTAAAGAGAAGGTGAACTGGAACCTGAAGAAATAGAGGGGGCTCACCAGGCTGGGAGAATAATTTAAGTACACAGTCATGGTGAGTGTTGGGTCAGTGGGACCAGCCTGACCACAGGAGAAGCTTGAGGTTGGAGTGAGAAGTCAGGATGGTGGAGCAGAGTCACCAAATCTTGAAAGCTCACAGGTCAGGGTAAAAGTTGACATTCTGTATAGTAGATAATGAAACTAAGTCTGTTCTTTTTCAAAGAAGATAAGCATATGATGAAAACAGAACTTTAGGATGCTAAGTCTTAGGGGATGTCCTGGAATTGGGAGACATTAGAATCTGGGAAACGTATTGGATGGGTCTAGTGATATTCTGGCACATTAAGAGATGACAGTCTAATATAAGGTGCTATTGGGAAGATGAAAGGGTATAGATAGATTTTAAAACATCTCTTAAAAAATAAGCAAAATTTAGTGAGAAGTTGGGTTGAGAAAGAGAGAGAGGAACATCATAAAACTTTGGGCAAAATTCAAGAGTAGATTATTTACCAAAGTCCCTAAAATTGGTTCATCCTGAGCTACCTTTCCTTTCATGCTTTTCTCCCTGCCTTTTAGGACTCATTTCAAAGCTACAACCACTAAAGCTCCATAATCTCTTATCTGTAATTTCAAAATCCAGTAAGATTTCCAAATTAAATTTTTCAAATACTCATTTAGTGACAAAATCTAGATGATCTGACATGAGGATATTCATAAGTCTTTATTTATCTACTTAGAATATTCACATAGCTCATTGCGGAAATAGTTATATGTTTGATAAAGGATTGTGGCTCACATGCAACTGGGTACATGTTATATATGATATATGCACCCTGTTGCCTTGCTAAAAACTAAAACAAATTTTACCTTTCGAAATACATTTGGCCTTAAGGTTTTCAGATAAGGGATTGTAGCCTCGTAGAATATTTCTTAGATCTCTTCATCCCCAGTACAAAGAAATAGCCATGTGGTGAATGGAGGTAAATATATATACATATATATATTTATATATATGTGCATGTATATATATGTGTGTACATGTCATATATGTACATGTATATGTGTGCACATATATATGTACATGTATATGTGTGCACATATATATGTACATGTATATGTGTGCACATATATATGTACATGTATATGTGTGCACATATATATGTACATGTATATGTGTGCACATATATATGTACATGTATATGTGTGCACATATATATGTACATGTATATGTGTGTACATATATATGTACATGTATATGTGTGCACATATATATGTACATGTATATGTGTGCACATATATACACCTATATATAGTATGTATATACACACAACATATATAAACACACTATATGTAGGTGTATATATATGTACACACACACACACATATATATAGAGAGAGAGAGAGAAAGAGAGAGAGAGAAATTGAAAAACTCAGTTATAATCCCTCGTCTAAGGTGCCCAACTCACATTCTCACATGCTACCAAAAGACCTCCTCCTTCTCTTTCATTTTTGAGAGTGAGGACTATGAAATCTCTTTCTTCCTCATCCCCTACCCTTCTCTAGCTCAGTGCTGACCTTCTACCTTGGAGTATCCTATACTTTAGCCTACAGGATTAAGGTTACTATGGAGATGAAATATGGACTTATCTTCATCTGCCAATCAAATGCTCTATAGGTGCATGTGTGTAACTTAAGCCGCAGGGAAGTTTCAGACTGGATGTGTGCCAGCTCAGTGCCATCCCCAGGCCACACACAGAAATGGTGACATCTCCATCACAGATGGGTTGCATGAGACTCAGATGATAGTGGGGTCCTTGGCAGAAAAGAATGTCACAGAGGAGGGTTCTGACAAGTGCTTGGAAATACTTGGGTCAATGTTACCAGACTCCTTCTCTCTCAGCTTACAGCCTGGATGCCTGTCACCAAATCCCTTTGAGCAGTGACCTGAGCCACCTGGTGGCAGAGGTACGAGCTCTGAGAGGGCAGCTGGAGCAGAGCATTCAGGGGAACAATTGTCTGCGACTGCAGCTGCAACAGCAGCTGGAGAGCGGTGCTGGCAAAGCCAGCCTCAGCCCCTCCTCCATTAACCAGAACTTCCCAGCCAGCACTGACCCTGGAAACAAGCAGCTGCTCCTCCAAGGTAGGAAGGAAAAGGGACTTAGAAAGCCCTTGGCCAGTGGGGAGATCACCAGGAAGTTCTGCGGCAGAAGGTGTAATCTGCCTGGTCCATGCTCCTTAGGGTCAGGTTGAAATCAGAGATGCTCTAGTCTAGCAACCTGAGTGAAAGCGTGGGATTTAGGTCAGACTGGGCTCCAGATTCTGAGTTTACCACTTAGAGGTCGTTTGATTTGGGCAAGGTGTCTAAAGTCTCAGAGGTTTAAGCTTTAGTTTCCTTATATTTAAGATGAGGATAATGATCATATGTACCTTATATGATTTTGAGCATTAAATGAAATCATTTACAAGTGCTTGGCACACTAAGAATTACTCAATAATTAGCAGCTGTATATGTTCATATCTTTTTCTTGGATTTGCTTGGTGCTTTAGTTTTAGCCAAGTGTTTTCACATATATAATTTCATCTGAAGTAAAGCAGGTTTTGCTATCTCTGTATTTCACATAAGAAAACTTAGGTCCTGAGATATTAACAGACAAGCGGGGATTTAGAGAAGTTATAGACAAAGCCAGGATCAGAACCAGATGTTGTGATTTTCAGTCTGTGTTCCTTCCAGCTCATTGTGCCCTGTCTCAGTATTGCCGACCTTCCCAGATTCTCTAGTCCCCCTTTCCCTCACAGGTGGGGAACTCAGTGTATGGTAAAATGTTCCTGCCCCTAAGGAAACAGGGCTCTGGGGAAGTCCTGGATGGTGGGTGATTTATTTCGGGTGGTCATCATTCGCTTTCTCTACCCCACCCCTTGCCTGCCTTTTCAGATAGGCGTGTTTGACCAGGTCCCCCTTCTCAATATCCTCTATCAATCTCACTTCTCCCAGTTTTCATTGAAATGTCAATGGTGTCCCCCTAGTCTCTTAAATCATTCAATTTCTACTTCCTCTGTCCTTTTCTCCTTTTGATACACCGTTTAGTACACCATCTCCACTCACCTCCATGGCCATACCTTCAATTTTATTCAAATCAGGAACCACTTCTGTTCAGTTTCTCTAAAGCTGAGCTTTCAAACTCTCCTGCCAGCTATTTCTGGGTCATGTTAATCTTTGTTTTTCTGTGGTTCTTGTAGATTCTCATTTATCTGACAGTAACCTTATTTGTCAAATGAAGGTGACAATAACATGATTATGCTGTTTTGGCAATTCAATAAAAAAACACATGTGGTCCACCAAGCAAACCGCCTGACCACCAGGCACTGCTCAGCTTACATTAGTTGGACACCTTGCCCTCCTCTGGGCTGCCCTGATGGTTGTGGTGTTCAGTTATGTCTCCAACTCTTCCTTCTAACCAGGCCTTCTTCTCTCACTGGCTTCCCATACAGCAGCCAAGACTCAGCCCCACTGATGCAGTCCCTGCCCCTCTTTCTCTAGCACCCCGGAGGCCTGAGCTGGAAAGCAGGCACTGGGCCACACTTGCCTGAGCAGGACCTTTTCTACCTTCTTTGTGATATTTTCCAATTCCTCCACCATAGGGTTGCTTTTTAGTCTCCAGCAAGACAATGTTAACCCACCAAGCCTTCTGTCTCCGTTCTTCTCATACAAGTCAATTTTTTTCAGTATTACCTCATCAGAATGATGACTAGAATGTTGAGTCCCCCATGAATCCATTCATTCCTTGATTCTTTGATTCTAGATTTTAATATGTACTATGTATATTTATACATATTACATTTAGTTACAGGGCATCATATTAGATACCACACACAAATTATACTTAAGACTCGGTTTATAAAAATACACCTAATAATTTTTCAAACTAGAAGTTACGTTCTCATGGAACACCCCTCAATTACAGGAATATCTTTTTGTTCTGAAGAATGGAAACATTCTGAACTCAGTGACTCATAGGCTTTTGATTTTGCTTTGGCTTGTGGGGTATGGATAATTCTGTAAGAGGAGAGTCCTGCCACCTTAGGTCTCAGTGGGGACAGCTAGGTGTGCATGTGCTTCATGTGCAGTGTGTTCCAGGGCTCCTGAAAACTGTGGTTGCCTTTACCCCCTAGATTCAGCTGTGTCCCCTCCAGTCCGGGATGTTGGTATGAATTCCCCAGCTCTGGTCTTCCCCAGCTCTGCTTCCTCTACTCCTGGCTCAGAAACGCCCATAATCAACAGAGCAAATGGTAAATATGGCAACTAAAGGGCCCAGGGACTGATGATGGAAAGTGATTAATGCAAACAACCTTTTGTTGTCTCTAAACATATTATCTGTATTTAGAGAGTTTTCTCTGCATGCCCCAAGGCCTTTAGCCCTACTCCCTGCACCTTCTGTGGCTGCCTTTCTTGCCATTGTTCATCCTCCTGTAGTTTTCCTACTGCTGTTTTTGCTTCATTGCACCATAATCTCTCTATTCTTGAAAATGCTGTCTGTATCCAGCTTGACTTCCTTGTCTGTGTCTTCTCTACTCAGAAACTTATTATTTATTATGATTCATCCTATTTCATTTGCCAATAAGGAAAAAATTGTCTCCTGGCAAATTTATCATTAAGAGATAATGTAAGAAAGATTATAAAAATATAGAAGCCAGAAGATCTCTATGGACTTTGCCCCACCCTTGTACATTCCCAGGCTTCCTTTCTTGTTCCCGGCCTCGTCCTTTTCTTGTTCCCTACCTCTTTTTTAGTTGGAGCAAACTGAGGATATCATTATGAATAACAGAAGATTCTGTTGTGTTGTCATTTTCTTTTTCAGGCTTGGGTTTGGATACTTCTCCAGTAATGAAGACCCCTCCCAAGCTAGAGGGTGATGCTACTGATGGCTCCTTTGCCAATAAGCATGGCCGCCATGTCATTGGCCACATTGATGACTACAGTGCCCTAAGACAGCAGATTGCGGAGGGCAAGCTGCTGGTCAAAAAGATAGTGTCTCTTGTGAGATCAGCGTGCAGCTTCCCTGGCCTTGAAGCCCAAGGCACAGAGGTAATCACACCTGAAGCTTTAGGTGCACTCTTTCCCTGTGCCCTTTCTTCCTTTGATGTTAACTCCTTCTCCCACCATTTTTGTTTTTTTCATGCTTTGCATCTCTCAACAGCTGAGACTTCCTCTTCCATGTATAGCAGCCAGGCCCTTTCTTCTCTATCTCCTATTTTCACTGTGAGTTCTGCTCTGTTCCAGATGTAGCTGACTGGATATTTCCCCTCAGCCCCACAGAAACATGTGGCATTGCCTAGCAGCCTTTGGTAGCTTATTATCTACCATAGTCATGCAGGCACATGACCATCTGTGGGCAGAGTCAACTCAATGGGATGGATAGAAACTGAAGGATTTGCAGGTGTATGGCCCCCACATGTGGAAGGGGTGAGAAGCCTGGCAGCCATGTCATTTCCTTGTGCAGACTGCATAGAGGGAGGGAAGGCAGTCAGCAAAGCTTCTGAGAGCACCTTGCCAGTGAGAGAGACCAGGAACCTGTGGCTGTGCTGTCTGAGCTGCTGGAGACCCATGGATGCGTAGGGACAGCCCTGCCTCCACGGAGCCCCCACACTAGAGGGCAAGACACACACCCAAGTAGATAAGCACAGTAAGGGGCTACAGGCACAGTATGAGAAGTCATCCTCTGTGCTGTGAGAGCTCCAATACAAATGTGGTCATTTATCTCAGGCAAGGAAGGTAACAGGCTCATAGAGGACATAGCAAGGGGGGTGAGTTTTGAAAGCCTTGTGGGTTCTGCAGGTGGAGGAAGGCATTCCTGGTAAAGGGAGCAGCACCTTAGTTCTGAGAGCTGCAAATGGTTGTGTGAGGGCTTCACAGGTTCAAGCAGGCCCATGTTCTATGCCTCACTCACAAAGGAAGCTTGAGCCCATGCAGGGGGAAGAAAGTAATCTCTCCGCTCCTGTGGTGTTACCTTTCCCCAGGTGCTAGGCAGCAAAGGTATTCATGAGCTTCGGAGCAGCACCAGTGCCCTGCACCATGCCCTAGAGGAGTCAGCTTCCCTCCTCACCATGTTCTGGAGAGCGGCCCTGCCAAGCACCCACATCCCTGTGCTGCCTGGCAAAGTGGTAAGATGCCAGTGCCCTTTCTTGGTTCAAACCCAGTTCTCCTGCCCTCCAATACTGTTCTGTCTCCTCAATGTCACAGCTTTTCCAGAAAATCAGGAGCCACATAGTGAGTTGGGATAGACAGGAACTTAGAGGAGTGTCCCTGGAGGGACATCTCTGACCCATGGTGGCTGCTTTCATTACAGCTCTGAATATATCCCATTCCCCACCAGCCCCCTGTCCCCTGGTTAAGAAATCAAAGAAGATGAAGGGGTGTGAAGAAGGCGGAGACATCATAACCCTGGCCATCCATAAATGTTCAGTTTATTTACTTCTCTGAAGTTTGACTGAGCTGAAATTCAGTTAAAGCTTCAGCACCCATCTCCCACCCCTCAGGTCCCATGGTTAAATGATCACAGAATGCCCCATGAGACTGAGCCTTTTTAGCCACTGCCTGGAATCCCAACATACAACTTAAGCTGGCATCGCTGGACCAGGCCTGGGGAAAGTCAGCCACCCCTCAGGATCTGCTCAGAGCTCAGGCTAACTCTGATTGGCAGACCCTCATGTAGGCAGGTTTCAGGATCCCCTCCCCAGGGATTCTACTTCCAGGTCAATGGCACCAATACCTTTTGGATCCAACTATGCTAATTCCAGGGAGAGGGTGTTTTGCCATCTTCATGTTGGCACAAATATTTACAAACTTGCAGACTTCCCTGAGTCCAGATCTCTCACCCCAGCATAACACTTCTGAACTCTCAATCTTACCTGTGAAGGGAGAGTGACAGAACTGATATCAGGACTAAAGCAAGGTCCTCTTCAGAGTTGGGAGTTTGATACCAGCCTGAGGCGAGGTTCTCTTAAGCTACAGGTGTGTAGGCCTGTGCTAGTCTGCATGGGGAATTCCAGAGTCTCATTATTCCTGCCTAATGGCCTCATCCTGAACTGTCCTCAGCTGGAGGTATCCGAGGCTGTGAAGGAGGAAATCCAGTTCAAGAGAGTTGAGAAGACTGTAGAATCCTTCTTTGAATTGGAAAGAGCCACAAAGCACAGGGTGCTTTAGGCCTTCTGCCTGGTCAGTAAGAGTCTGTTCCTCTTATCCAGGGAGAATCAACAGAAAGGGAACTTCTGGAACTGAGAACCAAAGTATCCAAACAGGAGCGACTCCTTCAGAGCACAACTGAGCATCTGAAGAACGCCAACCAGCAGAAGGAGAGCATGGAGCAGTTCATCGTCAGCCAGCGTAGGTTCCCTGAGAGGGAATGGGGGAAGAAACAGGCAGTCTTCCCGATGCCCCACTTGTGCTGCAGATGAGCAGTGACCAGGGGGGCTTGGGGATGTTGGGAGTTGAGACTGATTTGATGTCCCCAAACCTCCTGTACCAGGAGCAATTGTGGCTGCAGAGGGAGGGGAGGACAGGGGGTGGATAGAAGGAGACTCCAAGCTGAATAGCCAGAAAGAAATAAATGCTTTAGAATTCTCATGCTAAGCAAGTAGGGTTAATTTCTGCTGGTGGTTTCTACTCTGTGGTGCTCTTTTGTTGTTTCAGTAACCAGAACACATGATGTTTTAAAGAAGGCAAGGACTAACTTAGAGGTAAGGAAACTACTGCACCAGTCAGAGGCACCAAGCCTGTCCCCCACCCATCACCATCCGTTAGCAGATCTTGTAGGTGACCCTTGGCCTGCTTTGGCCTTCCAGGAGAAGACTTGGGGTCCACTTGCAAGATCACAGGTCCTCAGTGAGCATCCTGCTAGTTTCTGTCCCCATCACCCTCCCACCCCGTCAGCTCCTGCCCCTGTATCTTGGTTCACTCTCACATTGTCATCATCTCTCCTTTTTACTCCAATTTTTCTTCTTTGAGGCCAAGTTCAGAGACTGGAGAAATGCAATTCAGCTGACTCTTGAAGTCATTAGACATTCGGGAGTCTGCCTCTGAATGAGCTTCTAGTAGAGGGATCTTGAGGCCAGTTATGTGTTCTACTCTTCATGAAAAAGTAAAAGCAATTTGCAACCTAATAAACTGATTTCACTGCACATTCCCGGGTTAAGAACAGCAATTTGATTTTGCTATATCTTTAAGTAACATGACAAAAGAGATCTGTTGGGTCTCATTGGTCTAAAAGCGAATTTGTTAATAAATAACAACTGAACCTTCAGGGAAAAAATGTTATATATGTACCAGACATTATCTACATTTACTTAAAACACTAAGTGTTAATCATTCCCTAGGAAGTGCTTTGAAGAAAAACTTGAGGTATATGAAATGGTTAAAAATCAGAAACTAAACCTTTTAACATGGACATCAAAGCTTTGCCATAAGCAATTCAGCATATTCCTAGAAATGTTTCTAATCCATAACCTGAGAGAATGTTGATCTCCATAGTGTGAAAATGACTTGGGCCAGTTTAACTTGCTCTTTTTTTTATTTTTTCACTAATTCCCTTTTGTTTTTCTCTGATAATTCTTCTCTTTCCTGAGCCTCTTTAGAGCAGCACTTACAGGATTGCCTCTGTAAAGCCTTATTCCTGTCCCAGAAAAGGTAATCCAAAAAGTCTCTAGTATCCACTAAAAGGTAACCCAAAAATCTCTAGTATCCACTGGCTTTCTCCAGTGTGGAAGCTTTCCCCTCCACCTCCCATAGATCACTGGAAAGGACCCGAGGCCTCGGTTCTAATCCCTGGCTTATCACTAACTGCTGTGTGGCTTTGGCTTGTCCCTTAGTCTCTGTGAGACTGCTGCACCCTCATCTGTCAAAGATGGAACTGGACTTAGTTGAGCTCTGAGGTCCCTGTGGACTTGGCCCCTCCACACCCTCATTATGGCAACTGGACATAAACTTAACAGAGGGCTTCCCAGCAAAATGTCCTCTTCTTCCTACAAACAGGCTGTTTCTATATGTGCATGTTTCATGCTAAGCACTTCTTTCTTGGGTGGACATGGCAAAGGCCTCTTTCTGCTGAGACAAAGTGATTTGGAGAGTCACCTGGCCCCTGAAGGGGGAGTGGTAGGATCCAGCCACCCAGTGTGCAGTGAATTGGAGCAGGGATCTCAGCACACAGGGAGGTGGGGAGGCTCCCCCTAACCTCGGGCACCTGTTGCTCCTCCAGACTGCAGCGCATGCTCTTAGCTCATCCTCTTAACTGGCTCTCACCGTGCTCCTGGCTTTGGTCACCACGTAGCTCTCACTCCAGCTTCAGGTAGCCATCAGTAGGGCCTGGCAATATACACTGATTTGGTTTGTTTTATGTTTGTCTGCAGGTGAAATCCCTAAGGGCTCTGCCATGTACTCCAGCCTTGTGACCCTTGCCTTCCAGGAACCATGCAAGAAGCGCAGCCACCAGAAGTCCTTAAAACAGCAGGAAAGGTGGGCCTGTCCCCCTTTTGTGCAGCTACCTATCTGCTGAGGAGCATCTGGGCCTCATTCCTCCAAGTCCACGGGAGGGTCCAGAAGAGGGAGTCAGAGATGTATCCTGGTGGAGCTGGGAGAAAGGCAGAAAGCCTTTCTGACGGCTATGGAATACGATTAGCCAAGGTCCACTTGGCCCAGCACTAAGAAAAAGATGCGTAGTTTGCACAGAAGGTTTTGTGATCCTGCCTCTCAACAGCCCCAGCAGCTTGGGAACTAGCAAGAGCACATT
This sequence comes from Homo sapiens, assembly GCF_000001405.40. Classification (NCBI taxonomy): domain Eukaryota; kingdom Metazoa; phylum Chordata; class Mammalia; order Primates; family Hominidae; genus Homo; species Homo sapiens. The sequence continues at coordinate 149,032,324 of NC_000001.11, forward strand.
TCTTGCCTCATCAGCTGTCCTGAGATGGAAAACTCAGTGAATATAGGACCCTGATTCCGATGAAAGGGGCACGTGGTCCCAATGCTGGAGCTCCTCTGGCAGGTTCTAAAAGCACACTACTGAGCAGCGGTGCCCTGCCGGACACTGCTGGCGGGGGCTCAGTGAGCACTACTCACAGATCCACACCTGACCCTGTTGGGTCGAGTCAGGCTGGGCCTTGGTCTGCACTGTAGCACCTGTGTTCTTTGAGTTCACATCATGAATGTGGTGACTTCCCAGATACCATCTCAGGCTTAACCTAGCACATCCTATTTCTTTTCTTCTATGATATCCAAATTGGACTGACCTCACTTCAAAGTTGCTGTCCCATTTTGTCACCCTATCTTATCTCGGGGAAATTGCAGACTGATGGCCAGACCAACTCTGTTGAAATTCTTGCATAGAGCAAACCTGTGCTCATTTTTAAGTGGCATGGGAGAGGCCCCAAGCCTAGTAAAGCCTAGTCTGTGTCTTCACAGTGCTGGTAGAATGTGTTTGTGTGTATAAATATATGATATAGATTTATATATGTTGCTAACGCCATATATTGAAGGCCAACATAACTGGTGGACAGGGTGGGTGACAGAAAATGAAAGTCTTTTTGGTGATTGTTAAAGCAAAATGTGTATAAAGAAATAAATAGTTTTTCTTTCACTGCTTTGTTTCCCATTTCTGCACCAATCCCTTGACAGTATAAAGAACTGGAAAGAGAAAATGGGAAAGACAAACTGTGTTTAAGAAGCATATAGTCTAATGCTTGAACTCTAACTTTAAAAGATTAAGGTTTTCCTTCTTTGTCATTTTGTAAGAATCCCCAGTCTGAAAATATGAAAGAATGGTTCTTAAACTTGGTGTGCCTGAGAAGCAGCTGTGGAGATTATAGGAGCTACCTCCTGGTCTCCAATCCCAGGAGATTTAGTTGGTGTGAGCCCTAGAATCTGCATTTTTTTAATATAAGCACCCCAGGTGATTCCATTACATGTGGGCTTCAGATCACAGTTTAAAAAACAGTGTTCTATAACATTGAATCAAAACTAAAACTACATTTAAGAACCTTGAATCAAAAAGTATGTCATTCCATAAACATTGATATAAAAATTTTAAAATATTCCTTGGGAAAAGTTCTTAGCTACATGCTTTTGATTCCCAAGATTAAAATAAGCTATCACTTCACAATTATGTACTAGAAACATTTAAAAAATAAAAACAGGTAGAAGGTGGAGTAAGATGGTAGAATAGAATTCTCCAGCAATGGTCTCTCTGAAGGAACATCAAATTAAACAACTATCTATGTAAGAAAACACTTTCACAAGGGCTAGCCAGGTGAGAGATCATAGCACCCGCTTTTAACTTGCTAACAAGAAAAGATGCATTGAAGAAGGGAGGAAGGACAGTCTTGCATTGCCTATGACACCTCTCCCCCAACCACAGGAAATTCTCTGAGAGAGAATCTAATGGCTTGGGGACAAGGGGGAAAGTGTGAGACTTTATATTGAAACTTAGTACCAGTCTTGCCATAGTGATACACGGCACTGGGCAGAACCCCACAGCACTTGATTCCAGGCTGGTGCCCACAGAAGAAGCATTTAGACCCACCCTGGGCCACAAGGGAACCAGCTGCCCCAGCAGGAAGAACCCAGCAAAGTTCTGGCCGGCTTTATCACTGGAAATTTCTTGGGCTTCAAATAAATTTCAGTGGCAGGCAGGCTGTAGTGGCCGCAGTCCTTGGGCAAGCCCTGATGCTGCATAGGTCTGGAACACCCTGGACTTGTGGTGTGAGCCAGTATGATGGCAGCAGCTGCAGCAGCTATGGGAATGCCTGTATCACCCCTCCCCACACTCCAGGCAGTGCAGCCTGAAGAGAGGTTCCTCTTGCTTGGGGGAAAGAAAGGGAAGTAAGCTAGGGGCTTTACCTGGGAATGCGGAGAACAATCCCTGATCTTCCCCCAAGTCCACAGGGCTGGGGACCTAGGAATCGGTAAGAATTGCAGTGTACCTGGGCCTAGGGTGCCCTGTAGTACAAAAATGGCTGCAGTGATCACTGGCTTAGGGAACTCGTCAGCCCACTTTGAATTCCTGGAAAGTCCTCTGAAGGACAGGTACAAACAAGACCTGACTGCAAAGGCTGGAATAAATACCTTATCCTTCAATGCCCAGATACTGACAAACATCAACAGTATCAATAACATTGAAGCCAATATGACCTCAACAAATGGACCAAGTAAGGCACTCAGTGACCAACCCTGGAGAGATGGAGACGTGTAACCTCTCAGGGAATTCAGAATAGCTATTTTGAGAAAGCTCAATGAACTTCAAGAAAACACAGAGAAACAATTCAGAAATATATCAGAAATTTAACAAGATTACTGAAGTAAGAGAAAAAAATCAAATGCTGGAGCTGGAAAATACATTAGTGGGTCTCAGTAGAATTGATCAAGCAGAAGAAAGAATTAGTGAGCATGCAAACAAGCTATTTGAAAATACAGTCAGAGGAGAAAAAAGAAAAGAAGAATGAGCAGGAACACAGAATGCTTAAGAGATCTAGAAGAGGGCCTGAAAAGAGAAAATCAAAGATTCATTGGCCTTAAAGAGGGACTTGAGAAGGAGCAAAGAGTAGAACACTTATTCAAAGAAATAATCTTTTTTAAAAAAAAATACTTTAAGTTCTAGGGTATATGTGCACAACGTGCAGGTTTGTTATATAGGTGTACGTGTGCCATGTTGGTTTGCTGCACCCATCAACTCATCATTTACATTAGGTATTTCTCCTAACGCTATCCCTCCCCCAGCCTCCTACCCCACAACAGGCCCCGGTGTGTGATGTTCCCCTCCCTGTGTCCATGTGTTCTCATTGGTCAACTCCCACTTAAGAGTGAGAACATGCGGAGTTTGGTTTTCTGTCCTTGTGATATTTTGCTGATAATCACAATTTCTAGCTTCATGCATGTCCCTGCAAAAGACAAGAACTCATCCTTTTTTATGGCTGCATAGTATTCTTTGGTGTATATGTGCCACATTTTCTTTATCTAGTCTATTATTGATGGACATTTGGGTTAGTTCCAAGTCTTTGCTATTGTGAATAGTGCCTCAATAAACATAGGAGTGCACATGTCTTTATAGTAGCATGATTTATAATCCTTTGGGTATTCACCCAGTAATGAGATTGCTGGGTCAAATGGTATTTCTAGTTCTAGATCCTTGAGGAATTGCCACACTGTCTTCCACAATGGTTGAACTAATTTATACTCCCACCAAGAGTGTAAAAGCGTTCCTATTTCTCCACATCCTCTACAGCATCTGTTGTTTCCTGACTTTTTAATGATCGTCATTCTAACTGGCATGAGTGGTATCTCATTGTGGTTTTGATTTGCATTTCTCTGATGACCAGTGATGATGAGCATTTTTTCATATGTCTGTTGGCTGCATAAATGTCTTCTTTTGAGAAGTGTCTGTTCATATCCTTTGCCCTCTTTTTGATGGGGTTGTTTTTTTTCCTGTAAATTTGTTTGAGTTCTTTGTAGATTCTGGATATTAGCCCTTTGTCAGATGAGTAGATTGCAAAAATTTTCTCCCATTCTGTAGGTTGCCTGTTCACTCTGATGGTAGTTTGTTTTGCTGTGCAGAAGCTTTTTAGTTTAATTAGATCCCATTTGTCAATTTTGGCTTTTGTTGCTATTGCTTTTGGTGTTTTAGACATGAAGTCCTTGCCCATGCCTATGTCCTGAATGGTATTGCCTAGGTTTTCTTCTAGGGTTTTTATGGTTTTACATCTAACATTTAAGTCTTTAATCCACCTTGAATTAATTTTTGTATAAGATGTAAGGAAGGGATCCAGTTTCAGCTTTCTGCATATGGCTAGCCAGTTTTCCCAGCACCATTTATTAAATAGGGAATCCTTTCCCCATTTCTTGTTTTTGTCAGGTTTGTCAAAGATCAGATAGTTGTAGATGTGTGGTGTTATTTCTAAGGGCTCTGTTCTGTTCCATTGGTCTGTATCTCCGTTTTGGTACCAGTACCATGCTGTTTTGTTTACTGTAGCCTTGTAGTATAGTTTAAAGTCAGGTAGTGTGATGCCTCCAGCTTTGTTCTTTTGGCTTAGGATTGACTTGGCAATGCGGGCTCTTTTTTGGTTACATATGAACTTTAAAGTAGTTTTTTCTAATTTTGTGAAGAAAGTCATTGGTAGCTTGATGGGGATGGCATTGAATCTATAAATTACCTTGGGCAGTATGGCCATTTTCACGATATTGTTTATTCCTCTCCATGAGAATGGAATGTTCTTCCATTTGTTTGTGTCCTCTTTTATTTCCTTGAACAGTGGTTTGTAGTCCTCCTTGAAGAGGTCCTTCACATCCCTTGTAAGTTGGATTCCCAGGTATTTTATTCTCTTTGAAGCAATTGTGAATGGGAGTTCACTCATGATTTGGCTCTCTGTTTGTCTGTTGTTGGTGTATAAGAATGCTTGTGATTTTTGCACATTGATTTTGTAACCTGAGACTTTGGTGAAGTTGCTTATCAGCTTAAGGAGATTTTGGGCTGAGGTGATGGGGGGTTCTAGATATACAATCATGTCATCTGCAAACAGGGACAATTTGACTTCCTCTTTTCCTAATTGAGGAAAAGACTATTTCTTTCTCCTGCCTGATTGCCCTGGCCAGAACTTCCAACACTATGTTGAATAGGAGTGGTGGGAGAGGGCATCCCTGTCTTGTGCCAGTTTTCAAAGGGAATGCTTCCAGTTTTTGCCCATTCAGTATGATATTGGCTGTGGATTTGTCATAAATAGCTCTCATTATTTTTAGATACGTCCCATCAATACCTAATTTATTGAGAGTTTTTAGCATGAAGGGCTGTTGAATTTTGTCGAAGGCCTTTTCAGCCTCCATTGAAATACTCGTGGTTTTTGTCATTGGTTCTGTTTATATGCTGGATTACGTTTATTGATTTGTGTATGTTGAACCAGCCTTGCATCCCAGGGATGAAGCCCACTTGATCATGGTGGATAAGCTTTTTGATGTGTTGCTGGATTCGGTTTGCCAGTATTTTATTGAGGATTTTTGCATCGATGTTCATCAGGGATATTGGTCTAAAATTCTCCTTTTTTGTTTTGTCTCTGCCAGGCTTTGGTATCAGGATGATGCTGGCCTCATAAAATGAGTTAGGGAGGATTCTCTCTTTTTCTATTGATTGGAATAGTTTCAGAAGGAATGATATCAGCTCCTCCTTGTACCTCTGATAGAATTCGGCTGTGAATCCATCTGGTCCTGGACTTTTTTTGGTTGGTAAGCTATTAATTTTTGCCCGAATTTCAGAGCCTGTTATTGGTCTATTCAGAGATTCAGCTTCTTCCTGGTTTAGTCTTGCGAGGGTGTATGTGTCAAGGAATTTATCCATTTCTTCTAGATTTTCTTGTTTATTTGCAGAGAGGTGTTTATAGTATTCTCTGAAGGTAGTTTGTATTTCTGTGGGATCAGTGGTGATATCCCCTTTATCATTTTTTATTGTGTCTATGTGATTCTGCTCTCTTTTCTTCTTTATTAGTCTTGCTGGCAGTCTATAAATTTTGTTGATCTTTTCAAAAAACCAGCTCCTGGATTCATTGATTTTTTGAAGGGATTTTTGTGTCTCTATATCCTTCAGCTCTGCTCTGATCTTAGTTATTTCTTGCTTTCTGCTAGCTTTTGAATGTGTTTTCTCTTGCTTCTCTACTTCTTTTAATGGTGATGTTAGGGTGTCGATTTTAGATCTTTCGTGCTTTCTCTTGTGGGCATTTATTGCTATAAATTTCCCTCTACACACTACTTTAAATGTGTCCCAGAGATTCTGATTTGTTGTGTCTTTGTTCCCGTGGATTCCAAAGAACCTCTTTATTTCTGCCTTCATTTCATTATTTACCCAGTAGTCATTCAGGAGCAGGTTGTTCAGTTTCCACGTAGTTGAGTGGTTTTGAGTGAGTTTCTTAATCCTGAGTTCTAGTTTGATTGCACTGTAGTCTGACAGACAGTTTGTTATAATTTCTGTTCTTTTACATTTTCTGAGGAGTGCTTTTCTTCCAAGTATGTGGTCAATTTTGGAATAGGTGCAGTGTGGTGCTGAGAATAATGTATATTCTGTTGATTTGTGGTGGAGAGTTCTGTAGATGTCTATTAGGTCCACTTGGTACAGAGCTGAATTCAATTCCTGGATATCCTTGTTAACTTTCTGTCTTGTTGATCTGTCTAAAGTTGACAGTGGGGTGTTAAAGTCTCCCATTATTATTGTGTGGGAGTCTAAGCCTCTTTGTAGGTCTCTAAGGACTTGCATTATGAATCTGGGTGCTCCTGTATTGGGTACATATATATTTAGGATAGTTAGCTCTTCTTGTTGAATTGATCCCTTTACCATTATATAGTGGCCTTCTTTGTCTCTTTTGATCTTTGTTGGTTTAAAGTCTGTTTTTTCAGAGACTAGGATTGCAACCCCTGCCTTTTTTTGTTTTCCATTTGCTTGGTAGATCTTCCTCCATCCCTTTATTTTGAGCCTGTGTGTGTCTCTGCATGTGAGATGGTTTTCCTGAATGCAGCACACTGATGGGTCTTGACTCTTTATCCAATATGCCAGTCTGTGTCTTTTAATTGGAGCATTTAGCCCATTTACATTTAAGGTTAATATTGTTATGTGTGAATTTGATCCTGTCATTATGATGTTAGCTGGTTATTTTGTTCATTAGTTGATGCAGTTTCTTCCTAGCATCGATGGTCTTTACAATTTGGCATGTTTTTGCAGTGGCTGGTACTAGTTTTTCCTTTCCATATTTAGTGCTTCCTTCAGGAGCTCTTTTAGGGCAGGCCTGGTGGTGACAAAATTTCTCAGCATTTGCTTGTCTGTAAAGTATTTTATTTCTCCTTCACTTATGAAGCTTCATTTGGCTGGATATGAAATTCTGGGTTGAAAATTCTTTTCTTTACGAATGTCGAATATTAGCCCCCACTCCCTCCTGGCTTGTAGAGTTTCTGCCAAGAGATCAGCTGTTAGTCTGATGGGCTTCCCTTTGTGGGTATCCCGACCTTTCTCTCTGGCTGCCCTTAACATTTTTTCCTTCATTTCAACTTTGGTGAATCTGACAATTATGTGTCTTGGAGTTGCTCTTCTCGAGGAGTATCTTTGTGGTGTTCTCTGTATTTCCTGAATTTGAATGTTGGCCTGCCTTGCTAGGTTGGGGAAGTTCTCCTGGATAATATCCTGCAGAGTGTTTTCCAACTTGGTTCCATTCTCCCTGTCACTTTCAGGTACACCAATTAGACATAGATTTGGTCTTTTCACATAGTCCCATATTTCTTGGAGGCTTTGTTCATTTCTTTTTATTCTTTTTTCTCTAAACTTCTCTTCTCACTTCATTTCATTCATTTGATCTTGAATCACCAATACCCTTTCTTCCAGTTGATCGAATCGGCCACTGAAGCTTGTGCATTTATCATGTAGCTCTCATGCCATGGTTTTCAGCTCCACCTGGTCCTTTAAGGACTTCTCTGCATTGGTTATTCTAGTTAGTCGTTCATCTAATCTTTTTTCAAGGTTTTTAACTTCTTTGCAATGGGTTCGAACTTCCTCCTTTAGTTCGGAGTAGTTTGATATTCTGAAGCCTTCTTCTCTCAACTCATCAAAGTCATTCTCTGTCCAGCTTTGTTCCATTGCTGGTGCGGAGCTGCATTCCTTTGGAGGAGGAGAGGCACTCTGATTTTTAGAATTTTCAGTTTTTCTGTTCTTTTTTTCCCCCATCTTTGTGGTTTTATCTACCTGTAGTCTTTGATGATAGTGACATACAGATGGGGTTTTGGTGTGCATGTCCTTTCTGTCTGTTAGTTTTCCTTTTAACAGTCAGGACCCTCAGCTGCAGGTCTGTTGAAGTTTGCTGGAGGTCCACTCCAGACCCTGTTTGCCTGGGTATCAGCAGTGGAGGCTGCAGAACAGCAAATATTGCTGAACAGCAAATGTTTTTGTCTGATCGTTCCTCTGGAGGTTTTGTCTCAGAGGGGTACCCGGCCGTGTGAGGTGTCAGTCTGCCCCTACTGGGGGATGCCTCCCAGATAGGCTACTTGAGAGTCAGGGACCCACTTGAGGAGGCAGTCTGTCTGTTCTCAGATCTCAAACTCCATGCTGGGAGAGCCACTACTCTCTTCAAAGCTGTCAGACAGGGACATTTAAGTCTGCAGAGGTTTCTGCTGCCTTTTGTTTGGCTATGCCCTGCCCCCAGAGGTGGAGTCTACAGAGGCAGGCAGGCCTCCTTGAGCTGCAGTGGGCTCCACCCAGTTTGAACTTCCCTGCAGCTTTTTTTTCCTACTCAAGCCTCAGCAATGGCGGGCACCCCTCCCCAAGCCTTGCTGCCACCTTGCAGTTCGATCTCAGACTGCTGTGCTAGCAAGGAGTGAGGCTCCGTGGGTGTGTGACCCTCTGAGCCAGGCATGGGATATAATCTCCTAGCGTGCCGTTTGCTAAGAACATTGGAAAAGTGCTGTATTAGCATGGGAGTGACCCAATTTTCCAGGTGCCATCTGCCACAGCTTTGCTTGGCTATGAAAGGGAATTCCCTGACCCCTTGCACTTCCTGGGTGAGGCGATGCCTTGCCCTGCTTCAGCTCATGCTCGGTGAGCTGCACCCACTGTCCTGCACCCACTGTCTGACAAGCCCCAGTGAGAAGAACCCAGTACCTCAATTGGAAATGCAGAAATCACCCATCTTCCGCATCACTCATGCTGGGAGCTGTAGACTGGAGCTGTTCCTATTCAGCCATCTTGGAACAGCCCCTGGGTTTTGACTCTTTATCCAATTTGCCAGTCTGTGTTTTTTAATTGGGGAATTTATCCCATTTATGTTTCAGGTTAATATTGTTATGTGTGAATTTGATCTTGTCATTGTGATACTAGCTGGTTATTTCCCACCTTTTTTTCTTTTTTTTTGAGATGGAGTCTCGCTCTGTCACCCAGGCTGGAGTGCAGTGGTGTGATCTCGGCTCACTGCAAGCTCCACCTTCCAGGTTCACACCATTCTCCTGCCTCAGCCTCTTGAATAGCTGGGACTACAGGCACCCGCCACCATGCCCGGCTAGTTCTGTTTTTGTATTTTTAGTAGAGATGGGGTTTCACAGTGTTAGCCAGGGTGGTCTCAATCTCCTGACCTTGTGATCCGCCCGCCTCAGCCTCCCAAAGTTCTAGGATTACAGGCGTGAGCCACTGCTCCCGGCCTTATTTTACCTATTAATAGATGCAGTTTCTTCATAGCATAGATGGTCTTTACAATTTGGCATGTTTTTGCAGTGGCTGGTACTGGTTGTTCCTTTCCATGTTTAGTGCTTCCTTCAGGAGCTCTTGTAAGGCAGGTCTGGTGGTGACAAAGTCTCTCAGCATTTGCTTGTCTGTAACAGATTTTGTTTCTCCTTCACTTATGAAGCTTCATTTGGCTGGATATGAAATTCTGGATTGAAAATTCTTTTCTTTAAGAATGTTGAATATTGGTCCCCACTCTCTTCTGGCTTGTAGTGTTTCTGCCAAGAGGTCCGCTCTCAGTCTGATGGGCTTCCCTTTGTGGGTAACCCGACCTTTCTCTCTGGCTGCCCTTAATATTTTTTCCTTCATTTCAACCTTGGTGAATCTGACAATTATGTGTCTTGGGGTTGCTCTTCTCAATGAGTATCTTGTGGTGTTCTCTGTATGTCTTGAATTTGAATGTTGGCCTTCCTTGCTAGGATGGGGAAGTTCTCCTGAATAATATCGTGAAGAGTGTTTTCTAACTTGGTTCCATTCTCTCTGTCACTTTCAGGTACAGCTATCAAATGTAGATTTGGTCTTTTTACATAGTCCCATATTTATTGGAGTCTTTGTTCATTTCTTTTTACTCTTTTTCCTCTAATCTTGTCTTCTCACTTTATTTCATTAATTTGATCTTCAATCACTGATATCCTTTATTCCGCTTGATTGAATTGGCTATTGAATCTTGTTTATGCTTCATGAGGTTCTCATACTGTGGTTTTCAGCTCCTGCAGGTCACTTAAGCTCTTCTCTACACTGTTTATTCTAGTTAGCCATTCATCTAACCTTTTTTCAAGGTTTTCAGCTTCCTTGTGATGGGTTAGAACATGCTCCTTTAGCCCGGAGAAGTTTGTTATTACCGACCTTCTGAAGCCTGCTTCTGTCACCTCATCAAACTAATTCTCCATCCAGTTTTGTTCCCTTGCTGGTGAGGACTTGTGTTCCTTTGGAGGAGAAGAGGCGCTCTGGTTTTTGGAATTTTCAGCCTTTCTGCTCTGGTTTCTCCCCATCTTTGTGGTTTTATGTACTACTTTGGTCTTTGATGTTGGTGACCTACAGATGGGGTTTTAGTGTGGATGTCTTTTTGTTGATGTTGATGCTATTCCTTTCTGTTTGTTAATCCTTCTAACCAGGCAGGTCCCTCAGCTGCAGGTCTGTTGGAGTTTGCTGGAGGTCCACTCCAGACCCTGTTTGCCTGGGTGTCACCAGCAGAGGCTGCAGAATAGCAAATATTGCTGCCTGATCCTTCCTCTGGAAGCTTTGTCCCAGCGGGGCACCCACTTGTATGAGGTGTCTGTCGGCCCCTACTGGGAGGTGTCTCCCAGTTAGGCTACACGGTGGTCAGAGACCCACTTGAGGAGGCTGTCTGTCCATTATCAGAGCTCAAATGCCACGCTGGGAGAACTACTGCTGCCTTTAGGGCTGTCAGGCAGGGACATTTAAGTCTGCAGAAGCTGTCTGCTGCCTGTTATTCAGATATGCCCTGCCCCCAGAGGTGGAATCTAGAGGCAGTAGGCCTTGCTGAGCTGCAGTGGGCCCTGCCCAGTTCGAGCTTCCCTACCACTTTGTTTACACTGTGACCATGGAACCAAGTACTCGAGCCTCAGCAGTGGCAGAACCCCCTCTCCCTGCCATGCTCCAATGTCGCAGGTTGATCTCAGACTGCTGTGCTAGCAGCAAGCAAGGCTCCATGGGCATGGGACTTGCCGAGGCAGGCACAAGAGGGAATCTCCTGGTCTGTCAGTTGCAAAGACAGTGGAAAAAAGCACAGTATTTGAGCAGGAGTGTACTGCTCCTCCAGGTGCAGTCACTCACAGCTTCCCTTGGCTAGGAAAAAGAAATCCCCCAACCCCTTGCACTTCCCAGGTGAGGTGACACCCCACCCTGCTTTGGCTCATCCTCTATGGGCTGCACCCACTGTTCAACGAGTCCCAGTGAGATGAACCAGGTACCTCAGTTGGAAATGCAGAAATCACCTGTCTTCTGCGTCTATCTCACTTGAAGCTGTAGACCGGAGCTGTTCCTATTCAGCCATCTTGGAAGCAACCCTCTTTTTTTTTTTTTTTGTATTTTGGTAGAGACAGGGTTTCACCATATTGCCCAGACTGGTTTCAAACTCCTGAGGTCAAGCCATTCTATAAAAGAAAATTATATTTGTTTTATCTGAGTTCCTTCCTCAGGAAAGGACTCTCAGTCCTCTCAAAAAGCATCAGAGACCTGAAACTCAGCCAATCACAGCATCCAGACAATGAGATGCCAGTCCCCTCACTCATCACAAGTGCTTCCTCACCCCTCCCTAGTTTCTCTCTTCCCACACACAGTTACATTTCTTCTGTGCTATATAAACCCCTAACTTGAGTCAATCAGGGAGACAGATTTGAGACTCAACTCCTGTCTACTCAGCTGCAGCACCTGATTAAAGCCTTCTTCCTCAGCAATACTCAATGTCTCAATGATTGTCTTTCTGTGTGCTGAGAACACTGAAGCCCTGGGGTTTTGGTAAAAATACATGTACACTTTTAAAAACCGCAATTAATGGGTTGTGGTATATTGAGAAATTGGAGTGGCATCAACTTGGCCAATTCTGAGGAAACACACTGTGCTTAAGTGTGAGGGCCCTGCCTCCTGACCTCGACAGTTTATGGTTGATTTTGAGGCACAGCAGGGGAGTATGGCCTGGTTTGAGTGTTTTATAGAAATGTAAAACATGGCTGATTACTTTTTATTTTAAATCCAACAAATCTCCATTTCTGGTTAGAAAATCTTGCCAAAACCAACCAAACAAATGCATAGAAGTATATGAAGAAGGAAATGAAAGATTCCCTGCCTCCCAATCCCACTTGCTTGGTGTCAGCCATTATTTATCACATGGAGGAAGGGGGAAAGGCACCCAGGAAGTCCCAAGTCCTGTTCTCACAATCATCTGGCCTCCCTGGGCAAAGGGAAAAGAGGGAAGGCAAAAAGAATATAGCACTACGGTTTGCAGAAATTTCCCCTTGGTACAGGAAACTCTGGTAAACTGAGAGAGTATGTTTTCCATGAGGGAGGCCTCAAGGGCTCTTCTCTGGCCCTAAGCCCAAACTGGATTTTGCCTCATTTTCTGAGGTGCAAATGAAATGATAAAAGTTGATCAAAGGAGAGGGCAGAGAGAAAGAGGATGACTCCTCTCTCACAGGTCCACCTTCCTTGGTGTTGCTTGAGGGATCAGAAGAAATGCCTTAACATAGGTGTGTGGGAACTATGGCTGCTAAGTATGAACTCAGTTACCTCCAGTTATAAGCTAGTGTGAGGTTCCATGGTGTAATGGTGAGCACTTTGGACTCTGAATACAGTGATCAGAGTTCAAGTCTCACTGGGACCTTTCTGTATAATTCCAGTGAGGTTCCTCTCTATTGCTCTATAAGCAGAATGGGGGAAATTGCCCAATCATGGTCACAGACCCTCCATGCCACTGGCTGTGTGCAATTGGAGTCCCGGACCCAGCGACCAGCAAGACCCCTCCCCTCTCAGGGTGACCCTGGGCCTCCAGGTCACAGGTCTCCACTAAAAAGGCTGCCTCCCCTCAATCCTAGACCCCGAGTTTTCTTTTGTTCACATCATTGGGCCATTGCCCTACATCTCTTTGGAAGAAATGACCTATATGAAAAGCTTTACTTCTGGGATTCCCTAATTCCTTCATCCCTTAGGACAGTGCAGTTTTTCATCTCCTGATCTTGGGTCCAGTACTAAAGCGCGCGTTTGATTTTGTTTTCATGGGATCCCCTCCGACCAGCTACCAGTGGATTCCTGTCCTTGGGGTCTCTGTGGACGGCAACTAGATGCTGCTCTTGTCCCAAATCCTGACACCTCCCTCCAGCCAATTGCCTCCCTTAGCCTCCTAAATCAGCCAATATTTAGATTTGAGCCTGGAATCCCAGCATCTGTGGAGAATAGAGGTTCCTGATCCCTGGCCAGCCTCCCGCAGTGAAGGGGAGAGGAGCAGAGCAGCTGGGAGGGGCAAGTCCAGGGCCCTGGGCAACCGCCTTCTTCCTGCCCAGACTCTGCTCCAAGGAGCAGTTGCCTTAGGACCAGATCAGATGGACACTCTTGTTCTCTTCTCATCAGCAGAAAAATTTAGGCAAGAGCTCTGGAGGACCTTCCTAGCTCATAAAAATGCTGTGGTCAAGTCTCTCCAGTTTTGGAAATGTCCAAGGTTACCAAGTGTTTTGAGGGCTCACTTTGGAGCCTCTGAAAAGGAGGGGTCAGGGCCCATGGAAGGTACCTGAGGGATTCAGGAGAGAGAGGGGAAAGAGCAGACAGGAGGGAGGAGAGAAGGAGGGAGGGGGAGAAAGGGTGTGTGAGGGCCAGGAGCCAGGATTCACCCTGACAGTTCAGTGACTGCTCCCTGACCCCAAAGTTCCCACTGTGGCACCTTCCAGCAGGTGGTTCCCATCTCTTATTGATGTCCTGAGAACTTGGCTCTGCAGAATGGTCCCACCCTATTTGTCTGGCATGAGTCCTGCAAAGTTTCTTTTCATCGTTTGGGGGATGAGATGGGGGTATATAGGTTTGCAAGTGACTAGGAGCTAAGTCAGGACCTTGTGGAGCCACTCAGAGTTAACTGTCAAGTAGCCTCCTTTCCCCCTTCCCTAGCAGGACGATTGCCTGCAAGACAGGGCCTGGAGGAGGCCAGGGCACCCAAGGCCACAGAAATGCCCAGGGATGAGTCCCAGCTGGAGATGCCTTGGCTAAGCTGACTGTGCACTTCCAGGGCTCACAGGGGTCTGGCCAGGAGACTGAGCAAGGGGACCAGGGAGGTTGTGCAGAGGCTTCTGCACAGCAAGGCAGACATTCTTCTTGGAGCCCCCAACCCAAATCAGGTCTTCCACCTCCTCTTCCTAAAGACCCTTTACTGCTGTCGTTCTTTTACTGAACTACAAGTTTAGAGGACATGGATTTCAGTGCCCTCATCTGGCCAACCATCTTCAGCTGCCAATGGACAAGGTAACCTCCCTCCCTGCCAAGACCTGACTCAGGACCTTTCCTTAAGGAGATGTCCTGTTCTTTCTTTCCCACCAGAACTGCCCTGGCCCAGACCCCATTTCTGTCTGGTGACCAGGACAGTCCCCTCACCAGTCTCCCAGGTTGGGGAGGGCAGATTCTCCTCAGCTCCCTGCCCCTGAGAGACCCCAACCGTCTTGTGTGGCTCCGGCCCACAGAGTGATATCCATGGCCCATATCTCTCAAAACTCTCCCCTCCCACTCTGAATCCACCCTCTACTGCATGCTCCCCTCACAGAACAGACTAATTTTTGTGTGTGTGTCCTTGTTTTGCCTACCTGTACCCCAGATAGACTTTTCTGTCTTAGAACTACCTGTCCCTCTTTGGACAGTGTCTTCCTGGTACTGCACATGAAGATGTCCCGCTCTCCCCTGCTCAAGGAGAGAGTGCCTGACCTGAGCTGGGCCCATCAGATCCAGTACTTACCTGGAATAGGAAAACGATGGGGAGGGTGACCAAAGATTGCAAAAATCTTTGAAGCTTATCTACTTGAGAGAGAGTCCCTGAAGATACTGGCCTCTCATTCCTGCTATGTATATCCAATGTGACTGAACTCTGAATAAAATATACAAGTTATAACAATGTAGCAATTGACCCAGCAAATGAGGACACAAACGTGTTGGAGGGTAAGGTGGTGAGAGGCGTGTTTGGGGGTGGTGGTGATGAGCAAGTATGTGAAGGAGAGGTAGTGCCTAAACTTGAAAATCAAAAAGTAATAATATCTATTTAGACATAAGGAGATAAATAACGAAATAATTGCTTCTATGTGATGAAACTCTGGGAGTACACAAGGGGACTGCTACTTTACTAAACAAATTTTCAAGTATATATAACTTTGATAAGGTATCCAAATAAAATAATTCCTTTCCCATATAAGTATGTGTATATATGTATTCATTGTATTTTGAAGATAAATTTTTACACAGTCATGTTAATCGCTTTCATTTAAGGATTTGAGTTTGAGGTCTTGCATACAATGTGATCCCACTGTATGACTACACAAATGTTGGCAAAAGTGAGTTCAGAGGAAGTGGTAGGCAAGTACTTCCCAGTTTTGGCCAGAAGATGGAGAAAAAAATAATTCTCAAAAAATGTTAAAAGTATGACATGTTATATCTTCTTTTCACAGTAATTTAGACAGAAATTAGCAAAATCAAACATGTATAAATACTTTGGTCTGACAATTCCATCTCCAGGTGTCTACGGAGAAATAAACAAGTGATGCACGACAGATACATGTGTCAGTCTGGTCCCTGCAGTTGTATTTGTAATAATACACATTGGAGCAATTTCATGGCCATCAGTTAGAGAATGTTTGAGGAATGATCCATTCATATCAAGAAGGACATTTCAAAGATCAAAGCCTGATGGAAATGCTGGAGACCATGGAGCTGATAGGAGCTCATGCGTGTTGACCAATTACTACGTGACAGGCATTGGCTCCACGCTTTTCCTGCACTGCTCATTTAAACACTGGACAACCTAAGTGTTCTGATTTAGCCCATTGGACAGATAGAAATGGAGGCACAGAAGATTCATGTGTTTAACTTCAAACCCTGGCAGATTAGGTTTTTCATCCAGAGCCTGTGGCTTCACCATAGCTGTGATTCACGTTCTGTCATTCTCCACTTTAGGAATTTCCAGTATTCCAAATATGAGAAGCTGAGAAAACAAACAACAAACTCAAAACCCTAAAAACCAGGATACGTAAGGGTAGATGTTTGTTGGGTGTGGATTAAAAATGGACTTTTTTTGCCCCAAGCAACAAAGAGGCACCTTAGAAAATAGACAAGAGACAAGAGGAAGAGAAGCTTTAAGAGATATTTGGTCCAAGGAAGAGACTCTTCAGATGGAAGGTCACGTCAGCTAGAAACATTAATATGACTGGATGGGCTCAAACCACTGACTTTTCAGTCAACATCCGACAGCACTAACCCAGTGTTCCAGAGACACTGCTTGTTAAACAGTGAAAGCTGTTGCTCAATTGTGTCATCCGTAATTGTCAAATATTGCCATTTAGTAGCACAAGGAAGTATTCTCTGTTGCCAAGCTAGAGTACCCATAACTCTTCTGTTTTGTTGAACATTCTTCCCCACCACAAACCCTCTTTAGAAGACTGGGGGCTCCTAAAGCATTGAGGCCGAGAGTCCCGTCCTTGTGCATGTTTGGGCATTGACCCAGGGCCAAGTCAGTGGGAGACTCCTCCACGCCTACGCCAGGTCCCCAGGTGACAACTGCAGTCTCTGGATCTGAAGTCATCCACTTTCCCATTCCTAGCTCACCTCACCCATCGTGAAGCCTGGTTAGTATTGCCAGAGACCCGAGTGGGCAGATGCCCACACCAAAGACAGAACCTGCTGCGTGCCCACCTTGCTGATCCCTCCCTCCTTCTAGACAAAGGCTTCATAAGCCAGGGACCTTGGGTTTGCTCACAAGGCAGCCCCTCACCTAGTAGGCATTAGTTCATTATGTATATGTATATGTAGTCCTCAGGTTGTATTCCTTAAATATATATAATTTAAGGATATGTATTATATATATATAAATATATATGTAATTCCTTAAATATATAATTTTAATACAATTTTTTTTTTGAGATGGAGTCTCACTCTGTCGCCCAGGCTGGAGTGCAGTGGCACCATCTTGGCTCACTGCAAGCTCCACCTCCCAGGTTCACGCCATTCTCCTGCCTCAGCCTTCCAAGTACCTGGGACTACAGGCGCCCGCCATCACGCCAGGCTAATTTTTTTTTTTGTATTTTTAGTAGAAATGGGGTTTCACCATGATAGCCAGGATGGTCTCGATCTTCTGACCTCATGATCCACCCACCTCGGCCTCCCAAAGTGCTAGGATTACAGGCGTGGACCACCGCGCCTGGCCAAAACAAAGTTTTTAAAAGATTCCTTTAATAAACATTTACAATAACATCAAGAAATATAAACGACATAGCAAATATGTGAAAGCCAGCCAGACTCTCAATGGCATCCAGAAACATAAACTACATAGAAAAGACATGAAAGCCAGCCAGGCTTGGCTTCGAATCCCAGCACTTTGGAAGGCTGTGGCAGGAGGGTTGCTTGATCTCAGAAGCTTGAAACTAGCCTAGGCAACATAGTGAGCCCTCATCTCTACTGAAAATCAGAAAAATTACCCGGGTTTGGTGGTGTGAGCCTGTAGTCCCAGGAATCAGTGGATGAGGCCCTAGGATGTCATAGGCCTGAGAATTCCATGCTGCAGTGAGCTGTGATTGTGCCACTGTACTCCAGCCTGGGTGAAAGAGTGAGATCCTGTGCAGAAACAAAAGAAGAAAAAAAGAGATGTGAAAGCCTATATATTGAAGACTACCAAGTACTGCTTAGAGCAGTTAAAGACCTTTGGAATAGAAAATGTTTCTTCTTGCATTTCAAGATTGCTTTTGTTTTGGGGGGACACACTATTTTTTAGGAATATGAAGTTCTTCTTAGGCATTCCTGTAAAAAAGGCCACTTCTTGATAGGATTGTATTGAATCTGTGGGTTGCTTTGAGTTGTATTTTTATCTTAACCATGTTACAACTTCCAACCCATGGACACAAGATGTCTGTCCATTGATTTAGGTCTTCCTGAATCTCCTCGAGCAATGTTCTGTAGTTGTCTGTGTACAAGTACTGCACCTTCTTGAACAAATTTATTCCCAGGCATATTATTCTTACAAGTGCTATTATAAATGAAATCATTGTGTCAATTTTCTTCTCAGATTGTTCATTGCTAACACAACTGATTGTTTACTGAAAGTTTGCTGAATTCACTTATTAACTCTAGTAGTGTGTGTATGTGAGTGTGTGTGTGTGTGTGTGTGTGTCTGGCCTCTGTGTGCATGTATGTGTGTTTGCATCTGTAGGTATTATTTGGGATTTTCTATGCATAGGATCACACCATCTGCAAATTGAGATCATTTTGTTTTCTGTTCAAAAATACTTTTTCTCATGTTTATTTTTAAAAGATAATTTGGCCAGGTGTAGAATTGTAGGTGACAGTTTTTCTTTTTTTAAGTTCTTTATTGCAAACTTCTTGTTTGTATGAGAAATCTTATGCCATCCTTATATTTAGTGCTCTGTATGTAACATGTTCTTTCCCTTTTTATTCCTTTTAGGATTTCCTTTTTATCACTGGTTTTGATGGATTTGATTAAGGCGTTCCTTGGTGAAGTTTTCTTCATGTTTCTTGTTCTTAGAATAATCATATTTCTGTAATATTTGAAGTTTATGGTTTCCATGGAGCTTCTAAATCTTTCATCCAGTATGTTTTAAATATCTTTGTCTCTCTTCTCCACTACACGCCCTTCAGGGATTCCATTTAGCCCTATACTGGGGGGTTTAAAGTTTTGATGCCGATGGTGTTTTTATGTTTTCAAGTCATTTGTTACTGTGTGTTTCATTTATGTTAGTTTCAACTTCTATTCCTTCTAGTTCAATAATCTTCTCTTCTGCAATGTTTAATCCACTGCCTTCTTCCATTTCAGACTGTAAATCATACTTTTTATCTACAGAATTTGATATTTAAAAAATCTTCAACCTCCCCATTTAATTAAAATACAATTATACTAACTGCTCTAATGTCCTTTTCTTCTATGTCCAACATGTCTGTCAATTTCAACTAGATTATTAGATTCTTCATTATGTGTCATGTTTTCCTGCTTCTTTGGCTGCTTGATATTCTTTTATTTTTTTTTTTTTTTTTTTTTGCGGGGGGATAGAGTTTTGCTCTCGTTGCCCAGGCTGGAGTGCAATGGTGTGATCTCAGCTCACTGCAACCTCCACCTCCCAGGTACACAAGCGATTCTCCTGTCTCAGCCTCCCAAGTAGCTCAGATTACAGGCATGCACCATCATACCTGGCTAATTTTTTTGTATTTAGTAGAGATGGGGTTTCACCATGTTAGTCAGGCTGGTCGTGAACTCCTGACCTCAGGTGATCCATCTGGCTGCTTGATATTCTAAGATTTGATGCTGGAACTTTGGTGTCAATGCTCAAAATGCCCAAAGACACCACTCAACCTCAGTGTCTATGCACACCCAAGCTTTTGCAGCAGGACAGGTAGAGCAGAGATGAGTGTGCTACAACATGCTGGTAGAGGGTACCCCCAATTGTGCTTGGGGATTTCCTATTCCTCATGGAAAAATGTGTCTTCCTTAATTTTTCCCATAAGAACCACCCTACTTCATGCCCTGTCTCTCTGTCCAAACACCAGGACAGTCCTCTCACCAGTCTCAACCACCCAATGGATTGACAAAGGTGCAAATATGATTCAGTGGAGAAGGCATTCTCTTGTCAACAAATTGTGTAGAAACAACTTTTTTTTACACAATTTGTTTTTTTTATCCCCAAAGGAAAAAAATTCACCTGAACCTCAATACTAACTCAAAAACTAACTCAAAATGGATTATGCAACTAAATATAAACTATAAAACTAGAAAAAGTATAGCAGAAAATATAAGACAAAATCTTCATGACACAGAGTTAGGTAAAGTGTTCTTTATTATCAATAAACACAAACCATTAAAGAAAACATTGATAAATTCGACTTTATGAAAATTAAAAGTTTTTGCTCAACAGTACTAAGAGAACAAATATAAGCTGCAGTTTGGGAGAAAAACAGTGGAAATCACCAATATGACAAAGGGCATGTGTGATAGTTACTTGTACTTGTCACTGTGACCGAGCACCAGGGTGCCAGGACATTTGGCCAAACATGATTCTGGTTGTGTTCCAGAGAGTCTTTCAGATACGATTAACATTGGGATGGGCAGACTAAGTGAAGCAGATTGCCCTCCTTAATAGGGGTGGGCCTCATGCAATCCATCAAGGGCCAGGAGAGAATTAAGAGGCCTAATGGGAAACAAATGCTTTCCTGGGTATCCAGCTTTCCTTCCATCTTGGGAATTTCAGCCTCCATAATCTCAGAAGCAAATTCATGTATATATATACACACACATATACATTTCATAGGTATGTGGCTAAGATTGTATTTTTACAAGTTCAGCCATGAGATTGGTGAAGCCAGCCAATGAATAAGGGTGTGTTCTATTATACGATTCAGTCTTCTTTTGTAAACGATTGAAGTTCTGCATTTGAAGTAGGAGGATAGGAGGGAGCAAGTCCACCTAGGATGATAACAGCTGAATTTCTCAACATACACTTCAGAGCTGTAGGGGTCAAGTTAGAGACTCAAAAATCTCACCCATAATCCTGCCCTAAACACCAGGGCTAGGGAACACTGTGGCCCTCAGGTGATTTTCTTTAGCCAGGTCTGGGAGCCACACGACGGCAGAGGGAGCAGGAAACACTATGCAAATAGAGGCCAGGACAGCAGGGAGGGCCTGTTCATGATAGAACCCAGGCAAAACTCTCCTCAGAAAGCGAGTGTGGAGAAACATAGATCATGCCTGAGACCTGGTGGATTAGAGCACTGGCTACTGGGGAATTGAAAGGAAGGGGCTTCACCGTGCAGAGGACCAGAGGTGCCAATCTTGGAAATGCAGAATTGCTGGGAGATGGGGAGGCACGGACCATGGAAGTATCCTCTGGAGACTCATGGTGAAGAGAACAAATGAATGAAGTAACTGGCAGAAATTAGAGGTCCTGGTAGAACAAAATAGAATCCCACAATGAGAACATACACCATGTATGTCCCCCAAGGAAGACAATATCTCCTAAAAACTCCAGAAAAATCATTTTGGGCAAGCACCTTATATCTAGTAATGCGATCCATGTATCGAGACCGTGAGAAAAGATTATTAAACATGCTAAACTCAGCGAGACCTGATTCCCTCATGAGGACTCTGTTAAGGATGAGTACCACTCAGCAAGTGACGACTGTGACATTCACTTTTGAATAGCTCATGAGCGTTAATATATTTCATTGTGGATCTAAACCAAAAACCAAGGTAGGGGCAAGATGATAATCACAGAATGTCACCGGTATATGTTTAGGTTCAAATACTATTATGAGAAGTGGCAGGTAAAGGAGGTAGGAAAAAGAAAACACATCATGTAATTGACTGTTGTATGGAAATATTTGATGCTGAAAGTTATAATTTAAAACTATAAACCAAATATTAGAAGTGTGTCTAGTCCAAAGGGAGGAAAACCATCAAAAACATTTTTAGTGCAATATTTAACATGAGCTATACAACCCTTCCTAAATGCCAAAGGCACACACAGACACACACACAGACACACACACACAGACACACACACACTCACACTCACGAAGAATACAAATGACTAGAACCAAGAAATGTAAATACATTCTGCTACATATGGTAAACATAGCCTACAATGTGGAAGAGATTAGAAAATAAACATGGAAATGAAATGTTTTTATTAATTCGCATCAGTACCCACCAAAACCAATCAGCATAATCAAATATTATAACACTGAATGTAAAAAACAATCCAAAAGTCCAGAGTGATAGGCAAAAGGTTTTAATTGTATAGATTAAAATTAACTTTGGACAAAAATTAAAACTCAGGCAGAGAATGTTTTCTTCTTTTTGCAACAGCAGACACTAGTAAAAACAAAGGCACAGTAAAAATTGAGACCCAAAATTTCCAGCGTAGAGATATGAATATAATAATAGACACAGGCAGGGAGGATTAATAAATGATAAAATGTTTAGAGGATGATCATTAGAATACAGGATATTTATACTCTTGAAAACCGCTTTCCCAAGTACTTCATTATAAGTAAGGTGTCTCTAAAAGGGACAGATCTCCTAGACCCCTCCTTAACCAAGTAACCAGTCCTGATATCATAATGGTGATGGACAAACTAGACCTTCTCTGCCCGCAGATGGGCTGAGGTTGGAAACTCACAGCATTGTCTCTGCAGTGTTCCCGGCAAAACGTTTAGGCTGAATTTAATCATGAAGACATTTTCAGACAACTTCAGAATGTAGATCATTGAGCCAGACAGCTGACCTGTCCTCTATAAACAAGTCCATGTCACCACCATCCATGACAACAACAAAAAGATGAGGAAATATTTGGGGTTCAAAATAACTAAAGAAATGCAGCTACATTATCTTTTTACTTTTTTTGAACCCAAAATATCTCTTCTCCTTTTTGTTGTGTGATTTGTGGTGATAAGGACTATGTGAAGGAGACAGGTCAGTTGTCCTGCTCAGTGTTCTACATTCTGCAGTTGTCTGGTGATTACCTCCTATGAAACTCAGGCTAAGCGTTTTCTGCAAGAACATGGCATTGTTCATATTCTGCACCGGCAGAGTCCTGGGTGACATGCTGTCTCCTGCCAGCGGCTCCTGACTCCTGTTCTCTACAGGATGGAATTGAGAGGAGCAGGGCTAAGGCCTCCCAATGCTGTTTGTCCATCTAGCTGTGGTCTTCCTAAGTACTGACACCAATTGGAGGCTGAAGGACTGTGGCTTCTCTAACCAAAGGAGCCTAGCGGGTTAACAATTGTCAAGAGCAGTTGGTGGTTCTGAAATACAATCCTCAGCCAAGGATCCCTCCTGTGTTACAGATGGATCAGCTAAAACAAGCCAACACTGAAGACACGAAGAATGAGGTTAGGTTCATTGAAACCAGGGTAACACCTTTGGATGAGCTAAACACAAAGATGACAATGACCTTGAGCAGGTATAGAAGCTCAGAGACATGTCTGCAAAATGAAATCCCTGAGGAATTTTGTAGCTACCCAGAGATACGTGGTTCAAATTAAAATGTCTGACTGATCACTCCCGGCATGTGCTGCACAGTTATGTGAACGTGTCACACCTAACGTGGGTCCATTGTCTTCAGACTGAGCACAGGTTGCCACTGGCATGGTTTGAGAATAGGAATAGAGCCATGCCCACTGACCCATCCTATGTCTGGGCTTCCAAATGGAACTGTACTTTCATTCAAAACTTC
Source organism: Homo sapiens (assembly GCF_000001405.40). Lineage (NCBI taxonomy): Eukaryota > Metazoa > Chordata > Mammalia > Primates > Hominidae > Homo > Homo sapiens. The sequence continues at coordinate 149,055,600 of NC_000001.11, forward strand.
ACGTGCCTATAGGTCCTGCCTGCAGGAATGACATCTCTCGGCTTAGTAAGGGCTGCTTATTGTGGGAATATGACTTCCATCTGGAACACCAGGTGGAGACTTGTCACCGTCAAAGTAAAAAACCTATTGTCCACGTAAAGGGCGAAGCTGATGTGCTGTTCCTCAAATGAGTAAAACACACTTCTGTAGTGCTGGAATGAGTCAGGTAGTTCAAAGTACATTGACGGAGTAGAATAACATCCATCCAGTGAGTCCTGCAAGACTTCAGGCTCTTCCACTTCCATCAGCACGCCGTTGAGCCTGGAAAAGGAGACAAAACTAAAGAAGCAGCCAGGGAAAATCAGACACCACAGAGCCCCACTAGATTTCAGAAGTAACATAAGGAAGTGGTTAGAAAAGAAAAAGGATAGATCCATTAATGAGGTAAAAAAAAAAATTTATTGCCTTTATGTTGGGATAGAACAGGGCCAGGTAGAAAACAATGAAAGAGAAAGACAGAGAGAGAAAGACAGAGACAGAGACAGAGAGAAAGTGAGCTAGTGAATTGGCCAGGTGACATACTGGTAAGGGAGTAAAAGGACACTCTGAGTTAGTGCCCTCATGACACACAGCAAACTGTGATCATGAAAAGAGTGAGCTCAATAGTTTTCCATAAAATATGCTCAAAATTCGATGCAGTGGCCATGAGAGTACAGCTTTTGAAGTATGGTCAACCTATGGTACGTTAGGAAATGATAAGGGGAGGAAGAAATGGAAACCTAAACATCTACTGCAATGAAAACCAACAGCAATGACAGTAGGAGTAATTCAGCCTTCGTTGAAAACATGACATCAAACACACTCTGGTTTCCCTGAATCTGTTGCCTCCAGGTGTTAACACAGAATTAAGCATCCACAATTGCTGAAAGTCACCTGGGGCATGGTGGGTTTTGATCTTCTTCCCCTTCTTTTCTTCCCCTTCTTCTTTCCTTCTTTGATCTTCTTCCCCTTCTTTTCTTCCCCTTCCCCTTCTTTTCAATTTCTGCAATAAATTCAGACATGGACAGACACATTAAGCTGATTCCCCTACACACATAACAATCCACTGTCTAATCCTCACACAGGGACCTCAGGCTCCTCAGCATAAGAATAGGACACTGTGAGAGATATATTTCAGGAGGCCTGAAGGCTGGTCATGATAGAAATTCCTCGGTTTTTCTCCCAGAAACTGTGGGTAAAATGTCCCTATTCTAGTAGATCGTTATCCCAATATCATTTGTCCCAAGTTTGTGCAAACAGTTACGCCATATTTTTCCAATCAACTTAAAGCAAATACCCTCAAATGATTTCTAGGAGAAAAACTGCAATATTTAGCCCTGTCTCATCAAATACTCAGATTGTTCATGGTTGTGAGGACTTTAGACACTGAAATTAGAGTGAAAAAGGAAATCTACAAACCCTTGAGTCAAAATCATAGTTCTCTGAATTTGTCACATCTGCCCAGGTCCAATGTCATGAGAATAGGATCAGGGTGCCACAGGTATGGCCTGAGACTAGGAAGAGAGTCTTGCTCACTGACCCATCCCTTGTCTGGGCTTCCAGGTAGAACTAGAGTTTCATTCAACCTACATGTGCCTATAGGTCCTCCCTGTGGCAATGACATCTCTCAGCTCAGTAATGGCCACTTGGAGCAGGAATATGATCTTTATATGGAAGACTCAGTGGATCCTTATCACCTTCATAGAAAGGTACTCACCTCCCACGTCAAGAGAAAAGCCAACATGTTTTTCCTCCAATGCATAAAAGGAACTTCCATAGGGCTGGCAGGAGTCAGGCTGTTCAAGACAACTGGAAGGAGTTGAATAACATCTATCCAGTGAGTCCTGCAAGACTTCAGGCTCTACTACCTCCAGCAGCTCCCTGCTGAGCCTGGAAAAGGAGGAAAAAGTAAAGAATAAGCCAGGGGAAATCAGACACAACAGAGCCCCAACTAGGTTTCATGGGTAGCATAGGGAAGTGGTTAAAAAACTAAAAGGATAGATCCATTAATGAGGTAACAAATTATTGCCTTCATGTTGGGACAGAACAGGGCCAAATGGAAAAGAATGAAAGAGAAAGACAGATAGACACACACACACACACACACACACACACACACACACACACACACACACAGAGAGAGAGAGAGAGAGAGAGAACGAGCTCAGTGAATTGTCCAGGTGACACACTGATGAGGGAGTAACAGGACACTCTGAGTTAGTGCCCTCAGGACACACAGCATACAGGGATCATGAAAAGACTGTGCTCAATAATTTTCCATAAAATGTGCTCAAGTTTCCATGCAGTCGCCATGAGAATACAGTTTTTGAAGTCTGGTCCACCTACAGTAGGTTAGTAAATGATAAGGGGAGGAAGAAATGGAAACCTAAATATCTACTGCAATGAAAACCAACAGCAATGTTAGTAGGAATAATTCAGGCTTGCTTGAAAAGATGTAATCGATAATGTCAGCCCGCTCTGTTTTCCCTGAACCAGGAGTCTCCAGATGTCAACACAGAAGTAGATGTTCACAATTGCTCAGTTACCTGGGGCATGGTGGGCCTTGGTCTTCTTCCTCTTCTTGGTCCTTTTTAATTCCTGCAATACATTCAGACAGGGACAGACAAAATAAGCCAATTCACCTACACCCATAACAGTCCACTGTCTAATCCCCACACAGGGATCTCAGGCTCCTCAGCATGAGAACAGGACAATGTGACAGATATACTTCAGGAGGCCTGAAAGCTGGTCATGATATTCTTTGGTTTGCATCTCAGAACCAAGGGTGAAATATCCCCATTCTGGTAGATCGTTATCCCAAAATCATTTATCCCAAGTTTGTGCAAACAGTTATGCCTTATTGTTCCCATCAGTTCAAAGAAAATGCCCCAGATGATTTCTAGGAGGAAAACTGCAGTATTCAGCCCTGTCTCATCAAATGCCCAGCTCGTTCATGGATGCAAGAATTTTAGACACTGAAATTAGAATGAAGGAGGAAATCTACAAACCCTTGAGTCCAAATCATACTTCTGTGAATTTTTTACATCTGCCTGGGTCCAATGTGCTGAGAGCGGGCTCAGGTTGCCACAGGCATGGCTGGAGACTAGGAATAGAGCCTTGCTCACTGACCCATTTCATGTCTAGGCTTCCAACTGAGACTACAGTTTCATTACAACCTATATGCGCCCATAGGTCCTGCCTGTGGCAATGACATCTCTCAGGTCAGTAAGGGCCACTTGGAACAGGAATATCACCCCTATCTGGAAGACCAGGTGGAGGCTTATCACCTTCATAGTAAGGTACTCACTGTCCACGTCAAGAGCCAAGCCAAGGTACTGTTCCTCCAATGAGTAAACAGCACTGCTGTAGGGCTGGCCTAAGTCAGGCAGTTCAAGATAACCTGAAGGAGTCGAATAACATCTATCCAGTGAGTCCTGCAAGACTTCAGGCTCTTTCTCATCCAGCAGCTCCCTGCTGAGCCTGGAAAAGTAGGAAAAAGTAAAGAATAAGCCAGGGGGAATCAGAAACCACACAGCCCCAGCTAGATTTCATGGCTAACATAAGGAACTGTTTAAAAAGAAAAAGGACAGATCCATTAATGAGGTAATGAATTATTGCCTTTAGGTTGGGATAGACCAGGGCCAGGTAGAAAAGAATGAAAGAGAAAGACAGGGAGAGACAGAGACAGAGACAGAGAGAAAGTGACCTAGTGAATTGGCCGGGTGACACACTGATGAAGGAGTAAAAGGACACTCTGAGTTCGTGCCCTCATGACACACAGCAAACTGTGATCATGAAAAGAGTGAGCTCAATAGTTTTCCATAAAATATGCTCAAAATTCGATGCAGTGGCCATGAAAGTACAGCTTTTGAAGTATGGTCAACCTATGGTACGTTAGGAAATGATAAGGGGAGGAAGAAATGGAAACCTAAACATCTACTGCAATGAAAACCAACAGCAATGACAGTAGGAGTAATTCAGCCTTCGTTGAAAACGTGACATCAAACACACTCTGGTTTCCCTGAATCTGTTGCCTCCAGGTGTTAACACAGAACTAAGGATCCAGAATTGCTGAAAGTCACCTGGGGCATGGTGGGTTTTGATTTTCTTCCCCTTCTTTTCTTCCCCTTCTTCTTTTCTTCTTTGATCTTCTTCCCCTTCTTTTCTTCCCCTTCCCCTTCTTTTCAATTTCTGCAATAAATTCAGACATGGACAGACACATTAAGCTGATTCCCCTACACATATAACAATCCACTGTCTAATCCTCACACAGGGACCTCAGGCTCCTCAGCATAAGAATAGGACACTGTGAGAGATATATTTCAGGAGGCCTGAAGGCTGGTTATGATAGAAATTCCTCAGTTTTTCTCCCAGAAACTGTGGGTAAAATGTCCCTATTCTAGTAGATCGTTATCCCAATATCATTGGTCCCAAATTTGTGCAAACAGTTATGCCATATTTTTCCAATCAATTTAAAGCAAATACCCTCAAATGATTTCTAGGAGAAAAACTGCAATATTTAGCCCTGTCTCATCAAATACTCAGATTGTTCATGGTTGTGAGGACTTTAGACACTGAAATTAGAGTGAAAAAGGAAATCTACAAACCCTTGAGTCAAAATCATAGTTCTCTGAATTTGTCACATCTGCCCAGGTCCAATGTCATGAGGATAGGATCAGGGCGCCACAGGTATGGCCTGAGACTAGGAAGAGAGTCTTGCCCACTGACCCATCCCTCATCTGGGCTTCCAGGTAGAACTAGAGTTTCATTCAACCTACATGTGCCTATAGGTCCTCCCTGTGGCAATGACATCTCTCAGCTCAGTAATGGCCACTTGGAGCAGGAATATGATCTTTATATGGAAGACTCAGTGGATCCTTATCACCTTCATAGAAAGGTACTCACCTCCCACGTCAAGAGAAAAGCCAACATGTTTTTCCTCCAATGCATAAAAGGAACTTCCATAGGGCTGGCAGGAGTCAGGCTGTTCAAGACAACTGGAAGGAGTTGAATAACATCTATCCAGTGAGTCCTGCAAGACTTCAGGCTCTACTACCTCCAGCAGCTCCCTGCTGAGCCTGGAAAAGGAGGAAAAAGTAAAGAATAAGCCAGGGGAAATCAGACACAACAGAGCCCCAACTAGGTTTCATGGGTAGCATAGGGAAGTGGTTAAAAAACTAAAAGGATAGATCCATTAATGAGGTAACAAATTATTGCCTTCATGTTGGGACACAACGGGGCCAAATGGAAAAGAATGAAAGAGAAAGACAGATAGACACACACACACACACACACACACACACACACAAACACACACACACAGAGAACGAGCTCAGTGAATTGTCCAGATGACACACTGATGAGGGAGTAACAGGACACTCTGAGTTAGTGCCCTCAGGACACACAGCATACAGGGATCATGAAAAGACTGAGCTCAATAATTTTCCATAAAATGTGCTCAAATTTCCATGCAGTCGCCATGAGAATAGAGTTTTTGAAGTCTGGTCCACCTACAGTAGGTTAGTAAATGATAAGGGGAGGAAGAAATGGAAACCTAAATATCTACTGCAATGAAAACCAACAGCAATGTTAGTAGGAATAATTCAGGCTTGCTTGAAAAGATGTAATCGATAATGTCAGCCCGCTCTGTTTTCCCTGAACCAGGAGTCTCCAGATGTCAACACAGAAGTAGCTGTTCACAATTGCTCAGTTACCTGGGGCATGGTGGGCCTTGGTCTTCTTCCTCTTCTTGGTCCTTTTTAATTCCTGCAATACATTCAGACAGGGACAGACAAAATAAGCCAATTCACCTACACCCATAACAGTCCACTGTCTAATCCCCACACAGGGATCTCAGGCTCCTCAGCATGAGCACAGGACAATGTGACAGATATACTTCAGGAAGCCTGAAAGCTGGTCATGATATTCTTTGGTTTGCATCTCAGAACCAAGGGTGAAATATCCCCATTCTGGTAGATCGTTATCCCAAAATCATTTATCCCAAGTTTGTGCAAACAGTTATGCCTTATTGTTCCCATCAGTTCAAAGAAAATGCCCCAGATGATTTCTAGGAGGAAAACTGCAGTATTCAGCCCTGTCTCATCAAATGCCCAGCTCGTTCATGGATGCAAGAATTTTAGACACTGAAATTAGAATGAAGGAGGAAATCTACAAACCCTTGAGTCCAAATCATACTTCTGTGAATTTTTTACATCTGCCTGGGTCCAATGTGCTGAGAGCGGGCTCAGGTTGCCACAGGCATGGCTGGAGACTAGGAATGGAGCCTTGCTCACTGACCCATTTCATGTCTAGGCTTCCAGCTGAGACTACAGTTTCATTACAACCTATATGCGCCCATAGGTCCTGCCTGTGGCAATGACATCTCTCAGGTCAGTAAGGGCCACTTGGAACAGGAATATCACCTCTATCTGGAAGACCAGGTGGAGGCTTATCACCTTCATAGTAAGGTACTCACTGTCCAAGTCAAGAGCCAAGCCAAGGTACTGTTCCTCCAATGAGTAAACAGCACTGCTGTAGGGCTGGCCTAAGTCAGGCAGTTCAAGATAACCTGAAGGAGTCGAATACCATCTACCCAGTGAGTCCTGCAAGACTTCAGGCTCTTTCTCATCCAGCAGCTCCCTGCTGAGCCTGGAAAAGTAGGAAAAAGTAAAGAATAAGCCAGGGGGAATCAGAAACCACACAGCCCCAGCTAGATTTCATGGCTAACATAAGGAACTGTTTAAAAAGAAAAAGGACAGATCCATTAATGAGGTAATGAATTATTGCCTTTAGGTTGGGATAGACCAGGGTCAGGTGGAAAAGAATGAAAGAGAAAGACAGGGAGAGGGAGAGAGAGAGAGAGGAGAAAGTGAGCTCAGCGAATTGGCCGGGTGACACACTGATGAAGGGGTCAAAGGACACTCTGAGTTAGTGCCCTCGGGACACACAGCGAACAGTGATCATGAAAAGAGTGGGCTCAATAATTTTCCATAAACTTGCTCAAGATTCCATGCAGTTGCCATACAGCCTTTGAGGTATGGTCAACCTATAGTAAGTTAGTAAATGATAAGGGGAGGAAGAAATGGAAACCTAAACATCTACTGCAATGAAAACCAACAGCAATGGCAGTAGGAGTAATTCAACCTCCGTTGAAAACATGAAATTGAACACACTCTTGTTTTCCCTGGACCTGGCATCTCCAGGTGTCAACACAGAATTAAGCATCCATAATTGCTCAAAGTTACCTGGGGCATGATGGGTCTTGGTCTTCTTCCACTTCTTGGTACTTTTCAATTTCTGCAATAAGTTCAGACATGGACAGTCATATTAAGCTGGTTCTCCTACACACATAACAATCCACTGTCTAATCCTCACACAGGGACTTCAGGCTCCTCAGCATGAGAATAGGACACTGTGAGAGATATTCTTCAGGAGGCCTGAAGGCTGATCACCATAGAGATTCCTTGGTTTTTGTCCCAGAAACTGTGGGTAAAATTCCCTATTCTGGTAGACCGTTATCCCAATATCATTTGTCCCAAGTTTGTGCAAATGGTTATGCCATATTTTTCCAATCGATTTAAAGCAAATGCCCCCAAATGGTTGCTAGGAGAAAAACTGCACTATTCAGCCCTGTCTCATCAAATACTCAGATTGTTCATGGTAGCGAGGATTTTAGACGCTGAAATTAGAGTGAAGGATGAAATCTACAAGATCTACAAAATTGAGACAAAATCAGAGTTGTGTGAATTTGTCACATCTGCCCAGGTCCAATGTCATGAGAGTAGGATTAGGGCGCCACAGGCATGGCCTGAGACTAGGAAGAGAGCCTTGCTCACTGACCCATCCCTTGTCTGGGCTTCCAAGTGGAACTAGAGTTTCATTCAACGTACATGTGCCTATAGGTCCTCCCTGTGGCAATGACATCTCTCAGCTCAGTAACGGCCACTTGCAGTAGGAATATGACCCTAACCAGAAGACTCAGTGGATCCTTATCACCTTCATAGAAAGGTACTCACCATCCATGTCAACAGCCAAGCCAACACGCTGTTGCTCCAATACGTAAAAGGCACTTCTGTAGGGCTGGCATGAGTCAGTCAGTTCAAGACAACCTGAAGGAGTTGAATAACATCTATCCAGTGAGTCCTGCAAGACTTCAGGCCCTTTCTCATCCAGCAGCTCCCTGCTGAGCCTGGAAAAGTGGGAAAAAGTAAAGAATAAGCCAGGGGGAATCAGAAACCACACAGCCCCAGCTAGATTTCATGGCTAACATAAGGAAGAGTTTGAAAAGAAAAAGGACAGATCCATTAATGAGGTAACAAATTATTGCCTTTATGTTGGGATAGACTAGGGCCAGGTAGAAAAGGATGAAAGAGAAAGACACACACACACACACAGACACAGACACACACACACACACACACAGAGCGAGCTGAGTGATTTGGTCAGGTGACACACTGATGAGGGAGTCAAAGGACACTCTGTATTTGTGCTCTCAGGACACACAGTGAACAGTGATCATGAAAAGCATGTCCTCAATAATTTTGCATAAAATGTGCTCAAGTTTCCCTGCAGTTACCATGAGAATACAGCTTTTGAGGTATGGTCAACTTTCACTAGGTTAGTAAATGATAAGGGTAGGAAGAAATGGAAACCTAAACATTTACTCTAATGAGAACCAAAAAGCAATGTAGTAGGCATAATTCATACTTGTCTGACAAGACAAAATCATTATTTTCAGCATGTACTGTTTTCCCTGGACTTGGCATCTCCAGGTGTCAACATCAAATTAACTGTCCACAATTTCTCAGACTCACCTGGGACCTGTTGCCTCTTGGTCCTCCTTTTTCACTTGATCCCACCGATGTCCTGCAAATAAATTCAGATGGGCCCTCTTACATTAAGCAGTCCTTCCTTGCACACAGAAACATTCCTCTGTCCAATCCTAACACAGGGACATCAGTCTTGTCAGTGTGAGAACAGGAGACTTTGAGAGAAATATTCCAGTAGGCCTGAGGTCAAGTCTTGAGAAAACTGGCTTGGGTTCTTTCATGAGCCTTGGGCAAAATTCCCCTGTGTTGGAATGTTATCTTCCCTATGTGCTCTGTCCTAGGTTTATGTACACAAATGCGCGATTTTTTTCCCCAATAAATTGTAGGCAAATAGTTCTAACACCTCATAGGAGAGATACTTCAATATTAAGCTTTCTCTCATCAAATACCCAGAATTTGATAGTTTATGAGATTGTGGACACAGAGATTTGATGAGGGGGTGCAATGAACCAGCTCTTGAGTCAAAATGTAACTTGGTTCTACACAGTAGCATCAGCTATTATGGCTTTTGTGGGTGAAAAGTCAGCCATTTATCTAGAAAACATACCAGGAACATGACGGACAGATGAGCTAAAACAAGCGAACTTAGAAGACACAGAAAATGGGAATAAATTCAGTGAAACCTGGGTCACATCTTTCACTGAGAGGTAGACAAGGGTGACACTGGCCTTGGGCAGGTAAAGAACCACACAGACATGCTTTGGGAACAAAACTCATAAGGAATTTTGTAGCTGGCAAGAGACATTTAATTCAGATGAGCTGATCTGACAGACAACTCCTGGGCATGTGCTACATAGTTTGGTGTGAGTTTGCCACACCTGCCTTGAGTTCAATGTCGTGACAGTCAGTCCAGGTTGGCACGGGCATGGCCTGAGACTAGGAAGAGAGCAAAGCTCACTGACCCACCCCATGCCTGTGCTTCAGACTCGACTCCAGAGTGATTGAAATCTACATTGATATATAGGTTCAGCCCACAGTGATGGCAAATCTCAGCCCAACAAGGGGCACAAGGCCCAAAGATTATGGGGTCTACCTGGGCCATGAACTGGAGCTTTATCACCTTCACAATGGAGTACTCACTGCCTATGTCAACAGCCATGCAGACTTGCTGTTCCTCTAATGAGTGAAATGTGCTGCTGTAAGACTTGTACGAGGCCAACATTTCAGGAGGAATTGAGGGAGTCGAATAACCTTCATCCCAGGACTCCTGGGGGACTTCCTCCTCTTCAGACTCCTGCAGATTCCTGATGAGCCAGGCAGGACAGGGATGATAGAAGATTTAACCAACAGACATTAGACAACAAAACCTCCCAGATGATCTGATGGGAGACAGAATGGAGTGGTCACAGAAACCAAAGGCATTTTTCCTTCAAGAGAAATAAAACTATCCTTCTAAATACAGGGTGGAGGGTGACTGCTCTGGGGACAGAGCAAAAATGGGCAGCGTGTGCTCAGTACATTTGCCACAGATGAGCCAACTCAGGGCACCCAGACTCTCCCTGTAAACTACCATCATGTCTTGCAGCACAGAGAACTGACACAGGGCTTCAACTACTTTGCATAAATTGGGTTGAATTTTACATGCAGCATTCAAGTGAAGAGAGTTCTTGACGCAGTGCAGACACAGATCTTGTGTATTAAGGGCCCCATTTTCCCAATATTTTGATATAATATATTTACTTTTTCAATTTCTTTTCTTGCAAAAATACTAGCCAACATACTACCAACAAATAGGAAGAAAGCATATATACACCTCTCCCTTGATTTAGACACATGGGAGAGAATAGGCAACACCAAGAAATCCCTGTTTGAGGGTCTGGAGTGGACTTCCAGCAAACTCCAACAGACCTGAAGCTGAGGGACCTGACTGTTACAAGGAAAACTAACACACAGAAAGGAATAGCATCAACATCAACAAAAAAGACATCCACCCCAAAACCCCATCTGTAGGTCGCCATCATCAAAGACCAAGGGTAGATAAAACCACAAAGGTGGGGAGAAACCAGAGCACAAAAGCTGAAAATTCCAAAAACCTGACATCCCTTCTCCTCCAAAGGATCGCAGCTCCTCGCCAGCAATGGAACAAAGCAGGATGGAGAATGACTTTGATGAGCTGACAGAAGTAGGCTTCAGAAAGTCGGTAATAACAAACTTCTCTGAGCTAAAGGAGGATGTGCGAACTCATCGCAAGGAAGCTAAAAACCTTGAAAAAAGATTAGACGAATGGCTAACCAGAATGAACAGTGTAGAGAAGACCTTAAATGACCTGATGGAGCTGAAAACCATGGCACCAGAACTACGTGATGCATGCACAAGCTTCAGTAGCCAATTCGATCAAGTGCAAGAAACGGTATCAGTGATTCAAGATCAAATTAGTGAAATGAAGCGAGAAGAGAAGTTTAGAGAAAAAAGAGTAAAAAGAAATGAACAAGCCTCCAATAAATATGGGACTATGTGGAAAGACCAAATCTACGTTTGATTGGTGTACTGAAAGTGACGGGGAGAATGGAACCAAGCTGGGAAACATTCTTCAGGATATTATCCAGGAGGACTTCCCCAACCTAGCAAGGAAGGCCAACATTCAAATTCAGGAAACACAGAGAACACCATAAAGATACTCCTCGAGAAGAGCAACCCCAAAACACGTAATTGTCAGATTCACCAAGGTTGAAATGAAGGAAAAAATGCTAAGGGCAGCCAGAGAGAAAGGTCGGATTACCCACAAAGGGAAACTCATCAGACTAGCAGCAGATCTCTTGGCACAAACCCTACAAGCCAGAAGAGAGTGGGAGCAATATTCAACATTCTTTTTTTTTTCCATATGTATAGTTTTCCTTTATTATTTTTTGTGTGTATGTGTATATATATATATATATTTTTAATACTTTAAGTCTTAGGGTACATGTGCACAACGTGCAGGTTAGTTACATATGTATACATGTCCACATTGGTGTGCTTCACCCATTAACTCATCATTTAACATTAGGTATATCTCCTAATGCTACCCCTCCTCCCTCCCCACACCCTACAACAGGCCCCAGTGTGTGATGTTCCCCTTTCTGTGTCCATGTGTTCTCATTGTTCAATTCCCACCTGTGAGTAAGAACATGCGGTATTTGGTTTTTTGTCCTTGCAATAGTTTGCTGAGAATGATGGTTTCCAGCTTCATCCATGTCCCTACAAAGGACATGAACTCATCATTTTTTATAGCTGCATAGTATTCCATGGTGTATATGTGCCACATTTTCTTAATCCAGTCTATCATTGCTGGATATTTGGCTTGGTTCCAAGTCTTTGCTATTGTGAATAGTGCCGCAATAAACATATGTGTGCATGTGTCTTTACAGCAGCATGATTTATAATCCTTTGGGTATACACCCAGTAATGGGATGGCTGGGTCAAATGGTATTTCTAGTTCTAGATCCTTGAGGAATTGCCACACTGCCTTCCACAATCGTTGAACTAGTTTACAGTCCCACCAACAGTGTAAAAGTGTTCCTATTTCTCCACATCCTCTCCAGCATCTTCAACATTCTTAAAGAAAAGAATTTTCAACCAAGAATTTCATATCCAGCCAAACAAAGCTTCATAAGTGAAGGAGAAATAAATCCTTTACAGAGAAGCAAATGCTGACAGATTTTGTCACCACCAGGCCTGCCTTACAAGAGCTCCTAAAGGAAGCACTAAACATGGAAAGGAACAACCGGTACCAGCCACTGCAAAAACATGCCAAACTCTAAAGACCATTGACGCTAGGAAGAAACTGCATCAACTAACGGGTGAAATAACCAGCTAACATCATAACGACAGGATCAAATTCACACATAACAATATTAACCTTAAATGTAAATGGGCTAAATGCCCCAGTTAAAAAACACAGAATGGCAAATTGGATAAAGAGTCAAGACCCATCAGTGTGCTGTATTCAGGAAACCCATCTCACATGCAGAGACACACATAGGCTCAAAATAAAGGGATGGAGGAAGATCTACCAAGCAAATGGAAAACAAAAAAAGGCAGGGGTTGCAATCCTAGTCTCTGATAAAACAGACTTTAAACCAACAAAGATCAAAAGAGACAAAGAAGGCCACTACATAATGGTAAAGGGATCAATTCAACAGGAAGAGTTAACTATCCTAAATATATATGCACCCTATACAGGAGCACCCAGATTCATAAAGCAAGTCCTGAGAGACCTACAAAGAGATTTAGACTCCACACAATCATCATGGGAGACTTTAACACCCCACTGTCAATATTAGACAGATCAATGAGACAGAAGCTTAACAAGGATATCCAGGACTTGAACTCAGCTCTCCACCAAGCAGACCTAAAAGACATCTACAGAACTCTCCACCCCAAATCAACAGAATATACATTCTTCTCAGCACCACATCACACTTATTCCAAAATTGACCACATAGTTGGAGGTAAAGCACTCGTCAGCAAATGTAAAAGAATGGAAATCACAACAAACTGTCAGACCACAGTGCAATCAAATTAGAACTCAGGATTAAGAAACTCACTCAAAACCGCACAACTACATGGAAACTGAACAACCTGCTCCTGAACGACTACTGGGAAAATAACAAAATGAAGGCAGAAATAAAGACGTTCTTTGAAACCAATGAGAACAAAGACAAAACATACCAGAATCTCTGGGACACATTTAAAGCAATGTGTAGAGGGAAAATTATAGCACTAAATGCCCACAAGAGAAAGCAGAAAAGATCTAAAATTGACACCCTAACATCACAATTAAAATAACTAGAGAAGCAAAGCAAACAAATTCAAAAGCTAGCAGAAGACAAGAAGTAACTAAGATCAGAGCAGAACTAAAGGAGATAGAGACGCAAAAAACCCTTCAAAAAATCAATGAATCCAGGGCTGGTTTTTTGAAAAGATCAACAAGAAAACCCTGTTTGGCTAGTTCACCTGGCTCATCTGATGGCAAGTTCCTATCTTGAGAGGACTATGAAATTAAAACCAATACAAGTGCCACAAATAACATACAACATTGTAAATCAGCACAATTTGTAGCTGGGTGAATGGAAGAAATAGTTCTATTCATCACTTCCTCATTTTCCCTAAATCTACAATCTCCAGATGTCACTACTGAATTAACAGCCAACAATTCCACAACATTACCTGGGAGACACTGGCCCTTTTTCTTCCTCTTCCTCATCATCACTTTCATTTTCTGTAAATAAATTCAGAGAAGCAGGTCACATTAAGCAATTCATACTTCACATATGAACAAATCACTGTCCAGTCATAGCCAAGGACATAACTATTCTCAGTGCAAGAATAAGGATTCTGACAGGAATATTCTAGGGTGTCCTAGATTAACTTTGGTGAGAATTAGATGACCCTGCTTTCCAGACCCACAGGCCAAAATCTCCCTCTACGTGTAGACCATAATGCCATATTCCCTGCCTGAGTCAAAGTTAAACAAAATTTTTTCCCCAAAAAAATCTCCAAAAATTGGTCAAACAATTTTCTAAGAGTGTTGCTGCGATACGGACTTATATCACCAGGTAACATGGACATTAAATGTTTAGAGGCATCTATACATGAAACACGACTGATAGATAAATTTGAACAACTCTTGCTTTAAAAAGAATCTGTGATTTGGGAGGCCAAGACAGGTGAATCATTTGAGGTCATGAGTTCAGGACTACCCTGGCCAATATGGGGAAACCCTGTCTCTACTAAAAATACAAAAATTAGCCAGATGTGATGTTGTGCACCTGTGGTCCTAGCAACTCAGGAGACTGAGGCAGGAGAATCACTTGAATCTGGGAGGCAGAGGTTGCACCAAGCCAAGATGGTGCCACTGTACTCCAGCCTGGGTGACAGAGCAAGACTCCATCGCAAAAAAAAAAAAAAAAAAAAAAAAATCCACGATGCTACAAAGAAACATTGGATCAGCCATTGCATTGACAGGGTGGAGAACCAGGGTCCAGCCTTGCTTTATGGAAATATATCACCAAAGTAAAGAAGAAAAGTTTCCGTCCTGATTTCAGGGTGACTGTGCAGCTAAGCAAGCTGACTTAAAGGAGATCCAGATGAAAGCTGAGAGCAGTGAAGCCTGGGGAACGATATTTCCAAAAACAAAGGCAAGGCTGCCAGCTTCCTTAAACAGGCATAGAAACTCCATGGACATTGTTCAGGGACAGATGACTTAATCACAGATGACAAGAGATACTGAATCGAAGCTAGGAGGCCTGACAGATACTGCCTGTGCACCTCCTGCACTCAGGTGACTATGAGATTGTCACACTTGCCTGGGGTTGAGTAACTTGATACTGGGGACTGGCAGACAAAGGCATGACATTAGCTGAGAAGGACAAAAAACTCCCTGATATCTGTTTAGAAACCCATCACAGTTTTTTATTCAAATGAATTTGTGTTTATAGAGCCTGTCTTCAGAGTTTATCTTCCTCAGCCTAGAGAGAGGTATGAGACACAAGGAAAACAGAGGCTACCTGGAATAATGTGTACAGCATCTTCCCGTTCAACATGAGAGGATGAGCCAATGAGAGTTGAGTCGACTTTGTCTTCCTCAAATGTGATTTTGGTTTTCCTATGTGGCTGGTTGGAGTCATAAGGGCCATGGCTATTTGAATAAGTGATGGCACATTCCTCCAGTGAGTCCTCAGGGACTTCCTTTTCTTCAGCCTTCTGCATCTCCCTGATGAGCCAGGTGGGACAGAGATGACAGAAGATTAAACACAGAGGGATTGGACCCCAGGGAGTCCTAGCTGGTTTTGACAGGCGGCATTAAGAGAGTGGTCCCAGAAAGCAAAATGGAGGTTCCCATTAAGAGGGAACAGGTAATCCTCTTCTCTCTGCAACAGACCATGGCTGCCATGGGAACCAGAGAGGAAGAGAGCAGCTGCTGTTCATTGCACTGGACAGATAGGAGCTGAGGAGGATGAAGACTCAGCTATCCTTGTACGGTGCAGACATGACACTCGGCACACATAGAGAAACATGACAGCTGCCGCACCCTGTGTCTAAGCTGGGTTCAATTTCACATACTGTGGCCAAGCGAATGCGGGTTTTTGGCCCATCATAGATGCCAGAGAGGGTGTGCCTCCTAGATATTCCTCATATGTTACCATCCATTAATTGTTCCTGAGTATTCAGTGTTACCTGGGGGCAGACGATTTCTGCACTTTCTCAGCCACCTCAATTTGAACATCTTCATCGTCATCGTTGTCATTTTCTGTAAATACAGAAGTGTTCGTTCAGATATTTCCCACTTCACAGTCTGCAAGCACAGTCAGCCCAATGTGCAACAGAGACATGAACATCTAGGCATGGGTCACCGTTCAACTGAAAACTCTCATGTTTTATCTTTAACAGAATGCCCTGGCATGGTTTCCTGATCCATCAGGCAATGCATTTCTGATCTGGAGGGCCACCATCAACATGTGGCCAAATATTGAAAAGACCTTTCGCTTCCCATATCACTGGAGGCTTGTGCAGCCTCTCTCTGGACGTTGGCAGCTGTCTCCCCCATCCTGCCAGATCTGATTCCCAGGCACAGGCTTGGTGTCCTGTCACGGTTTGCATTTCAAACCTAATTCTTTCTCTTAGAAGCAGACAAACTTGTCCCACAGTCCTCTATGCATCAGAAGATTTCAAGCCTCCAAGTGGCTTCTGCTGTGTTCTTCAGGGACATTCTATCCATGGGGAGTGCTCCAGTCTGAAGCACTTCCTACCACAAAACGCCCCCACATAAAGTGCCTTCTCCAACATCACACGGCGAGGGCCTTCATCTCATTTTGGAAAGCAGTTGTAAGTGTTCCCACATTTGAATGCTTCAGACCCTTGCAAGAGACAATTTGTCTGCCACGGAGAGAGACAAACTCAGGAAGGACAAGTCATTCACTCTCTGACAGTAACTAAGAACATTGCCGAAAAGACAGCCTGGGAACCTTCATTCTTAGTCCAGAGCTCTTTTCACTCTAACAAGCCTGCTCCCATCGCAGCCTCCTTCCTGTCCTTTAAAACTAGATAGATGCTGCCTCTTGCTCCAAAGACCACCTTCCATCAAGGGAGGAGGGACACTTGCAATAATGTGACCTCCAACCCCATGGGTTTCCCATCTCCGTTCTTACCCAAGAAGTCCTTGTCATGTCATGGCCACATAAGCTTAGTGGAAAAAAACACCATTGATACAACTGTCATTGTGAAAGTATGGAGGTCTGGAGCCTCTCATAAGCCTGGGGTTTTGGGTCAACAGGGCCTATGGCCACCTTACCTGGGCTGAGCTTTTGGACAAGGTGCTGTGCCAGTCTACACCCCTCAGCCAGCTGTTCTTGGAGGTCCTGCCCCTGGGACTTGTCCGGCTCATCCGGAGTGAGGAGGGCCTGGAGATGCTCATTCAATGAGCGGGAGGCATCTCTCCCTTCCCGCAACTTCTCCCTTAACTGGGTCAGCTCTCGTTCCTGAGCGTGAACCAGGACTTTATATTGCCTAAGGTGAGATGGTAGAGAAAAATTAAGAGTGGAAAGGGTTGAGTGATCCGCTCAAATATTGCAACAGAGATTTCTGAAACAGTGTCCTCAAGGAGACCTCGAAGCAGAAGGTCAGCACATGTTTAAAGGAATGTCTGTGGCCAAGAGAAAGAATAGAAAATGGTTTACAGGCTTCCTCTGTATCAGAGAGGGCTCCTGCAAGATCCTCGATGATGTTCCATTCATCTTTCCCTTCTGTAAACAAAAGTAGGTGTTTTCCTAATTCCATTTCAAAAAGACATCCTTTCAGTTCCTCACTCTGGCCATGGACATTTCCATGTGAAAATACACATAGTGCATCTTGCGGCCACTAGATACAAAGCCATGTACAGAAATGAGGCCAGGGGCAGATGGGGCGAATTGAAAAGACGAAAGAAGAAAAGAATGACAGGGTCGAGAAGGCAACATTGATTGAGTGAAAGAATGAGAAGCCGCAGTCAGTCAGGAGGTGATTGTCACTAAGGGTAAGTGGGGTGGTGATGGCACACCATTTTGAGTATACTGAATGCTGCTGTGTGGTTCACACTCCTTTGGTTAATTTTGTGTTATGTAAATTTCACATCAACAATTACTTGTTTGAAAAAGAGAAAACAAGGCTCTGAGAAACAACTGCAACCCATACATTTTTATTATCCTTCTTCTCTGTTTGATAAATATTTGTGTGTAGCGAGCCTGCCATGGCAATTCCTGCCCTTCCCCTGGCCCAGCTTAGCTCTTACGTCTCCCCACCGAGCTGCTGTACTTCAGAGATTTACACACCTGCCCCCCTGCCTGCCCCCATGGGGTCCCCTCACCTGAGCTCCTCAGCTTGCTTCAGCTGCTCTGCAAGCTTCTCCTCCTTGAACTGTCGCTCATTCCTCAGCATAAATTTTATGAGGTCTTTACACTCTTCATACTCTGAGAAAAGACAGACACGCCTGCCTCAGTGGAAGGCTGGACATGCTGCTGTGGTCACTGCCTACAGGGCAGGAGCCAGGTCCATCCCAAGGACAAAACTCTCCCCAGTACCAGGGTCTAGACAGGGATTTCCACATCTTTACTCTTCAGTCTCCTGACTTTCTGGCATCTGATCCTCCAAAATTTAAAGACGAAGAAAGAGAACCTCAAGGGCACATCAAGGAAGTTGACAAGATGATTCAACCACAACGAAGTGGAGTCAGAATTCACAGTCCCTGAGGTCTGACTCTGAATGCGGGGCCACTTTCCCAAGCTTTGCAGCCTCTCCTCTAAAACACTGCACTGGGGCATGAAGTAGTGATTTCTTGTACAGTCGGGAAGGCCCCTAGGACTATGGGACTGATGGTTTCCCTTTTACTGGGAATTTCAAGGACAAGTATGCGAAAGATTTTTTAAATCTTTGATTTTTAAATCATATCTTCAGTTATGATTTTAAGAATCATATCTGAAGCATAAAATGTGACACATAAGACCATAAGGCCATGAAGGAAATATGCCCAAATGCTAATAAAGTTTGTGTTAATTTAGAAACAGCAGAATGAAGAACTAATAGATAGTGTTTACTCTGTGCCAATAAATGTTCTAGGAGACTGACAAGAAACAGCTCATGTAATTCACTGCAGCAATTTACAGAGGTAGGTATTATTGTAGTACCCTCTGAACAGGTGAGGTAACTGAGGGACAGACAAGACAAGCAACTTGGATGGAGCCCAGGAGACAGGCCCACGGTCCCTGCTCTGTACACTGCACTGCTATCTCCACACATTCTCGGGTGCGAACTTTCTTCCTCTTTAGCAACAAGACTCTGTGCCCCAGGAAGCAGGACTTCACTCTCACCAAGCTACTCTCTGCTTTTTATTCTTATTTTTATTTATCATCATTATTATTATTATTATTATTTTTACCAGTCTTGCCCTGTCGCCCAGGCTGGAGTGCAATGGCAAAACCTTGGCTCACTGCAACCTCAGCCTCCTGGGTTCAAAGGATTCTCCTGCCTCAGCCTCCTGAGCAGGGGTGATTACAGTCACCTGCCACCACGCCCATCTACTTTTTGTATTTTTAGTGGAGATGGGGTTTCTCCATGTTGCCCAGGCTGGTCTCAAACTCCTGACCTCATGATCTGCCCGCCTCAGCCTCCCAAAGTGCTGGGATTACAGGAGTGAGCCACCATGCATGGCCCCTACTCCCTGCTCTTGATGCTGTCATTTATAGACAGCACAGGTTCTATTAGGAGTAGACTCCTCTTGAAGCCCCTCAGAGCAGGTACTGGCTACTATCACCAAGTTTCCCTCAGAGTCACTAGAACAGAGCTTTGCCTGTTGGGCCTCAACAGAAACTTGAACTGAATAAAAGTTCACTAGTCTCAGACATTTAGAACAACAGACTAGATGTTATTTGTCTGCAGGATCTTATATGGTAGAGAGGATTCTTGAAAACACGATTGAGCCTCTTGGAGAAAACAGGTCATTCTGTGCCTGTGTCAGAAATCAATAAATGGCAGTTTAACTCTAGTCCCACCCCCACCTGATTGCAAACATGGAAAGTTGCTAAATACTTTGGTACCTCTGTCTTCCAACTTTGACAAAATGTTAAAATACCCATTTCTGTTTTCCTAGAAGTATGGGGAGGATGACATTATTTTTGATGGAGAGAGCACTTAGTTCCTCAGAGAGAAGACAGGACGTCGTTCATCACTTTCGTGATGGTGAGCCTATAGATCTTACTGTATTTGTTCTGCTGGTTGGCCAGGAAGCCGGCCAGTTGAGTTAGAAAACATTTCTCTTTGAGGTTTCTGAACTGCTGTTTCTTCTCTGCCAGCTGGGGGCGCAATTTCTCATTGATTTCTAGAATGTTCATCTCTGCCTTCTCGCTGGACAAAGGGCCGGCTGATACCACCATGCTGACGTTTGTGGCAGAAGAGGTGGGGCCAGGGACTGGGGAGAAGAAAGGCAAACACATGATGGGTTAAAAACTGGTGAAATCAAATAGGCTTAATCAGGACTGAGGGATGTCACTGGCAGCCTTGTTTACTTATTTGAAGATGTTGTTTCCCTGGTTTCACTCTTGTCATCTCCAGTCTTGATCTCCTTTAAGTCAACTTGTCTTAGCTATGCAGTCACCTTGAAACCAAGACATAAACACTTCTACACTTTTCTTGCTTATACGTTTCTATAAAGCAAGGCTTGGCCCTGAGATTTTTACCCCATGAGTGGCCAATGTTTCTGTGTAGCACAAAAGATTTCATTTTGCTTTTTTAATTTTTTTCTTTTTTGGTTTTTTTGTTTGAGACAGAGTCTCACTCTGTCACGCAGGCTGAAGTGCAGAGGCACAATCTCAGCTCACTGCCACCTCTGCCGCCCGGGTTCAAGTGATTCTCATCCCTCAGCCGGCCAAGCATCTGGGATTACAAGGGCCAAGTAACATGCCAGCTAATTTTTGTATTTTTAGTAGAGATGGGGTTTCGCCATCTTGGACAGGCTGGTTTCGAACTCCTGAGCTCAGGTGTTCCGCCCACCTCGGCCTCCCAAAGTGTTGGGATTAAGATGTGAGCCAGCGCCCCTGGTCAGAGACTTTATTTTTTTTTTTTTTTGAGATGGAGTCTCGCTCTGTCTCCCAGGCTGGAGTGCAGTGGCACAATCTCGGCTCACTGCAAGCTCCGGTTCCTGGGTTCATGCCATTCTCCTGCCTCAGCCTCCTGAGTAGCTGGGACTACAGGCGCCCACCACCACGCCCAGCTATTTTTTTTTTTTTGCATTTTTAGTAAAGACGGGGTTTCACCGTGTTAGCCAGGATGGTCTCAATCTCCTGACCTCCTGATCCACCCACCTCGGCCTCCCAAAGTGCTCGGATTACAGGTGTGACCCACTGCGCCCAGCCGAGACTTATTAATAGCTAAGACAAGCCAATGAAAAGGAGAGAGAGTCTAGCCTGACAGAAGTGAATGAGGGTGGGAGGATCATCTCAGCCCATCCTCCCACCTAAGTCTCCTGAGCAGTTGGGACTATAGGCATGCAGCACCATGCCTGCCTAATTTTTTGTGTTCTTTGTAAAGATGGGTTTCACCATATTGTGTAGGCTGGTCTTCAACTCCTGAACTCAAGTCATCGTCCCACTTGGGCCTTCCAAAGTGCTGTGATTATATGTGTGAGTCACAGCACCTAGCTCCATCCTAGTTTCTGACTAAAACAATAACAATATGTGTATATACAGCCTGTCCTCAGAATTGATCTTCCATAGCCTAGACAGAGGTATGAGACACAAGGAAAATAGAGGCTACCTGGGAGAATGTTTAGAGCATCCTGACATTCATCATGAGAGGATTCTCTGTCTACAACCAGAGTTGAGTTGACTTCGTCTTCCTCAAATGTGATTTTGATGTTCTTGTGAGGCTGGTTGGAGTCACAAGGGCCGTGGCTATTTGAACAAGTGATGGCACATTCCTCCAGTGAGTCCTCAGCGACTTTGCTCTCTTCAGCCTTCTGCACCTCCCTGATGAGCCAGGTGGGACAGAGATGACAGAAGATTAAACACAGAGGGATTGGACCCCAGGGAGTACTAGCTGGTTTTGACAGGCGGCATTAAGAGAGTGGTTCCAGAAAGCAAAACGGAGGTTCCCTTAAAGAGGGAACAGGCAATCCTCTTCTCTCTGCAACAGACCATGGCTGCCATGGGAGCCAGAGAGGAAGAGAGCAGCTGGTGTTCAGTGCACTGGACAGATAGGAGCTGAGGAGGATGAAGACTCAGCTATCCCTGTATGGTACAGACATGACACTTGGCACACATAGAGAAACACGACAGCTGCCGCACCCTGTGTCTAAGCTGGGTTCAATTTCACATACTGTGGCCAAGGGGATGCGGGCTTTTGGCCCACCATAGATGCCAGAGAGGGTGTGCCTCCTAGACATCTTCATATGTTACCACCCATTACTTGCTCCTGAGTATTCAGTGTTACCTGGGGGCAGATGATTCCAGTACTTTCTCATCCTCCTCAACTTGAACATCTTCATCCTCATCTTCGTCATTTTCTAGAAATACAAAATGTTCATTCAGATATTTCCCACTTCACATTCTGCAAGCACAGTCAGCCCAACGTGCACAGAGACATGAACATCTATGTATGGTTCAGCATTGTACTGAAAACTCTCATGTTTTATCTTTCACAAAATGCCCTGGCATGGTTTCCTGCTCCATCGGGCAATGCATTTCTGATGTGGAGGGCCACCATCAAGATGTGGCCAAATACTGAAAAGACCTTTTGCTTCCCATATCACTGAAGGCTTGTGCAGCCTCTCTCTGGACTTTGGCAGCTGTCTCCCCCATCCTGCCACAGATCTGATTCCCAGGAACAGGCTTGGTGTCCTGTCACAGTTCGCATTTCAAACCTCATTCTTTCTCTTAGGAGAGGACAAACTTGTCCCACAGTCCTCTATGCGTCATGAGACTGCACAGGCCCTCCATGTGGCTTCTGCTGTGTTATTCAGGGACATTCTATCCATGGGGAGTGCTCCAGTCTGAAGCACTTCCTACCACCAAATGCCCCCACATCAAGTGCCTTCTCCAACACCACATGGAGAGGGGCTTCATCTCATTTTGAAAAGCATTCGTAAGTGTTCCCATATTTGGATGCTTCAGACCCTTGCAAGAGACAATTTGTCTGCCTTTGCAGATGGAGAGAGAGAAACTCTGGAAAGATAAATCACTCACTCACCGACACTTACTAAGAACATTGCCAAAAAGACAGCCTGGGAACCTTCATTCTTAGCCCAGAGCTCTTTTCACTCCAACAAGCGCCCTCCCATCACAGCCTCCTTCCTGTCCTTTAAAACTAGATAGATGCTGCCTCTTGCTCCAAAGACCACCTTCCATCAAGGGAGGAGGGACACTTGCAATACTGTGACCTCCAAACCCATGGGTTTCCCATCTCTGTTCTTACCCAGGAAGTCCTGATCGTGTCATGGCCACATATGTGTAGCAGAAAAAAACCCCACTGATACAACTGTCATTGTGAAAGTATGGAGGTCTGGAGCCTCTCATAAGCCTGGGGTTTTGGGTCATCAGGGCCTATGGCCACCTTACCTGGGCTGAGCTTTTGGACAAGGTGCTGTGCCAGTCTACACCCCTCAGCCAGCTGTTCTTGGAGGTCCTGCCCCTGGGACTTGTCCGGCTCATCCGGAGTGAGGAGGGCCTGGAGATGCTCATTCAATGAGCGGGAGGCATCTCTCCCTTCCCGTAACTTCTCCTTTAACTGCGTCAGCTCTCGTTCCTGAGAGTGAACCAGGACTTTATATTGCCTAAGGTGAGACGGTAGAGAAAATTTAAGAGTAGAAAGGGTTGAGTGATCCGTTCAAATATTGCAACAGAGACTTCTGAGATAATGTCCTCAAGGAGACCTTGAAACAGAAGGTCAGCACATGTTGAAAGGAATGTCTGTGGCCAAGAGAAAGAATAGAAAATGGTTTACAGGCTTCCTCTGTATCAGAGAGGGCTCCTGCAAGATCCTCGATGATGTTCCATTCATCTTTCCCTTCTGTAAACAAAAGTAGGTGTCTTCCTAATTCCCTTTCAGAAAGACATCTTTTCAGTTCCTCACTCTGGCCATGGACATTTCCATGTGAAAATACACATAGTGCATCTTGCGGCCACTAGATACAAAGCCATGTACAGAAATGAGGCCAGGGGCAGATGGGGCGAATTGAAAAGACGAAAGAAGAAAAGAATGACAGGGTCGAGAAGGCAACATTGATTGAGTGAAAGAATGAGAAGCCGCAGTCAGTCAGGAGGTGATTCTCACTAAGGGTAAGTGGGGTGGCAATAGCACACCATTTTGAGTATACTGAATGCTGCTAGGTGGTTCCCACTCCTTTGGTGAATTTTGTGTTATGTAAATTTCACATCAACAATTACTTGTTTGAAAAAGAGAAAACAAGGCTCTAAGAAACAACTGCAACACAGAACTTATTATTATCCTTGTTCTCTGATAAATATTTGTGTGTCATGAGCCTGCCATGGCAATTTCTGCCCTTCCCCTGGCCCAGCTTCGTTCTTATTTCTCCCCGCCGAGCTGCTGTACTTCAGAGATCTACACACCTACCCGCCTGCCTCCCCCCACGGGGTCCCCTCACCTGAGCTCCTCAGCTTGCTTCAGCTGCTCTGCAAGCTTCTCCTCCTTGAACTGTCGCTCATTCCTCAGCATAAATTTTATGAGGTCTTTACACTCTTCATACTCTGAGAAAAGACAGACACGCCTGCCTCAGTGGAAGGCTGGACATGCTGCTGTGGTCACTGCCTACAGGGCAGGAGCCAGGTCCATCCCAAGGACAAAACTCTCCCCAGTACCAGGGTCTAGACAGGGATTTCCACATCTTTACTCTTCAGTCTCCTGACTTTCTGGCATCTGATCCTCCAAAATTTAAAGACGAAGAAAGAGAACCTCAAGGGCGCATCAAGGAAGTTGACAAGATGATTCAACCACAACGAAGTGGAGTCAGAACTCACAGCCCCTGAGGTCTGACTCTGAATGCGGGGCCACTTTCCCAAGCCTTGCAGCCTCTCCTCTAAAACACTGCACTGGGGCATGAAGTAGTGATTTCTTGTACAGTCGGGAAGGCCCCTAGGACTATGGGACTGATGGTTTCCCTTTTACTGGGTATTTCAAGGACAAATATGTCAAGGACTTTAAAAATATTTCATTTTTAGATCAATATTCAGATATGGTTTTAAGAATCATATCTGAAGCATAAAGTGTGAGACATAAGACAATAAGGCCATGAAGGAAATATGCCCAAATACTTTATTAGTATGAGAGGCAGCATTAAGATTTAGATTCGTTGTGTTAATTTAGAAACATCAGAATGAAGAACTAATAGATAGTGTTTACACTGTGCCAATTAATGTTCAAGGAGATTGACAGGAAATGCCTCATGTAATTCATTGCAGCAATTTACAGAGGTAGGTATTATTGTAGTACCCTCTGAACAGATGAGGAAACTGAGGGACAGACAAGACAAGCAACTTGGATGGAGCCCAGGAGACAGGCTGAGGGTCCCTGCTTTGCACACTGCACTGCTGCTTCCACACATTCTCGGGTGTGATCTTTCTTCCTCTTTAGGAACAAGAGCCTGTGCACCAGGAAGCAGGACTTCACTCTCACCAAGGTACTCTCTTTTATTTTTATTTTTGATTTATTTATCTTTTTGTTTGTTTGTTTTTTGACGAGTCTTGCCCTGTCACCCATGCTGGAGTGCAATAGTGCAATCTTGGCTCACTGCAACATCTGCCTGCTGGGTTCAAAGGATTCTTCTGCCTCAGCCTCCCGATTAGTGGTGATTACAGTTGCCCTCCACGACGCCCATCTACTTTTTGTATTTTTAGTGGAGATGGGGTTTCTCCATGTTGCCCAGGCTAGTCTCAAACTGCTGACCTCGTGCTCTGCCCGCCTCAGCCTCCCAAAGTGCTGAGATTACAGGAGTGAGCCACGTTGCACGGCCCCTACTCCCTGCTCTTGATGCTGTCACTTATAGGTAGCACAGGTTCTATTAGGAGCAGACTCCTCTTGAAGCCCCTCAGAGCAGGTACTGGCTACTATCACCAAGTTCCCCTCAGAGTCACTAGAACAGAGCTTTGCCTCTTGGGCCTCAACGGAAATTTGAACTGAATAAAAGTTCACTAGTCCTAGACATTTAGAACAACAGACTAGATGTTATTTGTCTGCAGGATCTTATAAGGTACAGAGAGGATTCTTGAAAACATGATTGAGCCTCTTGGAGAAAACAGGTCGTTCTGTGCCTGTGTTAGAAATCAATAACTGTGAGTTTAACTCTAGTCCCACCCCCATCTGATTGCAAACATGGAAAGTTGCTAAATACTTTGGTACCTCTGTCTTCCAACTTTAACCAAATGTTAAAATACCCATTTCTGTTTTCCTAGAAGTACAGGAAGGATGAAATTATTTTTGATGGAGAGAGCATTTAGTGTCTCAGAGAGAAGACAGGACATCATTCATCACTTTCATGACGGTGAGCCTATAGATCTTACTGTATTTCTTCTGTCGGTTGGCCAGGAAGCCGGCCAGTTGAGTTAGAAAACATCTCTCTTTGAGGTTTCCGAACTGCTGTTTGTTCTCTGCCAACTGGGGGCGCAATTTCTCGTTGATTTCTAGAATGTTCATCTCTGCCTTCTCGCTGGACCAAGGGCCGGCTGATACCACCATGCTGACGTTTGTGGCAGAAGAGGTGGGGCCAGGGACTGGGGAGAAGAAACCCAAACATATGATGGGTTAAAAACTGGTGAAATCAAATAGGTTTAATCAGGACTGAGGGATGTCAGTAACTGAAATTCTTACCTTACTGTTGTGAAAAATGTGATCACTCCCACAGCACTTTAGGATCCTTCACCACAAAAACAAGGTTTGAGGTGCCTCAACTCAGAGCTGAAAGCACTGCCAGTAGCTCAGACTCTGATAAGAGTGAGGTAGATTGTGGCCAGCGTGCCAGGTAACCGTCTGCAGTTGCAATAACAGAATTAGAAGGTGGGGGTGTCATGGAATCTTAGGAGCCCTGCATTCCAATTGCCCAGGCTTTGCTGAAACACAGGCACCCTAGTCTCACCTGAGGGTCACCACCAATGGGGATCATTCCTTCAGCATTCACTCTCAGTATTCGTGTACCCTTGTGACAATGCCACAGACCCGTGTCTTTCCCAATACATCTAAGCATATTCCTCACTGTTTATCTCTTGTCTGTACAACATCATCAAGGCAGAAACAGTTTCCCAACAGGTTATATTTTCTTAATGGTAGTCATGAAGTCATAAATAAAAAAATGGAATCATTTAGTATGTTCTCTTGTTTTGACTTTTTTTTTTTTTTTGAGACAGAGTCTCACTCTGTCGCCCAGGCTGGAGTGCAGTGACGCGATCTAGGCTCACTGCAAGCTCTGCCTCCCAGGTTCACGCTATTCTCCTGCCTCAGACTCCCAAGTAGCTGGGAATACAGGCGCCCGCCACCACGCCTGGCTAATTTTTCTTTTCTTTTTTTTTTTTTTTTTTTTTTTTTGTATTTTTAGTAGAGACGGGGTTTCACTGTGTTAGCCACGATGGTCTCGATCTCCTGACCTCGTGATCTGCCGCCTCAGCCTCCCAAAGTGCTGGGATTACAGGCGTGAGCCACCGCGCCCGGCCGACTTCTCTTTACTCAGGTGGGTATATATGCCACTAATTTGTTTGATTGTGTTTTTCCCTTGTTTCATTTTGTTTTGGCCAAGTAATATCCTATTGATTGTATGATTATCACACAATTTGATATCCATTTTTCTGATGGGAGACAGGTTTACTTGATAACTACTGTGCATAAGTAACTATGAATATTCTCATACAATTATTTCTGTGAAGATACATACTTATTTTCCTGGGTATCTATAGCTAGGGATGGAGTTGCTTGGTGAATGGGTAGAAAATGTTGGACAGAGTTTTGCAAAGTATTTGTATTGTTTTACATTTCTATGAAAGATGTAGGCCATTTCCAGTTGCTCTACATTCCCACACACTTAATATTTTCAGTCTTTTAAACTATGCCAGGTGTGTAGTGATATCCTAAAATTTGGTTTTCTCATGCCTAATGTTCATTTAGATATCTTCTTATGGAAAATATCTTCTCAAATTTTTATATTCATTGATATACTGGGCTGTTTGTCAATTTCTTTGTAATAGGAGTTCTTTATATATTTTGAATGAGTCCATTTATACATACATATTTTTTGCTGTAATATATAGCAAATAATTATTCCTGGTCTAGAGATAGCGTTTAAGTTGTTAAACAACAACATAATAAGGAGAAGCTTTTTAAAAATGAAGTGCAATTCGCTTGATTTCTTATTGTGGTGAGTGCTACAGTATCTAGTCTAAGAAATATTTTCCTGTGTCAAGTTCATGAAACTATTTCCTATTTTTCCTTTACAAGGTTTCTAATTTTAACTTTCACATCTTAAGATAATTTCAACATATGATGGAGAGTGGTTAATATTAACTTTTTAAAACAACAAATATTATTTCACTCAAAATCGTTTTACTTAAAAGTCTTTCATTTCCCCA
The DNA here is from genome assembly GCF_000001405.40 of Homo sapiens. NCBI lineage: Eukaryota > Metazoa > Chordata > Mammalia > Primates > Hominidae > Homo > Homo sapiens. The sequence goes on from NC_000001.11 coordinate 149,084,017, forward strand.
ATGAAGGGCATTGGTGTCTTTGTTTTTAAAACATTTAGAAGCGGCGGTGCGAGCATGTTCTCACTCATGGGTGGGAAATGAACAATGAGAACACTTGGACACAGGACGGGGAACATCACACACCAGGGCCTGTCATGGGGTGAGGGCTGGGGGAGGGATAGCATTAGGAGAAATACCTAATGTAAATGACGAGTTAATGGGTGCAGCAAACCAACATGGCACACGTATATATATATAATATATATACACGTGTATATATATTATATATACACATATATACATGTATACACGTATATATAATATATACACACACATGAATATATATAATATATATACGTGTATATACATACGTGTGTATATATAATACGTGTATATACATAATATACAATATATATAACATGTGTATATATATTATATATATATATATTTTTCTTTTTTAAGTGGCGGAGCGAGGGCTACTGCACAGCTAGCAGAGTCGTGGCGAGGAGGACAGCACCTGCATCGAGCTCTCCGCCTCCCCCACCCACCAGCCCAGGCGGCCCCAGCAGCAGCGACCAGAGGAGCCCCTGCAGCAACGCAACGGCCAGGTGGACACCTCCATCTACAGCCTCGTGGCGGACGGGACCTGTTAGGACACGGCCATTGTGGGCAACAAGGACCCACCTTCCATCTGGGCCGCCGTCCCAGGGAAAACCTTCCTCAACATCACGCCAGCTGAGGTTGGTGTCCTGGTTGGCAAAGACTGGTCAAGCTTTGTCATGAATGGGCTGACACTGGGGGGGCCAGAAATATACTGTGGTCCTGGACTCACTGCTGCAGGATGGGGAATTGACCACGGATCTTTGTATGAAGAGCATCGGTGGAGCCCCCACCTTCAACGTCATTGTCACCATGACTGCCAAGACGCTAGGCCTGCTGATGGGCAAAGAAGGTATCCATGGCAATTTCATCAACAAGTAATGTTATGAAATGGCCTCCCACCTTCAGCGTTCCCAGTACTGACCTCCTTTGTTCCTTCCACTCCACCGCTCCCCACAGCTTTGCCCACCTTTCCTTCACATACACACACCATTTTAATTTCAGGAGTCATCACTCCACACACCTTATTGCTGCCAAAACCACATGGGCTGGGGGCCAGGGATAGATGGACAGACACCTTCCCCCACCCATACCCCTCCTGTGTGTGGCTGGAAAACTTTTTTTTGATAGATTTTTTATGAATAAAAAAGATTCTACTAAAAAAAAATCAATAACTGTACATAAGTGGGCATATTGTTTGAGTCTGTATTCTTTCACTTTGATATATTTATGAATACTTACACCATTACTACTGTTTTAAAATTACTGTAGCTTTAAAATCAGGTTTGAAATCTAGCAGAGTAAGTCCTCCAACTTATTGCTTCTTCAATATCGACTTGCTTATTCTAGGTTCTTTGATTTTCAAATACATTTTGAAACTAGCTTTCAAATTTCTCTAAAATCTCCTACTAGAAATAATAAGCAGAATTGTGTTGATGTAATATGCTAACAAAATTGAGTCTTCCAATCAATGAACATTATATATATTTATTTAGCCTTCTTTAATTTTTCTCACCAATTGCTTTTAGGGGCCTTGTACCTGCTTCATTGCATGTATTGTTAAGCATGTAATGATTCTGGCTATTAATCTCTATTATGTTTTATTGAATTTCATTTTCTAGCTGCTAATTGCTAGTATGGAGAAATTAAGATGATGAAAACAACTTTATAAAGGCATAATTTCGGTACAACAGACTGCACCACTTTAAAATGTGTAATTCAATGCACGTTTACAAATGGATACACTAACGGAACTACTGTCACAACCAAGATAGAGGAAATTCCCTATGCCCCAAAGTTTCTTGTACCCCTTTGCAGTTCATCAGCCTTTCAACCCTCAGCCCCAAGGAGCCACTGTCACTTCAGGTCCGTTTGCATTTTTAACCATTTTCTATAAATGAAATGATACCTGTGTTCTTTTGTGTCTGCCTTCTTTCATGCATCAATGTAATTTTAAAATCCATCTGTAATGTCTTGTAAATACTGAGTAGTATTCCTTCGTGTGGCTATACCATGTATGTTTGTACTTTCACTTATTATTGGACATTTCTATCATTCCGCGTTTGGGCTATTATGAAGAAACTATCATGAGCATCCATACGTGGCAGGCCAGGTCTCACTAACACAGGCCTCCCTAACAACTGTTTCAGTACCGACTGAGTGGTTCAATTAAATATTAAGAGGAAAAAAAAAAAAAAGAAGCCAGTGCCCTTATACAAAGGCTGGAATGTAACAAAAGCCCACCAAGAGTTTTGCCTAGGTTTTTCCTGGGCCTTAAAGCATGACGAAATAACGAAGGCATTCTTAACAGGAGCCATTTAGTATTAAACGAGTTTTATTGGGGGTCTGAAGAAACTCCCCAGGCCTCCACAAACAAGTTTATTGGAGATCTGAAGGGACTCTCCAAACCTCTGTGATTTAGCAGGAGACAAGATAAGGGCCCCCAGCACCTAGACCCATTTAGATTAACTGAATTTAACTGAGGTTCCAGAGGAAGGTCTTCAGGACTCAGACTTAGTTATAGATTAAAAGAAGTTAATCATTTATGTATTTAGATGAATGCACACTTCCACATACACATATAGCTTAGAAGGTACATTAGCTCAGGAAAACTTTCCAATTTTGAGTTGGTCTGGTGATAATTTCCAGGCCGTTTCCCTGTAACCAGTTGCAGAAGTCAAAACTCTCTTCCTCCCCAGTTCATCTGTGTCTCGTTACTGAGCCACGAGAAATAGCAGCCCGCCCCTCAGGTTGGTCTGGAAACACACATACAGATCATTGTGCAGACACAGTGTGTAAATTCCCAGGAATGGAATGACTGTCTATCTGATTTGTGTTATGTTTAACCTTTAAGAAACTGTTAGATTTTCAAAGGAGCCATACCATTTTTCATTCCTACAAGTATAAGACTTCCAAGTGCTTTATATCCTCACCAACAGGTGCTATTTTCAGCCTTTTTAATTTTAGCCATTCTTATGGATATGTACTGGTATCTCATTGTTGCACTGATTGATCTCCCTGATGACTAAACAGTGGAGCATCTTTTCCTATGCTAATTGACCATTCATGTGTCTTCTTTTCTGAAGTATCTAAGTCTTTTGAGAAATTGTTTCAATGTGCTGTTTATCGTATCAGACTGCAATATATATATATATGTGTGTGTGTGTGTGTCTGTATATATATATATATTCCCTATTTGGAGATGATAATCTTCAAAACGGTGAATATATATATATATACACACACACACACACACGTTTGTGTGTGTATGTGTGTATACATATATATATGTCCTAAGAATCAATTAGACATACATGTGAGTATCTATTTCTGGATTCTCTCTTCTCTTCCACTGATATATATTCCATTTTTTTTTTCAACAAAACACATAATCTTGATTTTCATAGCTGTAGAGTAATTCTGGAAATAGGTAGTGAATTCATTCACCATTATTCTTTTATAATATTGCTATTTTATTATTCTTGATCATTGACATTACCATATAAATGGTAGAATCAGCTTGTAAATTTCTACCAAAATGCCGGTTGGAATTTTTATTAGAATTGCATTGGATCTGGAGATCAATTTACGAAGAACTGACTTTTTAAACATAACAACTCTTCTGATCCATGACAAGGTTTATCTCCCCACTAATTTAGTTCTTTCATAATTTCCCAAAGCAATTTTTTGTAGTTTTTGTTGTACTGGCCTTACATAAATTTTGTTGACTTTCCTTTTTTTTTTTTTTTTTTTTTTGAGACAGAGTCTTGCTCTGTTACCCAGGCTGGAGTGCAGTGATGCGATCTCGGCTCACTGTAACCGCTGCCTCCCAGGTTCAAGTGATCCTCCTGCCTCAGCCTCCCAAGTAGCTGGACTACAGGCACATGCCACCACGCCTAGCTAATTTTTTGTATTTTTAGTAGAGATGGGGTTTCACTGTGTTAGGCATGATGGTCTCCATCTCCTGACCTCATGATCTGCCCACCTCGGCCTCCCAAAGTGCTGAGATTACAGGTGTGAGCCACGGTGCCCAGTCTGTTGAATTTATTTATAAGCACAACATGTATTTAGATGTTACTTTAAATGAAATTGTATTCTTATTTCATTTTCCAAATGCTCATTGCTAATATACAGAAATACAAAAGACCACTTATATTGAGAGCTTACATTCTGCAACACTACCAAACTCACTGATTAGTTCTGGTAGATTTTTGTAGATTTCTAGCATTGTTAACAAACACAGTCATTATCTGTGAATAAAGACAGCTTCAATTCTTTCTTTTCAATACTTTATTAATTTTTCTTACTTTATTGCATTGATTTAGAGCTCTAGTATAATGCTGAATTAGAAGAGTAACAACAGGTATTCTACTTTTTTCTCTGATTTAATAGAAAAGCATTCAATCTTATGCCATTTAATATAATGTTACCTGTGGGTTCTTCAAATCTGCCATTAATGGGGTTGGAAGTGTTGCCTTCTGTTCTCATCATGCTGAGCATTTTCTGGGGTTTGTTTTTATAAATCATGAAAAAAGTTTTCAATTTTGCCAAATGCTTTTACTGTGTATGACAAGGTAATCATACGGTTTTTCTCTTTTGCCCTGATAATATATAAAATGATATTTTTTAAATATAAAAAAGAGGCCGGGCATGGTGGCTCACGCCTGTAATCCCAGCACTTTGGGAGGCTGAGGCAGGCGGATCACACTTGTGGCAGCATTGAAGGCTTCACTCTTCCCCAAGGGATCCAATCTCCCCTCAGTCAAGAAGCTCCAGGTATCTGAACTGGATGCCAGGTCAAAAATTCCCACTATGGTGACTCCAACAGGTCTCTGTCCTCAGAACTAGAGCTTTTCTAATTATTACATAAGTTGACTTCTTAGTAGATTTCCCATCCATTACATCCCAGACACCTCACAATGATTAGTAACCACCACATGTCCCTGCCTCTCAAGGAAATCCCTCCCGCCTTGTCTCTAGACAGCCAAGTCCCACGGCCTGTCCTCTACTCTTCCAGAACCCTGTTGTTCTGACAGCAGGGAGGGCAAATCCATGCGGCATCTCCCGCCATGACCTCCAGCCTGCAGAGGAGAGGTGCCACAGGACCTTTACACGCACACCGCTGTTCCCCTCACCCATGCATTTCTTAATGCCTTGGTGAGGAGAATGCCTCTGGGTCTTCCTTGATGGGAGCTAAAGGAACAAAGGTAAATAATGCTATGGGACCCACTGAGAATTGGGGCTGTGGAAGAGTGGCCACTGAAGTAATAGACAGATGCAGCTATTGCCAGATACTCAGTGCCAGAGCAGGGAGGGAGAGGGAAGAAATACGGACCTCACCTTCCTCTCACTTCCAGGCTCCATCGGGTGCCCCCATTGCTAAACCTAACTACAAGTGTGCACACAGGGGAGCCAGGGATGCATTCTAGAAGGGACAAGCCCCAAGTGGCATAAGACAGGATGGAAATGAGTGGAGAGTGGATCTGTGGGAAGGAGGAGGGGATGTTATGGGGAAACAAAAGGAGAATACTAGCTAATAACGCTAGGTGACACTAATATCCCCAAGTCTGTGCTCATATTCGGAAAAGACAGCTCAGCGTAAAGCACTCAACCAGGAGTCAAGATATTGTTATTTTCAACTGTTGTTCCAACAGTTGTATTATAAAGGGCTAGTTTATTTCATGCCTTTCTAATTTGACATAAAGTGCTACATGGCATTGGGGCTGGTACAGCCTCGCTCAATTATGGGTTGAAGAGTACACAGAGACTGCCAGGCTGAGGGAAGGTGCAAGAGAATAGAAGAGATGCTCACAGAGAACCACAGACCGCACGGCCCCAGAGTCAGGGGCAGCATCAGCCACTGTCGGCTGCTCATTTGTCCAGACAGAGCCCACAAGCCTCAGCCATGCTTTGCTTCTGCAAGATGCTTCTTCACCTTTTCAATAAACCTGCCTGAATTAAAGCTGATGGGAGTTTATTTCTCCTTCATCATAAAAGAAATTCTTCACCACAACAATCTCCAATGAATTGTGGGCACAGAAGGCAGACCCATCCCTGCTTCTCTTCCACTATCTCCCCTGTAGGTTGAAAAGGAGGAGGTACTGAATTACCTCCAAATGTTCCTTTGGCTCTGATATTCTGTGACTCTGGTTTCTTTTTGGCTACTTTGTTTTTGGAAGCATGTATCCTAAGGCGTCCAGTTGAAAAAACTTTGTCTACTGTGTCCAGACATTCCTGGTGGTATTTCAGATAAGACACTCTTGGGTTGCTGCACTCACAACCACTGAACCAATTCTATGACCATCTGTTTCATGGCCACCTGTTTGCTCATTTCCTATGTACATAAAGGGAGGGGACAGACAATAAATTTGCATATTATAAACTGTATCATCTTAAAAAGGAAACAAGGCAATATTTTGCAATAAAACCTTAAGATGCATTAAATTTAAGCCTAATGCAATAAAGAATGCCCATAAAATTATTATCTAAAGAATGTTTAGAAAATTGTTCAACAAGGGACATCATCATTTAAAGTGATACGAAGAAAACTCAGCTAAGCATATGGGCTAGATTAGAGAGAAAAATAAAGGACCCATCTCTGCCCTGGAAAAACTACTGGTAGCATCTTTCAGAAAGCTCTCTGTGTTTGAGTACGCACCTTGATCCATAGGCTCACATTTGATCCCAACTGGCGGCTGCTTCTTGGCATTAACTTTGGATTCCCAACCAGTAAATCTTAGCAAGATCTGAGTTTCTCCAGGTATGATATTATTTTGTTTGACCATCCTTATCTTCAAGGGCTACCAAGAAGAAACAAATCATTTATTTACCTCCCCAGAGGAAAAGGTTTTACCAATGAGACACTTTCTTACCATGACCCCAGGGCCCCCATGCCCTGTTCACTTGAGTGCCCTGTGTGGCCTGAGAGAAGCTCATACTGGTCACAGGATTCTTTATATGATTAACCTCCTTCCTGAATCCCAACTTTATGGTGGTGGTGATGACAGGTATCCCATGCTCATGTCCCTGAAGTCATCAGCCTGTCTCCAGTTAGAAAAAATTACATGTATATAGAGAGGCCTCTTTGGAAGTAGCAAAAGCTTTCTCACCTTCATACATTAATGGTTGGAATGTACAATAGTATAAACACTTTGGGAAAAAATGTCTGGCATATTCTTACAGAACTAAACAACTACCTATTCTATGACTCACTAATTCCTAAGCATTTATCCAAGAGAAATTAAAACATATGTCCAGAAAATGATTTATACAAGAATGTTCATAGCAGTTTTATTCATAATAGGAAAAACTGGAAACATTCAAATATCTATCAATACAAGAATGGATCAATAAACTGTGATACATTCATTCCATGGAATGGCTAAAGGAACAAACTTTTGACACACAAAACAACATGGATGAATCTCAAAAACATTTTGAGTGCAATAGGAGCCATACGCAAAACAGTGTGAGAAAAATGATAAATAATAATGGTTTCAAGAAATGCAGAGCAGAGAGCCCAGAGGCAAAGACCCACAGGACAGAGGGTCAGTCCCAGGCTGTGGATCCTAACTAAGAAACTCCTGCTGGATTTTGCCCAGCTCCATTTCCAAACTATTTTGGGTTATTGACTTCTTTATCCCCTCCATGTTCCCTCATTTTGAACTAGAATCACTGTAGTGGTTATTCTATGTCTGTCCCATCATTTCACATTAGGGGCAGATAAGCTGTTTGTTCAGTTTCACAGGTCGACAGAGGTAAGGGAATTATGTCAAGGATCTGCACTTAATGGACACTCTCGGAAGCCTCATTCACACCTGGTGTGGATGTTTTAGATGGGATTTTAAACTTTTGATCTGATGTGGTCTACATGACATTTTTCATGTTGAACTAATGCTTTAATGACATGAAATCTGGAAACCTCAGGGGAGAGGGTAAATGCACTTTGCAGATGGGGGAATGTGAGTGTCCTACTGTGGTAAATGGAATTTCTGAAATGGTCCCCAAACATGCCACACCCTTGTCTCTAAAGCCTCTTAAGGTGATGAGACACCATTCCTGTGACTATGTTGTTATATGCCAGTTATATGACTTTAAGATGGTGAGGTTACCGCATGAACTGGATCTAATCACATCACTCCATACATGACAGAGCTTTGTGTGGCTGGTTGGAGAAGATGAAGTCAGAGAAGGTGGGAGCTTGAGAAGGACTCCATGAGTTGTTATTGGTTGAAAGATGAAACAGACAGGTAAGGAGGAAAGCACGTGGCCTCTGGAGTCAGAGTAGACTGTCTCCCCGCTGACAGCCAGCACAGAAAAAGGGCCCTCAGTCCCCCACAAACTAGAATAGGAACTCTTTCATTATCTGTAGTGAACCTGGAAAAATAGCTTGAGCTCTAGGAAAAAAACACAGCCAGCCCATTCCCGGATTTTAGCCTCACATGACTCTGATCAGAGAACCCGGCCACTTCATTCCAGACTTCTGTGGTTTCAAACCACTGGTTTGTGGTAATGTGATAATAGGCAGCAAGAGAAAACTAGTACAGGTGCCTGTCTCTCCTCTTGAATTTCAATTTCAGATAAATGTATGCTAACCCTCTAAGAGAAAAAAATCAATCAACCAATCAATGAAAGAACTACAGTAAAAATATTGCCCTCACCTTTATGTGGCTGTTCCAGAGCCCTTGCCACCTGAAGAAGACAATGAGGGGTATTTCAGGCACTTGAGGAGTGTGGCTTTACTATTATCAATCACATTTCTGGAAGAATAAAAATGGTTCAGTGAAGGGATGGGTTGCCCCTCCACACCTGTGGGCATTTCTCATTAGGTGGAAGGAGAGACTTGGAAAAGAAAGAGACACAGAGACAAAGTACAGAGAAAGAAAAATGGGCCCAGGGGACCGGCGTTCAGCATACAGAGGACCCATGCCGGCACTGGCCTCTGAGTTCCCTTAGTATTTATTGATCATTATCGGGCATTTCTGGAGAGGGGGATGTGGCAGGACAATAGGATAATAGTGGAGAGAAGATCAGCAGGTAAACACGTGAACAAATGTCTCTGCATCATAAACAAGGTAAAGAAAAAAGTGCTGTGCTTTTGATGTGCATATACAGAAACATCTCAATGCCTTAAAGAGCAGTATTGCTGCCAGCATGTCCCACCTCCAGTCCTAAGGCGGTTTTCTCCTATCTCAGTAGATGGAATATACAATCGGGCTTTACACCGAGACATTCCATTACCCAGGGACGAGCAGGAGACAGATGCCTTCCTCTTATCTCAACTGCAAAGAGGCCTTCCTTCCTCTTTTACTAATCCTCCTCAGCACAGACCCTTTATGGGTGTCGGGCTGGGGGACAGTCAGGTCTTTCCCTTCCCACGAGGCTGTATTTCAGACTATCACATGGGGAGAAACCTTGGACAATACCTGGCTTTCCTAGGCAGAGGACCCTGCAGTCTTCCGCAGTGTAGTGTGCCTCTGGGTACTTGAGATTAGGGAGTGGTGATGACTCTTAACAAGCATGCTGCCTTCAAGCATTTGTTTAACAAAGCACACCCTGAACAGCCCTTAATCCATTTAACCCTGAGTTGACACAGCCCATGTCTTAGGGAGCACAGGGTTGGGGGTAGGGTTACAGATTAACAGCGTCTCAAGGCAAAAGAATTTTTCTTAGTACAGAACAAAATGGAGTCTCTTATGTCTACTTCTTCCTACACAGACACAGTAACAATCTGATCTCTCTTTCTTTTCCCCACAGTTCAGGTCAGGCCGTGGCTCGTGTCTGTAATCCTAGCACTTTGAGAGGCCAAGGCAGGTGGATCACTTGAGGTCAAGAGTTAGAGACCAACCTGGCCAACATGAAGAAACCCTGTCTCTACCAAAAATACAAACATTAGCCAGGTGCGGTGGCAGGCGCCTGTAATCCCAGCTATTCAGGAGGCTGAGGCAGGAGAATCACTTGAACTCAGGAGGTGGAGGTTGCAGTGAGCTGAGATGGCGCCGTTGCATTCGAGCCCAAGGAAAAGAGAAATAACTCCATCTCCAAAAGAAAAGATAAAATAAAGACGGTTCACTACTTAACTCCAAATATTATTATGTGAAAATGTATCATCTCAATTTTAATAGCAGATTTTAAAAAATTCCTTTTCTTGTGCTCACCAGACAAGGTTTGGTAACAAATACCAGTCACCAGCACAGATGAACCAATTCAAGGAGAGCCATAAACAGGACTACTATTATGTTTCCCCAAAAACCATCCCTAGAATGCAATCTCTTCTCTACTTGTCACAAAACGAACACAATAGTCCACTATATAAAGTCCCAAACACAGGAAAATGTAAATATAATGAAATCTGCTTTCCAAATGTTTATTCTATTCAGACCCAGTCATGGGGACCAGGGATTAGGAAATGACTACAAACAGGTTCAAGGGAATTTGGGAAGTGACAAAATATGCTGAAGTAGAACTCTGCTGATGGCTGCACAATTCGATAAATCAACTTACATCATTGAGTTGTACATTAACAATGGGGGACTTTTATAACAAGTAATTCTTTAAACAAACTTTTAGGTTTCTATTTCAACATGGAAAGAGCTAGGCAGTCATCACTTGTCCTCACAGCTAGAAAAAAGCTGAACAAACTGAAAGTCAACCCTTCTAGGGTGGATCAGAGAATTGAGGTCACAGGGAAAACTGCCACCTTAAAAATGAGAAACACAGGCTAACACACAAGGAGTCACAGCTCACAGGGAAGAGAAGCTACTGGGGACAGCAAGTGGGAGGAGCACTTAAATGATATTGACAGATTACTAGAAGCTGAGGGTAGCCTGGCTAGAACATTAAAAACACCTTGAAGACCAGACTAAGGGGGAATCTCACACATTTCCAAGTGTTACTACAATGATCTCAACCAGGTTCTCATGATGAAGTTCAGAAAAACTCCCTGAGGTTTGGCACTACCAACTTCAGGACTTACATTAAGCTACAGTAACCCAAATAGTGTGAAGTTGGTGAAAAGAGAAAACACACACATATAGATGCATGGAAAAGAATACGGAGCCCAGAAGCAGGCCTACATACAGTCCACTGATCTTCCATGGAGGTTTAGAGACAATTTAAAACAGCAAAGATAGCCTTTCCAACTAGTGGTGCTAGAACAGCTGGACAACCACATGCAAAAAAATAAATAAATCCAGGTATGCATGTTATATACCCTTTATAAAATAAATCTTACACGTAAATGTAAGGTGCAAAACCATAAGAATCCTAAGAGATAAAATAGGAGAAAATCTGAGGGATCCTGGGTTCAATGATGGCTTCTTAGATACAAAACCAAAAGCACAATCTACTAATGAAAAAAAAATTAAGTTGAGCCTCATTAAAATTAAAAACTTCTGTTGTGTGAAAGACACTGTTAAGAGAATGGAAAAAGCAAGTCACAGACTGGGAGAAAATATTTACAAAATAATCTGATGGAAAAACTGCTGTCCAAAATATATGAAGAATTCTGAGAACTAAACAACACAAAGCAAAAAAAAAAAAAAAAAAGGTGAAAGATCTGAACACCTCATTAATAAGATATACAGATGGCAAATAAGCATATGAGAAAGATGTTCAAAATCATTTGTTGTGAGGGAATTGCACATTAAAACAACGAGATATCACTGTAAACCTATCAGAATGGCTAAAACACAAAACGGTGAACACACCAAATGCTGTCGAAGATGAGGAACAACCAGAACTCTCCATAGCTAGTGGAAATCAAAAGTGTACAGTCACTTTGGAAAACTTAAGTTCATTCAAAATCCTGCACATAAGTACTTGCAGCAATTTTATCATAATTGTCAAAACTTGGAAGTACCCAAGACGTCTTTCACCAAGTGAATGAATAAACAAACTGTGTTGTAGCCATACAATGAAATCTGATTCAGTGATTTTACAAAACAAGCTGTCAAGTCATGAAAAGACGTGGAGGAACTTAAAAGTACATAATGCTAGAAAGAAGCCAGTCTGGAAACCTACATACTGTAATTCCAACTCTAGGACATTCTTGGAAAGTCAAAAAGATAGAAGTAGTAAAATGATGAGTGGTTGTCAGGGGTGGAGGAGAGGAGGAGGCACGAAATGGTGAAGTACAGGGAATTTTCAGCAGTGAAACTATTTTGCATGATGCTGTATTGGGGATTTAGGACATTACATAATTGCCAAAACCCATAATCTGTGAAACTCAAAGAATGAACTCTAGTGTAAACTATGGACTTTAGTTGATAATGATGTATCAATAGTGGTTCATCAATTGTAACGAATGGACCACACTAATACAACATACTAATAGGGGAAACTGTGTGCTGGAGGACAGGGGAGCCTAGGAGAACTCTCTGTACTATCCACTCCATTTTTCTGTAAACCTAGAACTGTTCTAAAAAATAACATCTATTACTTTTTTTTAATTAGGATGCAGCAGCCCCATACCAAGGTTTTGGTGGCATCCTGTTATTGTGTGGTTAGTACTTGGCATTGAAGTGCACCAACCTGGAGTCAGAGCAGTTGGAGATTTCAATGCCTGTGCCATTTACCTCTAACCCTGGGGTGCCCCCGGAACACAGATAGCAGATCAGTTAGGCAGAAGCAGCCTCAGTCATCTAGACAGTGCAGGGTTCTGGTAAGGACAGGTGCAAACCATCTAGGTGGGCAGAACTTGGTGATGACTAGGAACCACTGAGACTCAGCAGCTGCCCCAGTGGCACCCACAAATCAGAGGAGGAGGAGGCTGGGAGGACCTAAGGGCTACAGGACGAGCTCCCTGCCTACAAGACAGAAGCAGCTCCAGAGGTTTTGGTAAGTAATGTAGATTTCAGTGCAGTGTGGTCTATTTAAAAAAGTAGAACAAAAAGGAAAGAAAAAGAGAGAACATGAGAGACAAAGAAAAAGAAAAGAAGAAAGGAAGAAAGGAAAGAATGGAGGGAGGGAAGGAAGGAGGAAGGGAGGAAGGAAGGAAGGAAGGAAGGGAGGGAGGGTGGAAGGGAAGGAGGGAGGGAAAGAATAAAGAGAGAGAGAAAAAGAGTGGGAGAGAAGTAGGGAAGGGAGAGAAGTAGGGAAGGAAGGAAGGAAGGAAATGAACAAATTTACATGAAGATGAGAACATCCAGGGGAACTTACACCACCAGTATTTTCCATTAACAGGAACACGCTAACTAGTTATTGGAGAGAGACGCACTACTGTAAAACTATATACTGTTTCCATGGGGTACAACCCCTTCTTCCTCCTCTGAAACACATTATTCCTCTGGCCCACTGTTGCCAGAAACACTGAGTCTTGTCTTTGGATAAGTTCTGGTGCCCCAAAGAAAGAGATGAGACAGTGGATCCCAGAACACCAGGCCGCAACCTTCCCTGCTGCTCCTTGTCCACTCCAGAAGCTGCCCAGCTGCAGGTGGGGGCCTCAGCCCCTGGGTCTGACATCGTCCATTTGTCATTCTCACTGGACTTCCCTCCTTGCACTGGCTCCCACTCCCCCAGGACCTGGTGGACGGCCACGTGAGAAGGATACAAACAGGCCATGCCCCTTTCTTTCTCCCCCTCTCAATGCCTGCAGTGGTGGGTTCCATGGGGTAGTGACCTGAGATTTACTCGTTATGGGGTCTCTAGCCCAGAGCAGGGCATGGTACCTAATAGTCACCCCATGAATGCTCAGTGAAAGAAGGCGTCCACCACAAGGTCCTGGGGAACCAAGAATTCCACTGTGGCCCATAAATTCTAAGTCCCACAGGATTCTGGAATGGGAGATGGGAACGGCCTTCAAAAGTGGCCTCTCTTTTAACCCATTATACTGGCAACTGAGCCATGTTTCCCCATCCTGGACACATCTAGAGGGCACTGCCTAAAACCACACACATCTCCCCACCCAGGACAGTGCAGGGCCTTAGCCTGGGGGATGCAGGTGGACAGGGAGGGGGTGAGCCATGAAAGCTGAAGAGGAGAAAGCAGGTGAAAGGGGACGGCAGGGTGGAAACAAGAGATGGAAATGGGGGCAGAGAATGGGGGGTAAGAGGGGAAGAGCAAGGAGTGGGATGCAGATCTAGCTACTAAGGAAAAGTCCTGGAGAGAACACTGTCCTCTCCTGAAGTAAAATCACTTCCACCTGACAACGGCACTGCAGGTCGAGGGTGGCACACGCTGTGAATATTTGTTCATTCACTTAACAAATATTAATTCAGTATCTGTTTCATGCCAGGTAAGGCCCTGCGATGTTTAGGGCCCTTGGCATCTTCCCTTCACATCTGAGTCATAATAGAAAAAGGACTCTCTGACTCCATCGAGCTGGCAATGCCTCAGGGTTTTTACCTGTGGGATCTGGCAGCTCTTCATTTGGCCCACACCGTGTGAGGTTGCTCTTGGTGCACCGAATGGGGAAGTTTCTACATCAGTACCTCGGAGAGTCCACTGGAAGCCCTGGACAGTGGGAATTGGTGGCACCCCCAGCATGGAGGCCAAGAACACACAGCACTGAAGCTCCAGGACACCCTCAGGAGGACGGTAAGGGACGGTAAGGTGAGAGCCTGGGTCACCAGGAACCTTCGCCTGCATCTAAACAGGATTTGCTTTCAGATTGCCTATGAGATAAAAGAGAGAAATCATGGTTAATATTGAGATTTGGGGCTTCGGCAACTTGAAGGATGGAGCTGCCGTTTACGGAGACTGGGAAGACCCAGGGAGGAGCAGGTTGAAAGGTGGTGGGGAACTAGAATTGTTTGGGTTCCTGTCATATGTAATCAACAGTCCTCACCAGCCTCGGCAACATAGTAAGACCCCATCTCTGAAAATAAAAAATGAAAAATTGGCCCAGCATGGTGGCACACACTTGTAGTCTCAGCTACTCGGAAGGTTGAGGCAGGAGGATTCCTTGAGCCTTGAATTAGAGGTTAGTGAGCTATGATGGCACCACTGAACTCCAGCCTGGGGGAAAAAAAAATAAAGAGTCCTGACTAAATACTTGAGTAGCCAGGGAAGTTTTCACCAAGTAATACTTGAGGCAGATCTTAGTGAACAAGAATTTGATTCTTTCTGTTAGGGAATTAAGAGTGTGTGGGTGTAGTTAATGCTTCTTTGGAATCTCATCTACTGGTCTATCTGTACACGTATATTCTACAGGCTATCTCGCTGAGCTTTCGCTAGGTTATGCTACAGTAACAAAAGCCCCAAAATCTTAGCAGCAACACATACAAAGGTTTATTTTTCATTGACATTTCCTTTTATGTCAGGTTGACTGTGACTCTGCTGTATACAAGCTATTTTATTTGTTAGATGGTGAAAACTGTGACACTTGGAGATTGTTGAATATGGTATATTAGTATGTTCATTCATTCATTCATTTAACAAATATTTATTCAATATCTGTTTCATGCCAGGCAAGGTCAAGTACTGAGAATACAATGGTGAATAAGAGACAAAATCTCAAATTTCCAGGAGCTTATGTTGAAAATGAGATTGAACACATACAAAATAATCATAATAACAACAATGAATACTATATTCATAAATAATAGCTGTTAAGAGATTTTAGTAAATCTTTTAAATTAGAAAAACATAAAAATCATTAAAACTAAAATGGCCAGCGGTGATGGCTTATGCCTGTAATCCCAACACTTTGAGATGCCAAGGTGGGAGGATCATTTGAGCCCAGGAGTTTGAAACCAGTCTGGGCACTACAGGAAAACCCTGTCTACAAAAAATAGAAAATTAGCCGGGCATAGTGGTGCATGCCTGTAGACCCAGCTACTAAGGAAGCTGAGGTGGGCAGACTGCTTGAGCCTGAGAGGTCAAGGCTGCAGAGACCCATGATCGTACCACTCCACTCCAGCCTGGGCAACAGAGCGAGACACTGTCTCAAGAAAAAAAAAAAAAATGGTTCGATGTAGTCCTAAAACTATTATGTAGAATACTATTGTTTACATCATATCACGTCGGCCCTTTAAATGGCTTAACGCTTATTTAGGTACGATCCATAAAGTTTTCCTGGTAATTAAGTATACCTAAGAACAATGAAGTATAAAAGAGTTACTGCCTTGACAGGAAGATTGTAAAAATTGTAAAAAGATAAATAAATAAAGAGTCAAAACTGTAGCTCTGTGAGGCTCAAATAACATCTAATTCAAGTCACAATGAACATCTAGCAATCACTGTGAACACCACATACTTCCCTTAATACATTTTCCCTGAATGCCCAACACATCTGAATTACCAACACCCGTATGTAGCCAAGAAACTGACAATCATTTATAAATTATCACCTATGACTCCATCTGCTCTATGCACTTATTTTTTAAATTTTACTCATTTATTTATTATTTTTATTTTTTGTAGAGATGGGATCTCACTATATTGCCCAGGTTGGTCCAGAAACAGAAACAGACCCACACTAATTTCATAAATTGGATGACCATGCAGTCATCCGATTTAAGAAAAAAAGTGCCAAACAGTGCAGAAGGAAAAGGATAGTCTTTTCAATAAATGGTGCTGGATCAAGCAGACACATCCATGTAGTAAAAAGTGAATCACAGCCGGGTGGGGTGGCTCATGCCTGTAATCCCCACACTCTGGGAGGCTTAAGTGGGAAGATTACTTGAGCCCAACAGTTTGAGACCAACCTGGGAAACATGTTGAATCCCCATCTCTACAAAAAGTATGAAAATTAAGCCAGGCATGGTGGCACACTCCTATAGTCGCAGCTACTCAGGAGGCTGAGGTGGGAGGATCGCTTGAGCCAGGAGGTGGAGGTTGCAGTGAGCTGAGATCCTGCCACGGCACTCTAGCCTGGGCAATAGAGTGAGGCCCTGTCTGAAAAAAAAAAAAAGAAATGCAAAAACTAAAATAAAATTGCTATAAGGTTAACACAGAAAAATGTGTTCATACTCCTAGGTTAGGCATTGATTTCTTAAACAGGACACAAAAAGCAGTAACCATAAAGGAAAAGATTGATAAAGTATAATTTCATTAAAATTAAGAATCTCAGGCTGGGTGCAGTGGCTCATGCCTGTAATCCCAACACTTTGGGAGGCCGAGGCAGATGTCTCACCCGAGCCTAGGAATTCCAGACCAGCCTATGCAATGTGGCAAAACCCCATCTCTACTAAAAATACAGAAAAGAGCTGAGTGTGGTGGTGCTCACCTGTAGGTCCCAGCTACTTGGGGGCTGAGGCAGGAGGATCACCTGAGCCTTGGGAGGTCAAGGTTGTGGTCAGCTGTGATTGTGCCACTGCACTCCAGCCTGGGCAACAGAGTGAGATCTTGTCTCAAAAAGAAAAAAAAAAGTTAGAGAATCTCCATTCATGAATAAGCACCATTAAAAGAGCGAAAAGGCAAGCTACAGATTGAAAAAAGGGAAATGCAATACATATATATCGTAGAAAGGACACATATCCGGAAAAAAGTATTACAAATCAACAGAAAAACAAGCATATCAATGAAAACTGGATAAAAAGATTTAACAGGCACTTCACAAAAGAGGACACACAAATGACAATAAAAGATACTCAATCTCAATACCAGGAAAATGCAAAATGAAATCACACTGATACATTACTGCACCCCTACTAGAATGGCAAAATAATTTTTAACTGACAGGCATCAGCAAGGATGTGGGGTAACCAGAATATCCCTGCTAAATGGTACAACCACTTTGGGAAAACGTTCAACAGTATGTAATACTAAGTTTTATCATTCATATACCTCTAAAACCAACAATGCCACTCCTACAAATATACCCCAGTCTAGTAATGCTCTATTTCTTGATCTGTGGTGGTTCACTTGGTAAAAATTCATTACCTGTACTTTTTTTTTTTTTTTTTTTTTTGGAGACAGGGTCTCACTCTGCCACCCAGGCGGGAGTGCACTGCCATGATCACGGCTCACTGCAATCTCAACCTCCTGGGCTCTGGTGATCCTCCCACCTCAGCCTACCAGGTAGCTGGGACTACAGGCACACACCACCACACACAGCTAACTTTTGTAATTTTAGTAGAGATAGGGTTTTGGCACGTTGCCCAGGCTGGTCTGGAAATCCTGGGCTCAAGTGATCCGCCCACCTTGGCGTCCCAAAGTGCTGGGATTACAGGTGTGATCTACCGCGCCCGGACCACCTGCACATTTAAAATTGTGAACCTCTCTGTATACTTCAGTAACTTTTCAAAGATTTCTTTGACACAAAGTTCTCAGAAATCTTAAAGCTAGCATTTCACAACAGAAAAAAAGAGCTTCTGGTTCACTGGTGAAATTTTACTAATAAAATTTAAAAACAAAAAGCTACTAACACATATCAGCTCAGAACAAAGACTAAACACTACCAGCAGATCTTTCCTTTAACCTCGTGAAGCACTGGGATTCATTCTTTCGGCAAAGAAAGGATGAACAACACTGTAACCCAAAGAAAAGATACCACTGCAAGAAAAGACTTCTTTTCGAAAGCAGCTCTAGCAGCAAAAGATAGGAGGAAAGCAAGGAAACCATGCCAAACGTCTTGGTTAACTCTTCGGAGAAAGGACGCCAAATGAGAAGATCTAACAAGCCAGAAAGACAGATACAGGGAAATCACAGCAACTCTTTGGAGTGCAAACACCAACCCCACAATCCAACCTACCGGAAATCCTGCGGTGAATTAGAGGCCTGCCCCGCTAGTCATGAGGTGATTCAGTGACGGCTACAAACGCTCCTCATGTGCATCCTGGACTTGGTACACCCGGCTTGCCCATCACCAGCCTGGAGAAACCGCCAGGAGCAGAATCCCGGAGGCCAATAAAGACCCCAACTTTGCAAGTCAGGGGCGCGAGTGGTCTCGCTTCTCAGGTCCCCAGAGGCAACCGATTTCTGGCCTCGAGGGTGGGGTGCGGGGTCAGGGTCCTCCACAGGATACACGAGGACGTGCCCCCGAAGCTGCTCGTCCCTCCACCCCCTGGGATGCCACAGAACACCCGCCAGCGAGTTTCTTCCCCAGCGCCCAAGAGATGAGGGCTGCGGGCGGCAGCGGCAAGCGAGGAATCGAACGCATGGAACTTAAGCCCCGGCGGGGCCGGAACACACGCCCTCCCAACCCCCCACCCCGCCTCGCCCTCCGTCGCTCGCAACAAAGCTTGCGACAGCCGCAGCTCGACCCAGCTGTGTACCCGCGGGTCCCGGACTCACCGCCCGCCCGGCCTGGCGCGGCGCCTTCACCTCGGAAACGCTGGGTGGACTTCGCTGTAAACCGTAACTTCCCATCCAGACGGCAGCCGCGCCGCCGCGCCTCGGCCCGCTCCTGGCGCCACAGGTCGCCCGTCCCGCGTTCCCAAAAGCACCGCGTTCACTCAGAAGCTCACGCTGCCTCGCGACGCTCACCTACCCCTCCCAATATCGCCGCTGTCTCAACCGCCGCCCAGCCCATAGCCTGCGGCCAGCTGGATCCTCAGGGTCCCGCTCGGCGCGTCAGGAGAGCCCAAGGCGCAGGCGCAGCGGGGCCTTAAAGGTACATGGCCGCCTCTGCGGCACAGCGGGTTCGCGCGGGCCAGGAAAAGGAGTAACCGAGCGGATAGACAGAGTGCAGCAGAGACCGGGAAATCCCTCTCTCCCCTCCGCCTCTCTTTTAAAGCACCAGCCCTTGACCCTACAAATCGCTGATTTCCCGGGCCACTTGAACTGCCCCTGCCAGGTTAAAGGGGCAGAAGACACACCCCCTCGGGGGCCCGGAGCGACCCCGCGCTTAGGACTGCAGGCCTGGTGCTGCAGCACCGCCCCCGAGTCTGACTTCCAGGCCCGGGCATGGGGTGCAGACGCGCAGACGTGGGAAGGCAACCCCCAGCTCCCCCGAGAGGTGGCCTTAGGTCACTCGCAAAAACAATAACCCACATGTCAGTGGGACTTGTAGTGATTTTCTAATTTAAATTAATAACAGATTTTGCAGATGGGCTTCCACTGAAATAAGCCTTTGAGAAAAAGAAAAACTTTTTCAACAAGATTAGGAAATACCAAGAAATAGGAAGTAAAGCCATGCCGTCCACCCAGCTAACAGCTTTGAAAACTTGAAATTTTATCTAAGGCAAATGCTTGCATAACTTTAGGTAGTGCCATTATTATTATTGTTATTATTATTATTATTATTATTATTTGAAACGGAGTCTTGCACTGTCGCATGCAGTGATGCCATCTCGGCTCACTGCAACCTCCGCCTCTTGGGTTCAAGTGATTCTCCTGTCTCAGCCTCCCGAGTAGCTGGGACCACAGGCCCTCGCCACCACGCTCGGCTAATTTTTGTATTTTTAGTAGAGACGGGGCTTCACCATGTTAGCCAGGCTGGTCTCGAACTCGTGACCTCAGGTGATCCACCAGGCTTACCCTCTCAAAGTGCTGGGATTACAAGCATGAGCCACCCACTGGGCAAGGCCTGCCTGGAAATAATCGTGAGAAATAAACTCACCCGTCCAAACCCAAAGAATGGACTCCAAGACCCGGAAAACAGCAGAAGTGCGACTTATTATTAATGACAGTCTTGCAAGATCGGGTGTCTGGTAGGCAGGCACACCCAGTAGGCTTACAACAAGCAATTTATCCCCTAGTGTGGAAGTGCCTCCCCCGGTTCCTCATAGGCTGAGTACTATGGGGTCACAGTATTCCCGGATGTCGCCTATTGGATCTTGGGTTGGGACTTTTAGGTTGTTGTTTTTTTTTTTAGGGTTGTCTCCCTGTATTTTGTTGCAGCCCATAATGCATTGCAATCATGGTCAGCTCGGGGGCTTTTCAAGTATTAGACTTATGACCTGGGCAGTCAGGCAAGCTGATAAGAATAGATGTAGCGAACTATTTTGCAGGCTAGTAAATGTCCATTCTAGACTAAACTCTTTGGTTTGGACAAGGCAGCTAAGGTGGGGGAGTGGGGGTGGGCAACAAGCAGGCACCAGCTATTAAAGCAGTGGCCTAGTATATTCTGTTCTTCCATAGTTTGCGGGCCCAAGCCTAACTTCCTACAATAATAATTATATACAAAAGTTTTTAAAAGGGATAAAAGAAAAGAGGGGATGTCTCAAATGAATACACTTAAGCTCCCCCCTCAAGAAACAAGAAAAAAGCAGGTAAAAGAAACCTAAAGCAGGCCAGGCACGGTGGCTCACGCCGGTAATACGAGCACTTTGGGAGGCCAAGGTGGGTGGATCACCTGAGGTGAGGAGTTTGAAACGAGCCTGGCCAACAAGGCAAAACCCCGTCTCTACCAAAAATACAAAAAAATTAGCTGGGCATGGTAGCAGCCACCTGTAATCCCAGCTATTCTGGAGGCTGAGGAAGGAGAATCGCTTGAACCCGGGAGGTGGAGGTTGCAGTGAGCTGAGATCGCACCACTGCACTCCGGCCTGCACCATGGGAATGAGACTGATTCTACAAAAAAAAAAAAAAAAACCTAAAGCAAATGGAAGGAAATAATACAGATAATAGCAGAAATCAATGGCATTGAAAACAGAAAAAAACAAAAGGGGAAACTAGTGAAAATAAAGCTGTCTCTTTGAAAAGATCAATAAACTTGACAAAGAAAAAAAGAAGTCAGCTTATGAACATCAGGATGAAACAGGGACTACACTCATTACAGACTGCAGATATCAAAGGGATAATAATAAGGGAAAAACTATTTAAAATTCTGTACACACATATATTTGACAACCCAGATGAATTGGACAAATGTGTCGTAAGTATCAACTACCACAACTTACCTAAAGCAAAACAGGTCATCTGAGTAGCTCTGTAACTATGAAAATAATTGGATTCCTAATTTTAAAATTTCCAGAAAGAAAAGCTCCAGGTCCAGATGGTTTCACTGGAGAATTCTACCAAACGGTTGAAGAAAAATTAACATCAATTCTTTTTTTTTTTTTTTGAGGCAGAGTCTTGCTCTGTCTCCCAGGCTGGAGTGCAGTGGTGCAACCTTGGCTCACTGCAAGCTCCGCCCTCCAGGTTCACGCCATTCCCCTGCCTCAGCCTCCCGAGTAACTGGGACTACAGGTGCCCACCACCACGCCCGGCTGATTTTTTGTATTTTTGGTAGAGACGGGTTTTCACCGTGTTAGCCAGGATGGTCTCGATCCCCTGACTTCGTGATCCGCCCGCCTTGGCCTCCCAAAGTGCTGGGATTACAGGCGTGAGCCACCGCGCCCAGCCGAATTAACATCAATTCTGTACAATCTGTTCCAGAAAATAGAAGATGAAGGAACACCTCTCGACTATTTCTGTAAAACTGTGATTACCCCAACTCCAAAACCAGACCACAAAAATGTTTATCAGTCAATGAAGAAAAATCATTTGACAAATTCAACATCTATTCATGATAGAAATAAAGAAGGGAGGCCAGGCTCTTTGGCTCATGCCTGTAATCCCAGAACTTTGGGAGGCCAAGGTGGGTGGATCACCTGAGGTCAACAGTTCGAGACCAGCCTAGTCAACATGGCAAAACCCCATCTCCCTGTTAGGATTCTGTAATTTCTGTTTTTCTCATCTGCAGTATATGGATTTGTTTGCTCCACACCATCCATTCTGCTGCTGAGCCTATCTGCTGGACTTTTTATTTTAGTTGCATTTTTCACTTCTAATACTTCCATTTGGTTCTTATTTATGTCTTGTATTTATTTGCTGAGTCTTTCAGGAATTAAGGGGTAGATCAAAAGAGTTTCAGATTAAGAAAAGCTAAGGGAATCTCTGACCAGTAGTTCTGCCTTAAAAGAAAGATGTCCATAGAAAAAAGAACAAAGAAACTAATCAGAGAGAGAAAGGGACGTTATAAAATGATGAAAGGACCAATCCACCAACCCCCCCCCGACAAAAGTCATAAATATCTATGCAAAATTTCAAGTCATAAATATCTATGCAACAACAACCTTAAATACTGAACAGATAGCTAGACTAATCCACAAATATAGCTGTACGCTTCCATGTCCCCCCTGTCTCTTGTAGGACATTGAGCCAGACAGCTGACCTGTCCTCTACAAACAAGTCCATGTCCCTACCATCAATGACAACAACAAAAAGATGAGGAGATACTTTGGGTTCAAAATAACTAAAGAAATATAGCTACATTATCTTTTTAGTTTTTTTGAACCCAAAATGTCTTTTCTCCTTTTTATTGTGTGATTCGTGGTGACATGGACTGTCTGAAGGAGACAGGTTATTGTCCTGCTCAGTATTCTACATTCTGCAGTTGTCTATCTGGTGATTACCTCCTATGAAACTCAAGCTAAGCATTTTTAGCAAGAACATGGCATTGTTCGTATTCTGCACTGGCAGAGTCCCAAGTGACATGCTGTCTCCTGCCAGCAGCTCCTGACTCCTGTTCTCTACAGGATGGAAGCTGAGAGGAGTAGGGCTAAAGCCTCTCAATGCTGTTTGTCCATCTGGCTTTGGTCTTCCTAAGTATTGGTATCAAGTGGAGGCTGAAGGACTGTGGCTTCTCTAACCAAAGGAGCCTAGTGGGTTAACAATTGTCAAGAGCAGTCAGTGGTTCTGAAATACAATCCTCAGCCATGGATCCCTCCTGTGTTGTGTTGAGCTTTCAATTGCTTTGCTCTTTTAGTTCTATTCATCAAATGAAAATGCTTTTTGTGACATCCGTTCTTTCTTTTCATTGTTCCAGCAGCATTTAGTATCTGTAGGAGAGAGAGAAGGAAAGATGAAATGGGCATCTTTGTCAGGTCCTGCTGATGGCTGAGTCTAGAGGGACTGTTAAGTGGTGATAGCCCAGGGGCAAACTGAGCTCCTGCTAGGAGGATGAGCTGAAGGGTGAGCCTCAGGCTGAGTGAAGAGGCAAGTGCCATCCGCAAGTGAAAAATAAACACCCCTGAACTTCCAGTCAGCTTGAGGTGAAGGATATAGGGACCCTAGCTCTGCCCAACCAGCAGCCCCTTTCCTCCTGATCCCCAGTGTCTGGAGCAGAGTAATGGCTTTTCACACCCCTCAGTGAGGATGTTCTCAGCATCAACCATGAAAGCTCAGAAACAGAAGGCTGCAGAAGGAAAGGACCTTTTGCAGAGAAACCCACTCCCTTACAACTCCATGTCCCCGTCTCTTAGGGAAGGGTGTGCAGGGCCATGGGAAGAACCCTGGAGGTGAGATACAGGAAGGACCTCAGACCGCATCCACATCCAGTTCTGCCTTTTACAACAGAGGAGCAGTGATGCCACAGGGCTGACTTAACTAAAGCCACATGACTTGCAATGGACAACCCTGAAACTAGAACCCACGCACGAAGTCTCTTTCAATAAGTTAGAGAGAAGGGAGAGTCAATTCTCCAATCTGGAGTTCTCGACAGTCACTAGAGGTTGCTGGGTCACCTTGGCTAGGATAGGAATGAGCTTTTACAAAGAAATATGATGTCACTGCTGCTTGTTTTGTTGGTTAAAATAAAAAATGAGAAAAAGACAAAAGAAATATTATGTGTTCTTCCAAAAAGGATCAGAAGAAAAGGAAAGAGTCAAATGGAATTACAAAGGAAGGGTGGTGATTGTAACCATGGCCCAACTTATTATCCCTAATTCCCTGAAGTTGATTCCACACCTGGTTACACCTTAAGGCATTTCTAGAAACATGCTCAATATCTGATCAACAAAACTCTGAAGTAGAAAGTGAAAAGGATTAGTTTGTGTTTTATTACATTCTCCTCTCCCTGTTACATTTTTCCCAGAGTGGTTTCTTGGGAAAGATTTCTTTTTAGAATTTCATGCCAGCATCAAGGGTAGCATAAAAAAGTATTCATATATCATCTCTTCCTGAGTTTCAGTTTTTTTATTATTATTGTTTCTTTTTTTTTTTTTTTTTTTTGAGATGGAGTCTCACTCTGTCACCCAGGCTGGAGTGTAGTGGTGTGATCTCAGCTCACTGCAACCTCTGCCTTCCGGGTTCAAGTGATTCTCCTGCCTCAGCCTCCCGAGTAGCTGGGATTATAGGCACGTGCCATCATGCGTGGCTAATTTTTGTATTTTTAGTAGAGACAGGGTTTCGCCATGTTGGTCAGGCTGGTCTCGAACTCCTGACCTCAGGTGATCCACCCTCCTCAGCCTCCCAAAGTGTTGGAATTAGAAGCATGAGCCACCATGCCCGGCCAAGTTTCAGTTTTTACTTATTATTATATTCTGTCTAGTGGAGTGAGACCTACGAGTTCTCTCTGAGGATTTGGCTGAATGACAAGAATTGAGCAAAGCAGAATTTTTACATTGCAGTGCCGAACCCATTAATGGGCTGTGGAATCAGTGTGTGGAAATGTAAACTGCAGGATTTATTTTAAAATTGAAAAGAAGGCTGGGCATGATGGCTCATGCCTAAATCCCAGCTCTTTGGGAGGCAGAGGTGGATGGATCACTTGAAGCCAGAAGTTCGAGACCAGCCTTGCCAACATGGTGAAACCATGCCTCTACTAAAAAATACAAAAATTAGCCAAGTGTGGTGGCAGGCACCTGTAATCCCAGCTACCCAGAAGGCTGAGGCATGAGAATTGTTGAACCCGCAAGACAGAGGTTGCAGTGAGCCGAGACTGCGCCACTGCATTCCAGCCTGGGTGACAGAGCGAGACTCTGTCTTAAAAATAAAATACAATAAAATAAAATTTAAAAGAAAATACTAAATCTGAATATGTGTAATATACGAGGTATTGTTTTCTGTATACTGGGTTTCAATATAATGACTATTTCTTATTTTACTTGTACTCAAAATTAAGCAAGTGTGCTTTAAGTAGAGAGACTACAGGTCTAATCCATCTATTTTCTTGTTTTTCTTTTTAATTTTTTTCTACGTTCTACAAATACTACTGTTGAGAGGTGAATACAGATCCCATCAATGTCTGATGGATATTCCGCCTTTTGTGTGGAGTAGCCACACAAGTGGTCATCTCCATGTTGAAAACCTGAGGTCAGAGTAGACCAGTGGTCCTTGTCATCTTCAGTTGTATATTAGAATATCATGGAAGTTTTTTAAAGGTACTGATGCTCACATCACACCCCAGACCATTTAAGTGAGAATCTCAAGATGTCAGTTCAAGGCATTCATCTTTATTGAAATCTCACCAGGTGCTTATTACATGGTAGCAGGATTTAGAGACAATGAATGAACCAACCTGATTTCCCATCATTTTCTTTCCTATCCTCATTTCTCTCGTGATTGCCTTCATTCTCTGTGGCTCTGTGGATTTTAGTCTTTCTTCTGACTATTTCAATTAAATCTCTCACTTGGGCTGGTCTGAGGCAAAGTCTGTCCTGTAGATAGGTTCTTGTCTATCATCTTGTGTAGACATAAAGCTGGCCCCTGGACTCACTTTTCTCAAAGTTAATTCATTAAATGCTCTCTTATTTCTCTGTCCTCAAGATTCACCTGAGTTGTGTTTTAGACTCTGAGCTTGTAGAAGTAAATATGTGAATAAAAAGGACAGAGGTGAGAATGCACTTTGTGGTCTATGCAGGTTCAAAGTCCTGCCCTGCCCTCTGCATCTTTCTTTGGCTGAGGTCCCTTTGGAATGTCATAAATGTTCTCCAGTTAATGTCAGCTAAGTGACTCCATGAGGAGCAGACACAGTCCCTGGAAACTTCATCCACGCTGGCATAAGGTTGCCCATCTAGAGATGAAGACACACCTGACTCCAGGCTAGTAGGGAACTCTCGTCTGTGACCCAGGTTCTAATTTAGTTTTTGATTTGGAGTTCTTAGTGCTCAGTTTTAACACTTCTCATTCCCATGTACAAGGTGAGGGTTACAGTTTGACTTAGTTGTGTTGCTCAAAAGCTGTCCCAAGAGAAAAATCTGTGTGTAAATGACGTATTAAAGCAATGCTCCTGGCAGAAAGGGGCAATGGAGTTTGGGATGCAGAAAGGAAAGGCAAATTACTCAAGCTGTGCAATTCCAGGCAAAGAACCCTGTGTTTAGCAGCTCACACCATGCACTTGGAGGGGGACAAGGAAGTTGGGCTCTCCTGTGGCCATGAGAGGGACTCTTAGGACAACAGCAGTGGGAACAGAGCAGAGTTCAGAGAGCAAACAGGGGATGGGGATCAGAAGGACCTGGCACCATGGCAGCCCATGGGACACAGAGGTAATACCAGACAGAGGTGACAGCAGCTGCTGGAGAGAACAAATACAGAAGAAAAAAGCAGTGGGAGAAGGAGCTGTCATCATAGACAGAGAGGAATAAGGAGTGAGTGCAGCTAAGAGCCATAGATGTGATTACCTTCCTGCTCTAAGCTTGCAGGCCAGGGAATCTGCATGCCAGTCTCCACTTGCTGAACAGCAGTTTTCTTTTGATCATCTTCGGTTTTAGGACACTTGAGGCATGAATGTGGCCAATGACTTGATGCCCATGTATGTTGTCAGCTGAGCCTTCAATAGCATCACCTTCCAGCTGGGGAGGGTTCTTCATTCAAGGGAAGGCTCTCAACCCAGCTCTGAAAATGAAACCACACCCAACAGTGTTCACTGTCATCCATGATCTTACTGTGACTTTCTCTTCCACCCAAGAGGATCATCAGAGAAGGAAAGTGGCCTTGAATAAGAAAGTCCAACGGGTAAAGGGAAGCCAGGAAAGACATTTTGGTATTTTCTGTATTGTTGATTTTTCATGCATCACCCAGTAATGACAAGATTGCCAGGAGGAAAAGGTGATCCCAACTGACAAACATATTCAAAAAATTTAGGATCAATAAACACAAATAGTTTCCAGGTAGATAAGGCAAAGGCAAGGAAGTCAGACTGGATACAGGCGGTGTTTTGGGAGGGAGGAGATTCTAAAACTCAACATTAAATGAACATATGAGAGAAAAGAATTGGATAGACTAAACATGAGATATTGATGAAATGAGCATGCAGATATGTATATAGCATATATCTACATTTTATTAAAAATACATGCCAAATATGCATAATATATATATCCAATGACATAAATGCATATATTTATATATATAAATCTATTGGAAGAAATTGTTACATAAGGATGTGGAAGATGTTGAATTAGCGTTATAATCACTAACATTATAATCTGGTCCACTGAAACTGGAAAAAATTTTAGAAAAATAAGATGAACGAGAGAGAGAAGACATGGTGAGAAACAAATGCCCTATTAGACAGCAAGGAGAAGTCACCAGATAAAGGACAATGAAACAAAAGGCATTCACTCTGTCCTCTTGCCTGGAACCTGGTTAGTGATCCGGACTCCTGGGAAAGCCAGCAGGTAAGAGTGTTGGAGCCAGCGGGGTGAGTCCTGACTAGGGGTGCAGGAATCCATGGAGAAGCAAAAGAGACACCAGTGGGAAGAAATCAGTTTAAATACTCAAAGTTATCAGGGCACGTGTCAGGGACTACGCATCCCCCGACACTCACTGAGCGTTTTCCATGTGTCCTCTCCATGGACCCAGATGGTGCTCGTTATCTCACGTGACCCTCCCTCCTCCTGAGGACGTGGGTCTCCTTATTCCTCGGCTGGGGGCATCGATTGACAGATGAGCACCAGGCAGCCCCAGGGGCTCCAGGAGTAGATATTGAGTGGGACGGAGAGTAAGGATGAACACAACCCAGGGTTTTAAGGAAATCTGGGCAGAAGTGGATCCCTGTGAGAAGAAAACTGAGGACATGGCCGTGGGCATGAATGGAGATGATGAACTAAATGGAGTTTCATAAAAGAGACAGATTTATACCCTTTCCATGAGAAGGTTGCCCTTTCATTCTTTTATTTCAAAACGAGGGGAGAAAACAGAGCAAGAAGCTGGGTATGTCAGGAGACTGACTTGTGGGCCCAGGATTTGCACTTTTACTAATGTGCCTAATAGGTTGTTACTGAAGTGCATGACCGGGGGAAATTGACTTAAAAAGGGATGCTGAGGAAGAGAAAGAAAACTGGCAAAAGATACTTTCTAAGTAAACACAGGAAGGGAGTCTCTAGAAAGTAGAGATCCTAACAGTTACTCTTCCTCAGTTGAAACAATGCACGTGAAGTCATTTCCTGAGTGCTAACTTACCAGAAAGATAACAGAATTAGATAACATCTATTCATAGATTTATTAAGCAATTTTTACTGAATTAGCCCTTTGGAAATTATCATAATTAATGTTATCGACAATGATGGAATGTAGATATTATTTTTCAGGTCTCTCAGATGACAGGACTGAGATGTAAATGCCAACACCATAAATAACTTGGCCGAGATGAATGAGTAAGGGTTAAGCCCAGGACCTGAGAGCAGATTTGATCCTAAACCCCAGGCTCTTGCTCACCTCACTGGGTTGGAACATTGTAGATTTCTGCTTGACTCTGAGGGAGCACGAAGAGACCCCATTGCCTCCTCCCCTCACAGCACCATGACCAGGACACCCGGATGAGAGCTTCCTGGTCCCCTTTCCTTCCCTACCTTGGAAGGGCCATTGGTTCCCAGGATCACCGTTGGTTGTGAAGCTGCAGGTGGTGGAGGAAACATCCCGCCTGGCTAAGCCATAGCCACAGTCAAACCCTTGATCCAGTTGCAGTCACAGACAATTGGGCACCAGGATTCTTGGCTCCAGCTGTGCCTGTGAAGTCTCCACCTCTGACAGGTGGTGGCTCAAGTCTCCACTCCAAGGCCCGTGAGGACAGGCCACCTGGGTGGGAGCTGAAAGGAGAAGGGGCTTCAGTAGGAACGCTCTCAGCTTTCCCTTTGTTAATCATGCCCAGAACACCCATCTCTGACATCTCCGCCTCTGAGGTAAGCCACCCAGTGGCCCAGGCCACAAAGACAGACATCATGTAAATGGGGTGATGTCACCTTCCTGTCTGTGCCTGGGGATGCTGAGATGGAAGGTACCCAGGCTGGATGACCCTGAAGTGAAAAACCCCCACTTCAGCCCAGAGGGCTTTGGATTGGCTAACAAGGCCATGCCAAATATTCTGTTATTATTAATCTCCATCCTGCAGCCTAGAAAGAATGCTCTGGAGAACCTTCAGAGCATAGGAAATGCTATTTTTCTCAACACACAGGAGTATAAGAACAGGGGAGGACTTAGAGCCTCCAGGCTTTGGGAAGGAACCATAGAAAAGGGTTTTGGGACACTGTAGACCAGCAGTCTCCAAACTTTTTTGCCTCGGGGACTGGTTTCGTGGAAGACAATTTTTCCTTGGACCAGGGGTGGGGGACGTGAAAAGAGGGAAGGATCATTTCGGAATGAAACTGTTCCACCTCAGATCATCAGGCATTAATTAGATTCTCGTAAGGAGCGCGCAACCTAGATCCCGTTCATGCACAGTTCACAATAGGGTTTGTGCTTCTATGAGAATCTAATGCCACCGCTGATCTGACAGGAGGCGGGGCTCAGGCTGGAATGCTCGCTTGCGGGCCACTCATATCCTGCTGTGCGGCCTGGTGCCTAACAGGCCCAGGACAGGTAGCTGACCACAGCCCCGGGGGCTTGGGGCCCCCTGCAAGAAACCAAATACTACATGAGGCGAACTTTTAAGAGTTCTGGAACATTTTGAATTTCCGTTGCCTATAATGGTTTTACCACCAACCCACACATATACATCTTGTTGCCACATAGTGGGTTTCCGCAGCCATACGCAATGTTGTAAAGGGACCAGTCCCTTCACGGACACTTAGGGGCCACAGGTATTACAGATCAGTATGTGTGGTTCTGTAGGGAGGCAACACCGAGCACAATCCTCATCTTACCCACTCCTCCAGTGGGGTCCGGGCAGCACCCCCTCATAAAAATTATTGCTGTTTCCACAGGAAGAGGAAATCACATTCTCAGAAAGTGGACAAAATGCATTATGATTTGCAGTGGTTTTCGTTTTCTTTTTTTTCTTTCTTTTTTTTTTTTTTTCCCCAGACAGACTCTCGCTCCGTCTCCCAGGCTGGAGTGCAGTGGCGCCATCTCGGCTCACTGCAAGGCGATTCTCCTGCCTCAGCGTCCAAAGTAGCTGGGATTACACGGACGCACCGCCACCCCCGGTTAATTTTTGTATTTTTTTAGTAGAGACAGGGTTTTACTATGTTGATCAGGGTGGTCTCCAACTCCTGACCTCAGGTAATCTGCCCACCTTGGACTCCCGAAGTGCTGGGATTACAAGCGTGAGCCACCGCGCCCGGTTCTTTTTTGAATGTTTGGAAGAGTTGAGCTGTGAGGCCATTTGGTCCTGAGCTTCTCTTTGTTGGGAGGTTCTTCAGTCCTTTTATTTGTTATTGGTCGTTCAGGCTTTCGGTTTCTTCTTGATTCAATCCTGGTAGGTTGTGTGTTTCTAAGAATTTATCCATTTACTCTAGGTTATCCAATTTGTTGGTATAGAGCTGTTAATAACAGTTTCTTTTTTCTTTTTTTTTTTTTTTTTGAGACGGAGTCTCGCTCTGTCGCCCAGGCTGGAGTGCAGTGGCAGGATCTCGGCTCACTGCAAGCTCCGCCTCCCGGGTTCCTGTCATTCTCCTGCCTCAGCCTCCCGAGTAGCTGGGACTACACGCTACTGGGTAGCTAGCTGGGTAGCAGGCACCCGCCACCACGCCCGGCTAATTTTTTTGTATTTTTAGTAGAGACGGGGTTTCACCGTGTTAGCCAGGATGGTCTCGATCTCGTGACCTCGTGATCCGCCCGCCTCGGCCTCCCAAAGTGCTGGGATTGCAGGCGTAGGAGCCACCGCGCCCGGCCTAATAATAGTTTCTTATGATCCTTTTTACTTGTGAGGCTTCTGTTGTAATGCCTCCACTTTCATTTCGCATGTTATTTATTTGAGTCTTCTCTATTTTTTTCTTAGTTAGTTTAGCCAAGTGTTTGTTAATTTTACTTTTTCCAGAAAAACAACTCGGGTGCGAGAGGCCTACGTTGCATCACCACTGGAGGCCAGTAGTTCCCAATCAGCCTGGAAAGAATAGTAAGACGTTGTCTCTCCTAAAAAGAGAAAAAGAAAGAGAAAGGAAAAGGAAAAAAAACAAAACAAAACAAAACAAAAAACCAACAACTCACTTTTATTATTTTTCTGTAGTATTTCTGTTCTTCAGTTGATTTACTTCTGCATTGATTTTTGTTTCCTTTTTTCAGTGAACTTTGGATTTATTTTGTTGTTTTTTTCCTGGTTTCTTGAGGTGTAATGTTTATTTGAAGTCTTTCTTCTTTTTTAATGTATGCATTTATGGTTATAAACTTGACTCTTAAGAGCTGTTTTTCCTGTTTCCAAAGATTTTGTTATGTTTGTTTTCACTTTTGTTGGCCTCAATATATTTTCAAATTTCCCTTTTGATTTGTTCTTTGATCAATCAGTTGTTCAAAGGCAAGTTGTTTAATTTCCATGTATTTTTTAATTTTCCAGTTTTCCTTATGTAGTTAATTTTTAGTTTCATACCATTGTGGTCAGAAAAGATACTCGATGGGATTGGAATCATTGTTAATTTGTCTAAGATGTACTCTTCATTATTTTAATTGATGTATAATTGTGGCACACATTTTGGGGATACACATGATATTTTGATAAACATATACAATTTATAATGATTGAATCAGTGTAAGTAGTATATCTGTCACCTCAAAACTTTATCTTTTCTTTATGTTAGGAATATCCCAATTCCTCTCTTCTAGTTATTTTAAAATATACAAGAAGTTATTTTGAGTTATAGTCTCCCTAATATACTATCAAATACTAGAACTTATTCCTTCTATTTAACTATATTTTATATGCATTAACCAATATCTTTTCTTCCTTCTCCCCTATCTCCTTCCCAGCCTCTTGTAACCACTAATTTTAATATATGATATGACACATGAATTCAGTTTTTTCTACTTGTTTATTTTTATATGGTTACAAATATGTCACATCCATTGCTTAAAAAGAAAATCTTCAATCGTTTGTTGAAATATTATGCATTTTTAAATACATTGCTTTTTCAAGATTGTCAAAAATCTGTTCTCAATATATGTGTTCATTTATATTTGGACTCTATTTTCTTTTGATCCATTTAATTGATCACATACCAAAGCTCTGTTGTGGCCATTACAACTCTGTGATTGTTCTTTAAATCAGGTGGAGCTAGCCCTCCAATTTTGCACTTCGTTATACAGGCATTTTGGTTATGCTAGTTCATGTTAATTTTAGAATCAGCTGCCATTTTCTACCAACGATGCATGCTGAAATTTTGAGTCGGATTGCATTGAATTCATAGATCAAATTAGGGGAAATGAACATCTCAACAATATTCTTACACATGAACAAACAATATCTTTCCAGTTATTAGACCTGCACTATGTTCTCCGTGAAATATGCTCTAATTTTCAGTCATATTCACATTTATGGATTTTATACACTTGACATTATTGTAAATGGTATTCCTTTTACATTTAAATTCTGCCGTGCAATTGCATAAACACAATTTATTTTTGCATATTGATCTTATATCCTGCTAGAAACAAATGCTTTTTGGATTCAGGTTTGATTGGCCAGTGGCAATATCTTTGGAAACTTGCGTATTTACCAGGCATGAAGAATCTTTCTCATTTCAATTGGAGCTTTATCACCAGCCCAAGGGAGAGGAATGTCCTAACGCATATCAAGTTCTGAGGTTGGGAAGAGTTTGTCCTTTGTAGACAAATGCATGTGAAATGTTCTGTATGTTCACCAATAAGTTTTCCTTAAGATTACTCATGCAGTTATAAGGCTGCCCATCTGCACTTGTGTTTAGCTGCAATACTATAGTTGTAAAATTTAGAAGCCAATGTTGTCCCTTAGTTTAAAATTTAATATTCAAGAATCTATTCCAACATTATGTAGTGCCAAAAACTTTGGGATGATATGCAATGATATGTCCAGCAAGTATGAGTTTGTACCTGATCCTTATTAGTCTTCCTTCTGATGTGATCTATTATAAAATGAGACCTTTAAGAGCTTTAAAATAATTAATAATGGCATGCTGAGGAGGTTAGTTTGTGGGATATTCAGTAGCCGT
The DNA here is from genome assembly GCF_000001405.40 of Homo sapiens. Lineage (NCBI taxonomy): Eukaryota > Metazoa > Chordata > Mammalia > Primates > Hominidae > Homo > Homo sapiens. The sequence goes on from NC_000001.11 coordinate 149,118,021, forward strand.
AGGAAACAGTAGTTCCTACTCTGTATCTCAAGTGGGAGTCCACTCTTCAGTATGTCAGCTTCAAGACCCTGATCTGCAGTGGAATTTGCAGCCCCCTGCTGTGTCAGCTTCATTACTTCAAGGGAGGGTGAATGCCTTCAGTTCTTTAGGTCACAATTGACACATGTAGCACATTTTGGTACCTCTTCAGTTACTGACCTTTATGCCCACTCATGTCAGGCTTGCTCACCTGAGTGATTCACAAGATCACATTCCCAATGCATCAGATCACAGTGTCACAAAAAAAAAAGCATTTATTTTTCGTTATGTATCTCTCCTGAATTTCAACCTTGATAGGCTAACATGGCTCACAAACAGCTTTAAATTTGGTTTCTCAAATGTCTGTCTAATGGTTTACAAAAGTCCAGTTACTCAAATGAATTTATCTTACAGTCCGGTTTTCTATTGTTCCATGCTGTGCCTCAGTGACATAAACCAAGAGTCAGTATATAAAAAAGATTTATTCCCACTGGTTTATAACCAACCAATAACTAGTATGCCTGTTATATATAGTTCTGTGCATTGGGTTGCCAGTCTCCTTCCTTCTTTTGCCTGATTTTTGTTGGAAGTGGAGATGATGTAATGTTATGGGTCACTTCTATTAGTGTCCCTGGACTACAGTTCTACCATCTATTTTTTAAGCTATTTTACCTCGTTATTATAAGATCTGCATATTTGTGAGCATCATTTATGTTATTAATAGTTAACATCTGGGGGGGTGGGGGAGGGATAGCATTAGGAAATATACCTAATGTTAAATGATGAGTTAATGGGTGCAGCACACCAACATGGCACAGGTATACATATGTAACAAACCTGCACGTTGTGCACATGTACCCTAAAACTTAAAGTATAATAATAAAAAAAAAAGTTAACATCTATGGTAGTCACTTCTTTGGTTATGTCAGAGACTAAAATCTGAAAATCAGAAATTCATTCTTTATTTCAGGTGTGTGCATGCTGTTGTGTTGATCCCTGTCCCCTCCCAGAAAAGTCATTGTAGGCCCAAGTCGATGAAGGGACAGACTGTGAAAGAACAGATGCAGAGCATGGACTAAGTATGCAGTGCCCACTGAATCAAAAACTTTGCTGAAGTTGCTTTTCTGCGATTGTCTAACATTCCTCTGAGTCACCTTATCTGCTGCTTAAAAGCCCCAAAGCATTTTCTTAACTGTCTTGTGGCCATTGTTATAAACTCTGCTCTGCTCTTCCTGTGTCAACTACCACACAGTCTGTTTCATTGCATGGCCCTAAAGGCAGAGCCATTTTTCCAACTTTAAGTGCACTAAGGGTATCCTGTTTCTACAAAACCAGTGGATGTTAGTGGTTCTCTTAGGGATTTTTTTTTCTTTTTTGTCATATAAGGCCATAATTGGAGTAATGTGAAAAATATTTTTTCCTCCAGAAGTTATTAGATGCTGCTATATCCAATATTTGTTCTATCAGTACACTATAATGTATCCCAGCTATGCATTTTATATTTCCTAAAACTTCACTTCTGAGAAGGCCCTTCATGTGTTTTTAAAAATTCATGGCCCACCCAGCAGCATTACTAAGTCTTTTGGAGTCTAGCCTCATGGTCTTTCTGTTGATTTTCCTGCTGTCAACATGTAATCTGTGAAATGAAACAAAGGGAGGGGATCCAGGCCAAGACTTGGCGACATTCACTTATGACAGTCAGTAGTCAGACACTATGTGCAGAGATCCTCCAGATCCTGTTTGACCAGCATCTTTGGGAGGTTAAGAGCCCAGCCCTGTCAGAACCACTATTCATTATCATCGACCCTTTCACCAGAATGCACCTGTGGGTGTCGGCTACTGATTTTCTCACCTGCAGGCAACTCAGGCTGAGCTGAGAGCAGAAATCTTAAGCTCTTGTCACTAAGGTCTCTTCTGTGCTTCCTCTGTATCACCCGCCGTAACTAGCATAATGCTTTACCCACAGGGGCTCAAGAGATGCATTTGTTGAGCTCAACAAATTGAGAATCCAAGTTGTCTTGATAAGCAGAGATGTTATGGTGTAGAGAATTGGATAGGGTAAGCGAGGAACAAAACAGGTTGTCATTTTGTTGTTGTTGTTGTTGTTTCTAAGAGTACAAAAATTGTGACTGGCAACTGCTGGGGAATCCTAAGGCAGGACTTTAGTCCCTAACCCCCCTACATTCTCACTACATTCATGGAAGCTGCTTTACTCCTTTCCACCTTAGGTATTTCATCTATAATTAGAGGATAAAACACACAACTTCTAAATGCTAGTACTATGACTGATATAGAATTTATTTTGGACATGGGTGAATCTTGGAGTCTCCAAAGCATTTAAATTACCAGACAGAGGCTGGGAGTGGTGGCTCACGCCTGTAATCCCAGCACTTTGGGAGGCCGAGGTGGGTGGATCACCTGAAGTCAGGAGTTCGAAACCAGCCTGGCCGACGTGGTGAAAACCCGTCTCTACTAAAAATATAGGAAATTAGCCGGGCGTGGTGGCACACACCTGTAATCCCAGCTACTCAGGAGGCTGAGGCAGGAGAATCACTTGAACCCGGAGGCAGAGGTTGCAGTGAGCCGAGATCATGCCATTGAACTCCAGCCTGGGTAAAAAGAGCGAAACTCCGTCACAAAAAAACAAAACAACAACAACAAAAACAAAAACATATATATATATATATTACCAGACAGAAGATAGATAATCTGTGATTACTATGTCAAGGACAATTTTAGAATACTTGTTAAATTCACCCCTTTCTTTTCACAGCTGGCCAGGACATAGTCAGTAGCTACTGATACCTTGAATACCTTGGGTGTGTTAACTGTTTTGACCCATCATGGAGCCAAGATGTTGGTTGTACCTTGAGATGCTGATCTGGCTGAAGTCCAGGGTCACGGGCCCAGGATAGGTCATTCAGCTATTTGAAAAAAACAGAAGAGAGACCAGGCCATCCACTGAGGTCATCTCCATGCAGCATGGGCCACTGGTTCCAGTGAACCCACCATCACCATACTTCTCAGGAATCGCTGGTCACTAGACTGAGAGTTCTGTCAAAGCTGAGATCATATCTTGCTAATCTCTGTGTTCATGGTTCCCAGCTCAGGGTCTAGCACTGAGGGAGTTCTCAGGAGAGTGTTCATCAATTATTGAATAAAAGCGATTGCAAACCTCCTCTCACCTGCATTCCTGTCCCAAATGTCCTGTCAGGGATGCTGAGATTTCTCCCAGGATGCAGCAAATCCCTTTCCTTAGACTGGCCCTTGCCTTACACCATTCATGCCCCAGGATCCCTCTCTGTGGGACATTGGAGGAAAATGAGTCTGTTCTGAAGAAGTCCTCTTATGGTTCCCCCTGTCATTAGGAGCAATGTCTTCACCTAAACTCCCACTCTATGGGTTGCCACAGCACCCCAATGTGGGGGAACTTTCATATTTTCTTAAAAAGCTATATTTCTGTTCTTTCTCTCATGGGCTTGAGTTCCTTTGGGGAGACATTAATATCTGAATCCCAAGTGTTTAACACAGCGTAAAGAAAATTAAACACCAATAAATATTTATGAGATATCATTTGGAAACCTCCTTCAACTGTAAGTACAGAAGAATATTATAAGTATCACTGCTTTGTATACTAGCAAGGGACACTTACTCTAGCACCTGACCTAGGGCAGAGCTTTTTAACATAAGAATGGATGTCTCCAACCCTTCTCCCAGCATGGTTATTCCCTCTAACCCACACTGACCTGAAGAGCATCCACTGCTACGGCAGCCCCAAGGTCAAGCCTCCTGGGTCTGGGGCGGGGCTCATGGTCACATCTTCCCCCTCTTGGAGTTGCTGCTGCCCCTCACTATAAACCAGATGTCATCCAGCCTGTGGCTCTCCCTGGCCAGGGGCAGGAGACTCCTGTGGAGTAAATTTCTCTCTCAGTCCCCACTGCTCAGCTCGCGCTGCTCCTTGAGAGTTTGGATGATGACAGGCATTGCCCATTTCCCCTGAGGCTTCTGTCCCAACTTGTCCTTATTCCCCCCTTCTTTGGTTTTCATTTACCAATGGCTTGTCCTTTGTGAGTTGTTCTCATCCCCTAAACCTGCTGACTTTCTTTCTTTCATCTGTTCCCTCAGTTCTGGGCTTCCAGTGTGTGGACTCAGCTCAGGCTCCTGCAGGAGACACACAGAGTCAGGTCTCAGCTGCAGGTCCTGGGTGGCATTAAAAACCATCTCAGCAGAGTTTCACCATGTCTGCCAGGCTTGGCCGGTTGTGGTGGTTCACGCCTGTGATCCCTGCACTTTGGGAGGCCGATGCAGGTGGATCGCCTGAGATGGGGAGTTCGAGACCAGCCTGGCCAACATGGTGAGACCCCATCTCAACTGAAAATGCAAAGGATTGGCTGGGCGTGGTGGCGTGCGCCTGTAGTCCCAGCTACTCGGGAGGCTGAGATAGGAGAGTTGCTTGAACCCGGGAGGCGGAGGTTGCGGTGGGCCGGGATTGTGTCACTGCACTCCAGCCTGGGCAACGAGAACAAAACTCTGTCTCCACCAAGGTGACATTTTCTACCCTGTGTCCTGTTCCCCAATAAAAACAAATTCACAAATTCACAAAAAAACTAAACTAAACTAAAACTGTCTCAAAAAAAAAAAAAAAAAAAAAAACCCCACCATGTTGGCCAGGCTGGCCTCCAACTCCTGTCCTCAAGGGATCCTGTAATCTCCCCATTTTGGGAGGCCGAGGCGGGCAGATCACTTGGGGCCAGGGGTTTGAGACCAGATTGGGCGACATGGCAAAGCCCCATCTCTACAAAACATATAAGAATCAGCCAGGCGTGGTGGCATGCACTGCCTGTGGTCCTGGCTACTTGGGAGGCTGAGGCTGGAGGATAGCTTGGGCCGGGAAGCTTGAGGTTGCAGTGAGCAGAGATCATACCATTGTACTCCAGCCTGGGTGACAGAGCGAGACTTTGTCTTTAAAAAAAAAAATAGAGGCTGGGCACAGTGGCTGACGCCTGTAATCCCAGCACTTTGGGAGGCCGAGGCGGGCGGATCACGAGGTCATGAGATCGAGACCATCCTGGCTAACATGGTGAAACCCCGTCTCCACTAAAAAATACAAAAAATTAGCCGGGCGAGGTGGCGGGCGCCTGTAGTCCCAGCTGCTCGGGAGGCTGAGGCAGGAGAATGGCGTGAACCCGGAAAGCGGAGCTTGCAGTGAGCTAAGATCGCGCCACTGCACTCCAGCCTGGGCCTTGGAGTGAGACTCTGTCTCAAAAAAAAAAAAAAAAAAAAAAAAGAATTGACTTGAAGGAGTCAGGCCGGAAGGCCAAATAGGAGATGAATGGGGATAGCGGCTTGAATAAGGGCAGTGGCAAGGAAAATGGGCTAGGGGTTAGGGAAGGGGGCCGACTGGCTGTGCACCCAAATGCTAAAAAGGGTCCAGAAAGGAATGTGTTCAGCTATTTTTCAAGGACTTCTAAATTAAACTCTCTTAAATGATGTTTATATTAAGGCTGGTGGTGGAGTCTTTCAGAGGCAGTGTTGGTGCTAGAAGAGCTCTTGAGGATCATACAGCCTCCCCCCTCAATTTCACAGTGAAAGAAAACCTCAGAGAAGCAAAGCAACTTGCTCAAGGTCACACAGCATTTCAGTGGTAGAACATGACTCGTGGTTCTTAGATAGCATTACCCAGCCTCCACTGAGGCTAATGGCTGTAGGCGCTATGCCAACATGACTAGATCTAAGGCGACCCAAGCAATATTTTAAGGGACTGAACGCAGATTCCCTCTCTTCCCCTTCGCCACCCCTTCCTCCACGCGCGACTCCAGTGATCAATGAATAATTGTGGAAACAGTTCCTTTGTTCAGAACTCTTCGTTAAAAGAGGTGCAGAGATACACGTCTGCGGTAGGATTCCTTATCCTGAGATCTGAGAGCACCTCGATGCTTCCCCAACCTGCTAGGTGAGGGTGGAAAGGGCATTCCTGAGGCAGCCGGTGCCCCTCCTCTGCCCCCCAACTCCCACGTGGTTTCTCCAGCCAAGTTCTCACGGAGTGGCCCCTCCCTCAGCGGCTCCACTGTTGCCATAGCAATTGGGTGGGTGGAGAGCCCGTCCTATCTAGAGGCCACCCAGCCCTCGCGTGGGGAGTTACCATAACAACCCCCTAGTAATAGAGGGGGTTGGGTACCGCCCCCTTCCCCAGCAAATTGAAAGGTGGGTGGCTTGATTGGCAGCTGGGCACACGAAAGAAGGAGGGAAAGGGAAGGAAAAAAATAAATAAATAAAAACCATCTCAGTTCCTCAGAGACTCAGAGAAAACACAGTAGGAAGCGACCTCAGAGAGGAACAATAAGCCCCTACCTCACTGAGGAGGAAAGTGAAGCCAAGAAAGACTAAGACTCTCCCAGGCTCCCTCACCACATGGTGGCAGCAGATCGACCACACAAGCCTTGGCCTCAGCCTCCAGGTCCAAAGCACCTAACTCACCCACCAGGAACTCACTGCTGCGTTTCAGAAAACTTTGGATCAAAAACAGCAATTTCCACTGTGAAAACAAATAAAGTAAAAGGGCTTTTCCTTGGACAAACCTTTTATCACGGTTCTGTAGTCCTAGTATTTATACTCAGTCAGTTGTCATTCGCTGGCTGGTAGATTCAGGCAGGGAGCACATAAAGATTAAGTAATGTTTAACACAAGCCTGCTCTCCCAGCCTGGGATCTCAGCTCCTCCCTTCTTCAGGGAGTTTCCTCTGCTCTAACTGCTGGAGAGTCTCAGCCCTCATGTGGGTCATTTCTCCATGGTGATACCTATTATTTTCTTCCTCTCTTGGAGATAAGAGAGGGCAGAGATTGGCTCTGGGTCTCCACAATTCTAGGTTTTCTCCTAAACCAGCCAGCTCAGCTGAAAGCAATCATGACAGAGAGGTCAGGTCAGTGAAGAGGGTCCCAGGGGAGCAGGGGGTCACAAGGACAGCCCCACATGGAGATGGTCAGGACCGTGACCTGGGCAACATTTGACCAATTCTGCTGGGGATGATGTGCAAAGGATTAAGGGGAGGATGCTGCCATAAGGAGAAAGGGGAAGAACCAAGGGAGTAGGAGAGGAAGGAAAATAAAATGATTGCCATAAAGGTAGAAAGAAATGCAGACTCCAGAGGCAAAGCCCCATGTCACAGAAGATTAGTTCCAGGTTGTGGATCCTAACCACGCAATTCCTGCTGGACTTTGCTCAGCCCCATTTCAAAAAGGTTTTGGATCAGTGACTTCTTTGTTACTTCCACTTTCCCCGTTTGTGAACAAGAATCACTAGAATTGTTTTTCTAGGAGGGGGGAGGGATAGCATTAGGAGATATACCTAATGCTAAATGATGAGTTAATGGGTGCAGCACACCAGCATGGCACATGTATACATATGTAGCTAACCTGCACATTGTGCACATGTACCCTAAAACTTAAAGTATAATAAAAAAATTAAAAAAAAAAAGAATCGTTTTCCTATGTCTGTCCCACCATTGCACACTGAGGGCAGATAAGCTGTTTGTTCAGTTTCACAGGTTGATAGAGGGAAGGGAATTATGTCAAGGACACCCTCAGAAGCCTCATTCATACTTGGTGTGGATGATTAAGATAAGATTTTAAATTTTTGATCTGGTGTGGTCTACATACCATTTTTCACTTTGAACTAACGCTTTAATGACATGAAATTTGGAAACCTTAGGGGAGAGGGTGAATGTATTTTGCAGATGGGGGAATGTGAGTGTCCAACTGCGGTAGACGGAATTTCTGAAATGGTCCCCAAACATGCCACACCCTTGTCTCTAAAGCCTGTTAAGGTGCTGAGACATCATTCTGGTGATTATGTTGTTATAAGCCAGTTATATGACTTTAAGATGGTGAGGTTACCTGTGTAAACTGGATCTAATCACATCACTGCATACATGCCAGTGGTTTCTCTAGCTGTCAGAAGAAGGTAACGTCAGGAAGAATGGGAGCTTGAGAAGGACTCCATGAGCTGTTATTGGGACAGCCAGCACAGAAAAAGAAAACCCAGTCTTTCAACTCCCACAAAATGAATTCCTCCTACACCTGAAGTGAACTTGGAGAAGTAGCCTGAGCTCCACATAACTACATAGCCAGACACACCTGGATTCAGCTTCCTAAAACCCTTATCAGAGAACCCAGCCTCTGCTCCAGACTTCTGTGGTTTCAATCCACTAGTTTGTTGCATGTGTTAATAGGCAGCAATAGAAAACTGGTACAGATGCCTATCTCTACTCTTGATTTATTATTTCAGATACATGGATGCTAATCCCTCTAAGAGAAAAAAATTAAAAAGCAAAGAACTACAGCAAAAATCTTGCACTCACGTTCACCTTTATGTCACTATTCTGGAGCCCTTGCAACCTGAAGAAGATAATGAGAGGCATTCCAAGCATGTGAGGAGTATCTGTAATGTTACCAACCAAATTTCTGAAAGAATAAAGATGGTACAATACTAACTCCACATAATCTTATGTGCAAATTCATCATCTATCTCTATTTCTTATAGCAGATTTTTTTCTTTTTTAGCTCATTCATTTAGGCTTGCCAGACCAGGTTTGGTAGCAACTATCAGTTATCGGTAAAAATGAAACAATTCACGAAGAGCAATGAACAGGACTATTATTAAGTTCATCAAAAAAGTCCCTAAAATGCAACATTTCCTCAAATGTCACAAAAGTAAGACAATGATTCACTACAGAAAATCCCAATCTAAGAAAATTTGAAATTTAATGATGTCGGATTTCCAAATTTTTATTTTGTTGGGGCCCAGTCATGGGCACCAGAGATTAGGAAATGACTGTGCAGAGGCTTTAGGGTATTTGGGGAAATGACAAAAATATTCTAAAACGTGACTCTGCTGATGACTGCACAATTCTACAAACCTCCTTAAATGGTTACATCGTAGATTTAAAATTGGTGAGTTTTATTACAAGTAACTTTTTTTTTTTTTGAGACAGAGTTTCACTCTGCATTTTCCTCTCACCTGCCCCACACCTCTTCCAAATCTGTTCTTTCACTTCCAGGTCGTTGAGTTTTTCCATTTAAAAATATAAAAGATACAGAAAGAAGAAGATAACCAGTCATCCATATTCCCATCACCTGGAATTAAGTACTATTCACATATGTACATATTTTTTCTTCCAAATCATTTTGAAGTTACTCTCTTTTTTTTAAATTATACACGCTTAGCATAGACCATACCACCAATACAGAAAAAGTACAGATAGGTAAAATTTCTGATCACCTTAAGTTCAAAATAACTTTTGTTAACATTAGGGCAACTCTGATCGAGTCATGTTCTTCTGGTATATCTACAGAGAGAAGAATGTATATTTTAGCTAGACTGTCCCCCCCGCAATAAATAAAGCTCTCTCTATATATACACACACATATATATGGGAGCTATATATTATATATACACACATAGATATATATGCTTTTGTAAAATTGAACTTAGACTCTATTTTTATTTTACAAATATTCCATTTAATAGTGCATGAATTTAACTGAAGACAAAGAGACAGAAACAGAAATGAAGGAATTCCTGAACTCTCAATCACATTTAGAGAGATGCTTTTCTAAAGGAATCCTCTAAAGCTAAACATACATTAAATTAAGTAGAATGCATTATGATTTGCTGTGTTTTTTTTTTTATTTTTTTTTGAGACGGAGGTTTTTTTTTGTTTTTTTTTGTTTTTTTTTGGCTCTGTTGCCCAGGCTGAAGTGCAGTGGCTCGATCTCGTCTCACTGCGACCTCCGCCTCCCATCCGCCTGCCTCAGCCTCCCAAAGTGCTAGGATTACAGGCATGAGCCACCGCGTCCAGCCTGCAGTGGTTTTCTTACTACTTTTTACAATCAAATTGATTAAGGCATTGGTTGAATATGGTACAATGCATCCATTTCAAGTTTGACGACATGTCTACTACTCCAGAAGGTCCTCTTGTGCCCTTTGCAGTCAGTCCCCTCGACTCCCTGACCCCAGCAATTAATGATGTATTTTCTGCCACTATACAGGTTAGTTTCACCTGTTCCAGAAATTCACCTTGATGGCACCACATAGAATGCACTCTTTTCATCACTCAGCATGAGGTTTTTGAGATTGGCCCATGCTATCTCATGTTTCCATAATTTGTCCCATCTTATTGAGGGTAGTACTCCGTTGGATGAATATATCACAATAGGTCCATTCACCTCTTGATGCATATGAACCTTTTCCAGTTTGGGGACTATTGTAAACAAAGCTGCTAAGAACAAGTTCTTTTTGTGAATATATGTTTTGTAAATTCCACTTGTCATTCTTTAGTATTAACTGATTTTGTAAAATGATGTCACCTTCACAAGTGCAAAATTCATTCAAATGTTACAGAGGCCTGAAGCATAAGTCTACACAATTTCCTTTGTTATATTTCATAATTAAGGGGAAAAAACTTTATCTGGGATGTTGTTTCCTATCAGCAAATCCTTAATGTAAGCCATACAGGATGCTAGCTGTACTATTAGACTATCTTCTGTAATCTGTGCAATAACTCTAAGAAGTACTTCGTATTATTATTTTCCTGTAACACTTTCCAACTTGAAGCCTAGCAAATTGAAGGACCTGGCCCCAGGTCAAACAGAAGGCAAGCGGCAGCGCCAGGACTGGAAGAAGGCCTTCCCAAAGGCAGACAGAAGCTCACGTCTCTGTCAGAACCTCGGTATTTCTGATGCGCCTGGAAGCCAATATCCAAGCCGTTCTCAGCCACTGGATTGGTGGGCTGCTTTGCTCAGAAACTCCTCGATCAGGAATCCCAAGCATACGTTAGTGATGACGGTCCCAAAACAAGGGACATTTCTTAACCATTCTAAAAACCCGTTTGCTCATCAGTAACGCAATAAGAGTTGCTTTCGGTCTTGGTTCATATATTTTATATTTGAGCAAGGCAATGTCCGCTGCTGGGGTTAGAAGTAAATGGCTCCTCTTCAGCAAACTAGATCAGTCCGTGGGACGTACGGCTTCCACTCGCAGTGTCCTGAACACTGGCTGGGCTTCCTGTGCGTTCTAGCCGGTTTTCTTTGGAGCCGCGGGTTTCTGCACGGCTCCGGGGTCGGGATGGCAGAGGCTTCTCGGAACACGCGGATCTATGAGTGCAGTCCCCGGGGTAGCCACCAGGGAACGCCATAGGCTTTCCCGCTGTGTTCCTCCTTGCCTTTTCCGTTTGGGCCAAGTAGTTTCTATTGACCATGACATTACAGATCAGAAGTGGGTGGGGTCAGAAAACACACCCTGGGAGAAGCTGGCAAAATGCCCAGAACCGCCATCACTAGGCCTGGGGTTTTCTTCTGTAGTGGAATTCTCGTGCTTATGTAGTACAGGGAGGAGCGCAGCGCATTTCCGCCAAGACAGGTGAGACTGCAGTTCTGACCTGCGGGCCTCGATGAATTGCTTTAGGGCCCCTGGGCGCCGGCAGAGCCGATCTCCTACACAAAGCAAGCGTGTTATGTCTACGACCGAACGGGGACACTAAGAAAGAGCCCCAAAGGCCCTGCTTTCATCCCAAAGAACAGCGCCTGTCTGCGTAGTTTCTACCTTGCTCTATGAGGTGAGAACACCTTCACCGCTGGCACAGAAATCCTACAAACTCCTGTGGGGACCGCGGTTACAAGCAGACGCTGTGTGAAAGGTGACTCTGGGGGCTAGGGAAAAACACGAAGATTTTCACAGAGCGTGAGACCCCAAGAGACTGGAGACCATGGACCAAATTTCTGCGAACAGTAGCCTTATGTAGAAAGAGCTATGCAATCTTCGTGCTAGTTAGCTTGTGATACACATGCTCACAAAGGCTGGCGCTTCCTTCTCCAGCGAAAAGCAAGGCGATATATCACTTCCCGATTCAAAGCATCCAACTGTAAGAATAACAGTGTAGGGAGAAAGGTCTATAGTCATGGCAATATTGCCTAATGATATTTTTTTCTGTGATGGTCATTTTATAATATTATTTAAAAGTTTTTTTTAATTAAACAAGCAATGGAACTTTGAACAGAAAAATATGAAATTAAAACAATAAAAATTACTCATAATCACACTAGACTGTGATAACTAAACTGTGAATATTTTGGTTTCATAAGCTTTTAATCTTTTTCCTTAGGTATATAAAAATATTTAAGAACCAAAGAAAATTATATCACAATGGGTATATCAACTTAGTATCAGTTTTACTCATTTAATATGCCAAAGGTAACCTACTTATCCTTTGGCTACAAGAGCTTTCTAAATGTCTGTATAATATTACATCAGATGAATGCAATATAATTTATTTTAAATATTTCTTATTGCATATTTAGATTGTTTCTAATTTTTGAGTATGATCAACAACTCTTTGACCAGTATTCCTATAGCTAAGTGCTTATGTTGTAGGTCTGATTATTTCCTTAGTACAAATTTCTAACAGTGGAGTGTCAGTCAAAGGGTATGTACAATGTAAACATGTAGAGGTGTATTGTCAAATTATCCCCCACAAAGTTCCTAAAATATGCATCTTTACTGTCATGGTATAACTACCAAAGTCCTGTACCCTTGAAAACATAGATTCTTATTTCAGAACATCTTTATCAGTTTAAAAGATAAACTATGCCATCCTCTTGTTGTTAGTAAAGTGCATTTCTTTGATTACTCCCCTTTTACAGAAGAGTAAATGAAGATTCAGTAAGTTTGTGTGAGTTATGCATGGGTGCATAGGTAACACGTGCAGAAAGCAATCACTTCAGTTTTCCATATTTGAGGTCCTCTCTGGGCCAGTACAGTTCGAGACACTAGAAATTCAAAACCACAGATAATGCCCTCCTGGGCCTGTAGGATGTACTTGTTAGGTGGCAGGGGCGAGGCCCAACCAGTGCGCACAACAATGTCATAGCCCCAGGTGAGTGTGGGAGGGGAAGTTGTAGAAATATTTTCCAGCCGAAGAAATCAGTGAAGTAAAGATAGGCAGGAGGCAGGCAAAAAGGAGGCAGAACTGGCAGGTTGTGGGGGCAGGAGTGGCCACGGATGAGGAGCCAGGCTTGGCAACACAGGTGCAGGTGTCACGTGTCATAGGCACAGGCGTGGAGATCTGAGGGCATAGAGGGGAGAAGACCGTGCACCGCCAATGTCAACTGTGTGGAAGCAAACCTGGGCTACATCTAAGAGTCCTGAGAGCAGGGGAGGAGAAGGGAGGAAGAGACAACAGAAGTCCTGGGTGGGAAGCAGAAATATTTCCTGAGTCAATGAAAGAGCCCCAAGCCTCCAGACCTGCCAGGGCTCAAGCAGGCAGCTCCAGAGGCCAAGACCTATAATCCAGCAGTTCAGGTTGATTTTGCCAGAGTAGTGTGAAGAGGCCCTGATTTTCCCCTTTAATGTATACCCATACAAAAGGCAGAAGAGTTGTTGGAAAAGCAGGAGATTCACAGTTACAAGCACATAGGAAGCACAAGAAAAACTGGTAGAAGGGATCTGGGCCCTTCAATGTTGACAGCCTTCTCTAGGAGCCCTGGCTACAACAGAAGGAGAAGGATCCTTGGTGGGTATAAAAAGGTGGGAAGGAGAACAAGCCAAACAAAACACCACCCTCAGGACTACAGGGAAGTTATTTCAGGAGATGCATTGATTCCATGTTTTTGTTTCCATAGGTTGCTGTTTTGTAACTTTTTTTTTCTTAGGTGAAAGAATTAAGTGTCCTCCCCCACTGTCTGAAGAAAGATATGCCTGTCATGAAGCGTGCCCTTACTTACTTTGAAGGGGACAAGCCTTTTCTAGCTTCAATATTTATTTCCTATTTTGATGGGGAAACCTTTAGGGAAGTAGAAAGAGAGCTTAAAGCCTCGGGGGAGACATTTTACGTTCTTGCTAAAAAAATGCATTAAAATATTTAGTACATGTCCTGAATGTAACCCAGCCCTCCAGAGCTATTTTTTTCTCACTGTATTAGTCCATTTTCATACTGTAATAAAGAACTGCCTGAGACTGGGTAATTTATAAAAGAAAGAGGTTTAATTGACTCACAGTTCAGCATGGCTGGGGAGGCCTCAGGAAACTTACAATCATGGTGGAAGGTGAAGGGGAAGCAAGGCACCTTCTACACAAGGTGGCAGAAAGGAGAAGTGCTAAGCAAAGGGGAAGAAGCCCCTTATAAAACCATCCGATCTTGGGAGAACTCACTCACTATCATGAGAACAGCATGGGGGAAACCATCCCCATGATTCAATTACCTCCACCTGGTCTCTCCTTTGACAAATAGGGATTATGGGGATTATGGGGATTACAATTCAAGATGAGATCTGGGTGGGGACGCTAAGCCTAACCATATCAGGGGAGGGGGCTCACAACTGAATATTTCAGATAATTTTAATATGTGCTGGTATCCACAAACAAGAGCCAATGTGGACTCAGCAGGCAATGTCATGGGCCTTCTGTTTCAAAAATGATTCAGATAGACTTTTATGCTTTTACATGTGCCATATGGGAGTGGGGCATTCTCATCTTGTTCCTTGTTTTACCCTCAGCATCTACCTTTCATAGCAGTAACTGATGATCATGAAATGTTTGTTGATTGAATGGCTGAAGTATAGACAGATGCAGCTTCTGTCCATGAAAGGCATCCTGCTTGCTCCTTGCACTGTGTCCAGTGAAAACTCTTGTTTCTCTGCGCAGCTGCAACACGTTTCACATCACAAGGAGCACAAGGCACTGGCTTCCATTTCCACCCTGAAGCTCAGCAGCCCCATTTGCGTCCCATCAGCTGCCTGCTCCGGAATAGAGGAGGGAAGGGCTGGGCTTCAGAGTTTGCTTTTTTTTTCTTGGTTCTGTGAATGGAAAATGTCAAAGGATCCTGTGAAGGGATCCAGATTGATACCTTGGGGTCTGGTGTACGTAGGTCTGTTTGTGTTAACTCACCATTTAAAGACAGAAAAAAGGAAAACATACATATTTATAGCCTCCTAGAGAGAGCCTTGGTGCTAGTTTTGATGGCTTGCTGGGAACACAAGTGAAGCCAAGGGGGGTATTGTGGTTGGGAGCATTGATTTTGGGAGGAAAGTGGTGCTGGTATCATTTAGGGAGGGACAACAAGATGCTCCTGTGGACCACCACTGATTCTCTCACGCTGATGACATCTGGCAGTAGTGACAATGTGATGGGAGCCCAAAGAGGGGAGGGTCTTGTAGAAATTTCACGTGGTTGCATCAACTTCAGCTTTTGGTAACTGGTGGATAGCCAAGCAGCAGGAGTAGGGCAGAATACCATGAGTCCGTGAACCAGGCAGAGAGTTGAATGACATGAACTTGAGTCAGGGAGGAGAAAACTAGGGGCCGGGCACATCTTTGATTAGTGAGTAACCAACAATGTGGACCCCCAGAGGGCTTAAGGCCCTTCGCTGGAGAACTAGATGGTTATCCCTGGGTCCTGTTATTGAGGCTAGCTTCTCTCAAGTTTCAACGCTAGTCAGACCACCATATCTAAATCATGGAAAGTGTACCACTGGTTATGTTAAGAGGTGATGTTTGAATATTTAGATGGAGATAATCAAAGTATTACAAAAATGACAAAGGATTCAATGCAGTAAACAAGTTAATTTACACACCAGAGTCAAAATTTCACAAATATTATTGCATAGAGTGAAGATAAATTTTTAAAATTTAAATTAATTTAACAAAATAAACATAGTACTTAAATGTGGCTTTTTTGGTATAGATTATTTTCTTATTCAAGATTTTTCCTTTCCTAGTTTATAAGTATTTTGTTGCTATTCTTTCACTCTCTGAAAATTGCAAAATGCATACTTAACTTTTCAAATACAAGTTTTTCCAAAAATTGTATACATCTCCTGAAAACGAGTGCCTTTGAAGATGGCAACTCCATTTCTGCTCCCTCTAATTCACGAGTTATTCTTGACTTGTTTTGTGGAATTAATTAGTTTCATCTTTTTCTTAATGGCAAAAACTACTTGTCATGATTTTTCCATGTTTCCTACCTTCTTGATCCTCATCTTTTTCTCTGATTTAATTACATCCTTTTCTGAGGATATGCTGCAGATAAACTCTCTTTTTTTGTTTGCCCAAGAATGTCTGCATTTCATCCTACTCTTAAAAAGTGGGTCCTAGAAATTCTAGGTTGGCAATTATTTTTTATTAGCACTTTGGTGATCTCATTCTTCTGGCATCCGTCTTTCATCATTTCTGTTGAGTAGTTAGTGGTCAATGCCATTCTGCCGCCTTGAAAGTAAGCTGTTTTATTCACTACCTTGTGGATTTATGCATGTGTGTGGTTGTTCTTTGGTTTTACTATTGTTTTTGGTTCATCCAACTCACCATGACATGTTCAAGTGTAGTTTTATGTTTGTGTACCCTCTATAGATTTAGGAACTTCCCGTTGGCTTTCTTTTGATGTAGGGTATCAGTCATTATCTTAAAATATTACTTACAAACGTTTTCTCTGTTCTATGTTCTTTCTCCTCTTTGTTTAGGAATCCAAGTAAAAATATGGTAAAATGTCTCACTGCCTCGTTTTGCTGTGATGCATTCTACATAATTTCTTCTGACTGATCTTTGGATTCACTAGTACCTACTTTAGCTACTACAAAATAGTGAACAGCCATTGCATTTAAAAATTTATTTTTTGCATCTTTCTATTTTAGAAATGTTCTTTGTTTCCTTTTTCAAACATTCCAGTCATTTAAAAAATATTTATTTTATTTTACATTCAAGGGGTCCATGTGAATGTTTGTTAAATGGGTATATTGCATACTGGTGGGGATTGGGCTTCTAGTTCACCCATTACCCAAATAATGAATATTGTACCTAATAGGTAGTTTTTCAACACTCACATCCTCTCCCCTTTGGGAAACCTCAGTGTCTATTATTTCCATCTTTATGCCCATGTGTACCAATTGTTTAGCTTCCCCTTGTAGGTGAGAATATGCGGTATTTTATTTTCTGTTTCTGAGTTAATTCACTTAGAATAATGGTCTACACCTCCATCCATGTTGCTTCAAAGGACATGATTTCATTATTTTTTATGGTGGTGTAGTATTACATGATGTGTATATATATCACATTTTCTTTATCCAATCAATTATTGATGGACCCATAGGTTAGACTTAGGTTGGTTCCATGACTTTGCTATTGTCAAGGTATTGTCCTATAATGATTTGTTTTCCTTTGGGTCGGTGTCCAGTTATGAATATTTCTGGGTCAAATGGTAGTTCTGTTTTCAGTTCTTTGAGATATCTTCATACTGTTTTCCATAGAGCTTGAACTAATTTAAATTCCCACCAATAGTGTATAAGCGTTCTCTCTTTGCTCTGCATCCAAGTCAACCTCTGTTTTTTTCTTTTTTCAACTTTTTAATAACAGCCATTCTGACTGATATAAGATGATATCTCATTGTGGTTTTAATGAGCATTTCTTTAATGATTAGTGATTCTGAGCATTTTTTCATGTGTTTGTTGGCTGCTCGCATTTTTTTTTTTTGAAAAATGTCTGTTCATGTCCTTTGCCCAGTTTTTAATGGGGTTGTTTCTTTTTCTCTTCTTGAATTCTTTGAGGTCCTTGTAGATTCTTGATTTTAGTCCTTTGTCAGAGACATATTTTGCAATTCTGTTTTTTTTTTTTTCAAGCATGGCGAGAAAGATTTTATTCAGGACCAGAGCAATAGTTACAGGGACCACTGAAATGTTGTCTGACAGTGGGGAAGAGAGATTCCATGCTGGTCATTTTTAACAGTTTTCTTTTATTATTATTGTTATTATTATTATTATTATTATTATACTTTAAGTTCTAGGGTACATGTGCACAACGTGCAGATTTGTTACATATGTATACATGTGCCATGTTGTCGTGCTGCACCCATTAACTTGTCATTTACATTAGGTATATCTCCTAATGGTATCCCTCTCCCCTCCCCCTACCCAACGACAGCTCCTGGTGTGTGATGTTCCCCTTTCTGTGTCCAAGTGTTCTCATTGTTCAGTACCCACCTATGAGTGAGAACATGCCGTGTTTGGTTTTCTGTCCTTGCGATAGTTTGCTGAGAATGATGGTTTCCAGCTTCATCTATGTCCCTACAAAGGCCATGAACTCATCCTTTTTTATGGCTGCATATTTGACAGCTTTCTTTTGCTGAGATTGTTTCAAGTATGTTCCAACTTTGGGCGTTATGAGAAGAGTTGTTTTACAACATTTTTCTCTGATTATTTTTAAATCTAGGGTCTTTGTAGAACTGTTTCTTTCTCCACTATTTCTTCTAGTTCTCTGTAACGGTTATATGTATATATATATATGATACATATGTACTTATCTATCAGCTATATACATCATATAGGTGATACATACATACGCTGTGAGTGCATTATTTTCCTTGGAATATTATTGTGGAGATTCTTTCAGGATGAGGAGGAACTGCACATTTGTTTCTATTAGGTATTGTGAACTGTTTTAAACTAAATTTATAGCTTGAGTTTTTGAGATTGTAATTTATGCAACAGCAGCATTTTCCCCATGCTTTGTTCAGCACCAACGAACACTTCCTTGCTGACACATGGAAGCAGGAGTGAGGTAGTGTGGGTTTACTTTTGGTTTATGCTTATTGTGAAATTATAGCTCTTTGGAGGTCTTGTTTCATAGGGGGAAAGTCTTCTATTATCACATGCGTGTTGCTGGGGACTTGAGATTTTTTCCTTCTTCCATATCACTCCACAGAAACTGAAAAACTGAAGCTCAAATTCACTGCTTTCATGAATTCTCCAAGGGCCAAAGGGAATTCAACATTTAGCTTTCTTTTCTGAGATCAAGACATCACTTAGATTTTGGTCTTGTAATTCCTTACCATCTTGTATGCTCTTTGTTGCTCCAAAATCTTCTTTTTCTTCTATCTTATGCAGAATTTCTAGTTGTTTTTATCAAGAATGTGGGTTTGAACAACTGAGCATATTATTTTATTGGAAAAGTGCAATTGCTTTTTACTACCGATTCCTAATTATCCAGAGGATCTAGAAAAAATGGATTTAACTCTTTGGCCAATTAAAACACAAATTTATTCCAAAAATGGATTATCTGTTCTTATAAAGCTATAGTATATTAAAAGATATTTAATACATAAATAACAGTAAACAAAGTATCCTCTACTATGGTTTGAAAATTATTTAGAATCTTGCAATTGTCCTGGGTCTCTCTAAATGCTAATGATCACCAATGAGTTTGACAAATAGAGATGTTACAAGTGATTGGTTTAAATCTTTGCTGCACCTTAAATGTATTTTAAAATGTGCCCCTAACTCTTTATTTTACCTGACTGTATTTCAGTGCATCAGTTTAAGAGAAGACATGAGATCATGGGTTTAAGTGAGGCTTCATCATACTAAGACAACGTGATCAGGTAAGTACTTGCCCCTCTACATGTCAGCATTCTCACCTGTAACATAGTACAAACAGGACTTTGTCTGAGTCCCTTGCAACATTTTGTGGAGCATGAAATACAATAAAGACCGTGGATATGCTTTGTAAACCTTGAGTTTCTACACATATGCAAATATAAGTACTGGTAAGATATAGAATGAACAAGGGAAATAGAATCCTATTTTTATGTTTCAATTTTATGGATTGCTGGAAAATTGAAGTGTATAGGAGTCTTCCTGTGTTGCTCACTAGAATGCCTTTGGCTGGGTTTACTGGTATTGCATGAAAACAGCTGTTAGCAAAGACAAGACTTAGGCACCCAACAAGACCTTTTATTTTCACATGACTAAGCCTCTGACTTCAATATGCGTTCCGTGTTTTTCCCAGAAGTTCTTTTGTGTTATGTACAATTACTCTGCTGAACAGATTGTATTTGTTTTTTTCTTTGTTTTTTTGTTTGTTTGTTTTGTTTTGTTTTGTTTTACTGTGAGACAGTGATGCCAATGCTTGTGTAATTAGGATGGGGGTCGCAGACTCTGTACTTCCAGGAGAAGCCCCCGGAAGGTCTTAGCTGGCTCCTGAGGGGGCACATTTGCTGTGCTCATTGCACTTTACCTGGTGTCATGAAGCATAAAGAGCACAAACTTGGACACCAAGAGTCTACATTAAAGTCCCACTCCTTTATGTTTGTAAATATGGGATATTGGGAAGTTGCTGCACCTTTTTTTGCTCATTTTCTTCACTGAACAGCAGAAATAGAAAAATTTCTTCTTAATAGGGCTTAAGGGAGACTCAAATACAACACTGTATATGATGTTCTTTTGCAAATTGTAAAGCAAAGTACAAAGTTTCAAATATATTCATTATACATATATATCTAGCTTTTTATTCCATTTGGTTCAAAAAATTTATGTGCTCCAAAAAATTATGGAGGTGATACATATCTAAGTAGAGGATTTGTCAAATATAAATATCATGATGTATTAACAAGGCTGGACAGCTTTTATTAACACATTGTCTGCAGCACAAAAAAACAATGCCTGGGCCTGAATAGGAAACATATGAAAATATTTCTTAAATCAATGAAAGATTATTTAATAATTAAGAAAAACTGGCCAGGCGTGGTGGCTCATGCCTGTAGTCCCAGCACTTTGGGAGGCCGAGGCGGGCGGATCACGAGGTCAGCAGATTGAGACCATCCTGGCTAACACGGTGAAACCCCATCTCTACTAAAAATATAAATATTAAAAAAAAAAAAAACTAGTCAGGCGTGGTGGCGGGCGCCTGTAGTCCCAGCTACTCGGGACGCTCAGGCAGGAGAACGGCGTGAACCCGGGAGGCGGAGCTTGCAGTGAGCCGAGATCGCGCCACTGCACTCCAGCCTGGGCGATAGAGTGAGACTCCGTCTCAAAAAAAAAAAAAAAAAAAGGCGAAGACAAGGGTGAGTTTAGAAGGTGAAATCTGTGCTGTATATACTGAGAAATTGCTTGGGATGACTCATTTGATTCTGAATATCTGCATTAGCCAGTGCAGGCTGGCGTAACTAAATGCCACAGACTGGATGGCATAAGCAGCAGAATTTCATTCTCTTACAGTTTTGGGGGCAGTGAAGTCCAAGATCATGAAGCTGGAAGGGTTTGGCGTGTGTTGGGGCCTCTTACCGGCTTGGGCTGCTTTTTCCTTATGTGGCCTTTATACATGTGAGGTCGAGGGGAGAGACATCTGTCTCTTTCTTTCAGTATAAAGCCACCAGTCCTAGTAGACTGAGGTCCCACCCATATGACCTAATTTGACCTTAAGTGCCTACTAAAGGCCCTGCCTGTCTTCAAAAACAGTCACATCAGGGATCAGAACTTTTATACATAAGATTTTTGCAGGGACACGATTCAATCCAAAGCAATATCTTATCAAGATAACGATATGTTTGGCTACGTCTCCACCCAAATCTCATCTTGAGCTGTAGTTCCCATAATCCCCACCTGACATGGGAGGGACCTGGTGGAAGGTGATTTTATCATGGGAGCAGTTACCTCCATGCTGTTCTCCTGATAGTAAGTGAGTTTTCATGAGATCTGATGGTTTTATAAGGGGCTTTTCCCTCCTTTTTCCCACCTCTCTTTGCTGCCGCCATGTGAAGAAGGACATATTTGCTTCCCCTTCTACCATGATTGTAAGTTTCCTGAGGCCTCCACAGCCATGCCGAACTGTGAGTCAATTAAACCTTTTTCCTTTATAAATGTCCCAGTCTTGGGTATGTCTTTATTAGCAGATTGAGAAGAGACAAATACGGATAATATGATTGGTTAGACAATTTGAGAATCTTTATAATATTTTTCAAAAGAAACATAAATATTGTAATTTTTGTCAATAACTGGTGAGCAAGGAATTTAATTTCTTTGAATGTGTTTTTGTACTTGTGAAATAGGGATTATAATTCATGCATTGACTTAATGTTATTATAACACTCAAAGAATGTATTGTGCACTAGTCCTTGCAAACCCAAGCAAAGCCCTTGGGTTACACATGTGAGTTGTCATCATTCAGTATTCCCCTTGCCATGGGAGGGGAAAGAAGCATGTATGATCTGCACTGCGATGCACACATGGGCCCCCTGGAGATGTGGAGCAGGTGATGGATCTTCAGTCTCCATTAGAACCTTATTATTGGACATTTAGAAAAAGGCAGAAAAAGTTAGCAGCTCCAGAACTGCTGGATCGTGATTGTGCTTCTGTTTTGTATATATCTCCATTGACTTCAAGTTACTGCCCACTCGGACCTATGATTCCAATCCCCCTCCCCATTCACCTACAGAATAATGAGACTGTGATTTAAACTAGAAAGCCAGTAGCTTTTCTTCTTTATTTTCTTTGAGTGATAGCCACAAAGGGGAGAGTTTAAGAAATAAGTCGTTGCTTGCATAAAGACTGCAGAGAAAAACCTTCGTTTGTTTATTTTTTTCCTTTCTTCTATTTTCTATTCTAAAGCTGCATGTGGTCTCCTCCTAAAAGGAGTTTACTGGTAGCATATTAAACATGTCTAAGACACTTCTGAATACTTGAATATAAATTATTTACATAACTTGTTAATTTATTTGCTTATGTAAAAGATATGGTGGGTCAATTGGGTAAATAGCTAGCACACTGCAGACTACCTTGGCCTTTTTTTCTACCTGAATGCCTTGTGGCAATGAAAGAGTTGTGAAAAGGAGCAAAGAAGAAAAAGCAATTTATAGTCAAATTTTGAGAATTTTTAAAAGAGGAGGAAGAGGAAAACAATTTGACAGAGAAAGGAGGAAGGGAGGAAAGTAAGAAGAAAATAAAGGATCATATGTTAAAATCAGAAAGAAATATACAAAAACCTAAAGATGACATTGGAATCAATGAAAGCAAATATACTAGGGTCAGATTTTTGCCTCTCATCTCTAATCTAACACAGTCTATGTCAAATAGTTACAGCATCATAACTTCTGTCCCCTTTATTCAGAATTAGCAAAGTCTGAACTGACTTACCTGAACAGGAAGAACTAGTTGAGTAATTTCTTTTAGTAGCATGGTAGTGGAAAATTTTAGAATCATATAAACTTAGGTTGAAAATTCTGCTCCTTTACTCTCCCGCCCTGTGACTTCAGGTAAGCTTGTTGATCTTTCCAACTTCAGTTTCTTCTTCTGTAAAATAGAGATAGTAGGACCTGCCTTATATATTAAATATACATATAAACCATAGAGATGCCTCTGAAATTAGCATAAGCTCCTTTGGAAATTGAAAATGGCAATATTTGGGATAACTTTCACTGTTTATGTGTTTGCTGAAGGTAAAAATATCAGTTAAAAATATCTTTCACTGAAACAAGAGGAAATTTACTCTTAAATAGGAATACTTTACGCATCGAGCAGAGATAAAGAGAATTTACATGTGTCTCTAGGTTCCTTGGCTTCCAGTAGTATCTTTATTTGTGCAAGTTTTGTGTTTTGTAAAAGCTAGAAGGTCAATAATCAAAACGGCATTTGATTGCTTATTCATTATTTGGTGGTGCAAACATGTAGAACATTTTCTGTTTCTATTTCTGGCAAACGGAAGGGATGGTAAAACTAGACGCAATATTGGACGAACATTAGCGGCCCAGGACTGGCCTCAGTCATTGAAACTTTCATTAAGAACTCTGGGCATGATGGATAATTTTTGTGTCAAATTCACTTAGACATGAGGTGCCCAGACTAAACATGGGTCCTGGTTATGCCTGTGAGGCTGTTTCTGTATGAGATTAGCGTTTGAATCAGCAGACTGAGTAAAGCAGGTGGCCCTCCACCGTGTGAGTGGGCATTATCCGATTCACTGAGACCCGAATAGAACAGAAAGCACAGGAAGGGTGACTTCACCCTCTGCCTAACTGCTTGAGCTGACACATCAGCCCCCTGTGCTGTTCTTGACTGGGTCTTATACCATCGACACTTTGGTTCTCTCAACTACATCACTGCCTCTCCTGGGTCTCCAGCTGCAGATGGCAGATCGTGAGACTTTCAGCCCCCATAATCACATGAGCCAATTTCTTATAATAAACTCCCTCTCTCTCCTTCTTTCCCTCTCTCTCTGTCTATATATATATATACACACACACACACACACACGTATTAAATATATACGTGTATATATATACACACACACACACATGCGCGCACACGCACACACATACTCTTGATTCTGTTTCTATAAAGAACCCTGATTAATACAAAGGGCAATTTCAAGGATTTGATTATATATATAAAATATTAAATCACTTATACATATAACATCGTGTGTGTGTGTGTGTGTGTGTCTCCTTTTACTGAGTTACCTCCTGATTTTTATGACTTTAGGATGAGAACCAGGGCTATTTTTCTAATAACACAGATACCTTTCCTGAGAAAAATCATCCTAGCCATCCACAATGGCAAAGATCACATATGTGTATGCATGTTCATGTGGTCACATATGTGTGCATGCATGTATACATGTCTGCATGACCACATATGTGTATGCATGTGTATTAGGGTTCTCTAGAGGGACAGAACTGATAGAATAGATGTACATATAAAAGGGGGTTTATTAAAGAGAATCAACTCACATGATTACAAGATAAATTCCCATGATAGGCCATTTGCACGTTGAGGAGCAAGGAAGCCAGTGGTGCATCAGTCCGAGTCCCAAAACCTCGAAAGTTGGGAAGTAAACAATGCAGTCTTCAGTCTGTGGCCAAAGGCCCGAGAGCCCCTGAAAAATCACTGGTGTAAGTCCAAGAGTCTAAAAGCTGAAGAACTTGGAGTCTGATGTTCGAGACCAGGATGCTTCCAGCACAGGAGAAAGATGAAAGCCAGAAGACTCAGCAAGTCTGTTCTTCCATCTTCTTCTGCCTGCTTTATTCTAGCTGTGCTGACAGCTGATTAGATGGTGCCCACCCAGATAGAAGGAGGGTCTGCCTCTCCCAATCCACTGACTTAAATGTTAATCTCCTTTGGCAACACCCTCACAGACATGCCCAGGAACAATACTTTGCATCCTTCAATCCAATCAGGTTGACACTCAACATCAACTATCACAGCATATATGTATATATGTTTGTTTAAAAACACAGCAAGATATCGGAATAAGCTTTGTACACTAGGACTATTTGCAAAGTTATTGTGTGAATATAAAGAGCTAATATATATCTTAAAATTTTCTGTAGAGGTAGTTGTATACACAGGCTGTAAAAGTCAGCATTTTTCCTCATATTATTCCAGAACACATAAAAAAGCAACAAGGAAAATGGAGAAAAAAAGAACCAAATATATCCTTAGTGAAACTAGAAAAAGTTAGAATCCAAAGATTTCAAAACGTATGTAGAGATGACCAAATCTAGTTGGAATCAGGCACAAGCCACATGGGAGTAAATGAAGTATGGAGGTAGTGAGGCCAATGGCTGATAATCTCAGAAAACACCAACAAAATGTACTCCCTGAAAATTTGGGAGTTCACTTCCATGTTCAAAACTTATACCCCTTTTTTTTAACCACAGGAGTGGGAACCAGGGTACACAGTCTACCAGAAAAAGTCCCCTCCTGGACCCAGTTTTGTTCAAGGGAGGAACAAGGGAGATTCAACCACACAGAGAATCACCAGAGGAGCCATACTTGCAGGAAGCAGTCTGTCTCTGTGATAGCCCAGTAGGAAAGAGCCATTCTGGTGTGAGGCCCAGAAGGTTGTCTTAATTCTCTCTCTGAACCTCTGTAGTTATCTAGGAAAACCCAAGCCATTTAGTAGTATATTACAAAAAATAAAAGGAAATAGATACCCATTTATACAAAAATTATCTAAGCAAACATCTGAAAAGCAAAACTCAAGTATTACAGAGAAAATGAGAACTATGGAAGACCGACAAATGGATTGAACACATACATTACTGGAACATCCAAAGAAGAAACCAAAAGAGACAGAACAAATACTTCAAAATTATAATTCAAGAACACTTCTGTGCAATGCATGAAGACTTGAATCTACCTTTCAAAAGGGCACATCAGAAGCAAGGTATATCCATTCATGACAGGCAAAAAGTGAACCACATCTTAATGAAGGTATTGGACTTAAAAAAAATAAGGTATCTATTGGGCAGCCAGAAAAAAAGAATAAGTCACTCACAGGAGAAATGAAGAAGGCTGTCCTGGCTCCCCTAGCTGTACTGAAGCTGGATGGTCATGAGGGAAGACCAACAAGATTCTCAATGCCAACCAAGGATTTTTATGTGCAGCCAAGCTAGTCTTACTATGCAGACATGATATATTACAATTTGTTGCAGTTTTTATCAAGCAGGAATTCAGGAAAAATATTTTCATTAATGTTTTTGAGAGAACAAAAACATGGGTATGTGGAGAAAAAGGGCAATACATTTGGTTACAGAAGGAAGGAAAACAATAACAACCAATTAAAGGAAGATGCTTTGGTAAAATACAGCAAAAAAAAAAAAAGTTGTAAGTATTGAATGTATTTTACTGTAGACTGAAACCAAATGTGGATTAGGGTTACAGAATAGGCTGGAAATGTCGTATGCCCCAATAACATAGAAATAATAAACTTTACCTTGTCAAAGGTGAAGAAAGATAGTGAAGGTAAGGAAGCCTCATTAATTACCTCACTTGTTATGACTACAGTGCGAAGGATAAATTTTAAAGGTGGCAAATACAGCAAAATAAAAGCCTACTTAGCAGTGCAATGGTAGAGTAAGGAGGATAACATTTACTATCCTCCTTACTTACAAAGGGCACCTGCCACTGTATGGTGGTGGGCTGGTATCAACTCAGTCATACCCCTACCTGGAACCTAGGTTGTAATGTTAGTTCCACCAGTACTCTTCAGATCAGGCAGCATGATAAAGGGAAGGAAGGCATTAATCAGCACAAGTAAACAATAGCTGATATAGGTTCTGCCTCTGCTGTTGGTCTATGTTCTATGTTGATAGTCAGCTCCTCTTTTTCATTTTTTCAAATCACCTATCAATGCTCCCTTTACCTTCTACCAACACCTTTCCCTATCAGAAATTTTAAACTAGTAGTATGACCAAAATTTTCATTCCAATAGACTGCAAATCCTTTACAGCTACAGTTTCCCACTAACCATTATCTTTGGACACTAGTGAATTAAGGAGCCCCAGTAAATTGCCCATGTTCTAGATGTAATCTTCTTTGCTCCCATTGTATACAAACACTCCAACATCCTTTCGGCACTGTAAAATGCCAGTTCAAAATAGGAATTCTCTATCTCGTAACATGAAAAGCCCAACATGATTATAGAACAGTCTCAGGTTCTCATTGAACGAAACCAGGACTATGTTTCTTGATGCAAAATTCTTCCCTTGGCCCTAGGACTTCACAACACACTGAGTATAAGGAATTAAGAATGAAAAATACAGATCCCATCAGTGTAAGACTGAGGGAGGTCATACCCAATTTCACCCTTTTGTTTTCTGACCGTGTGTTCTAGTATTCTGGCTTTGTGGAAAAGGTGGAGTGAACTTACAATTCAGTTATCTAAGTCAGGTCACTTTTGACGGTGAAAGGGGTTGTTGTTAATAATTATGTTAGAAATTATTATTATTATGTCCTGGGAAAACTGGAGCACATGGTCACACAAGAGACAGAGTCATACATTGGTCATTGCTCCACAGTCATTCTGCATGCTGGAGAGGAGTGCTCCAGGCCTGCAGCACGCCATCTCTCAGCTCGCACTGTGTGAGAACCTCCAGGAAGCCACCTCCCCTTCTGTAAAGCCACTGGGTATCTGCAAGACAGGCTACCAGCAGCAAAGGTGGGCAAAGAGGGCACTGGTCAATGCCCGAACTGTGGGATGTCTTAATCTGTTTGTTCTGCATTAACAGAACATGGACATGGAGGCTATGTAGTCTATTGAGAAAAACATATTTCTCACAGTTGTGGGTCCAAGATCAAGGTGCCAGCAGATCTGGGGGCTGGAGAGGGTTGCTTTCTGCTTCCAAGATGGCGACTCTTGCTGTGTCCTCACATTGCAGAAGGAATATAAAAGCAAACAGGATCTAGCTAGTCCCCTAGAGTGCTGTTATAAGGGTATATAATCACCTCCTCAAGGCCTCACATCTTAATCCTGTCACACTGAGGATGAAGTTTCAACATGAATTTTGGAGGGACACAAATATTGAAACCATAGCAGGAGGCAGGGAGTGTTTTCGTGGAGAGAATACTGTTGCCATCACTGCAGTTCCCACTGCAGAAAAGGAGTGGGAGAAAATTACCCCCAACTCTCTGTCTTCTGAGCATCCCATCACCTTACATTGATCTCCGTCAGCCAAATCCACATGGAAGTTCAAGCCCAGGAAAGCCAGAGTCATGCTATTTATAGAGATATTGGCAGTTTTGGGGTGCATAAAGAGGGGTAGAGAATAAAGAGGGGTTGAAAGACAAGTGAAGATAAGCCATCACTGATATCTGTCAGATACTGTGCAGCAGGGGTTTGGGGGGAACTGGCTGGTTTTGGTCAATGCTGTCTGTGAACACAGCCTTGGGAATGGAGAGACAGGGCTTGCTGGCTGGATTACAAGTGGGGAGCATCAGGGCAGGTTATTTGCTCCATGTGTAGCTGGCAGACTACCATGTGGTTTTAGAATTTGGAAGCTTTAGTAACTGCAAAAACTGCGACACAAAATTCGAAAACTATCCTCCATCATATTTTAAAATTAAAGAACACTATCATTTTAAACGTGTTCTAGGAACACATCTCCTTCCTCATGGTACTGGCCTTTTCTATAAATATCTCAAGCTCCGTTAAGCTTTTCTTAATAAAAGTATGGATGCACAAAAGAGGAATATTTTCTGCTTGTTCCAATATCTCTTGAGGTTATTAACATGTTTGACTTCTTAGTCATGATAAAATGGCTTTCAGTTATGACCCCTCCTCTCCTTTTTTTTTTTTTGAACTTTCCCAAGACCACCATCCAAACTCAAGCCTTCATTGCAACTGATCAAATCCAGTGCAAAAGCTTTATGGTCTTATACGTAGCATCTGCCTTCAATCTGCTTGCTTCAGTGCCTCTTCCACATTGCTACCCAAGTATCTTCCTAAAACATCACATTAAGTTGGGTGATTTTTCTGCTCAAAAAGCGATCATGGATCCTCTTTGCATATATAATAGAACACAGTTCTTAGCCTAGCATTAAACATGTTCCGTAATCTGAGCCTAGTATGTTTTTTCTGGCTCTACTTCATTCTTAAGCTATCTATGCAATACAGATACGAATTTGAACATGCCCAACCTCTCTTGCCTCAGTTATTTCATTTGTCCAATTCCTTTCATCTAGCATGCAGTCACCAGGATTTGCCTGTGCTGTAAACCCCACTGTAGCTCAAGGCTCCATTCAGATTCACCCTCCTCCATCAAGCCTACTCTTGACGGTTACATTTAATCCTTCCTGATAGATTAAGTCCTTATCTTCATGGTGGACCTTCTGTTCTGGGTGCTGTTATTCACCTTGTGGTTTCTGGGCTGTCTTGGCCAAGTCTTCCCCCATAATGTTAGCCATCTCCCAGACTTAAAGTTTACAAAGCGTACATTGTCCTTTTTTTGTTTGTTTGTTTTTTGTTGTTGTTGTTGTTTTGGTTTCTTTTTTTGAGATGAAGTGACGCTCTGTCGCCAGGCTGGAGTGCAGTGGCGTGATCTTGGCTCACTGCAACCTCCGCCTCCCAGGTTCAAGTGAGTCTCCTGCCTCAGCCTCCCAAGTAGCTGGGACTATAGGCACCCGCCACCACACCCAGCTAATTTTTGTACTTTCAGTAGAGACAGGGTTTCACCATGTTGGCCAGAATGGTCACAATCTCTTAGCCTCACGATCTACCTGCCTCGGCCTCCCAAAGTGCTGGGATTAGAGGCGTGAGCCACCATGCCCAGCCAAAGCATACATTTTCTCATTTATCTTTACTTGTGATGTGCTACAGTCATAGATATTAACATGTTTCCAATTTAGCAAGACTAGGAAACTGAAGCCCGTAGATTTTAGTCACAAACTAAGTAGTATACACCTCGGAAAGGAATTAATTCCCAGATACAAGGATGTATCCTGCACCACCACTGTCTCTGTTCTACAGCTGCCAAAGTGTAGAAGTAAAGTGGGTGCACATGCTTCATTCTTCAGCAGTCCACCAAGGATCCCCTGAATCCTTCTGCTCACATAGGTGATGGTAGTCAAGAGACCTGAAATGGGTCCGTCTGGAGAAGCAACTGATGAATTTAACTTTCTACATAGTTAGAAAACAAAAATCAACTCACTTGACAAGTACCTGGAAGAATTTGTATATGATTTAGCATCTTTGTGCTTTATGGACAAAATGAATACTACAGAAAAGCATTTATAAATGATAAATCTATCAATCCAAATAAAATACCATCTACTTTGTGATGTATTTCTTTTTCTTTTTCTTTTTCTTTTTTTTATCTGAGATGGAGTCTTGCTCTGTTGCCCAGGCTGGAGTGCAGAGGCATGATCTCAATTCACTGCAAGCTCCGCCTCCTGGGTTCACGCCATTCTCCTGCCTCAGCCTCCAGAGTAGCTGGGGCTACAGATGCCCACCACCATGCCTAGCTAATTTTTTGTATTTTTTAGTAGAGACTGGGTTTCACCATGTTAGCCAGGAAGGTCTCCATCTGCTGACCTCATGATCTGCCCGCCTCGGCCTTCCAAAGTGCTGGGATTACAGGTGTGAGCCACTATGCCCGGCCTTTTTGATGTATTTCATAAATAACTAGAGTGGCATTACTTTAATCAGTTAAAAGCTTGTTATATGCAAAAATTTTAAAAGTTTGCTGCATGTAAAGGGCAGGCTTTCTAAGTTTGTGACCGATCACAAGGATCCAAACTATTTTATATTTGTTTCAGATAACTGTAAATACATAGAAATTCATGTTAAAATAAGTAACACACCATATTTTTGCATGTTTTATTTATTAAGCTTGTTATTATACGTTTTCATATATTTTTTCTTCTGTTTTGATCAAAATGATGGGAAAATAAGCTTGCATATTATAAGGAACACATTTCCCCCAATAGTAAGTGGCTTTTGTCTTTTGCTCTTTGATAAGATCTTTCAGAGAGACTTTTAATTTTCATCATTAAGTTTAATTAAATTTTGTAAAGTGGCTGGTTCAATAACACATGGCTTTGAGCATGAGTAATCAAATCGTACGTGTTTCCTGAATACTATCATCAACTTCAAATCTTGAGTTAGAATATGCACTTAGAGTGAGTTGACATTGATGACAATGGATATAACCTATGTTTCAAAATGCTTTCCTGATGATAATGTAGAATTTTTGGCTGACTCCTTGCCATTGTTTTCAACTTTGCTACGTGGTTGACAAGAGTATATACAACTAATTGAAGAAATGTAGCTCTGATATTTTATTGTTCTTGAATTATCATATTATCTAAATTTGGTATTTCTTTGTAGGAAATTTTTTAACCCACTTAACCTTTTGTGAAGTTAGTTTAGTCAAAAGTAGACAATTTAATCCTTGAATTCACTTGCCATGGTTAAGATGACTGTGCCATTTAACAATAGCTGCAAGAGATCCTGTGAGTGGGGCTGTGGGAACTCCTCTGCCCTCTGCAGGGCCCACATTTCTCAGGAAACCAGTGACTTCACTTGCTATGCAAATCTCTGACATGCAGCCTGAGTGGGGAGTCCAGAATCAGTCTACATGTTCAATATTAGTAACACTTAGATATGTGCCTACTTTTTAAGATAATAGAAATAGATACAGAAATTCTCACAATTTATTTCCAGAACCAAATTGACTATTTTTTAAAGCCAATTTTGAATACTTTTCATCTTGTAGATCAGATAAGTCCATATTGCTTCTTGGTCCATACTGAGGGCTTGATTCTCTTGGATTCCTGAGGAAAATAGGCTCCCTGGCCCAGTAACTGCTGTGACCTCAAACTCTTTCCATCATTGGAGTGTGGTCAACATCAGCAGTTGATGAAACTGAAAGTCAACATTTCACTTTAGCTTGTCCTGGAACTAAACTGAGAAGACGTCTTTGGAACTGGTCACACAGGGAGAAGTATCCCGGTGTGAGGTCAGATGCATGCACATTTCTCAGTGCATGTGACTACACACTGTGAACTCTGCGACTGATGCTTTCTCCATAGTGAGGAAAAAGACCTTGTTGAAAAATGCCAGAGTACTATCTTGGAACCCCAGAGTATTCGCATGACTCAAATATCAAGGGCTGGTTTTTTTTTCTCCCCAAAATGGCTTAGAAAACAAAATGTATGGATCTGATTGTCTCTTATACAAAGGCATGTTAGAGTTTGTAACCTGTGTAAATGCTGTAATTAAACCCTTGTTTTTACATGGATTCATTATGTTAAATTCTTCAGTAATTACTGACATTTTCTTTAATGTGTACATGTGGCGAACATAAGAATATGATTAGCTCGAGTTAAAAGTGTAAGCAGTAATGAGCATATTATGGGTCTCCCTTTGTCTTTGGTCACTCTAAGCTTCTTGACAATAAAGCTTGACTTTTTATAGATTTGCTGCACTATGCAATTTTCTGTAAGCAAATAAATGCATGTAAAGTAAAAATGACAACATTCATATACATATGTTGAATGGTACAGCTTCTCTTTACATTAGCTCCCCGAGTTACAACCTCTCCCCTTGTGTAGGTACAAGTCGGTGATTAAAGTGCAGAACAACTTCCCCAATACAGGAATCCAGCTTCTGAAAATATCTGTGCTGGAAAACTTGCAATGGAGGAATGGAAGACTTGAGAAAGGGAGGGCTGGGAAACAAGAGCTGTGACTCACCCTGAAGACATTCGTAAATATCTATTTTAATATCTATTACAATACAGCAATAAAGGCAAACTAAAAAAGGCTATACAAGGCATTTTGCACATCTTCATTTACTGGGTTCTCTGAAGCCCATTTCCTGTTAATATCTTTTGCTGGAAGAATCTTCTCAGGATCTCCCCTTCTGTCTGTTCCAACCAGACTCCCGTACATTCATTTTCGTTCCTCGTGGGTAATACACCCACTGAGAGACATGTTCCTTTGCTTTTTTTTTCTTCTTAGGGGGTTTCTCCACAAGATTCCTGGTTGAGTTGATGGAGTGAAGGTCTGTCTGTCCCCCAATTTTTTTTTTTTTTTTTTTTTGGAGACAGAGTCTCACTCTATCCCGCAGGCTGGAGTGCAGTGGCGCTATCTCAGCTTACTGCAACTTCCGGCTCTTGGGTTCAAGCAATTCTCATACCTCAGCCTCCCGAGTAGCTGGGATTACAGACGTGCACCACCATGCCTGGCTAATTTTTGTATTTTTAGTAGAGACATGGTTTCACCATGTTGGCCAGGCTGGTCTCGAACTCCTGACCTCAGGTGATCCGCCTGCCTTGGGCTCCCAAAGTGCTGGGATTACAGGCGTGAGCCACTGTGCCTGGCCTGTCTGCCACCTTTGATGGACAGTGTGACTACAGGGACAGAGGAAGATTCCCCAAAGACCTGCACTCACCCCCTCTAATGCATGTCCAGACATCGTCTGGCTCTCAGCAC
The DNA here is from genome assembly GCF_000001405.40 of Homo sapiens. NCBI lineage: Eukaryota > Metazoa > Chordata > Mammalia > Primates > Hominidae > Homo > Homo sapiens. The sequence goes on from NC_000001.11 coordinate 149,151,559, forward strand.
TCCCCTCCATTGCCCAAAGCCCTTTTGCAGGGCCTCTGCCTGTTCTGCCTGCTTTGTGCTTTGTTTTGTTGCATTTTATTTCCTTTTCTTTCCTGTTTCTAACCCAGTCATCTCTTTTTCTAGTTATTCCCAACCTATATAACTCACATACACTGGAGGAAATATCTTCATGGAATTAAAACCACATGGAGTAACATTTCACGTAAGCAGAATTCAGGAAGGATTTCAGTAATTCCATCCCAAACACACACAGGTAAAGGGAGTGAAGATTTCTTCAGCAACATGGTGGCAGAAAGATCATGAAAAGATCTAGGCCAGGCAAGTATGCAAACAAGACTGACTCTTCCTTTCCACTGGAGCTTTGGGTAATTGCTCTCACAATTCTATGATTTGCTGAAGCCACAGAAAATCAGTTTTAAAACAGGATTTCTACCCCTGGCTCACTACATGACAAATAATTTTATCCTGTAATCTTCTGATGTTAAACAAAGATGGCCCTCAATGTAATTGTTACAGTGCCTCCTCCCCACTTCTGTTAGCTGTTGCTTCTCTGCCTCCCACGAGTTTAGTGTAATCCCAGAACTTTGGGAGACCAAGGAGGGCAGATCACTTGAGGTCAGGAGTCAGAGACCAGCCTGGCCAACACGGCGAAACCCCATCTCTACTGAAAATACAAAAATTAGCCAGGCATGGTGGCTTGCGTCTGTAATCCCAGCTACTTGAGAGGCTGAGACACAAGAATCACTTGAATCCGGGAGGCAGAGGTTGCAGTGAGCTGAGATAGTGCCACTACACTCCAGCCTGGGAGACAGAGCGAGACCCTGTCTCAAAACAACAAAAAACAAAAACCGAACAAACAAAAACTGTAATTGCTGAAATGCTCTTTTTCATCAATCATATATATTGAACCAGGGTCACGAAAACATGGGAAAAGTGTAATTTCTGCCTCTGAGGAACTCACAATCTAGTGGGAGACACCATTTATTCATCCATTCTTTCATGAAATACACATTGAGAATGTAACACACCCTGGGCAAAGGAGAGGTCATTTGACTATGACACAAGACAATAGTCATAGTCTTTGCCCTCATGGAATTCACAGCCTAGCCATGGAGATTAAAAATAAAAAGATCTAATAGAATAAAGAGTAGTAGATTTAAAAACACTGGAAACCCAGTGTGCAGTAAAACTAAAAAAGAGGGCTACCTAACCTAGTGTGAGAGGTGAGGTAGAGGTTAGGGTGAGAAAGGATGGTATAGGAAGGCTTTCTGGAAAATTTCAAGATAAATCTTGAGGATAAGTCAGAATTCTACAGGTGAAAAGTAGAATAGTGCCTGCTACCTTGCAATTGTTCAGCAAACATCTGCAATGATTACTAACTGTCTGTCAGTTTTTGGCTCTGCTTCAATCCTCACAGTCCAAGCTCACTGCAGTTAAATCTTCAGTCTCCAGCACTGCACTTGGGAAAGCGTCAAGGAGTTGACTGTATATGTAATTGGAGTGCCAGAAGAAGAGAACCGAGAGAGAGGGGCAGAACAGCTCATGAGGGGAAAACCCACTACATACAATCAAGAATACTGCAGACTCCTCATCGAATCTATGTAAGTAAGAAAAAAATGGCCAGGAACTATAGAGCTGTTCTTTAAAGTACTTAAAAACATTTTTGCCAACCTAGAAGTCTTTAACCAGCAAAAATGTCTTCCAAAAAGAAAAAGACTTTTCAGTACAAATACTGAGCTGATTCATTATTAGCACATTTGCACTACATAAGTGTTAAAGAAAATTTCTTTAGTAAAAGAAATATAATACCAGAAGGAAAATTTGATCTATAAAAAAAGAAATTAAGAGTCCCAGAAATATATAAAAATTATGTAAAAATTTTTTGTTTTTTCTCCTTAAAAGATAATTGATTATTTAAAGCAAAAACAATAAAGTGTTATAGGATTTGTGGCACATGTTAAATGTATGCATTTGAAGTAAAATGTATGATAACGGTAGTGCAAAGACAGAAGAGAAAAACTGACTTCTCCTGCTGTACATTCTTTATACTCTACATAGAGCTGTGATAAGTTAAAGATGTGTATTGTAAACTCTAGATGAAATAAAAATTTAAAAAATAAAAATAAGAAGCAAGATGGAACAAGTAGAAAACAAATAGAAAGATGGTGGATTTGATTTTAGTTTTATCAATAATTATATAAATTCAAATAATCTAAACCCCCAGAATTTTTAAAAATGGGAGATAAAAAAACAATAAATATTATGTATTATTTGTTATCATCATTATTTTATAAAGGGACAGGGCATAGATTTGGACAGAAATAGTAAGTTTTACAATAAGAAATGTTACCAGAATTGCATAACATTTCATGATGTTAGAAGGGTCAATTCAACAAGAAGACACAACAATACCAAATATTGCCCAACAATAGAGCTTTAAAATATACAAAGAAGAAATATACAACAGAAAAAAGAAATGGATATATCCCGTTATTGTTGGAGATTGTAGATTCTAACCCATTTTTTCCAGTAACTAATAGAATGAGATAAGAAACCAGCAAAAGGATAGAAGAAAAACAATACTCTTAATCAGATTTACCTGATTGACTTTTCTAAAACAGTCCACTAAACAGCAATATAAAAGACATTGTTAGCAACTGCACATTTAAAACATTCACTAAAATTGATGATAATCTGGGCTATATAAACATGTCTCAGTACATTAAAAAGAATAGAAATCATGCACAGTATGATCTCTAAGCACAACTAAATGAAACTAGAAATAAATAATTTCCAAATGTTCTGAAATGAAACAACACACTTCTAAAAATTCCTGAGTCAAGGAGGAAGTCACAGATGAACTTAGAAAGTATTTCAAAGAGGACGAAGATGAAAACAAAAACAGAATATATCACAATTTGTAGGATGCACTTAAAGTAGCCATTTGGGGAAATGTGATAGTATTACATGCTTATATTACAATGGGAAAAATTCTGAAATTTGTAAATTTCAAATCATTCATGATATGTCAAGTCTTCTCAACTTGTTTTTCTTAAGGACTGTTTTGGCCTTTATTGTGTAGTTTATAAGTTCCACAAAATATATTGGGAATTTATTGGAATTTTGTCAAACGTATATAATTTTGTCAAACTCAAGCATAATATAAATATGTTTGAGAATTAACATTATTATAAAAGTGAGACATTTAGCCTATGAATGTAGTACATATCACCCCTCATTTTGATGTTATTATTGTACAAAAGTTTTATATTATTGTATATAAAGACTTCGTACACTATTTTTAAATTTATTCTTAAATTTTACACTTTTCATGAAATATGAACTTAATCTTATAAATTATTATTTTTAACATTATTGCTGGTGTAAAGAAATACAATTCCTTTGGACAATGAATTTTGTATCTAGTAAACTCATTGAATTTGTTTATTAATTTAATTCATGTACAAATTTTTGGATTTTCTATTTAAATAATCATATTGAATGAAACTACTGCATTTTAATAGTTTCTCATTATTACATTTACATATTTACTCATCTTATTCCTAAACTCAAAGATAATATAATTCACTCTTTAGTATAAGTACATTATACATTTAGTGTAGTACAGGTACATTATGAAGTGTAATGTTTACTAAAGCTTTTCTGTAAAATCTTTCTCAGGCTAAGAACATTTTTTGTTTTTACTAGAATATAATATTAACAAAACATATTCTAGAAAAGCGTAAAATTTACCAAATATTTAGATTTTTAATTTAAGCATCATGGAGAGAAATGACGCTCTCATGGTTGAAATGCAGAGGCTGGAGGCACAGATGTTCTTAGAGCTGCTATATTGTTTGAATCAACAGTGACGTATATAAGCAAAATTCCACAAAACCACAGATTTAACTGCCATTATTATTCAGAAGTATCTGGTGTTACTTCTGGTGTAACAAATGGACTATTGTTAGGATAAAGAATATCCATATGAAAAAGTGCTTTACATAAAGTAGAAACTTAAATAGTAACATAATCTGGGTACAATCCAACAATAATAATTAGAGCTTTGCTTTCCTGGAATACTATGTGCTAACCCTATTCTAAGGGATTTAGATAGAGATTTCACTGATTTCAAGAGAAACGTTTGTCTACTTGTTCAAATTTTAGTATCTGAAACTGCAATGTATCTTACATTAGATAAGCATAACTTAATTTCAGCATTATTTAATATTAGTGCATTAAAAAGTGTATGTCATTACCAATGGCATTTTAGATTTAGTGACATTTTGTATAATTTCATGAAACACTAGACACTATGGAATCAACTATAGTGTAAGGTCTACAAAAGCAGGAAATCCTATTTTAGTTACTCTTATAGGAGTCACTTGATAAATATATGTTGAATGAGTTGTCCAATGAAATAAATAAAGGCACAGCATTCTAGCATCATTCGGGGGGCAGTAGTTCATCCTGTGGCCTCATAACACTTGAGCAATGATGTGGTCATCACTTGGAAATGCTCAATTTAATCAGGTATGTTCATAATGAGGGCTTCTCATTTTTCTGTGAAAATACTAAAATATACTGTCTTTAGGGAGGAAGCAAACAATGTAATAAAATATAGAAAAATAGTTAAGCATGATTCAAATTAAAAGCCCTGGAATTTATAAAAATAAGCTTTATTTGTTAGGGAAAAAATTACATTGTGTAACACTCTATTCCCCATGATTCCTAGTAAATAAGACAATAAACCCTTTAAGAAGAACTTTGTCAGAAACAAAGGATCACTATTTCCCGAAGAGCTGCAAAATACCATAGGCCAGAATTAATGCAGGTGATAACTGAGGTCATAAAAGCCATTTAGACAAGTTGAGTTGACAATGATCTAAGAAGGGCCAGGCCACTCTCCTGTGCCCCCTCCCTAAGCAGCTGCGCATTGCTTTGCTTTGACAACCTCCTTCCCATGCACCCCATCCCACACCCACAGCCCTGCTTGGAACTCTCCTAAGTTCCAGACTCACGTACTCGGCTGCCTCCTAGAGCCCTCTACCTGGAGACGTCCAGAACACTTTGAGTTCAGTATGCTCACAAGTGAAGTCATAAAGAGCCAAGAGTGCAGGATTGGGGTCAGGCAGCCCCACTTCTTAGTTATGCGTAGACTTCTTAGTTTACTTGACCCTTTTCATTTTCAGATTTCATTTCTGTAAAATAGCAATGGGCTTTGTAGAATTGCTTTTAGAGTATTGTAAGATAACTTAGGTAATACCTCTAACAAAGAGTCAAACAGATATTGGACATATAACCAATGTCTGGTACCGGCTTTCCCCTCCTTTCACAAGCTTAATGGCAATGCAGTTAAGTCAAGGACCTGGATCAGAATTACGGCATGAGGAACACACTCCATGTTTGTGCACACCCATTCCTGGATGACTTTTCAAGGGTCTTCTCTTTTCTTCCACCTGACAACAAGTTCTCCAACTTCCCTACTTGGAAGTGGCTGCCTGCCATGAGATAATCCCCTTTCTAATTTGTCCTCCCATGAACAATGCACCCAAGGAGTCCTTCCTCTTACTCCATGTCTCCTTGAGCCTGCAGAATGGAGCTCAAGTTTGCTAGAGCAGCCACGGTTCCCGCACCACCTCCCCTTCTGCCTTGCGGGCTGCCAAGCCTGCGTCCACCGTGCGCATGAACTCCAGCATCAGGAAGTTTCCTGCGTGTGCCCCGTGCTCCTATCTGGGCTCACGTGAACGTGCTCTTCTCTCTTTCTGAAATGCCCCTTTCCTTTGAGCGATTGTGGAAATCCTCCTCATCTTTTACAACTAGTCTCAGATGCACCCTCCTTCCCGAAGCCTCCTCCGAATGGCCTGTCTACACATGGCCCAAACTTGGTTTCAGATCATTAAAATAGAAGGACAAAAATGAATGGTGTGCAGGGAACACACAGACAGCCTGTGGCATGGTTGGAAGCCGTGGTCTGATCTATGGCGAGTCCTGAGACCACGACTGTTCTTTGATTTTTGCTGCAGCCCTGAGAACCCTGTAGGTCTGCTCAGGCATCTTGCTGCTCTTGCAATCGAGCCCTTTGTTTCTCTGCCTATCTTGTTTCCTGCTTTTCACTTTCTTGTTCTCACCTGGCTGATTTGTAAATAATAAAGTAACCGAAGTTAGACAATTCCAGCTACTTAAGATAACTGTGTTTCCAGGGAATCTGTTTCATGCGTAGAGAGGAAAAAATAAGTAGTCACAATCCTGGATTTTCTATGTGAATCAGTTTGCTTAGAGAGCAGCAGCTGTTAAAATATACATGTGATATTTGAGTTCAAACGGGAGCAGAAATTATACTTAGTGTGGGCCAAAGAAAGGCATTTCAACGACAGGGCTCTTTCATCTGGAGTGGCGTGCCTAATTCTGATTTAGAGAAAAGCAGGTCTGATCTTGTGCAGTGGAAAAGGAGGCCTGGGGCTGGGCATCAGAAAATCAGCTTTCAGACACTTCCTCCAGGTTGTAGCTGAGAAACTTGAGGCTCTTTAGTGAGATGAAAAAATAGTAGGCGTCTCATCCAGCACAGAACCATATTGTCACAGTGTACACACAGATGGCTGAAGGCAGAAAACACCACACCAGTTCAGTTCCCCCCAGTGAAACCTATCTTGCCTTGGTGGAAAGAAGTCACCAAATCTGAAGGTTTATCATGAACAGGCAAAAGAGTTTCACTTGTTTTCATGACTCAAAACATTTGGCTTAAACTGCATATCTCTCCATTTTAAATGTAATTTATAATAGGGAAACAGGAGGGAAATATGCAAGATTCTGGAAAACCTGAAGTTTCCATGTTTATCTTTTCTTTAGTTCCTTGCTCTTTAGAGTAAACCAACCCATTCCCTAGATATAGTTATAAAAAATGGCTGGGGTAAGAAAAACAAGTTCGGTGATATTTTTAAAACTGTATGCACAGTCACTTGGAGACCCTTGAATGATGTTAGGAGACTGAGCTTCCCATACTCATTGGGACACACACAGTTGCTCTTGTTTGTAAGAGAGGACGCTTCTGAAGTGTCATTTCCTCTGTTGCTAGTATCGGCCTGCCTTCCCCTTGACCCCTGCCTTGTGGCCACCACTGTATCACATGTCCACACCCTTCCTTGGCTGGGGCCCTGGAAGCCAGGGCATACTGAGTGGGACAGCTGGCAGGGGCTCGGGCTGGTGCGGTCACTGACAAAGAATCCTCCTCCGGCCTGTCAGTGGCAACTCTGCAGCTGTTGGCCCACATACCTGGCATACCTCCATCTCCAGGCAACTGCTGGGTGTGGGCAGGGATCCCAGCAGCACCCACTGGCGTCGGCTGCCTCCCACAATGCCAGCCCCCAGGTAACCAAGAGGAGTCATCCAGGTGTCGGGGAGAGAAGCTGAGAGAAGCAGCGAGGGCGGTGGTTGTGGGAGAGAGGAGGAAGTTGGGAGGGTCACCCACACACTTACGGAAAGCTTGGTGCAAAGAGAAAGAGACCGCCTTTCAAAAACAGCCCTGCTCTACCATCCTGAACCTAGTCCCGATCATGCCTTGAAAAAATAGATTCCCAAGTGGGTCTTGCCTAAATAATGTAAGTGGACGTGGGAAAAGCACGGATTTGTCAGCAGTTTCAGAAGGTTCCTTGCTGCTGGTGACTTTGGAAAACTCCCTTAACCAGCGTGAGCCTCCATGTCCTCCTCCAGAGCAGGGGACTGTGTACCTTCCCCCAGGGAGGCCTGGAAGGATTTTGTTGGGTTTTCCTGATAAACTCACTCAGTGGATGAAAGGGGGGATGTTTGTAAAGTTGTCATATTTATGTTGAATGTAAGATCACTGAACTCTCACTGATATGCAGAAATCAACCTTAACGAGCGCTATCTGCAACACAAGAGATTTGTTTTCATGAGTACACACCTAGACGATGAACCTGTGCACACGACTTCACACTTTAAAAATGTCTCTTTTTTATCTTGCAGTTCTTTAAATACTAACAAGAATGGTTTTAAAAGTGTTTTCAAATGTGAAAAAATACATATGACATAAAATTGATCATTAACCACTTAAGATGTGCGCAGGTCAGTGGCATCATGCACGTTGACAGTGCTGTGAAGCCATGACCACCATCCAGCCACAGAACCCTTTCATCTTGCAAAATTCAAACCCTGCACCCACTGAACAACAACCCCATTTCTCCTTCCCTCCAGCCCCTGGGAAGCACCATTCTATTTTCTCTTGCTATACATTTGACTATTCCAGGTACTTTATATTACTTTTAATGGCAAAAACCACAATAACTTCGCACCAACCTAAAATGAGTTGAATCACGTAGTATTTATTTGTTTGTCTGTTTGTTTATTTTTTTGACTGGCTCACTTCGCTTAGCATAATGTCCATTGTTTATTATCAGCAATTACATTTTAAAATTTCTAATCTTGGAAAAAGAGGCATACTGTTGTCAATGAGAGGTCAGCAGTTTCAGAATATATGAATAGATGACAGACACAATAGACTTAAAAATTATTACCATTCGTTGTGCCAAGAAAACTTGCAAAAGTGTTCTTTCTCTGATGTAAGCATGCCAAAGGTCTGAATGTGTACACAGGTATGTTACTTCCCCCACTCCTCTTTTCTTTCATTTTTATCTTTACTTTTTTCTAGGTAAGGACCGATTTTATTGTGGGGTGAAAAGTAACATAGAGCTGTACATTTTAAAGTGACTTGTATTCTCTATGTTAAGCTCAGTAAGTTGCCTCTGCTGCAGGTTGTAGGTATCTGTGTTTAGCCCTGCATTCTATCTGCCCATTTCCCGTCTTTAGCACAGCTTGCCTCTCCCCATCCCCACAACCCTGCCTAATTCTACTTGCTTTCTTTGACTCACTCATGAAGATTAAGTAGGTACTAAGTAAAATACAAGTATTTTACTTATATCTAAATCTCATGCCTTTTTAACAATATCAATATTACTTTTCTCACTTCAGAGATAAGGAAACTGAGGCTCAAAGATCTTATGTAACTGCCTATAGCCTAGCATCCATCTCAATGGGCGTCAAGAACTAGATCGAGTGTGTTTTGAGACAAATCCCAGAGGCTGCCCTGCACAGGATGTGGCAATCATCACTGCCTTAGTCATCTGACTTTTGCTTTTGGTTTGTGTGCTTGTTTGAGACAAGAGTCTTGCTCTGTCACCCAGGCTGGAGTGCAGTGGCACAATCACTGCCTCCTGCAACCCTTGCCTCCTTGGTTCAAGTGATTCTCCTCCCTCAGCCTCCCAAGTAGCTGGGATTATAGGTATATCCCACCACACCCAGCTAATTTGTGTGTGTGTGTGTGTGTGTGTGTGTGTGTGTGTGTGTGTGTTTAGTAGAGATGGGGTTTCACCATGTTGGCCATGCTGGTCTCTTAACTCCTGACCTCAAGTTATCTGCCCACCTCGGCCTCCTAAAGTGTTGGGAATACAGGCATAAGCCACCATGCCCGGCCCTGACTTTTGCTTTCTATTGGGCTTACCTGTGTATTCTCACACTCTCGGGAGAACTCAACACTCCTGAAGAACACAGCCCATGACTCCTCATTTCTGTCTCCTGGCAAAGGCTAGCACAATATTTTGTGCAAAGGTTTTGCTTTCTTAATGATAAGTGAATGAAATATGGAAAAGTTTTAACATAAAAATATATTCAAGTTAGCATTTTGCCTGAAATTTATACTTAATTACATCTAGGAAATTAAGTGTACATGATCAACATATATGTATATATCATTTTCCTATTTGAGTACTGACAAGATGGAGGAAAGACAAGGAAAAGCTGGAGAATTTGAAATATGCACGAGGTCATTTCCGTTCCAGAAATAGGAGACATAAAGTAGAGGTCGAGATCATTGACAGTGGGCTTTCTCGAGTCGGGTAGAGAAGGGGTCAGTCCTTCTAGAGCTGGATCCAACCATGTGTGGCTCTCTACCCAAGGGTATCCACCTGCTCTCCATTCCCTCATCTGTCCACTGGGGTGCACACAGCACCTCTCATGGGAATTAAAAACGGTGGTGCCTGAGCAGCTTTCAAGGAGCCAGTGGCACTCGCTGCTCAGTGCACATGAGCTAGAGAGGAGTGGAGGCCTCAGCACAGGGCCTGGTACTAACTCGAGAGATATTTGTTGTGCCCTATACCCAGCAGATACTGAGTACATGCTCAATGTTGTCATTATTTTGATAGATATTTTCTTAAATCTGGATTATCATCCTTCAGTTTGGATAAGACAGACAATATTGATGGGTTGGGGTACTTTGTCAAAGAATGTAAAGAAAGATAATGTGAAGAAAGGCAATTTTGTGATTAAAAAGGAAGCTTTATTCTTAGATTTGTTAATAAGTGTCTCTTACTGAATTATTTGCTTATTAGGCAAAACAGTGATATCATTGAATCATTCTAAAATTCCTTCCCTTTTATGTCTTGAGGTTATGAACACATGTAAGGCACCTCACCTGGCATCTGACAAACTCAACGAGACAATGAATGAACCAGAATAAATAATCATCTATTTTTTTTTCTCCCTGAACATTTCTACAGTTGAGACAGTCTTAGAATTTCTCTCTTGCATGCCAGGATATTAGACTGTTGAAATTGAATTCTTTTTTTTTTTTTTTTTTTTTTTGAGACGGAGTCTCGCTCTGTCCCCCAGGCTAGAGTGCAGTGGTGTGATCTCGGCTCACTGCAACCTCCGCCTCCAAGGTTCACGCCATTCTCCTGCCTCAGCTTCCGGAGTAACTGGGACTACAGGCACCCGCCACGACACCTAACTAATTTTTTTGTATTTTTTAGTAGAGACGGGGTTTCACCGTGTTAGCCACGATGGTCTTGATCTCCTGACCTCGTGATCCGCCTGCCTCGGCCTCCCAAAGTGCTGGAATTACAGGTGTCAACCACCGCGCCCGGCTGAAATTGAATTTCTTTCTTTTCACCAGCTCGAATTTCTTCTTCTCATGTAAGGTCATCTTACATAAGTGAGACTCCTTTGTTCCCTTTCCCTTAATAACAAGCCTACACGGAGGTGAAGGTGGTGAACGCACCTCTTCTCATCTCAAAACATCCACGTGCTCTTCCATTTTTTTCTAACAAAGAAGGGAGAGGAGGTGACATGAAAACACACCACGGATATTGTTCAGCATTTGTAAAAGCTGAAAGTATCACTTGGTAGACAAACTGCTTTTTGCACTACAACCTCCAGAAGAAAGCGCGAACGCAATTCCCCACCACCACAAATTACAGTCCAGTTTCCCCACATGTGGAAGTAACAGGAGTCAGTCAGCACATACTGAGTACAATGGAGAAATCGCCCCCGAGAAACATCAACTTCATGGCCGTATTTTCTCCTGTTACGTAAGTACGAATGAACGCACCTCCGCCCTGCCACAGCTCCATACGCCTCACCCCTTACACGCACGGTCACTTGCCCCGCGCATTCCCCCACCCCGCCCCCATGCCGCCTCAAGTCCTCCTAGCCCTGACACACAGCTGGGACTATCACGTCCAACCGGAGGTCCTGGACTAGCTCCCACAGCACGAGAAATCTTTCGTGGCGAAGCAGCAGCCCCTGAGCTGCCTCCTCTGCATAGGAATCGCCCTATCTGTGATGTCACCGACAGCGCCTTTCCCGTCCCCGTCTGCTCTTCCGCCCCACCCTCTGCCACTCGGCCGACCAACCAGCTGCGGGAGCGGGCGGAGGAAGTGACACCTGACTCTACCTCCTTTCCCTCCCATCCCCGTCCCTGGTCTCTCCCAAAGAAGTAGGTTCTTAGCCTGTGATGCAAAGGACCCCTTTGGCGGCCAGCTGGAGCCTGTGCGCTTTTCTTCAAATAATGGCTTTTAAAGCTCAGACTAGAAAGTTTAGGATTACAAAGAAAAACGGTTTTCACATACGGTTATCCTTGTGATGTAGCATTTCGCTTGACATTTGGAAGTCGTTCAATATCAGAGAGAAACCGTATCTATGAAACTAGAGAGGCTGCTCAGATGACTGCAAACCAGCCATCCTTACTTGTTTTATCACTAGGAGTATTATAAAGACGGTCGTCCAGTTTCATGAATCTTGTAGGGTTTTTTTCAGATACAGCAATGTACAAAAATGTGCTGCCCCAGCAGAGCACACTGGACACTCAGGCATGGTGCTGGAGTTTGTCATCTCTTCACTGCCTTCTCTAGACCTTAGCGCTTACCTCATGTTAACACTTTATATGCTGCGAAGACAGAAACACAGTCATCCAAATTTGGCAAAAATATTTGGGAGAAGTTTTATTTCAGGTGTTTAACTGATTACTTTTAATATGTAGACTACAACACCAAACTCTGAGAATACTCCACAGACTTATTAATGGTTTCCACCCCCGTCTCTGCAAATCTATCAGGCAAGTTTTTCCTGCCCTTTACTTTCATATAAGCTGAGTCACAGTCTGTAGTGGGTTTTGGGGGGAGTGTTACTGCCCAACAGGTACACCCTGCCTGCTGCCTAGACAGAGCCAATTTTTCGACACAGGGGAATTGCAATAAAGAGCTGCACTCTTTATTTGGTGATTGGGGGCCGGTGAATTGAGAGTTCTGCTTGGCCAGGTCGGAGATGAAATCACAGGGAGCTGAAGCTGTGGTCTTGTGCTGGGTCAGTTCCTGCTTGGGGGCCACAAGACCAGCTGAGCCAGGTTATCAGTCTAGCTGGTGCCAGCTGATCCACTGAGTGCAGGGTCGGCAAAATATCTCAAGCACTGATCTTAGGTTTTCCAATAACGATGTGATCTCCAGGAACAATTTGGGGAGGTTTAGAATCTTGCAGCCAGAGGCTACATGACTCCTAAACCATAATTTCTAATCTCGTGGCTAATTTGTTAGTCCGGCAAAGGCAGTCTAGTCCCCAGGCAGGAAGGGGGTTTGCTTCCGGACAGGGATATTATCATCTTTGTTTCACAGCTAAACCATAAACTAATTTCCTCCCAAAGTTATTTCGGCCTGTGCCCAGCAATCAACAAGGACAGCTTGTACGTTAGAAGCAAGATGGAATCAGTTAGATCAGATCTCTTTCACTGTGGTAATTGTCCCAGTTGTAATTTTTGCAAAGGCGGTTGCAGAAGCAGAGGCATAGGTCTGACTTCTTTCACTCAGTCCTATGTCTATGAATTTTTCATGTTATTCATATGGTTATTTGGTTCTACGTGTATTCCTTTGTAGGAATATACATTAACTTATGTATTTATTCTACTGTTGTTGAACATGTTGACCTAAAAGAAGGAGGCTGAAGCACAAAATATAATTTAGAGTTTACTTGAGTCAACATGAAGACAACTGCCTGGAAGACTCACACCAAGGAAGCTTGGATCTGAGCTCCCTTTGGTCTTTGTCACAAGCAGGTTTTTATTTTTTATTTTTTATTTTTTATTTATTTATTTATTTTGAGACGGAGTCTCACTCTGTCGCCCAGGCTGGAGTGCAGTGGCGCGAACTCTGCTCCGCCTCCCGGGTTCTCGCCATTCTCCTGCCTCAGCCTCCCTAGTAGCTGGGATTACAGGCACCCGCCACCACGCCCAGCTAATTTTTTTTGTATTTTTTTAATAGAGACGGGGTTTCACCGTGTTAGCCAGGATGGTCTCGATCTCCTGACCTCATGATCCGCCTGCCTCGGCCTCCCAAAGTGCTGGGATTACAAGCGTGAGCCACCGCACCCTGCCCACAAGCAGGTTTTTAAAGTTCAAAAGCAGGGACAGACAGTGGGCTGATAGGTGCCTATCAGGAATTCTCATTGGTTTACAGAAATAACATTGCTTGGTGATTGGCTATATGTTGTTAAGTTATAGGGTATGGGGGTATAGGGATTGGTGTGGCATTATTAGGTTAATTTACAGCTACTTGAGGCAATAGCAAGCAGTTTCAACGGATGAATACATAGCTCAGCGCAGCTCAAAAGGAAGGAGCGGAAAGTGGTTGCTGTCTCGATTTAACGTCTCTCTGGGCCTGATCATTTGAAAGGGCTCACATTCCTCAGATAAAAAGTTTTTTTAATCTTTCTTCTTGAAAGCATCGATGATCAAAAGCTAAGTCAAGGGTGTCCCTCTTTGCCAGAAAGGCTCATTCCCGGATAGTCCTGTCCCAAGCAGGGGACAGGGGAGGAAAGAAGCCACCTCACTGAGGAATTTTTAAGAATGCCCAAAAGTCCAATTGAAAGGGCATTACAGCCAGGCATGGTGGCTCACACCTGTAGTCCCAGCACTTCAGGAGGCCAAGATAGGTGGATTGCCTGAGTCCAGGAGTTCAAAACCAGCCTGGGCAACATGGTGAAACCCCATCTCTACAAAAAATACAAAGTTAGCCAGGTGTAGTGGCACACACCTTAGTCCCAGCTATTCAGGAGGCTGAGGTAGGAGGACTGCTTGAGCCTGGGAGTTTGAGGCTGCACTGAGCTAATATCACACCACTGCACTCCAGCCTGGGTGACAGAGTGAGACTCGGTCTTAAAAAAAAAAGGGCATCATAGAGTGGCAAAAAAAAAAAAAAAGAGAGAGAGAGAGAGGGGCCTCAGTTAAGTCTACAGCTGCTGTCACTTATTGAATCATCTCTACTCTTCAGAATACCATGAAATTAGTTTTCCCAGAAGTAAAACGATGAGAGATACATAACAATAATGACATTGCACTTCATCATTCCATGCCCTTCGACATTTATAGGGCCATGGATGGTGATCTTTTCAAGAGACAAAAATAAACGCCGAACAGGTAAGTGCGCTATAATTTGAGTACATCAGCTTTTGGGCATTTAAACCATGGGTCAGAAATTTAGAGCAAGAGGGCAGGTTGGATCCTGATAGCAGGAGGGAGTGTTTTTCTTTTAACTTTCCAGTGGCATCATGGTGTTAACCACTGTTATTTCAGAGTGAAGAAACAATTTTTTGTTTGGTTGGTTTTGTACTTTTTATTTTTATTATAATTACTTTTTAAGACAAGGACTCTGTCTCCCAGGCTGGAATTCAGTGACAAGATCACAGCTCAGTACAGCCTTGACCTCTTGACCTCCAAGGCTCAATGGCTCATCCTCCCAAGCAGCTGGGCCTACAGGCACACACCACCACACGCAGCTTATTTATTTATTTTTTGAGACAGGGTCTCACTCTGTTGCCCAGGCTGGAGTGCAGTGGCGTCATCAGGGTTCGCTGCAGGCTTGAACTCCTTAGCTCAAGTCATCCTCTCACCTCATGCTCCTGAGTAGCTGGGACTACAGGTGGGCACCACCACACCCAGCTAATTTGTATATATTTTATAGAGTCAGTGTTTCACCATTTTGCCCAGGCTAGTCTCAAACCCCTGTGCTCAAGTGATCCTTCTGCCTTGGCCTCCCAAAGTGCTGGGATTACAGGCAGTTATTTTGACAATACGATTATGATGGGTTAAACTGAGACGTGCGGCAGGAAGGTTAGGGTGAGTCAGACAGATTAGATAAACAGGTTTTGCTTGATATGACCCTGAGTTGCATCGTGAGTGCAATCAGGAGGAATACAGGTGAAATTTAGCACAGGATGTACCAATGGGTCATTATGGTCAAAAGTGGTTTGTGGTTTTGAGTGGCAAACCTGGAACCTTGTCAAATTTCCCACAGAGGTAATGGTTTGTGAGATTCTAATCAGAGAATTATCCCTCCCTGCTGTAATCAAATTAATTAGGGACAGTAAAACAGAAATCTGATCACAGGTATTCTGCTATGTATGTATGTATGTATATGTATATACACATACACGCAAGAGGAGTAGTGTGTCATATCTTAAGAGAATATGCATATAGGGTGATTTTACCAAAACCACCAAGAGACAACCCCTACAACTTAAAGGAGCCCTAATGGTGTATGTATTCCAGTCAGCAAAAAAGAGACTAACTCTCTCAGGCACGGTCAGCACTGGAATTGTAACTGATTATACAGGCCAGTATCTTGGGTGAAAGTGGACTACACCAGATGTCAGCTACTTGCCATCTCTGTCAGGAAGATTGTGAGTTACCTCTAAGTGAAAATCTCCACTGACAGATGTCCACTCTGGTAGGGTTGCCTTTTACAAGAGAAACATGAATCCATGTGTCAACGCCCTTAAGTTTACTGGCACAGATTGGTCAGTAATACCTGTCGTCAGTTAGGTGCAGTGGCCTATGCCTGTGGTCCCAAATATTTGGAAGGTTGAGGCAGAAGGGTGGCTTGAGCCCAGGAGTTCAAGGCTACAGTGAGTCATGATTGTGCCACTGCATTCTGGCTTGGGGAATAGAATGAGATCCCATCTCCAAAAAAATATATAAAGTAATAATAATAGCTGATGTGGTCCCTTCCAACAGTCTTGGGGAGAATATTTTATTTGATGTTGTTTCCAGTAAACAACAACATCTCCAGTTTATAGGCCAAGATTTTTGATATTTTCATCTCCCAGGAGTTCATTATGAATGGAATTCTTTGTTAATGTAGAGTTCTTAGTAAGTTCTGTGAGATCTTAGCAGTAATGGAGAATGTCACCTTTAAGAAGTGCAGATTCATAAGCGCCTTCATCTAACCACTGCAAGGGTCTTCCTGTTATTATTTCAAAGAGGGAGAGTGTGGACATTTTCCACAACCAGTGGGAGATCCTTGTCCAAGAAAGGTTAAAAACTTCTGTTAGCTTTGCCAATTGAGTTTTTATTGTATCATTAGTGCATTCCATCGGCCCAGAGGATTAGGGGTGACAGGCACAATGGAAATGTTGGGACTTAGGCAAAAATGTTACAAATGGATCAAATTACCTGACCAACAAAGTGTGTTCCTCGGTTTCTATGGAGTTCAGATGGCACCCCCCATGAGGAATTACCTTTTCTAATCACAATCTACCTACTACTTGGGCTGTGGCTCATCGGCATGGAAATGCTCACCCCAGTGAGCATATACAAATTAGCACCAGAAAGTATCTGTGACCCTGAGATGGAGACAGCTGGATAAAGTCTAACTGCCATGTCTCGAAGGGTCCCAAAGGCAAAATGTCCCTGTGACCCATGAAGGGGTTTTCCAGGATTATGTTTGGGACAGACAGTATGGCAAGACTAAACATTTTCTGCAATCATAGGCAATGATTTTCAATACCATTGCTTTCCCCATGCCAACATTTTGTCTGAATTCCAATGAGTCAGCTTATGAAGTACTGTAAAAGGGTAATTGAAGCCTAAGGGATAGATCAGTGTATCATTGGGCCCATACCATATGACTGTTTCTGGAAGAAATTTGTTCCCTTTATCCTTCCAGAGATCCCTCTCCTGCTTGGGAGCTCCCACTTATGCTTCTTTTTTTTTTTTTGCCAGAGTCTTGCTCTGTCACCCAGGCTGGAGTGCAGTGGTGCAATCTCACCTCACTGCAACCTCCGCCTCCCAGGTTCAAGCAATTCTCATGCCTCTGCCTCCCAAGTAGCAGGGATTATAGACATGTGTCACCACACCAGCTAATTTTTGTATTTTTAGTAGAGACAGGATTTCACCATGTTGGCCAGGCTGGTCTCAAACTCCTGACCTCAGGTGATCCACCAGCCTTGGCCTCCCAAAGTGCTGGGATTACAGGCATGAGCCACCATGCCCAGCCCACTTGTACTTCTAATGAAGTCTTCAATGGGTCATAAGTCAGCAAGGTCATTTCGAGGAGTTCTGTGTCTGATGTCACCTTCAGAGCTGCATTCTTAGCTGCAGCATCAGCAAAATGATTGTCCTTGCTCTCCAGAATGTCTAATTTTGAATGAACACGAATTTTGATGATGGCCAAAATTTGGGTCTTCAAATTGCTTCTAAGAGGTCAGAGATTTATTGGTCATTTTTGATGGCTTGACCTGATGAAATCAGATACCTATGTTGCTTCTAAAGCATTCCAAAATCATCACCTACTCCAAATGCATCTCTGCTCCCAGTGTAAATGTTAGGCTGAGGTGGAAGGATTGATTGAGCCCAGAAGTTCATTCAGGTCCAGCCTGGAAAACACAGCAAGATGTCCTCTCTACAAAAAAAAAAATCAAAGAATTAGCTGGGCATTGTGGCATGCACCTGTGGTCCCAGCTACTCGGGAGGCTGAGGTGGGAGGATTGCTAGAGCTGAGAGGTTGAGGATGTGGTGGGCCATGATGGAGCCACTGCACTCCAGCCTGGGTGACAGAGTGAGGCCCTGTCTCAATCAATCAATCAATAAATCTTAACCACTTAAAATACCAATGACAGATTTGCTTGGCCTTTTAAGTGCATTGCTGAATTCTCCAATCTACATTTTTGGGAACAACCTGGGGAATGGCAACATGGAGGTATTTGGCCAAAATGCAGACCCTTTCATTGTCTGCTTTAGTCTGTTTTTAAAAATCCTCTAAAGAATTATTCCAATTCGCCCTTTTCAACCATTTAGTGGCCCTGCCTTCTTACACCACATGTGAATTAATTGATAAAAATCAGAATATTCGGGCTAAAAGTTTGGACAATTAAGTCAAATTTTCTCCCAAACCCTATAGGATCTTGGAGGCTGCTTTAGAATTAGAAGGGGAAATTGATTTAAATTTCGATCAGGGAAGTCTTTTTTATTATTTATTTATTTATGTATGTATTTTGATACAAAGTCTTGCTCTGTCACCCAGGCTGGAGTGCAATGGTGCAATCTTGGCTCACTGCAACCTCCACTTCCCGAGTTAAAGCGATTCTCCTGCATCAGCCTCCCGAGTTGCTGGGATTGCAGTCATGTACCACCATGACCGGCTAATTTTTGTATTTTTAGTAGAGACGGGGTTATGCCATGTTGGCCAGGCTGGTCTCGAACTCCTGACCTCAGGTGATCCACCCACCTCAGCCTCCCAAAGTGCTGGGATTACAGGCATGAGCCACTGCACCTGGCCTGGTTAAAATTTTTTAAATGAGAAGTCATAAGATCTGGTTACATCACTCTATATGTTTGTGTATGTGTACATGTGTGTATCTATGTTATTATGTTATGTATATGTGATATTTTTCTACCTCCAACGTTATTACCAAACTAAAATACCCAAATTGGCTAGGGATAAATGAGCACTCAAACAAATAAGAATGTATAAAATTTTCAGAAAAGTAGAAACTGACCCAATTTTTTTTAAGTTCACATAATCTGGGATATTCTTTAGTAAATAAAAACTAGTTTAAAAAATATTGGTAAAATAAAAATAGAAACATTTTCAGAATTGTCAGCATACACTTGTTTTACCTGGCTTTGCTGATTAGACAAGTTTGTGTTGTTACTGTTAGATGTTTAAGGCCATAAAACCATAAATTCAACCTAAGAGTAAAATATGTAGTAAAAGTAAATTGCTTAATTGTCTGGTGTATGTCTGTTGCAAAAGTAAATAAGAAAAGATGTCTAGAAGGATTGTGAAAATCTTATCTTGTATGGTCTAAGCTGACTGAGATTGGATAGATTTATTTATAAGGTTTTATTAAAACTTAGTTTTAGTAATACATTGATTCAAAAGTAGAATTTGATCTTCTCCGTTAAAATGGTAAAGTTTTCTTGGAATGTTGGTCTGAGAATGTAAAGGGTATTTTTTTCCTTTTAAGTAATTGGCCTCAGAAACAGAGACTCTGTTTCATCAAGATAATTTCTTGAGTTTCATGTTGTTTTATTAGGTTTTTGGTTACTTAAGAAAAGTGAGTCTTCTCAATATTAAAGGAGCTAAGTTCTTGTTCACAACTATGTAATCTGAATTTGCCTTTAAAATCTTTTAATGGAGCTTTTATTAAATAGATAACTATGGTCATATTTGTTTTAAATGTTTTAAACTTTTTGACATTTTTGACAATCTTCCCAAAATCACATTCTAAGTTAAGTCTTTTTGACCTCAAATTAACTTAGGATTCTCCATGTTGGACCCTCAGAAAGCCACAAAGAATATTTTTTTTTGTATGAAAGAGAGATTAAACCAATTAGATTTATTTAATATGCTAAATTATATGTGTAGCATTCAAATAAAAAGTGATGCTAAGCCATCTTTAAGTTATATTTATGGATATATTATTGGGATAAGTGTACAAAAGTTGTATGAGATTCCTAGAAATCTAGTATGTTATCAGTCATAATTTTGGTTATTATGTTAAAATGCTGTATGCCATGCTAACCAAATTTTCTTATAAATTGCATCATTGTAATGAACTCTCATTAGATTTTTTAACCATGGACATTTTAAGTCCTTGTCATCTGTAGACAGTTATTGTTTTAATTTAATTGTTCTCTAAAAGCATTTGAAATTAGCTACAGTCCAAAATGGCTTCTTCTTCAAGGAGATTTATGGAAAATACTCTTATGAGTATTCTGGAATACAGGTTTCTGAACAACTTTAACGTCATACAATTGGACTGATAAGAATTTCCAGAACTCTAATAAAACTGATGGGTTCATGTAACTACTAACCCAAGATCAAGCAAAACAAGATTGAATTACATGGTACTGAATGAACTGATGAGAATAATTTTTAAAATGACTTTTTGTTGGAAACATTGCTAGTTCTTTAAATGTTTTGTTTTCCAGATTTCAGAAAACTTTCTTTTAAGCTATCTCTAGCTTACACCAATTCAGTAAAGAATACTTTTGTGCAAAATGGAAACATTTACTTTTTCCCCCTAACTTATCCCTCCAGAATTTGGAAACTATTTGTGCATATTCTTATTTTTATGGCAAAGTATTTATTTGCATAAGTTTAATAAGAATCTGTTGTCTTTGTAACAGGACAAACTGGAAACACAGGTTATATCACCAAGGCTTTGACTGAAACATCATGTTTTCAGATATGACCAGAAGGCTTTAGGGGACTAAAGTTGGCTTTATGGAACCAATAAAGTACCATCTTGGAAAAACTGGCTCTAGGGTTCCCAGACTTACAAGTAAGTAAAGAATGTCACTGCTTGGTGGGTCTGGAAACCTTGGGATATTTTAGGGACCTCAAGAAGAGAGAAATTTATCTAAATCTATAAATGTAACAGGTGCAGACTAATGACAAGTTTTGGGCTTGTATCCCAGCCTCAAGTGGCTTTTAAAAGTTTAATCTGACTGGAGACAGTGGCTCACCCCTGTAATCCCAGCACTTTGGGAGGCCAAGTCAGGTGGATGACGAGGTCAGGAGTTCAAGACCAGCCTGACCAATATGGTGAAAGCCCTGTCTCTACTAAAACTACAAAAAATGAGCCAGGCATAGTGGCACGCACCTATAATCCCAGCTACTCGGGAGGCTGAGCAGAAGAATCGCTTGAACCCAGGAGGCGGAGGTTGCAGTGAGCCAAGATCGCACCACTGCACTCCAGCCTGAGAGACAGAGGGAGACTCTGTCTAAAAAAACAAAAACAAAAAGTTTAATCTGAGATTTCTTATCTGACAAACGCAACCTTTAAAAGAGCCTAAATGGTCAATCACTACTCTTAACTGCACTTGTGTACATAACCAGTACAAGTTTAATGAGATTAAACTTATTTAGCAAACAAATCAATCTGACTTTGATTATCTTTGACAGAAATGAGAGTGAATATAGAGAGAAAAGTTATGTTTCGGGAGAAAACTGCAGTGCACCCAATATTAGATTCTAGCTGTTTTTTTTTTTTTCCTGAGGTTTTATTATCTGCCTGCAATCTGCAATAGATCCTCAATTTTTCTAGTTTACTACAATATTTAGCTACAACACTCCAAATTAATATTTCATTTTTTTCCTGCTATTCTGGCTTGGAATCACTAAAATTATAAACTTTTCATTTCTTGAAGTCCTTCAAACTGAAACTGGATGACTTGACATAAGCTTCAGAAAAATTACCACAACAGCTTGTGTGTGGCCCATCTTTATGACATTCAAACTGCAAACTAATCCAATGCCTCTTCTCACTCCAGCTGAAGATACTACAAGCCCAGCATCTAGAAATCTTATTGACCAGCTGCCCTCTGGGCTCAGAAACTGTCTTTATAGTTCGTTCCAACTATTAATCTTTTTTAATTTTATTTTTATAGAAACTAAACTTCCCACATTAAAGGCCCGATAGCTCACACTATCCAGGAAATATCCTCTGCTACCAAGTCCCAACAGATGATTCAACTGGTCCTTAATGAATAAAAGGTGATCAAACAAGAAAAGAGACTTATATTGTTTGAAGGAAAGATGAGTGTCTCTTCTTTCCTTAAACAAGAAGTAGTACTAACAAAGATTCCTTGCTAGGACAAACTTTAGTCAGATGTCTATCTTCCTTGCAAAATCCAACTTTTTTTTTTTTATGTGGTACAATGTGATGTTTTGTTCTTTTTTTTAAATTTATTATTATTATACTTTAAGTTTTAGGGTACATGTGCACAATGTGCAGGTTAGTTACATATGCATACATGCGCCATGCTGGTGCGCTGCACCCACTAACTCGTCATCTAGCATTAGGTATATCTCCCAGTGATATCCCTCCCACCTCCCCCCAACCCACAACAGTCCCCAGAGTGTGATGTTCCCCTTCCTGTGTCCATGTGTTCTCATTGTTCAATTCCCACCTATAAGTGAGAATATGCGGTGTTTGGTTTTTTGTTCTTGCGATAGTTTACTGAGAATGATGATTTCCAATTTCATCTATGTCCCTACAAAGGACATGAACTCATCCTTTTTTATGGCTGCATAGTATTCCATGGTGTATATGTGCCACATTTTCTTAATCCAGTCTATCATTGTTGGACATTTGGGTTGGTTCCAAGTCTTTGCTATTGTGAATAGTGCCGCAATAAACATACGTGTGCATGTGTCTTTATAGCAGCATGATTTATAGTCCTTTGGGTACATACCCAGTAATGGGATGGCTGGGTCAAATGGTATTTCTAATTCTAGATAGAATGTTTCCTCTTATAACTCATAGTGAATATGACTGGACAATGAAACTATTTTGTAATTTCTTTCCTGAAAGATAAAGGCGTTAGAACATAGAATCTTTCATTGATTCTACAGAATCTTAAGACTCCTTCAGAGATGGCAGTCATTCCTACCGTGCTGAACATCATGTTGTCACGGTCAGAATCAGAACTAAATTGATTAAGGGTCTGAAACAGTTTGGCACTCTTGGGCACTTATTCTGATAAGAAAGCTGATGAGACAGGGTAATGAAAAGAGGCTGCAAGAAATGACCATTCATGCATTCAGCCAACATTTAGGCCACCCTCCTGTATTCCAGGCACTGTACGTGGCACTGAGAATGCAAAGCAAAACGAGTCATGGTCTACTGGCGGGAGCCTTCTCAGCGGAGAAAAGATCAACAAGAAAAGTGCCTGCTGGAGATCCCTCCTAGGGCATAAACCAATATAGAGGTGGGGCAGCTACGTCAGCCTGAGGTGTCCTTAGGCAGAACAGAAAGTGAGAATCAGAGCAGTATCTCATTTCTGAACACCTGGATGGTAGCTTTCCCTGGACTGACTGTCAAAGGAGGTGGTTTTAAAAAGCAAGCCAAACAGGTTTCCATCCTTTAGGAAGACCCTGGAACGTGCCAGTTGATTCCGACAATTTCTCATGAACAGAAACACCTAGGAAGGGAGAACTGGTGAGTCTTTTCAAGAGGAGGAAGTCCCTCAAAAGGGGCTGTGTTTCGCAAACGGCGCCCCAAAAGGGCTGAAATACTTCGATCTGGAGGAAAAAGACTCAGGCACTGAGGGAAGGGGAGGGTGCACATCTGGAGTAATTTCAAGGCTTTTTCCGTGTTATCTGAGGTGGCAACAAGTAAAGATTTGTTCGTTTGTATTATTTTTTTAATTTTTAAAGATTTTCTTTTCCCCCCTTTTCCCCTTCCCGGCCACTCCGGTTTGTGTTTGCCACAAGACTCATAATTCCTTTAGAAAGTGGAGTCGAATTCATAAAAGTGACGGGGGGAGAGCGCGGAGAGGGAAGGCTGGGAGCCCCAGGGAGTCTTCACTACCTACACTGCCGCTCAGCTCCCGGCGCGAGTGGAGGTCGGGGTGGGG
Source organism: Homo sapiens (assembly GCF_000001405.40). Classification (NCBI taxonomy): domain Eukaryota; kingdom Metazoa; phylum Chordata; class Mammalia; order Primates; family Hominidae; genus Homo; species Homo sapiens. The sequence goes on from NC_000001.11 coordinate 149,175,539, forward strand.
AGACGCGACTCCTGCCCGGGATGGCTGACACTCTGCGAGCCCCGGCGGCCCGCGGCCGGGCCGGGTGACTAGGCGGAGGGCGCGGAGGGTCCGCGGCGGGCGGGTGGCGCTGCAGCAGCCTGGGCACGGCTGCCGCCGCCCGCGGGCGAGAGTGTGCACGGGTGTGGAAGGCCGGAGTGCGGGCCGTGAGGGGTGTGCGCGCTTGAGCCGGAGCGGGGCTCGCCCCTCGTCGGCTCCCGCCGCCCAGCCGGTGATCGCTCTCCGGCCGTCCCCGGCACCCTCGGCCCCCCACGGCGGTTGGTCCGGGCGGGGGAAGGAGAAAGTGAGACTCGGTGTCATCACCAATCCGTCGCCAGAAGGGGAGGAAACTGGAATCCAGCAGCGGCGAGCAGCAGCTGGACGGTAACATCTGGAAATGGAAAGCCGACCTCCCCCTCCTCCTCCACCTCCTCCTCCTCCTCCTCCTTCTCCTCCTCTCACCCAGGATCACTTCCGAAACCACTTGGCCTTCAGCCCCTGCCTCGGCCAGAGGTTTCATTTTTAACTGAATATTTACCAAAGCTGAAAGCGTGCGAGGGGGGTGGGGTGGAAATAGCGGCTGCTTCTTTTCCAAGGATTTATTTAATGGGGATGTGTTCAAGGCAAGACCGAATTCAGAAGGATATCGACGTCGTGATCCAGAAGTCCAGAGCTGAGGACTGCCTGTTTGCAGGTGAGTTCTTGCTTTTCCAGAACCTCGGACCCCGCGCCCCCTTCCCAGTTCTCTGACCGCGACGTGTGTGGCTGGGGGTGGGGTGGAGGGTTTGCACGTCCGCATTCCGGGGTTCATTTGGCAACAGCTGCTGCAACGAACGCGGGAGCCAAAAGCGGGAGGGGGCGCCAGCCTCGCCCCTTCCCCTCCCCCCACCCCCAAGTCTGGGGCAGCTACCAGCTTTGAGGGCAGAACCCGCGTGGCCCGAGCGGGGGTCTAGGCGAAGGGGCAGTGCGTGGTATTTCCAGCCCCGCGTAGTGCCCGAAGCCTGCAAGCACGCCTCCTGGGTTCCAGCAGCGGCGGCAGAGCGGGGTTGGTTGGACCCGCCAGGTTTGCGTAATGGGCTGAGCGGTGGCGGCCGGGAATGGAGCCTGCTGCGCTGCGCTCGTAAGCTGCGCCCGGCGCCGAGGACCCCCGGGGGGCAGCGCTCGGCCCATCTCCGGCCCCTTCGGCTCCATCTAGTCCCCTCCGACTGGCAAAGAGAAGGGATTCCTCGGATTCCCAAGGCACCCAGCGCCCCTGCCTGGGGGGGTCGCCTTTCGTCCATTTTGCTCCCCTGGGAGAGAGATCGGATTTTGCTTTCGCTGCCGCGAGCCCGGCGGGGCTGCTTCCGGCCTCCCCGACCGGGAAATTCCCGCCGTTGCCATGGCACCCGGCACTTGCTGCCGGGGGCGGCCTGCCGCTGCACCCAGTCGGGGGCGCGCCGCATCCCCTCGGACGCTGCGCGGAGAGACCTCGCCGCCCTCTAGCCCTCGCCTCCCGCCCGGCCAGGCCTCCCCTGACTCCACCAAATGGAGGGCCCAAGTCCTGATCGGGGTTAAAACAAATCCACTCCATGGGTAGCTTTTGACAGGACTTTCTGTTTCAGATTTCAGATACTCAGACTCCACCTTTACTTTTACCTATGTTGGCGGCCCCAGAAGGTATTTATGGGTGTAGAGTTGCTTCATTTCCTGTTCACACTCTTGTGTTTCCTTTGTTCTTAGCGTGTTCCGTGTTCGGGTATTTTGGTTGCTTGTTTGATTACTGTGGCTTTTCTTTACCTACAACCCAAGCCTGACGTCCCTCGGTTTTAAATAGCAGGGGGAGGGGAATCAATGTTTGATTCAGGTGTTTCGAAGACCACGCCACAGGCGATGAGCAGAACTCTTCATGTTGAAACGGTTCTGCTACAGTACTAGATTGCTCTCAGGCGATTTGGGGTTGATACAGGCAAGCCGGTGCAAAACTGGAATACTGGATATGAAGTGAAATGTATAAAAGACATAAAATGTCACAAAATAGTTTGATCACAAGTGTTGATTTTCCTGGTGAGTTGGGGCTGCGTGTTTCCATGTTTTCTGAAGGTTCACATAAACATGCAGCCTGCCAATTCTCTGTACATTTTTTTTTTTCAATGAGTGGTATTTCGGTTTTCACGTTTAGTTGTAAGACAGAAATTGGAGACTTATATGTAGCTGGAGTGGATGACTTCTTTCTTTTGGGGGAAGAATGAGAGATGCACATTTCGTTAGTAAATTGTGAACAACTTGAAACAAACCCAAATCCAATTTTGAATTTAAGAAGTAGAGTTAAAATGAAAGGTAGCCATTCAAATACTATGCCTTGCTGCCTTCACTTATTAAGTTAGGATTTTCTTCCTTTTAGCCCTTTAGGGATACAGTAGTTTAAAAGAGCAGTAGCCACATATGAAAGGATCAGATTTAGCTTAGAGGGAATTCCTTAGACCAGCCCTGCTGTTAAGACTTGACATTCAATATTGTTTGATCACATTCCAAAATATAGCTTAGCTAATGGCAACATTTGTAAACATATAAATTGCAAAAGAAGCTTTCTTGTGTACATACATTTTTAAAAGCTTGAAATTGATGTGAACTTTTAAAAACACGTAGGATCTGTATTACATTCTACATCTCAAAACAAATTTAATTAAAGTGAATATCATTCCAGTATATACAATATGCCTAAGACCCAGAATTGGCACATTGATTTACTAGTTGAAAATATAACAGTATTCACCAAACTTCAATGTATACTTTTTGGAGAGAATGAAATTACAGTATTTCTTAATTTACTGTAATGTCATCTTTGTAATTATGAATTAACAATTCAATGAGAGGAGACTTGGCTGATTAAATTAATGCTGGTCCTACACATTATATCTAAAGGATCTTCGTATATGACTACTATCCTCTTGGATTATTTTAACAGTTAAAATATACAAAGTGGCCCATTAAAAACAGAGTTGACTTTTCACCATTGCTGTTTTTCTGGTGAGACATGTGGAAAGGAAGGACAGGTGGACTTTTCAACTAACTAGCTCTCTGATTTTTAATAAGATACCTCAGTTCTTTTGGCCTCAGTTTACTTATCTGTACAAAGGGTAAGTCATATGCTTAATCACTAAGATCTGTTAGATACTGCAGTTAAGATTCTTTATCAGCAAATTACTGAACTCTAGTGTTAACATAGCTAGAGGTGGAAAAGGGAGCAAGACCAGGTGTTGGGATGAATAATTAACTAATCGAGATAACATCAGTTTTCACCATAGGAACAAGTACCATGGTTGCTCTTAAAGTAAGAGATGTTTCCTATTTTATGTAATTTTACTAAGGGATAATGTTTTCTTTTGTCACTGATTTAAATGTACCTGGATGTTTCTCAGCCATTTGGCTAAGATCGAACACAAGTAATACCTGGGCCTTTTATATCTAATCTAATGTAGACCAGCCTGTTAAAAGAGAAAGACAGTTGGTTAAACTGCTGATGTGTTGCTTTGTCTTCTCAAAAGCTTGTTCTATAATACAATATGTAAAAAGTTGTTACAGTGTAGTAACCGTAGATAATCCCTTTATGATTTGTACCTAATGGCGAAGACCTTTTATTTTCTGAAAATAACGTGTTTGTTTTCATTACCGACATTAGAAGCCAATATTTATTCATCTATTTCTCATCCTGACATTCCAGTCAGACTCTTAAAATAATCTTGCTGTGTTTTGATTTAATGTGCTTATCAACTTATAATATTGAATTAATGTTAATAGTGTCATTTTAGGTGAACTAGACTTCATTGAAGGAGGTGGGAGCCTTATGGAGAGAGAGTATATGATTATCTCTATTTGTATTTAATTACCATTTCATCTAACCATTCAGAACATATTTCAAGAATAATTTTAATTCAAGTTGTAGATAAAACTTACTATACCATTTTCATTTTGACGCTTTCCAAGAATGAGATACACGGTATTTTAAAGACAAAGATTGATCTTACATGTTACTATTAAAAAAAACACGTTAATTTTGTTCTACATTTATACTTTTAATTTTTCTGTGGATAATAAGAAATGCCAAGAGTCGATTGTGTCCATGCTGGCAAGTGGCCTAATAAATTGTCCTTTTATTTGGTGGTCCTCAGAGTGGCAGTTAACATCTTGCTATTCTGCCTTGTGGACTTGAGGTGGAAAGGTTCATGGAATTATATCCTTGCTTTTGGATGTGCAAACTGAGGCTCAGAGAGTTTAAGACACATAGTCACTTTCACCAATTAAATGATGAAGCTGCCATGTAAACGTATTTCATCACACTCCCGAGACCTTCTTCTCCAGTAGTGTTTTCAAGCTTTTTGAGCATGCAGACACTACCATCAAAAAATTATGTAGAGACATACTTGAGAGTTACAGTTTAAAGAAAAACAAGGTGTAATTATTTGGTTATTAGTAGCATTTACATATGCTTGAAAACTTCTGCTATATATACAGTAAGATTAATTTATTCTAACAATGATCTTGATAATCCCCCTGATTCCCAGACTCCTTGGAATAGCTCCACAGCTATCAGTGGTTCTGCCACAGGTTCAGAGCCTTCCCAGTACTGCCTTCTTATTTGAGAGGTGTGCTAAGAGCTATAAAGCAGAGGCTTCAATTGTACACAGTTTGGAAGTTTAGGCAAAAGTCATTTCTTCCCTATATTTTGTCATGCTTATCTCCTGTCTCTTTCTGTTTTACAGATTAGCAATAAACTCCTTAAAACCCAAAGGTTTGGGCTTCTGTTCCTTTCACTTGCAGTCAGACATGGAGTTAGTGGTAGAAGAAACAGAAGGGGTAACCTGCATGGTGACAGCTACTGAGGGGATGGATAGGAAAGCAGGCTGAGTCCCTGGGGCCAGTGGTTACCAAAGCCAAGGAGAGAGCAAGGGGAGCCCAGTGGGCCTGGCCATGGACTGCTCTGGAATTCCGAGTGTGAACTTTCAGCCAAGAAGGTAGTGTGAAAATATTACTGTGAGGTTTTAAAAGTACACAAATAACAATTGTTTTTTGTAAAAAGAAAAAAAAAAAGTTAGAAAAAGAGATATGCCAAAAAGAAGAAAGTAAAAAATACATGACTTCTGTCTTCTGTTAACATATTAAAATTTATTCTTTTAGATTTTTATGTGTCTATATACATGTAAAATATATATGCATCCCCAAATTGTATTATACTCTTTTGAGACCTCACATTTTTTTCACCCAAGAATATAACATTAATTTCTTTCCTTTAGAAAAGACATGAGACTAAAGAATGTTTATTGAGTTGAGAGTTTCCCAATCAAGGAGTATGACTCTGTATAATAATAAATCTAATGTTTTATTAGAAATTATAATAAAATTAGAAATTTAATATTTGGCAGGATGTGAGTTGCCTGCATATGTACACCCTTTATTATATGACTAGACACTCTTTTGTGTGGTCATGGATATATTGGCATCTTTTGAAGTGTATCCTTTTTGTTTCAGGAGCTTCTGTCTAGATGAATAGCAAATGTGACACTGATAATAGTAATCGAATATTCCTCCAAGTACAGGCTCCTTCCTCTTTCTCCTGGACCTTTGCACATGCTGCCTGGAAAACTCACCCACAACCTACTTTCCATCCTCTCCTTCGGCTCATCCCTGCTCAGCCCTCTTTGTTGAGATATTTGCCAAGCCAGATTCTCTGAGAAGCCTTTCCTGGCATCTTCGTCTATATAATTCTGCTAGTTGTTTCTAAAACTATGTTGTTAGTGTATATTGTAATCACCTATTTATGTCTGTTTGACTGTGAGCCTCTTGGAGATGGGAATTCTCTCCTATGCATTGCGGTTTCCCCAGGCCCTAGCACACTGTCTAGCCCAGTATTCCTTCTCAGTAAGTAGGTGTTGAATGACTTACAAAATGAATGCTAAAAGACCTGGTAGACAAGAAGGAATTTCTTAGCCTAAATGACCAGATGTGGAGAAGATACTCAAACACTTCAGGGTCCCCGATCTGGTGATGTCACTTGCAGTGGAATTTCATATGAATCCAGTGTGACAGAAGTTGCCTAGTCAAGTTGTAAGTCCTCTTCTCTGGGTCACATGTTCAAATACTTTTAGGAGACAGATAATGCAATATTTAAGATACAGGAAGTGATGAAGACTGTGGCACACTGGAGAGTTTGGACTCCAAGAGTAATTAATTCAGTTGAAAAAATCAACAGCACTCTGTTGATCAAGCAAACTTTCTAGGGGCCCTAATCCACCTGGGCCTGCAGTATGTAATTCCATAACTCATGGGATGCCATCAAGAGAGACAATCTACTTGATTGCTAAAGGGCCTTTGTTTTCTTTGGAGTTCCCCAGGAAGGAGAAATGTATGTGTGTGCAGGGGTGAGGAGGGGGGAGAGTGAAGAAACAATACTATCCCCTTAAAAAGGTTTGTCAGTTTTCATTATGAAAGAAGACCAAACGTGCCCACTCCAGAAATCTTGGCATATGCAGTTATTTTGAAGCCATTCAGCGTTCTTCAAGATGTCACAATGAAAAGAGTGATGGTTTTTTAAATAAAAAATTAACATGTTTCTCTTGGCAATGGGACTTTCTCACCATACTTTTAAGTTACATCACTTATTATATATTCAAAATACTGATTTTTTAAAAGTATGTTCCTTGGAGCCCTGGGAACCTGCCTCAGGAGCTGAGGTGGCTGTGGGGAGGGAGTATGAAGGGAGCTGAATGAGTTAGTGAGAATCTGGGTCTTCATATCTTTTTTAAAATTGTGGCTGCTTTTTTCTGTTCTGTATAACAACTCTTTTTGAAAACAGTTTCATTGTTGAGTTTTAAAACCACTGACCTAAAATAACCACCAATTTAACGTAAGTATAACTTCATTGAGTTTTTTTGTATTAAAAAAATTAAACTCCATTTTCTTCATGGATTAAGGTGATCCTACTAGGATATTTATTAAGCGTTGTCTCTGCTGTTCTTTTTGCTTGCCTTGCTTTATCCCGTGTTTCCAAAAAATACAAATAGGTATTTTGTCAGCTATTTTACATTTTATAGCAGGGAAATCAGAGGCTTGGGTGATTTAAGTAAGTTACAGTTAGTAAGAGCCATAGGATACATTTCGGTGTAAGTCAATGTTTATGTAAGGCTTAAGAGACATTGGTTGAATTGGCATGACTAGAATAGTTGAGAATGTTTGGGAATGGGGAGAGATTGCTAATGGGATGTCTGCCAGGGGCAATACTGAAAATCTACTGGTTGGCAAAGGTAGTGCCTGAGCCCAGTGCTAACCATAGTAGTTGGAAAATTGTGTACGTTGGCTGTGGAATCCTTATGCAAATATTTGTCCAATCCATCTAAATTTCTCTCTGCAGCATTTTTAAAAAGACATATAGCTGAAATTTTGTCAGTCCTAAAAATATTTTGTATTTCTCTGCCCAGATTTGCATTTGGGTAGATAGTGCTGTAGAAGATATATCTTGCTTTAAGATAGCTGCCACTGATTAGTTTAGTCTATTTTAATCAACTTATTGCCTTGTAATCTTTCCTTTTTCATTCTCTAAATTTCTGAAATTCTATCTTTCATGTTCCTCAGGAAAGACTAGTAAGACGTGTTTTTATTAATAAGACATTATCCTCATTTCACCATGACATAATTTGGGCTTTCTGTTCCAAGTTATCCTACTTGAATGCTGGACACTTCCACCTGAATATTTGTCATTTTCACCTCAACCCAGCACATCAAAACAATCCCTTATTACCTCTTTAAAAGAAGCTTCTCTCTCCAGCCTTTTCCTAGTCAGTATCACATCTTTTGAGCCAGGCATGGGGATTGCAGTTTCAGATTTCACCTCAAGTCTTCCTCTTCTGGTTCCTGAAGCTCCGGCAACCTCTGCTTTGAAACATTGTTGGCCTCTTCATCCCATCCCATGTCAATATTTAGCCCATGCCCTGTTGGCTTTGACTTAGCTCAATCACCTTAACCCAGTGTCTTAAAATTCTTGATTTTGAGTTTCTTATCCATCCAGTTTATTTACACCTGAACTCTTTAAGCATGAAATTAATCATTCTTCTGTTCAGAAGCCTTCGAATGTGACCACAGCTTTTTCCATATAGACCTAAAACTTATATTCTTGGCCTTTGAGAGCTGCCTTCCCTACCCACTGATATATGTTTCTCGTGCTTCCTAACACCTACATGCTTCTGTTTGCTTAGTGACCACCCCCCACCCATTCATCAGCAGTTTGTATTAATTTAGTGTAAAGCTGTGTAAAGTTTATTGATTGATAATATCTGTGTCAAGATCATGGTTTTTATTATAAAGAGCAGTTCATTGTGTTTTTTCCTTGCCCACGAATGGTATCTCTGTTCATTAGGATACATAATATTTTATGCGTAGGAGGATAGAGTGAGAATATGAGTAGAACAAAGTAAGAATGAGAGGAGAGAATAGTGAAATTTGAGGATAGGATGAGAATGTGAATAGATTTATGTCCATCCATTACAAGATTAATAACCACAACGATAAAAGTCTTGAATGTTATTTATTTGCATATGAGTGATATTTCAGTTTGTGGCTGATACCCTTTTGGTATTAAATGGAAGATGACAAATCATTCAATATTAATTTTAGAGGGAGACATCTATTGAAACCTTTGTGCAGTCAGGTCAAGTTTCTGTGTACAAAAATTAGCAGAGAGGTTGCTGCTGGTTGACTTCCCCTAGGATGGTGTCTTTCTGAACATTTTGAAATGTAGATTGAAAAGGTGGATTTGTCAACTAATTCTGAAGTGCTGTAGTTATTTGTGTTTTCATCGTTTTATTGTTTATTTTATTTTTAAGATGGAGTTTTCGCTCTTGTTGCCCAGGCTGGAGTGCAGTTGTTGCGATCTTGGCTCACTGCAACCTCTGCCCCCCGGGTTCAAGCGATTCTCTCGTCTCAGTCTCTCAAGTAACTGGGATTACAGGCACACACCACCACGGCCAGCTAATTATTTTGTATTTTTAGTCGAGACGAGAACTCACCATATTGGCCAGGTTGGTCTCGAACTCACCATATTGGCCTCAGGTGATCCGCCCGCCTCGGCCTCCCAAAGTGTTGGGATTATGGGCGTGAGCCAGCCACGGTGCCCGGCCTGTTTTATTGTTTGAAAAACAAGTACAGGTTGTTATTATCCAAGAATTGTTGATAGAGTATATACTGTATTTGAAGTGTAGAACTGAGGCAGAGGCTGATTAATATAACTAGTTTACATTTGTTAGCCTTTCACATCTGTGAAGGAATAAAGTACAGACAAAAGTGGAAAACAAACCAGGAAAAAAAAAATTGTGAAGCACAGAGCTGCTTAAAAGAGTGATGTCACATTAAAAGAAAAAAGTCACAGAAATAAGTCAGTATTTTGTTTAGAGACTAGAACTCCAACTGCTAGCCAACTGCCTAGAATATAGTAAATATTTTCTAGTTTCTTAAATGACTAGTAATATTCCTACATTATGTGATGGCATTTCCCAAACTGTTTAATTAGATGTTAGATTTGTAGCCAAATATGTCTAGGAAATGCTTAAACAATATAAAACAGTTTTAATGATTGGCTTTTTAGAACGTTATATATTAGTGTGCTTTATGCATATCCAAGAGGTGAGTGAGGTATTTGGGGTTTTTCAGACTTACTTGATTACAGATCTGGAGTATCTCAAAACAGTTGTTTTGTGGAAAACACTTTGGCAAACTCTGAGTCTTAGTCATTAAAAATAGTTTTTGGGTAAACAACAGTGTAATAGAAATGGAAATTACTGATTCACATTGAGCCATGAAGAATTTATTTTCAGCAATTTTTATAGAAGTTGCTTTATGACAAAGAAAGCTTTGGTTAACTGGCATTTGGCATTTCACACCCCTAAATTTTCTACATGAGGATTTATTTCTCTGGTTCTCTCACTTTCTCACTCAGTTATACTGAATTCATTTATGATGAGCGCTCTCAACCATTCTTATTCATCAAAGCCCTGAAGTTGGCAGAGCCCTCTCTGGTACCTGATTAGAAGTCCGTCTTCCGTCTCATAGGGAAGTGTTAGAGATGGATAATGTTTCTGTGTAGCAGAAGTAGTCATTATGTCCCCTTAAATTCGGTCACTTTGACTGCAGTAGAGCTTCTTAGTGAGCAGTCTGTGATGGAGTATACTTTCGGAGAAGCTCATGGTGGGGGAAACCTGGAATTTATCTAAATATTTCATTTCTTTGATAAATTACATTAAAAAATTAATAAGAGTATCTATTTGGTGAAATCATTTTCCTCCACGTGACCAAATGAGAAATTTAGTGAAAGATTTAAAATCATTTTTCAGACTTTTTCCACATTAGTTGGGAAGCAAACCCCTTTTTTAAGGCAATGTCAGTTATTAAGCTTTAGGGAACCACATGCCACTTTAGGTAACACATGATTGGAGAGATTGAAGAGTGAAGTCCCTGCTTTAAAGTGTACTCCTGTGGACACAGTAATACATATATTTAAAATGGTTCATGTTAAGAGTAGGTATATTTCTATCTAAATACTCTGTAGCTTTTGTGATTCAGGGAAATGAGTGGAGCCTCACAGGCACAAGAATCTAGTAAATTCTAGGTTTCTTGTGTGGAACTCAGTGGGCAAAATCTTAACTGAGTGAATTCTTGATTATTGGTATCACATTTATTAGTCTGTATGTATCTGTGTCATCGATCTCCTTAAGAAGAGACTCGTAGATATTGACTGGGAGACCCAAGCTGAATGCTAAAATCTGCTCCATGGATATAAGCTGATGCAGTCATCATTTCACATTAAAATGTACCACAGCTATATATGCAGCAAAAAAAAAAAAAGTTAGTCCCTCCAGCTGAAAAGCGGTCATTACTTTATTATCACCACAGAATTTGAAATGATTTCTGTAGTTAACAGTCAGATTTTATTTTTAGTTAACTAAGACAAAGTGAATAATTCACTGTGAGCCAAATTCTTTCTTGATTCCTCTTTTTGGAGCAGTCCATCTTTATGGGAAAACCAGCCTAGAATGGTGATTTCAGTTTCAGGTGATTTCGATAGAATTGTATTTGGCTCAGAAATGATAAGACTGGGGCCAAGAAAAATTTTAAACTTTTTTTTTTGTAATCATATTACTAGTTTGATTTCATATGAACTTCCTTTGTTGACTTTCTTTGCCATTAATTTAAAAGTTCCAGTATCCTCAATATTTGATGTCTTATATGTACAGAATCCTTTCCAGCTGTAAGTCATCAGCAAGTAAAAAATTTAGTATGGCAATAGTTTTCATAAGAGGTTTTTTAAAACAGAAAAATGTTGACATTGCCAGCCTCTGGGTTGCATTTTGGGATATGCTACATTTCAAAGGTATCTTTTAAATCTGAAGGCAAAGACTTTTTCAACATCTGAATATTCTGATTTACAGAAATTAAAAAAAAAAACCCCGGAACATTACACAGGCATATAAATTTGAATCAGGAAAATATAAAATTAGCTGATTATTTTTATTCAGTAAAAGTGCCTTGGCACAGAACTAAAATTGATAACTTATGGTTTTAGCATGTAGATAAGTACATGAGAGTAAATCACATTTCTATATGAATAGAAATATCCACTTTATTCATGTATAGATTATAAAACTATACTAAACAAAAAGTAATCATTTACTATTACAAAAATTATTAAGAACCATTACAAAAATTCTCTGCCTACTAATTTTCAATCACCATAGAAATACAGTATTTAATAATGCTGCTGCTGTACTTACATAAAACATATTAAGAATAGATGTTATATTTCTGTGTTTGAATATTGAGCTTAAACATAAAACATGTTTGAAATGTGTTTGTGTGTGTCTCTCACACACACACATAACATGTACATACCTGAAACTCATACTGCAATTGCAACACATCTTAAGTTTTTCCTTTTAAACATACCAAGATAACATTCTAAAATGAAGAATAATATCTATGTCTCTCTTCATACTACATATTATCTCTCTACGTATATACAATTGCTATAAACATATCTTTATATTTGATATATATAGGTACATATATATGGATAGATAAATATAGATATATGAGAGAGAAATGGAGATTAGAGATCTATGTTTGCCATAAATCATACTTGTTAACATAAACCATCTGATTAAACTGATATTTTGTGGCCCAAGACCTGAGACATGCAAAACTATTCTTAGCAGATAGAATTTTCTAAAAGCTGAGAGCTCATTCTCCAGGAGCTGGCCAAGGACCAGTCCTAAAGGCAGACCTTTCTTGGAAATGTACAGAGTCTGGGCAAACAAGACCTGCTGAGTTAACCCTTTCCTATACATATGCAGACGGTATTCAGCACAGGGCCTGACAGAAGGCAGTGTTTGTTATTATTATTCATAGCATTAGCCCATTTCTTGTTGTGAGCAACATGAACAAGGAGACTAAGGGGAAAAAAATGCCCTTTTTTAGGGTGACCACCCTAACTGATTTGAAAGTCTACAATTTTTTCAGTTTAAAATGGTATTTATTTGTAACATGTACTATTATTGAATAACAATTTCTAATAAAAAAACTACGCTAGTTTTCTGCCTATGGAGAAGTCACCTTTTTATTCTTTTACTTTCTTAATAAGCTTGCTTTCACTTAAAAAAAAATCTACCCTACATATACACAAAAGTTAAAAAGCAGCAATAGTGTACATTGGTCAGTATAAATGCATGCAGTTTTCTTTTCTTCAGTGTACAAAGTCCAAGTCTAAACCTTTATAATTTTTAGAGTCTAGCGATTCTCCAGACTCCATACTTTTCGTTGTTATCAGATGCCAGCGTTAATTGCTTTTCCTTTCTTCTGTTTTGGGTTCCTGATCTTCATCTGTGTCTTTAAAACAGATTATTTTCTTTAGATTTGAAAGGTTGGGTTTTTGTCTTCATTTCTTATTTGTTTAGCCTTGTATTTCCCTTTCTTTAATTGAATTGTGTTATTGAAAATTAAATAATTTCTCTGTGAAGTCAAAAATCCTGTTTCAGGGTGGGCTCTAGAGCCTTCCTCTTGGGCCATATCCTTAGAAAGCCTGTGTGTATTCTGATACATTTGGCAATTTCTACTGGCTTTTCTTGTATTGTCTGACCCCTTTTTATTTCAGCGGTGCATCCTGGTCTTACCCAACAGGCAAGTGGTGACTCCAGTGCAGGTGACGCAGAGGTGACACTAGAATGAAGTGAAATATTCTGTTGAGGGCTAAGTTCATGTTTTTGCTGACAGTGGTGGATAAATGTCATGGCTTCCCCCTGCATAGTGCTTAGGACATTTCTTTTGATATGTGTTTTAGAGAAAACATAAAACTTGTAATCAGGAAAATGCAATAACGGAAGAAATGCTTACTTGAGTAACTAATGTGAGTTAGGCAAAGAAGATACAAATACTTCCCATTTCCTACTTCTAAATTACAGTCAAATTGTCCTAAGCAAATCTCTCATTGTCTCCATGTAAAAGATATAGAGAAGCCGTTAGAAAAAGGTGGCTGGAACAACTTTATACATACAGCCTGAATGAACTGCCTCATCATTTATATGTTTGAGGAAAGTGTCTGTTTGATAATTTAAATTAAGTTTAAACTGTCATAAACGGAGAGCTGTACAGATTCTGTGGGAGAGGATACTGGGGTACCAGATACTCATTACTAGGCTCTCCACTCTGCCTTCTTCAATACTCTGGATCGGTGCCCTTTATTCATTTTTTTCACAACTTCCTCCCCTTTGCTCACATTCTTTACAAGCTTCCAGGATTTTTTAATTTTATTTTATTTCTTTCCACAATGACTCTCATGGCTGTTGCTATAGTTGCTATAAAAGGCAAGGTGGGGAACAGACAGGTGAATGAGCACAGAGGTCATTTGTAAACCGTTTGTGGTTAGTGCTCCTCTGTTTACTGTCTGTCTGTCTCTCTCAGTGTCTCTGGGTATGTGTCTGTTTACAACATAAAATATATGCACACAAATCTCCAATTTTTCTAGAGTAACTATTAACACAGTTAAAATCTGGAAGAACTCTATCTTTTAAAGGAAATACCAATTAGCAAATAAAACAGTTGATTCCCCCCAACTCTCATTCCCCAGAGCTTGCTTAAGTGTGTGGTTTGCACACATTCCCTAAATAAAAACATTGCTGGCTCATAACTATGCTTCACTTTCATAAGCCTTCCAAATGTTAGTAACTTAGCCTTCTCCTTTTGAAGGGTTAGTCTGTAAGTGATACTGGAAGCCATGTGGTAAGAAAGAGGACAGAAGTATAAAATCAGACTCAGAAAGTAAAATCTGGCATATTTGGCATAGATCCATTCAGCTTCGTATACTTTGTTAGGACCCGAGGGCATGCCTGATTTTCATAAAATCGATGCACTGTTATTAAAACAAACAGGTGAAAATCACTTTTGTTAAACTACTTGACAAGGCATCTGACTACCTTAAGTGTGTTATAAATTTTGCAAGTGGTTAAAATTTTATGCTTATGAATTCAAAAGATAGACTTTAGTTAAATTAAAAACTAATTTATGTAGATATTTTCCCTAATAATATAGCACAAATGGGTTTTATTTCCAACTGAAAAGAGTATTTATTACCATGGATATAACTAGAAGAATCATATAAATATATGTAATTCCATTAGAAAATATTTTTCTTAAAATTTGAAATGACAAGAACTTAATGAATCTTAAATATCTCTTGTTTTATTTTGAAAAATTGTTTTCATAAGATACAATTGAGCAATTGAGATTTGTTCTCCCAGTATCTGAAGATTTTTTTGGTCTTGTTTTGTTTTTTGGGTTTTTGGCCCTAAAATTAGGTGAATTCAGCTTTGGGTCTATTTCATCCATTCTGGAAGGTCCTTGGGTCACTGATCTGAGGCATTCTTGATGTGGTTAGGACTTCCCAGCATTATTTTTTTTAGATCCTGTTGATTTAAAATGAAAAGGATTAGCATGAGGGATGGTAACATTCCTTTTTGATATCTGTAGCAGCAAGTTTTCTTATGATTCATTATTCTTCTTCTTACAGCTTTAAATCATCTAGGAACTTCATATAAAATTTAATTCCAGTTTCAACTAGTTGTGGAGCATTTGATCCAAAATAAAATGAAAGTCCTCTCTGAAGTTGTAGAGGAGACTCAAGAATCAGAACAACCTGAAGTTCTTTAAGCTGTCAGTTGAAGGACTAGGTAAAAAACAAATATCATTTAGTGTGATCATTAATGCACATGAGTCATTATTCCATGTGGTTGCTGTCGACTGGTCAGGGGCACTTCAAGCCCTAATCTGTACTTTGTCCTGTCTCTCTACACCCTGTTCTACTTTTTCAGCTTGTTGCCTGTAATATGTGAATGGAAATAAAATAATCAAGCTTGTTAGAATTGTGTTCATAACGACACAAAAGACCTGAGAGAATGTAAGAACATATAGAACATCCAAAATAAGACATATTTTTGGTTGGTTTAAAACCTTTTTGTTTGTTTCATTTTCTTCTGTGCTTAATGTGTAGTTACTATTATTTCATATCCTTTGACTTACAGGTTTGACTACAATGCAGTGTGAATATCGCACATGGGACCATTTGTCATACTGTCAGATGGCAATACATAGATGGATAGAATTTTGCTGTTTGATCAAAGCTGTGCCATCGGAAACTTGTTTTCCCAAGTATGGGTACATTCTCCTCTTTTCCTGAGTGGAGAAACCTAGATCTGAGCAAAAAGCATGAATCAATACACCTTGGGAGGCAGGGTGTCAAATATTTGATGCCATTTCCTTTGCTTGTAAATTGTTCATTTCATTTGAATATAAATATAAAAGGACTTCTACCAAGAACATGAAACTAACATTTTGCCAAGCTAAATTTTAATGAATTTATTTGGACTTTTTTATAATCACTTAATATTTTCAGTTCATGTGCTAATATTTACTTACTGGAGAGAAAGAAATGGTATTCAATATGATAACTGCCTTGTTACTGCAGAAATGTAGAAGTTTGGCATTTTAAGTATCAAATATTTTAAGTCAAAAAATTACCAGTGTCCCACAGCACAGAGAGAGAATATATGTTTGCTTGTGTCCTTTTAATCTTTCCCCTGTAAAATTAAGCCTAGGGGCCTTACACTATTTTAAATTTTCAAAATTAGGTCATGTAAATGTTGTGTCAGATTTCCAATTCATAAGTAGTATACTTATGAATACTGAATAGTGAACATAGGGTACATTTATATCCTACTGATTGCTTAGCTGTGGACCAGAGGTAAACAGAGAATGAATGGTATTTTCACAGGTTAGTAAACTGTTTTTCTATGATCTCTTATATACAAGTGTGATGAACATTTTTTCCCCCTTCCTGAACTAATATAGGAACATATGGTCTAATAAGTGTGAGTTCATTTGGGGAGGGCAGGATAGAATGCTTGAAATTAGGACTGACCCAAAAAATGCCTTGGTCTCAGTATTTGTGGATTACGAGGAGGAAGGGCTGAAAAGGAACCTTAAAAGCATTAGAATGGTAGAGTACAGATTAGCAGCAACACTCAGGGCTCCATCATGAAGAGAGTGAGATGAGTTCCCATGGTTAATGCAGCAGGGGCTCTAATTGAAAGCCCTCTACCTAGGAAATGATTTAAATCCTTTTATCCTAGCTGGATTGTGAACGTTTTATTTACTTTGAGGAAGTTGTTTAACCCTTTTTGTAGATTGCATCAATATTTAGAGTAATGTAAATACATTTTCCCTTTGGCTATTTTACAAGGACATTGAGGATTAATTAAATTTAAAAGAAAGTAGTGCAGTTAACTCCCAGGAGACAGAGGGAGATGTTTATCATTTTTCTCATCATTCATTCCTTATTCATTCATTTTACAAATGTTTGTTGAATAGTAATTATAATGAAGATACTATACCAGCTTCCTGAATTGGGAATACAAAGATGAAGGATGAGAGTGACTTCTGCCTTCATTATGTTATGTGTTCATATTTTCTTTTTAAAATTCTCATTATAATATGAGTAATTGTGCAGGGATTTAATATTGCTGGTCTCAGCAATAGTTGATCTTTGATTAACATCTCACTGACACATATTTTCACTGTGTATATTTATTTTTCCTTTCTAAATTTAGAACTACTCTTTATCTTCTACTGTAAGAGATATACAACATACTTTTGTTTTTTTCTATGTTGTAATCAGTGCAGTTTTTTTAACCAAGAATAAACATAAGTTCTAATAGCAAACAGAAATAAACTCCCTACACATTACCTTCTCCATTAAAATATGTTTTATGCCACATGCAGAATTTTAATATTATAGTTATTTGTGAAAGTATAACTAAATAGAAATTTTAAGAAAGAATGCCTCTAATATTCATATCTTAGCACTAAAGAAGCATATATTATTCTACAGATTGAATTAAAATGTTAGTTACCAAGATATGAACTTAGACATTTTCAGTAAGCATTTATAGGCTATTCTAGTAGAAAACTGTACACAATTTCCCATGAGGCTGGTGAAGGTTTCTTAGCTTAAGCGACTTTTTAGCTGGTTCTTGGATTTTATTAAATAATATTTGAATGAACAGTTTTGACTAACAGCCTGAAAATATTAATCTTTCCTCTCAGTCTGAGCAAGCGAAAGTAGATAAATTCATATTGTATGTCTGATTCTCTTTGGGTTTGAAAAGAAATAAAGACTCTACTTCTAAATTAGCATAGAAAAAAGGAGAATTTCTCTTGATTTATTTCTCAGTTTGGGTTTGTGCTTTTGAAAAAGGAAAAGAATGATCCTGAAATCAGTAGGCTTTGTCTTTGCCAAAAAATGTGGACATGTTGATCTTAGGGGGGCTGATTATATAAAACAGTAGAAATGTAGTCTTAGATGAAAATCTGTAAAGATGTAAGAATGCTGAACTAACATGAAAATCAGGGGCTGAGAAAATGCTGGATTGAGAATAATGTGCTAATGAAGGTTTTATATATATTCATATATTCTCTTCAACATACATAATGTCATAAAAAGGATAAAACGCCTAAGTCTAGTCTTGACAGAGCACCAGCTTAAATCACATGAGCCTATCAGAGAACTTATGACAATATTTAGGGCTAAACTGATGTTACTGGTGAACCAGTATCTGGAATGATTTCCATAACTCACTTAACTTGCACATTTATAATGTGGACTTTAAATAATAATTATCAGGATGGCTACTCTGAAGCCAGGAGCTTAGGAAGTGTCACAGATGGTATATATTTGTATTCCTGCCTCATGTCCCTTTCCCTGAAGTGGCGTGTGGAGTATGAGGGATTACGGTGTATTTGTAGGTGGTGTCCCTGAAAGGCTATCAGGGGACTTCTGGTTCTGCTTCAGTTCTGTTTTGTGAAGACGGTCAAGTGATTTAAGGTCTCTTGCTTCAGCCATCCCACTTAGAAAGCAGTTGCTTTATAGTCCTTTGGGTATATACCCAGTAATGGGATGGCTGGCTCAAATGGTATTTCTAGTTCTAGATCCCTGAGGAATCGCCACACTGACTTCCACAATGGTTGAACTAGTTTACAGTCCCACCAACAGTGTAAAAGTGTTCCTATTTCTCCACATCCTCTCCAGAACCTGTTGTTTCCTGACTTTTTAATGATTGCCATTCTAACCGGTGTGAGATGGTATCTCATTGTGGTTTTGATTTGCATTTCTCTGATGGCCAGTGATGATGAGCATTTTTTCATGTGTTTTTTGGCTGCATAAATGTCTTCTTTTGCGAAGTATATACCCAAAGGACTATAAATCATGCTGCTATAAAGACACATGCACACGTATGTTTATTGCGGCACTATTCACAATAGCAAAGACTTGGAACCAACCCAAATGCCCAACAATGATAGACTGGATTAAGAAAATGTGGCACATATACCCCGTGGAATACTATGCAGCCATAAAAAATGATGAGTTCATGTCCTTTGTAGGGACGTGGATGAAATTGGAAATCATTCTCAGTAAACTATCGCAAGAACAAAAAACCAAACACCACATATTCTCACTCATAGGTGGGAATTGAACAATGAGATCACATGGACACAGGAAGGGGAACATCACACTCTGGGGACTGTTGTGGGGTGGGGAGAGGGGGGAGGGATAGCATTGGGAGATATACCTAATGCTAGATGATGAGTTAGTGGGTGCAACGCACCAGCATGGCACATGTATACATATGTAACTAACCTGCACAATGTGCACATGTACCCTAAAACTTAAAGTATAATAATAAAAGAAAAAAAAGAAAAAATAAATAAACTTATTGATCATCTATGTGCTAGGCATATTCTCTGTTTGTATATATTGGAACATGAACCTTCCAGGTCCTTGAAAATGTGGTGGGTACTAAATGAAATGTTTCCAGTTGTGATTCTTTTTTTTTTGAGACGGAGTCTTGCTCTGTCGCCAGACTGGAGTGCAGTGGCGCAATCTTGGCTCACTGCAACCTCCACCTCCCTGGTTCAAGAGATTCTCCTGCCTCAGCCTCCCGAGTAGCTGGGACTACAGGCATGCGCCACCACGCCCAACCAATTTTTGTATTTTTAGTTGAGATGGGGTTTCACCATGTTGGCCAGGATGGTCTTAATCTCGTGATCCGCCCGCCTCGGCCTTCCAAAGTGCTAGGATTACAGGTGTGAGCCATGACTCCCAGGAGAAATAACTTTAAAAACTTAAAAACATTGGGCTGGGTATGGTGGCTCATGCCTGTAATCCCTGTAATCCCAGCACTTTGGGAGGCTGAGGCAGGCGGATCACCTGAGGTCAGGAGTTTGAGATCAGCCTGACCAACATAGTGAAACCCTGTCTCTACTAAAAATACAAAAATCAGCTGGGCGTGTTGGTGCATGCCTGTAATCCCAGCTACTCGGGAGGCTGAGGCAGGAAAATCGGTTGAAACCGGGAGGCAGAGGTTGCAGTGAGCCGAGATCTTGCCACTGTACTCCACCCTGGGCAACAGAGCGAGACTCCATCTCAAAACAAAAACAAAAACAGAAACAAAAAATTAAAAACATTATACAAATGTAAACTGCAATGATGACAAGAAAGAAGAATGTGGACTCCATATGAAATTCCCTCTTGGTATCTGCACTAGAACATCTCTACTTTTCTTAAACCTCAAACTTTGCTCATCTCTTTGACCCTTAGTCTCTACAGAGGATCTGTTCTCCTACTCTCCAAAATTGTTCAAGATCATCTGATGAGTGGCCTCAATTTATTTTCAGATGTGCATGTGCTTTACTTGGGGTTTTGTTTTGTTTTGGTTTTTAGTTCAGTTTTTTTTTATTGGGGTTCAAATATGAGACAGTCTTGGGGAACCTAGTAGGGAAAATCTGAAAGCAAATACAGTGCCATACTGAGAATTGTACAATATGTGTGTGTGTGTGTATATATATATATATATATATATATATATATATATATATATATATATATAAAAGAAACAATACAGAAACTTCATTCTGCTATCACAAAGCCTTCAAAGAAATGACGATTGATGCCTTAGTGAGGTTCACTAGAAGGGAAAAAGTTGGCAGATGTTTCCCACAGAAGGAAAAGCATGAGCAAAATTCTGGAGACTTGCCATAGCTTCTTATGCTTCTGGAGGCAGTATGGCTTCAGGGTTTGGATGTCAGCAATCCCTGAAACCATGTTTCACAAGTCTCCAGATACCAATTTTTTCATTAATAAAGTATAATAATTCATATCTCATGGGGCTGTTAAACAAGAACATAAAGTACTCAGCTGTATGGTAAGAGCTCAACAAAGCTTAGCCATCATTATTATTACTAGCCTGGCATGAATGAAGTTAAGGAATGGTGGTGGGTGATGAGTGTGGGAGAAATCAGAGGTTACATCATAAAAGGCTTTGATGGCCACATTAGGAGTATGGATCTTATCTCCTAAAGGTATTGCAAAGCTTCTTAAATGGCTCTGTCATGGTGCGATTAAATTTATGTCTTGGAAAGGTCACATTGGTCATGGTATGCACATGTGGTTTTTGCCTATTCAGTTAAAAGCTCCTTAAAGCTTTTTATGCCACCACAGTCTTATGCACCTAAGAGGCTACATTATTTGCCAATTTGTTGTTGTTGAATTATCTATTTCAGAACTACTCTGAATTATTAGGTTGAGATTGAATGAGAGGAGCAGGACTGGAAGTGGAGAGGACATTTAGAAAGTTTCCTCGGTAATCCAGACAGTAGATGGTGGTGACCTCAACAATTGCCCAGTTACCTTCAGGACAAAGTCCAAGTTCCTTATAATGGTATACAAAGCTGGCACAATCAGACCCCTATTCTCAAAACAGCTTACCTCTCACTTGTCTTCTCACTTGCTCCAATTATGTACAATTATTTAAAGTTTTTGAAATACTCCTTTCCCTGTGTCTTCCCTCCATAGTTTCTCCTTCTGTATAGAATATTTCCTTTCCCTATCCACTTTCTACCTATTTATTCTACCTCCTATTCATCCTTCAAAGCTCAGCTCAGATTTCACTTCCTCTAGGAAACCTTCAATGGCATTATCTTAGTCTTTTTGGGCTGCTATAACAAAACACCATAAACTGGGTGGCTTATAAACAACGGAAATGTATTTCTCACAGTTTTGGAGGCTGGGAAGTCCTAGATCAAATCACTGACAGGTCCAATGTCTGGTGAAGGTTCACACTCTGGCTCATAACGGTGCATTCCCACTATATCCTCACATGGTAGAATGGGCTAACTAGCTCTCTGAGGTCTCTTTTACAAGCGTATTAATCCCATTTATGAGGGCTCCATCTCCAATGTCTATGATTTAATCACCTCCTAATGGCTCCACCTCATAATACTTCTGGAGGCAGAAGTATTAACCTTAAGGGTTAAGATTTCAACATATAAACTGGTGGGGGAGGGAGGTGGGGATGGGACACAAACATTCAGACCACAGCAGACAACTTGCTCTTTTAATGTGGAATGGATGACCCTCCAATATTTCCCCAGAGCACCCCATGCTCTTCTATCAGGGAACTTATTAAAATCATGTAACATGTTTCTTGGTGACAAGATTTAGGTCTTTTGTTTCTGTAACACATGCCAGATACTTAGCCCGGTATCTGGCATGTGGCATGCCCAGTAAATGTTTGCTGAATAAGTGAATCCATGTCTCTTGCTTGCCGCTATTTGCCCACTGAATCCATGAAGTGAGTTTTCATAATGGATACCACTGAAAATTCAACCCTGAAAAGAATGTCTTCGGTTGTGGGCCCATAAAGTCTTAGAAATAGTGAAGCTCCTACTGTCAGTCCTTGAAAGGGAACAGGACAGCTGCTGTATGCCTTGAGAATGGGCAAAAGACAAGCGACAAAAAGAGCACCGAAGGCACCTACTTGTCCCTCTGGGCCAGGGCCTCAGTGTATTGGTCGGGCTTGACCTGGTCTCCTGGTACATCTTCCCAGTTTTTGGTGACTCCCTTCAGTTTCTCTGAGAGCTCCAGGTTACACTCCTTCTCTGCTTCCACCAGAGCTGCCATCCGCGCAGCTTCATTCTTTGCTAGCCTGGATTCCTGGAAAAAGAACAAAAACTGAGAGGCTGCAAAATTTCTACCTAGATTAGGAGCCCTAAGACCCAGGAACATTGATGAATTTCAGAGGGAAAGTAGAGACGGAAAAGGTGAATGCCAGAAGGCAGAGCAGTAGGAAAAGGAGTGTTAATAAAAGAGAACCCGTACCTATGGACTTTGGGAACTCCTCACCTCCTGCAGAAGCTGCATCTTATTCTCCAAGAGCTCATAAACATGCTCCGTCTCCTGCTGTCGCTCCTCAAACTGGCGTCGGAGCTCAGCTTCATTCTGACTGTTGAGATTCTCCACATCAGCCCTAAAACCACAGAGCATTAGCCAATCAGAGCCAGACATACAGTTTAGCAAGTGGAACCATTAAGGTTGTTCTTTGATAAATCTCCAAACTGCTTTCTGCAGTGACTGAACTGGTTTATATTTCCACCAACAGCGTGTAAGCATTCCCATTATGCAGCCTCACCGGCATCTGTTGTTTTTAGACGTTTTAATAGTAGCCATTCTGACTGGTGTGAGATGGTATCTCATTGTGGTTTTGATTTATATTTCTCTGATGATTAGTGATGTGGAGCAATTTTTCATATATTTGGTGGGCATTTGTATGTCTTCTTTTGAAAAGTGTTTGATCATGCCTTTTGCTCATTTTTTTAATGGGGTTATTTGTTTTTCATTGTTCAATTGTTAAATTCCTTATGGATTCTGGATATTAGACCCTTTTCAGATGCTAGTTGCAAATTTTTTTAGATTCTACAGGTTGTCTGTTTACTCTGTTGATAGTTTCTTTTGCTGTGCAAAACTCTTTAGTTTAAATAAATCCGACTTGTCTCTTTTTGTTTTTGTTGCAATTGCTTTTGAGGACTTAGTCATAAATTCCTGAGGCCAATGTCCAGAATGGTGTTTCTT
The DNA here is from genome assembly GCF_000001405.40 of Homo sapiens. Taxonomy (NCBI): domain Eukaryota; kingdom Metazoa; phylum Chordata; class Mammalia; order Primates; family Hominidae; genus Homo; species Homo sapiens. Next base: position 149,199,087 of record NC_000001.11, read on the forward strand.
GGGTTTTCTTCTAGGATTCTTATAGTTTGAGGTCTTACATTTACATCTTTACTCCATCTTGAGTTAATTTTTATATGTGCTGAAAGGTAGGGGCCCAGTTTCATTCTTTTGCATATGGCTAGCCAGTTATCTATCCCACCACCATCGAATAGGGGAGTGCTTTCCCCACTGCTTATTTTTGTTGATTTTGTCGAAGATCAGATTGCTGTAGGTGTGTAGCTTTATTTTTGGGTTCTCTATTTGCTTCCATTGGTCTATGTGTCTTTTTTTTTTTCCAGCAACATGCTGTTTTGGCAACTGTAGCCTTGTAGTATAGTTTGAAGTTGGATAGTGTGATGCCTCTGGCTTTGATCTTGGTCATTTGATGAATGACATTGGTAGTTTGATAGGAATAGTGTTGAATCTGTAGATTACTTTGGGCAGTATGGCCATTTTAATGATATTGATTCTTCCAATCCATGAGCATGGAATGTTTTTCCATTTGTTTGTGTCATTTATGATTTCTTTTAGCAGTGTTTCATAGTTCTCCTTGTAGAGATCTTTCACCTCCTTGGTTAGATGTATTCCAAGGTATTTTTTTTTTAGCGGATATTGTAAATGGGATTGCATTCTTGATTTGGCTCTCAGCTTGAATGTTATTGGTGTGTAGAAATGCTACTGATTTTTTTTTTTTTTTTTTTTTGAGACGGAGTCTGGCTCTGTCGCCCAGGCTGGAGTGCAGTGATATGATCTCGGCTCACTGCAAGCTCCGCCTCCCGGGTTCACGCCATTCTCCTGCCTCAGCCTCCCAAGTAGCTGGGACAACAGGCGACTGCCACCACACCCGGCTAATTTTTTTTTTTTTGTATTTTTAGTAGAGACGGTGTTCACCGTGTTAGCCAGGATGGTCTCGATCTCCTGACCTCGTGATCCACCCACCTCGGCCTCCCAAATTGCTGGGATTACAGGCGTGAGCCACCGTGCCTGGTGAAATGCTACTGATTTTTGTACATTAATTTTTGTATTCTGAAACTTTATTGAAGTCTGAAAATATTTTTAATAATTTTAGTAATACTTGTCATTTAACACTAAGCTTTTAAAAAACTGTAAATTACAAAAGTAACCATTTTAGCAATATAAATATATATAAAGAAAAATATCAAGTCTTCTCCCTATCACGGACTGTGATCTCACTCTTCCTCAATATACTATAATTATCACTCAGCAACTTTCCCCCCTTACTTTAATCAAGGAATTCCCACTAGGACAATAATATAGAGCTAACTCATTCTTCAATAACTACATAATAGTCCACAGTGTAGTAATACCAAAATTTATTCAATCAATGCCCTATTGATGGATAATTGTTTCTAGTTTTTTGCCATTACAACTAATGATGCAATAAACATCCTTATACATTTATCCTTTCACACTAACGCTTTTATTTATAAGAAACAGATTCCTTCTCGGGATTGTTTGATCAAAGGAAATCCTCCTTTTTTACTATAATAGGTAGCATCCCATACTAAAAATGTTGTCACAATTTACACTCACTGGTAGTGTATGAGAGTGCCCATTTTCCCCAAACGTTATCTCAGCTCTTGATGTTATTATAGGCTGACTGATACTTTTTGATAAAGCTTATTTGCATTTGTCTCTACTGAAAGTGGAAACATTCACTGTTTCAATTTAGTTGATTGCTGACTAATAGGAAGTTTGCAATCTTAGGTCTGGTGGATTTACCAACTTATGACAAGGTCCATCTGACCTAGTAATAGAGAGAGAGCCCAAGGGAAACACAGCATATGAAAATCTATTGTTTCAGTTCCTGAATCAGACACAGGATTCAAATGCCACAGATAGGTTAAGGAATTTGGTTCCAAATCTATTGCTCTCAGATTAGTAAGACAGACTCTGGAAAGGACCAGAGCTTAAAATTACAACTTACCATGTTTTATCCAGATGCTGTTTCTTGTCCTGGAGTTCTCGTTTCAAGCTCTCCACTTCAACCTTCAGCTCAGTGTTCTGAAAAACACACAGGCATTAATCGTTATTAACTGCCACAGACACTCTTTCCTGGATCCAGGTTCCTATTTGAGTCTTGCCTTGGTCCACAGCCTCTCACCTCATCTCTGCCCTCTTTGTGACCCTTGACATAATTAGGGATTTAGTTGGATCAGCAATCTAGTCAAGGAAGAATAAACTGTACAGCTTCAGGGTTTCCCCTGAGCTACTTATCAATTTTCCCAACCTATTTATCATTACCCCTGGATCATGAACACTGCTTAAGTCTATTCGTTCTCTAAACCATTGCAGGACAGAGTATATATTAAAATAAATTTTTCCTATCTAATACAGGTTGTTCCTGAAAACGAAATTGCTGGAATAATACTTTTAATAGAATTATAGTAATAGAACAATACTTTTAAATGTCTGGGGATTTAATTATTTAAAGAAATTTGGTTGTAAACATTTTTAAAAACAATGCTTTTATCATAAAATTGGAATTTTATAAATTAGGTTTGCTTAAGGTGAGAGGGGACTCTGATGGTAAAGTTATACAGGGAACAATTAATTTTTATTGAGGTGAGGATGCAACAAGTAAGATTTGGGGAAACAGAAATAAGGAAATAAAAACATCCCAAGTGTGTCTGGTGCAGGTTAAGTGGCTTAGTGTGTGGTAAGGAGTATAGAAAATAGTTTGCAACTAGTTTGTGAAAATCCTGCTAAGACAACTAGATAGGCCGGCCACGGTGGCTCACACCTATAATCCCAGCACTTTGGGAGGCCAAGGCAGGCAGATCACTCGAGGTCAGGCTTTAGAGACCAGCCTAACCAACATGGTGAAACCTCATCTCTGCTAAAAATACAAAAATTAGCTGGGCGTGGTGACATGCGCCTGTAATCCCAGCTACTTGGGAGGCTGAAACAGGAGAATCGCTTGAACCCAGGAGGTGGAGGTTGCAGTCAGCCAAGATCATGCTGCTGCACTCCAGCCTGGGTGACAGAGAGAGACTCTGTCTCAAAATAAAAAAAATTAAAAAAGTAAAAAACTGGATAATAATCAGTAGAAATCAAAGACTTATCAGGGAGCTTTAAGCAAAGTATTGGCATGATCGGGTCCATGTTGAAGAAGGAATTATGAAGAAGGTGGGTGGGTCAGGGGCAACTAACCAGAATAGGGAGGGGGACTGTCTAAGGACAAGAGGTACAGGGAGAAAGACTCAAAAGCCATTTCAGAGACAGAAGCCACAGGCCTTGATGACTTGTGAGATTCAGATTAGACTGGAGGGAGGACCAAAGACAATGCTGAAATTTCCAGCATGTCAGTGAGAATGCATTCTATTAACTAAAATAGGGGCAGATTTGTAGGGGAACCTAAGGAGGTTTCTGCAAAATGTTAATTGAGGGATTACTTTATTTCAGCTTAAACGTTAGCATGCAAAGATGGATTAGTCCCTTCCCTGATGAAGTCCATAATACAGTATTAGGCAAGAAGAATGTTATTTAGTAAAGAAGTCTTTAGATCAGAGGTTGACAGAGAGACTGAAGGTAAAGTAGCTAAAGTATGAAAAGTAGTATTGTGGGTACTAGAACAGTAGGGAGGATTTTACTTTACTATCGCCATATAATAACCACCAACACCTAGACTTCTAGAAGTCCAAGGCAACACACAATAGCAGCATATTTTCTACCATACTTGTGAAGGCATTTCATAACCCATGTTTCCATGCAGGGTGGTCGAAACACAAATACTAATTGGGAAAAGTAGAAACCTGGTTTAGATATTTGAGAGTTACTTAGAATTAAAGAATTTTAGAGCTGGAAGGCAGTTGGACTCAAGGCATTTTAGATCATATTACTAGTACTTTTTTGTGACATACTGAGAAGAATGTTTATTCCCCTCATAAGTAGGTACCTTTTGACCAAGGTTAGAACATAGATTCAGATCCAGTGAGATGAAAATATCCTAATTTCTTCAAAAGAAGGGAATGATAGCCCTGTCTTTTCAGGATATCCTTTAAAGTTATTATTTTATGAACACTAAATAGCATTACCAGATTTAGCAAATAAAAATATAAGATATCTACTTCAATTTAAATTTCAGATAAACAACAAATAATTTGTTTCATTAGAAGTATATCCTTTGCAATATTTGAGACATAAACGCTAAAACATTGTTTGTTGTTTATCTGAAATTTAAATTGAACTGAGTACCCTGTATTTTATTCTGCAATACAAATACCAAAAGATTAACAAATGGAAACACGCATATTTCAATTTTGTATGAAGAACAAGTCTAAGATCTCTATATCAGTTCCATGGCCTGGCACTGCAAGAATAATTCATCTGTACCAATTGATGAATCAGTAAAATAGAAGATTTGCTAAACAGTTGCTATGTCCCCAGCTTTGTGGTCAATACTTAAAGGAATTCAAATGTCTTCATAAAAAATGGTCCCTAAGCTACTGGCCCTTCATAGAGGTGAAGGAATATGCATTCAATTATGTGGGAAATGCAAAGAGGGAGCAATTTCCTAATCTGTAATAGGCAGATAATTGTATTTTCCTCATTCATAAACCTACCTGAGAGGATCGTGAGGCATAAATAAATCAATACATGTAAAGGACTTAGGACAGTGTTTCTAACACAGGTATAACTATAATTTTAATTATAATAATATTATTATCACCATCATCATCAAGAACAACAGCATTATCATTTGGAACAGCAGTTTGCTTTCCATGAGACCATAATATTTCAAGTGGATTCAGTGTTCAGGATATGGTGCTGAGAAAGAGGACTCCTAAGTTTATTATTATTTCTGCCACCAATTGATTCACTTCTGTGACCTTGGGTAAAATTCTGCTAAGGCTTCTCCACCTGGAAAATGACAAAGAGTGGGCAAAAAGCTATTTAAATCTCATATGAAAGAAAATGGAATCTATAATTATGAAGTGTTATTATCAATGATATTCCTATGCCTGGCTAATTTATATAAATCAGAAAAGTCTGGATATGCTAAACCACCTCAGATAAGCCAAAACTGCTTGAGCAGATTTTTTAAAAATCTCATATCTAAAAATACGTGAGGTCTCAAATGACTGGAGCTATATGGATGTCCTCTGCCTAGTTCTTAGTCTCATGATGTGACATAGGGAATCTCTATCAGGTATAAACTGATCAACAGAAAGTTCCCTGAAAAGTCCCTTACTATTAATACTATTTTTGCATGAGGAATCTTTGAATATTCAAATAAAAATAAACAAACAACAGGGAAAGTGGGAGGCACTATGAAACCAACCTAAAGCCAGACAGAATTAGGTTCAAATTCTGGCTCTATCACTTTCCTGCTAGGTGACCTTGGGCAGGTTAACTAATCACTATGAGCCTCAGTTTTCTTATAAGTATAGTGTGGTTGCTTTGCTTTTTAATGAAGATAAGTATTCACGAGGGATTCTGTGAGGATTGAATGAGACAATGTGCATGATAAGCATAGAACAATGCCTTGCACACAGCTGTGCAACAACCTTGATTCACTTTCACTTCATGTCCAGGCTAACTAGTGCCAGTCAGAGACCTCAGCCTTACCAGGAAAAATACTTAGATCTAAAAGGAAGAAAAACAGAGGACATAAATTAGTACGTTCTATCTGTTCTAAATCCTACTGAAGAAAATGAAGTCAATGCTTTGACCAATTTGGCCAAAGATTCACAGATTTGAAGACCTCAGCATTTCTGTGTTCTAGTTCTCTTAGTTTAAAGACAAGGAAATTGAAATCCAGAAGGGTTACCTCCAAGGTAAAAGCCGTAACTGAAACCAACACTCCACTCTTGCTTTAGCCTTTTATCAGAGAGACCAGCTTAGCAAACACTGCCCAGTTTTGTCTGATTTTGTAGAATGTGGTAAATTATAGAATTAGAGAATGTGCTGCATTTAGTCTTGAAAGAATATATGGAGGCAGTAAGTATAGTGGTCAAGAGCATAGGCTCTGAAGGCGAGAAGGGGGCTTGACAAGTCACCTGCCCTCTCTAAGAGCCTCATTCACCTCATCTATCAAGGAGATAACAATGATACCAATCTACAAAGGATGTTAGGGAGACTAAATGAAATTATGCACAAAAATCACATCGCACAGTGCCTGGCATGCAGTCAGTATTCAGAAAATGATAACTATTATTAACTATAAAAACAATAACAATTTACCCTCTCTAACTAGGATAGCTGAAATCCAGAAGGGTTTTCAAGGTTAAAAGCAATAATCTTACATCAAAGTCTAACCTTCTTGCACCTTCTTTCTGTAGAAAAATCATCATATAGCTTATCACATTTATTCATTCTCCATTACTAAATATTCATGTGTAAATTGTTAAATTCTTTTATAGCATCAGTAGATTCCAAATTAAGTGCATTTGCTTATTTTATCACCAAGTCTTCTTGGCTCTTTGTCAAGATATCTAAGGAAATTTATGTACTCAAGAAAGGGGAGATGGGAAGAAAGCACTTCTCTTTCTTCATGCCTCCAAAGGAGTGTTCGCCCATCTAACTCAAGAAAAAGTTTCAATGATGAAGCTGAAATTAAACTTCTATTAGGTATTTCTTCCTTCTCCCCAGGACTGGAGTACATGAATAGTCTCATATCTGGTTTCCCCAACCTCAGTCCCTCTACTACTTAAATTTTTCCTAAAGCATAGCTCTGGTTATTTCATTCCGTCTGTTCAAAAAGCATTTAATATGTGATGCAGGTCCAGCTAAAGAAGAAAAAGGAAAGAAAGAAAAAACCTTTTAACGATTTTTAACTGTACAGCGATTAAATTATACACAACTGGCCTGATAATAGACTCTATTCAAAATTTGACCTCAATCTACCTCTCCAGCTTTATCTTCCATTATTATCTGCTAGCCTAACTGGATTTCCCAAACATGCCCTATGCTTCTTGGTGCCACATCATTGTGTGCCCTTCAGCTTCATGGTTAAATGCTCCGTCCCCTGTGAAGCCTTACTTTATCTCTCCAAATTAAAAGTAATTTCTCATGATGACATGATGAGCTTTCAAATATTCTTTTCATACTGCAACATTGGCATCCCGTGTAAATGCTTCATATTTCTACACCTGTCTTATTTACCCTTTTAAATTGCAAACTCCCTAAGGACAGAGGAAATGATGGTGTGGCAGAACTACCCAGGTGCGCTGGTTATTAAGATACTGCCTCTCAGCGTTGTCATGCTGGGGCAGGAATTTCAGCATAAGTAAACCTAGGTTCACATACCTTTCTGCCACTTCCTAACTGGGGGACCTTTTTTGTGTAAATTACTTCAACTTTTACAACCTAATTTCCTCACTTATAAAATAGGGGTTGCAAAAATTACCTCAAAGTTTGTAGTGAGGAATAAATGAATTTATGTAAAGTACCCAGCACAATGTCTGATACAAACAACCGCAGCTCGGGCGCGGTGGCTCACGCCTGTAATCCCAGCACTTCGGGAGGCCGAGGCGGGCGGATCACGAGGTCGGGAGATCGAGACCATCCTGCCTAACACGGTGAAACCCCGTCTCTACTAAAAATACAAAAAAAATTAGCCGAGCGTGGTGGCAGGTGCCTGTAGTTCCAGCTACTCGGAGGCTGAGGCAGGAGAATGGCGTGAACCCGGGAGGCGGAGCTTGCAGTGAGCCGAGATCGCGCCACTGCACTCCAGCCTGGGCGACAGAGTAAGACTCCGTCTCAAAAACAACAACAACAAAAACAAATAACCGGCAGCTGTGACTAATCTGAGGTCTCGCAGTGTCTCTCACCTCTTTGTGCAGTAAAAGCTTTGAAAGAGTGAACCAACAAGAGAACAAAGAAGGAATAGATGACAAGAGGCGGAAGTGGACTAACAATGATATGTTTGTTGAATGAGTGAGAAGGTAATAGATAATGCTGTGAGATTATGTGGAAAACTTTTTATCTGAAGTCTTTAAAAGACATTCTCACTTTTGGCTGGGCGCGGGGGCTCACACCTGTAATTCCAGCACTTTGGGAGGCTGAGGCGGGCGGATCACTTGAGGTCAGGAGTTCCAGACCAGCCTGGACAAACTGGTGAAACGCTGTCTCTACTAAAAATACAAAAATTAGCCAGGCGTGGTGGTGGGTGCCTGTAATCCCAGCTACTCGGGAGGCTAAGGCAGGATAATCGCTTGAACCCAGGAGGCAGAGGTTGCAGTGGGCCGAGATTGTGCCACTGTACTCCAGCCGGGGTGACAGAGCGAAACTCCATCTCGAAAAAATAAAAAATGTACTCCAGCTGGGGTGACAGAGAGAAACTCCACCTCAAAAAAATAAAAAATAAGGGCCGGGCACGGTGGCTCATGCCTGTAATCTCAGCACTTTGGGAGGCCGAGGCAGGCGGATCACAAGGTCAGGAAATGAGACCATCCTGGCTAACACGGTGAAACCCCGTCTCTACTAAAAATACAAAAAATTAGCCGGGTGTGGTGGCGGGCACCTGTAGTCCCAGCTACTCGGGAGGCTGAGGCAGGAGAATGGCGTGAACCCAGGAGTCGGAGCTTGCAATGAGCTGAGATCGCGCCACTGCACTCCAGCCCGGGTGACAGAGCGAGACTCCATCTCAAATAAGTAGATAAATAAAGACTTTCTCAGGTTTTTGTTTTGTTTTTGTTTTTTTGACAGTCTTGCTCTGTCGCCCAGGCTGGAGTACAGTGGCGCAATCTCGGCTCACTGCAAGCTCTGCCTCCTGGGTTCATGCCATTCTCCTGCCTCAGTCTCCGAGTAGCTGGGACTACAGGCGCCTGCCACCACGCCCGGATAATTTTTTTGTATTTTTTGTAGAGACAGGGTTTCACCGTGTTAGGCAGGATGGTCTCGATCTCCTGACCTCGTGATCCGCCCGCCTCGGCCTCCCAAAGTGTTGGGATTACAGGCGTGAGCCACCGCGCCTGGCTGACTTTTTCAGTTTTAAGCTAAGAATATTCTCTAATAGGTATATTATTGACCCATTGACAATAGAAGATTGAATACACTTTAGGATTCCAGCCTCCTCTTCTACTGCTCATGCTCTCCGTAAGAAGGGCTAAACATCCTACTCCTGTGCACTACATTGGAGCTCAGAAATACTGACTTAAAATCTCCAGATCTTAACACGGACTTTTAAAGGGAAGATTGAGTATGGACCCAGTATTAGATGGTATTATGGAATTATTTTTAAGCTTTTTGGGTACAATAATAGTATTGTGGTTATGTTTAAAAACAAAGCCTTCTCTGTGAGAGTTATATTCTGATATCTTCCCAAATAAAATTATATGATGTCAGAGAGTTGCTGTAAGGGGTGGAAGAGGACAAGATGGAGAACGAACAGTGCAGGGAGATCACTGAAAAGAACAGCAAAATGTTGGGAACCGTTAAAGCTGAGTGATGGGAACATGGCTCCCTGGTAAATGGGACACATACATCGGGAGGTACTATTTTCGTAGTCTTTGTTTATATTTGAAAATTTTCAAACTTACATAATGAGAAGTCAAAAGGGGCATTTTCATCCCAAAAAGGTAAATGTCCATATTCTTTTTTATTTTTTCATTTTCATTTCTGGAATTACCTAAACTCAGGTCATAGATAGCAATGAAAATTCGGCTCCCTGTGGCAGCTTCTTTCAGCCACCAGACTTACATAGACTCAGTGGTGCAGAGTCCGTTTCCCAATACTGAGGGATAAAGAAAATTAAGCCTGCCTCTAGGCACGTCTCAAACTTGGGAGACTCAGAATACAACAGAGTATGGGATACAGGGAGGAAAGAAGAGATGCAGAAATAAATTAAAAACAAGATTTGTTTAAAGAGGAACTGCAACTTCTTTAATTGGGCAGATTGAACCAATAAAAGCACAGTTCTCTCCCTTCACCTGTTATCCTTTAGTCTCTTCAACTTTCACATTGCTTCACTCACTCTCTTCCTCTCCCTTTCACCTGCTCACCTTACCCAACTTGAACTGTGCCCTCTGATCTGACACAGGATGACAATGACATCAGTCATTACCTAGCAGCCATTTTTTCTGATAACTAGAGTTCTGAGTGATGATAGTTCATGGTGAGATAATTTCCAAGACCTCGCTAGCCATTGGTGGTACTACTCTCCATTAAAGACAAGGGCATTTGCTGATTGAGAAATCAATCATACAAGTGTCCTTGGAGGCCACCAAGGCTTTGCCTGAACTGTTCTCAGCCTATGATGGTTTCTCTTTCTAAACCTGTTCTTCTAGGTTCAGCTCAAACATCCTCTCCTATAGAAACCTTTCCCCAACCTCCCAGTCAGAACTAATGATTTCTTTTCACTTCAACTGTACTTAGTTTATAATTTATATGACTATAATTTAATAACTGAGACTCTTCTGATAGTACAAACAGGTGCTATCATAATTACCTCTGGGCAACAGGCAAAAATCAAGATTGTCCTTAGTAAACCAGGATTCATACCAGGTCATCTGATGTTTAGTATAGCACTCACCCGACTCTGCCTTACATTGCTTATTTAAAATGTCTGCCTCCCCTTCTAGGTTTTATAAAAGTTCTTGGCTCACAGTAACTCTTAGTATAAGTTTCTGAAATAAACACTTTGTTATCACTTTTGAATTGATGGCTTACATTTTTGTTTTGGCATTTAACTTCACATTTGTGCATTCATGTGTATGCATTTCAACTCATCTGCAAGCTTATATCCCTCAAAGTTTGCTGCTGGGCTAAGAGCAGCCACTCAAAAAATAATAATAGGCCAGGCGCAGTGGCTCACGCCTGTAATCCCAGCGCTTTGGGAAGCTGAGGCTGGTGGATCACTTGAGGTCAGGAGTTCGAGACCAGCCTGGCCAACATGATGAAACCTCATCTCTACTAAAAATACATAAATTAGCCGGGCGTGGTGGTGGGAGCCCAGCTACTCAGGGCTCCTCAGCTACTCAGCTATTCAGCTACTCAGGAGGCTGAGGCAGGAGAATTGCTTGAACCCAGGAGGCGGAGGTTTCGGTGAGCGAAGATTGCGCCACTGCACTCCAGCCTGGGCAAGAGTGAGATTCCATCTCAAAAAAATAAATGAATAAATAAAAACAAAAAAAAATAAATAGTTTTTAAAAAATCTTGACAGCATACCAGCATACATTCATTGATAAAGTCGACAAGAAAGTATTGGAGATTAAAGATTGCCAAAACCTAAGTGCTTTTCTTGGCATCATTGTCCTTGACCTCAAGGAGTTCTCAGTGTAATCAGAGTTGTGTTAAGGTCAGTGAGTGAAGGAAATGGGTACTGCACCTTTGCAAGATAGTAGGAAGCAAGCCAGAGAAGAGCTGGCATTCCACAAAAGAGTCTTTATTTGGGACAAAAATCAATATGACCAAATCCCAAACTAATCAATTCTGTAAACTAAAGGAATTTTTAAAAAATAATTTAGCAGGAGGAAGAGTTTCAAAATCTTGTAGGGAAACCCTGATGTAACTCCTGATTATTCACCCAAAGTGAAAAGTAACTATTAGTGAATGGGTTTTATTTTAAAACCTTTCATTTTTAGAATCTTATCTCTTCTAGGAAAAGTGTAGTACATACGTATTTTTTTGTATGCAGAGTGAATTTCTTCTCCAGGCTTCTCTGACATCAATGGGGCAAGGTCATAACTCTATAAAACAGGGAGAAGCACTGAGCATTTTCAGAAAGGACTCTGTCTTGACCAAAAGACAAAGGACTGGTCGTTGCAGGATCCCCAGAAATACATTTTAGTAGCTTCCAAGTAAATTCTTTTGTAAATGGAGTTTCTCTCCATTCATAAGTTTTAGAGCAAAAATGAAGCCTTAGTGGGTCTAGATATCTGGCTAACATTAACTCCCTGTGTGACCTTAAACTGGTCGTCCCCAGAGCTTTATGCTTTTATACAATTAACTTGAATTACAGCCTCTCCTTCTTGCCCATAAGAATGATAATACCACCTGCATTACTCAACTTTTACGCTTATGTGAGACACCTAGCCACCTATCAGAAGGTATTCAAATGCAAAGCATTAAGTTTTTACACTTTAATGTGAAGTGGAAGAAAGTCTTGATTCAAATGCACAATCTCTACCTTTCTACTGATTCCACATTTGCTGTCTTTTACTAGTGCAGTTAAGTCCCAAATTAGAAACATAAGTCGCCCCAACATGTGACAAATGTCCTTTGTTGCCAGAGAAAGGACAGTGGGGCTGTGTCCTCAGCCTTAGCAACCAGAAGATTCTGCAAGACCAGGACATTCTCCTGCCAGAGCCTGCTTTAGTGTCCAGTCCTGTTCTCCAAAGAGATGGAAAAAACCAAGTGGAAAAGTTTCAGTTTATTCAATATAAGGCTCCACATTCAAATGGCAAAACTGCTCTGTTCAGGTCATATTTCAAGCCCAACCTATGTCAGTCCTTAGTAAAAGCTTCAAAGCAATACCAGTCCTTTCCCAGCCTGGTTTACCTTGATTAGACAAACACAGACACCCATGTCTGAGTAAGCACTTGGACCATGGATGAGTGCTAAGGAGATTAGGTGTTTGGATAGACACAGCTAGGGTGTGTGTATGTGTGTGTGTGTGTGTGTGTGTGTGTGTGTGTGTGTGTAGAGAGAGAGAGAGACAGAGGCAAAGACAGAGACAGTGCTCATTGGGCAGAGGACAGAGTAGCTGAGATAGTATCATTTGTTTATTCATTTGCTTTTTCATAAAATACTTAGTAAGCACCTACTTGGTATGTGCCAACACTTTAATAGGTACTAGAAAGAGCAAAACAGACAGAATCACAGTCTTCAGAGAATTTACAGCCTATGGGGTTAATTAAACCAATGATTATCATAGCATGTAACAAACAAAAGAGAACCGAGAATCAGCTGTATGGAAATGCACACAGGTGGCAGATATAAATAGCAGCAGATACACGAATCAGTGCGGGTCCATCATATAACTCCTAGCTTTAGTCTCTAAACTTAGGCTCCCACTCAACTCAACTCCTACTCTAACTCAAGATATACCATACCTTGGTTTGCTCTTTCTCTAAGCATCGCTGTTCTAGTCTTCTAAGGAGCAGGAATATAAATCTACATCTATGTGAAACTACAGCACCCCCAAGGGAAAATAAAGAATCCAGTGCTATTCTAGTAATTTTAGGGCAGTAGTACAGTACAATGCAAAGTATAGGCTTTTGAACTAAATTGGCCTGGGTTCAAATATGAGCCCTCTCACATTCTATTAGGTTGAACCATATAAAAATGGAGATATTCAATCATTTTTTTACAGTTTCACGTAGTTCATCTCTGTATTCTAGTGGTAAATCATTTTAACCTAAGTTTCATTTCCTTCTGTTGTTAGTTTTTTTAATGGTGCTAATACCCCTACCTTTCAGGGTTGTAAATGAAAAGATGTTAAAAAAAAATACCTGACATATAGTGGGTGTTCAATAAATGTTAGTTTTCCCAAAGATAGTCAGATGCATGAATCATAATAAGAGGTATTTCTGGTCAACACTAAGCTTAAGAATCCAAGAAAAGATATATCAAAATGAGACATCTTTGGGTTTGGATAGTGGGGGAGGCTGTATATACACAGGTATGTATGTAGGGGCAGGGAGTAAATGGGAAATCTCTGGCTCTTCTGCTTAACTTTGCCGTGAGCTTAAAACTGCTCTAAAAAACAAAATCTGACCAGGCCTGGTGGCTCACACTTGTAATCCTAGCACTTTGGGGGGCTGAAGCAGAAGGATCCCTCGAGCCCAGGAGTTTGAGACCAGCCCGGGCAACATAGAAAGACCCTATCTCATTTTAAAAAACTAAAAAATAAAAAATAAAATAAAAAACAAAATCCATTTTTTTAAACAAAAAGAAAAATGAGGGAAAATGAGGTGTTCTGCTTGTTTTATTTAGACTCTGAGCACAGAGTTCCCAAGATACATTCTGCTGTGGTATTCACACTGATCTCCAATTAAACCCTTCTCAGTGTGTCATGAGCTATTCATTCCCTATAGTCACTCTGTTAGAATCTTGGTCGTGTCCCAGAGGCCTCTGTTGATGTGGCCCAACTGAGCTGGCCAGTGAGAAAACATACACATAAATACCCATGATCTCAGCGATTCTCTCCCCTCCCCAGGACATTCCTTAGCAGAACCAATCTCTCTCACTCGGCTGGAGCCTCTCTGTTCACAGATAGGCCTGGCTGGGCTTAATTTAGCAAAGGGCAGGCCCCCTGCAAAAGCCAGGGGTAAGTCTGGAGCCCCTGTAATGCCCCAGGACACCTTGTGTGGAGACAGGAGCCCAGCCCTGCCGAAGGAGCTAAAGGGGATGTTCAGAATGTTTGTTTTTCTCAGCTATTTAGGAACTGGAGCTCACGGGAACCACCCTTTACTTCCTTAACTTCTCACATAAATGTTTTCTTTGGGCAGCAGCTATAGAACTGGAAACTAAGTAAAACCTTACTTTGGAATATAAAAACTATATTAATTTTTCTATAGATAAATTGTTGCATAGGAAACTTGCTAAATATTTTTAAATTATCTGTAACATCTAACATAATCTGACATTTATCCCCAAATTCAGCTTTCAATTCTGGATTGAAACATACTTTGATCTGTTCTCTAAAAAGGACAAAGCCAGTCACTGGTGTTTTGCAAAGTCTGGGACCATTTTTCCTACACAGAATCTCACACAATAAACAGACAAGATATTAGAAACTAAGTTCTAATATCTAGCAGTCACTCCTTCCCTGGAAGCCTGGCTGTGTCCTGAAGCCAGGTCCTATGATCAGGCAACTCTTCTGAAGCTCTGCTTCCACTAGAGACAGCACTTACCCTGTAGACTCTACAGATGTACCATCCAGGATGGCAGGCATGAGCCACATGTGGCTACTGAACCCTTGAGATGTGACTAGTCCAAATCGAAATGTGCTGTAAGGATTTCAGACTTAGCACGCACAGGAGTTCAAAGACTAACTACAACAAAAGAATGTGACATCTCATTAATAATTTTAAAATGTTGATTTCATGTTGAAATGATAATGTTTTAAATGTATTATTAACATTAATTTCACATATTTCTTTTTACTTTTTTTAATGTGGCCATGAGAAAAATTTAAATTACATGTATGGCTTATATTTACGTTGGACAGCACTGTTCTATAAGATGTTAGGAAAAAGATGTATTTGCTTTAAGTACTTTGCATTAAGACATAGTCTGACCTGAATCACAGTTAATCCTGTGGTCTCATAGCATCTTGGAGAGTTTTGTGGGGTGCTGGCATCCATCAACCAACAAAATACCAAAATGACTCTAGGTAATTATAAGTGAAGCAAAACCACTGGGCAGGGATGATAACAGGCACTGTACTTAACAGGAGTCAGCGTATCACAATGCTGCTCGGACTATGTTCAGACACTAAACTCTAAGTGTCATGAGGGCAGGGACTCCCTCTATCTTCTCACCATTGTAGCATTGCTAGCACAATGCCCACACACAGAAGATAATGATATATTTATCAAACAAATGGATGCTGTTCAAAATAAAAATATAGCTCTCTTGAAAAACAATTCTCCCTGCAAGAACTTCCTCTTCTTACTGTTTCTTTTCTCAATTTTTTTGCTTCCTACTTCCACCAACCCCTCTTGCAGAGACTGCTCCATTCCAGTAAAAGGTGAAGGTTCAACTGGAGACCTCCAAAGTCGGCTGGGCCTAGGGTTTGGGTAGGCAATTGCTGGAAGAGCACAGAGAGGGAAAGATTTCAGGCAGTGGTGATAAGAAAAGGCCCACCTGGGTCAGGTGTGGTGGCTCACGCCTGTAATCCCAGCACTTTGGGAGGCCGAGGTGGGCGGATCACAAGGTCAGGAGTTCGAGACCAGCTTGGTCAACATGGTGAAACCCTGTCTCTACTAAAGATACAAAAAAATTAGCCAGGTGTGGTGGTGTGTGCCTGTAATCCCAGCTACTTGGGAGGCTGAGGCAGGAGAATCGCTTGAACCCAGGAGGCAGAGGTTGTAGTGAGCTGAGATTGCACCACTGCACTCCAGCCTGGGCAACAGGGACATACTCCGTCTCAAACAAACAAACAAACAAACAAAAAAACCAGAAGAAAGCACTGGCAGTCTCTTACCGCCATATGAATCCATCTACACATCTCGGGTTACATTCTCTGTCTTTCCACTTATAACCATAGATCAACTATCCATGCTCCTATCTAAAGCCAAACCTTCCACTTATGTATTAATTAAGTCCTATTCCCCCTACCTCTCAAAGGCAACACCTAGAAGGTCTCCCCTGCTTCTCTTTATCAATATTTCACTTTCTAATGGAAAATTCTGTTGGCATACGAACATGCTATTATTCATTTATCTTTCTAGAAATCCCCTATGGACCTCATACCCTTATCAGGTATGCCCCATTCCTTTGCTCTCCTTTGAAACAAAACTCAAAGTAATTATTCATCCTCATTGACTCCAATTCTTCTCCTCACATTGTTTCTTAAGCCCACTGCAAGCAGGCTTTTGTCTTCACCACTCCACCAGAATTACTTTAATCAAGATCACTAATGACATCCATGTTGTTAAATCCAAAGGTCAATTCTTTTTTGAGACAGAGTCTTGCTCTGTTGCCCAGGCTGGAGTGCAGTGGTGCAATCTCGGCTCACTGCAACCTCCGCCTCCCGGGTTCAAGTGATTCTCTTGCCTCAGCCTCCTGAGTAGCTGGGATTACAGGCATGCGCCACCATGTCCAGCTAATTTTTGTATTTTCAGTAGAGACCGGGTTTCACCATGTTGGTCAGGCTGGTCTCAAACTCCTGACCTCAAGTGATTGGCCCACCTTGGCCTCCCAAAGTGCTGGGATTACAGGCGTGAGCCACCACGTCTGGCGGGCCAAAGGTCAATTCTTAATTATCGTATTACTCAAGCTCTCAGCAGGATTTCAAAAGGTGGATCCTGTCCTCTTCACTACACACATTCTTCATTTGGCTTCCGGGACTCCAGACTTTTTCTCCTACTTCACTGGTTTGTACCTTCTCTATCTTCCTTTTCTGATTCTTCCTCTTTTCTCCAAATTACTAATGTTGGAGCTATACAGGACCAGTCTCTGGTCCTTTTCTCTTCCACCTGGAAAGGTCTAACTCCAACTCCTTTGGTCATCTCCTATGGTTTCATGGCTTTAAATATTTAAATTTAATATTTAATGATCTATTTGCTGATAACTCCCAAATTTATGTCTCTAGCCCTACTCTATTTCCTGAACTTTAGACTTACGTATTCAACTGCTTACTTAATACTGCCACATAAAATGTCTAGCAAATAGCTTACACACCAAATTTCCAAAACTGAACCCCTACTCTCCACCTTCAAATCTGCTCCATCCGTAGCCTTCCCTATCTCAGTTATGGCAACTCCATCCTTCCAGTTGCTTACTCCAAAAACCCTGGAATTTTCCTTGATTCCTTTATTTCTCTCCCATTCTGTATCCAATCCATTGGCAAAATCCTTTTAGATTTGCTACCTTCACCACTTGTTCCCACATGCATCACTATTACCTAAGTCTGATCACTATCAGCCCCTACATACATTACTGCAGTGTCTTCCTAAGAGTCCTCCTGGTGTCTACTTTTGTTCTACAGCCTATTTGCAATACCAATACTGTAACCAGATTTATCATTTCAACAAGTCAGACAGGACTGGCATTTGTTAGACCCCTCCTCTGCTCAAAACCCTTCAATAGGTTCCCATGTCACTCTGAGTAAAAGCTGAAGTCTTTAAAATCATCTACAGGGACTTACTACACAAGCCCCATACCCTCTGGGGCCTCATCTTCCAGCATGCTTAATCTTGATTATGCTGCATCAGCCACAGTGGCTTTCCTGATGTTTCTCTGCCTGGAATATTCTTCCCCCAGTTCTCTGTTTGGCCAACTTCGTCATCTCCTTCAAGTTGCTATTTGAAAATTATTTTCTATGGCATAGCCACTTTGAAAAATAGTTAGACAGTATCTATTCAGAAAATAGGCAGAAATACCGACTGGGCATCCCTAATCTAAAAATTCAAAATCCAGCATGTTCCAAAATCCAAAACTTTTTGAGGACCAACATGATACCTCAGGTGGAAAGCTCCATACCTGACCTCATGAAAGGTTGCAGCAAAAATGCAGGCACAACACCCAGTTTATTCAGCATCCCCAAGAGAAAAACATAATTACCTTCAGGCTATGTGTACAAGGTGTATATGAAACATAAATAAATTTCATGTTTAGACTTGGGTCCCATCCCCAAGATATCTCATTATGTATATGCAAATATTTCAAAATCTGAACACATCTGAAAATCTTCTGGTTCAAGCATTTCGGATAAGAGATATTTAATCTATATATACTTATTATATAACCTAACAGTTCCACTACTGGGCATTTACCCAAAAGAAATAAAACAAAGACTTGTTACATGAATATTCATAGCAGCTTAATCCATAATAGCCTGTTACTGAACACAACTCATACATTCATCAACAAATGAATGAATAAACAAATTGTATTATATTCATACAATGGAATACTACTCAGCAATAAAAATGAATGTACTACTGATACAAATAGCATGGATGAAACTCAAAATCATTATTCTAAGAGCCAGATACTATAGTCTGTATTTTATGATTCACTTTCAATGAAATTCTACAATAGACAGAACTATCTATCAACAGAAAGCAGATCAGTGGTTTTCTGCAGCCAGAGGTATGAAAGGTTTGAAACACGTGGCACCAGTAGGACATATGGAAACTTTTTTGGTGTGATGGAAGTATTTTTTTATCTTGATTGTGTGGTGTTTGTTATACAGTGGTATACATTTGTTAAAATTTATCTAACTGCATACTTAATAAAGTTTATTTAAACAAAACATGAAAGGAAAAACTAAAATCACATAGCAAGTGGCAATGCAAACTGCCACGTGCAAAGAATGAGTAAAGAGCTTGGTTGGCATGGAGACTACCAGTCTAGGATGCTTTCATTGCCTCAGGTCAGCTTGGAAGGCCATAAATGCTGTGAAGGTAAACCTAGAAACAAATCTTCCTGCACTGGTAACTGTCATGTTTATTTGCTTCCCTTTCCATCCCATCCTTTCAAAAAAAAAAAGTAAAAGGTAGTGTGGTCCACAAACTACAGTGTGGCTCCCCATGATCCCCGCCTCTTGGTGTTTGTGCCCTTGTGTAACTCCTTCTCTTTGGGTATGAGCAGGCCCTGCGACTTACTTCTAACCAATAGAATATGGCAAAGGTGAAGGAATGTCACTCCTGTGATTATATTAAATTTCAAGGCTCTCTTGCTTGCAGATTTGCTGTAGAGCCTCTCCTTGCTGACTTGAAGTGGCCATATGGGGAAAGCTCACATGGCAAGGAACACTAGGTGACTTCAAGGAACCCTGGACAGACTCTAGCCAACCTCTGGCAAGAAGTCAAGGCCCTCAGTCCTACTGCTACAAAGAAATGGATTCTGTTGACAGCCCAAGTGAGCTCTGAGTCAGATTCCTCAGTCAAGCCTCTAGAGGAGAATGCAGCCTGGCCAATACCTTGGCTGTAGCCTAGGGAGACCCTAAGCAGACAACCCAGCTAAGCGGTGCCTGGATTCCTGACCCACACACACTGTGAGATAATAAATGTGTTGGGGGGTGAAGGAGGGATGGGGGTAGGGGTGGCTGTGCATTTGGGTATGGAAGGGTGTTTTAAATCGCTTTCTAAACACGGCCTCTCCTGGCCACTCCTTAATACTGCAACCTGCTCTCCACTCCTGTAATTTTTTTTCAACATTTGTTTTAGGTTCAGGGGGTACATGTGCAGGTTTGTTACATGGGTAACTTGCATGTTGCGGAGGTTTGGTGTATGAATGAACCCATCACGCAGGTAGTAAGTATAGTACCCAATAGTTAGCTTTTCAACCCTCGCCCCCCTTCTACCTTCCACTGGGGTAGGCCCCAGTGCTTATTGTTCCCATCTTTGTGTCCATGTCTCAAAGTTTTGCTCTCACTTATAAGTGAGAACATGCAGTATTTGGTTTTCTGTGCCTGTGTTAATTAGCTTAGGATAATGGCCTCCAGCTGCATCTCTTTTGCTGCAGAAGACATGATTTCATTCTTTTAATGGATGCATAGTATTCCGTGCTTTATATGTACCGTATTTTTCCTCCCCAGTCTACTGTTGATGTGTATCTAGGTTGATTCCATGCCTTTGCTATTGTGGATAGTGCTGCAGTGAACATGTAAGTGCATGTGTCTTTTTGGTAGAACAATTTATTTTCCTTTGGGTATATATCCAGTAATGGGATTGCTGGGTCAAATGGTAGTTCTCTTTTAAATTCTTTGAGAAATCACCAAACTGCTTTCCGCAGTGACTGAACTAATTTACATTCTCACCAACAGCGTATAAGCACTTTTCTCTACAACCTTGCCAACACCTTATTTTTTGTTTTTCACAGTAGGCATTCTGACTGGTGTGCAATGGTGTCTCATTGTGGTTTTGACTTGCATTTCTCTAATGATCAGTGATATTGAGCATGAGAATTTTTTCAAATATTTGTTGGCCCCATGTATGTCTTCCGTTCATGTCCTTTGCCCATTTTTTAGTTGGGACAAGGTCTCGATCTGTTGCCCAGGAGTGCAGTCTGATCACTGGAGTTCAGTGATGCAAACACAGCTCACTGCAGCCTTGACCTCCTAGGCTCTAGCAATCCTTCCACCACTGCCTCCCAAAGTGCTGGAGTTTCAGATTTGAGCCACCACACCTTTGCTCATTTTTGAAGTGGGGCAAGACCCCCACTTCGTAGGACTATTACTTGATTGAGATTAAATATGTGTAAAATGCATAACATGGTGCCTGGCTTATAGTAAACACTAAATGGATTTCTTCTTCCATAGGATTTAAATAGGGAGCAATTTTTTTTCTATCAAGAGCTGATCAGAAATAAATGGGAAGCATTTAAATGCTCTCCTTCCCCTGTCCCAAGAGGACTTTCACTTTCCAACATTCTACATACTTTATTTATAATATTTATTGTTTATTTTCTGTCTACTCATGACAGACTATAAGTTCTATGAGGATGGGAATGCCTGTATGTGCTTATTATATGACCTAACAGTTCCACTACTGGGTATTTACCCGAAAGAAATAAAACAAAGACTTATACATGAATATATTGATATATACTCCAGTCACCTCCAATAGAATCTAGAACACAGTAGGGGCTTAGTACATATTTTTAAATGAATGAAGACTAATGTTTAGTTTAAACTAGGATTGACCTATTCTTATCTTCGGCAGAGACAGAGAATAACTAATTACCACTTGTCACATATTGAGACTTCAGTACCTAAAAGGCATTATTAGGTCACCTGTAAGTCTGTTTTCCCCCAAAGTAAAAATCCCAATTCCATTGCCCTTTTCACATAAGCCTCATTTTCTAACCTTTTTAGTTTGGTTTAACGAATTTCCTATTTCCTCTGAATTCTGGAGTTCCAAACCAGACTCAGCACAAGCCTAACAGGGCAACCTATACAGATAAGGACAGCCCAGGCACATTGCACACGGCAAGTTGCACCTGTTTTAAGAGTAAAAATGAGGTCAATGCCACCTTGTACTGCAGGTACCTCAATGAGACAATGCCACCCCTTCCTGCCACAATCTTGGCAAAAGTCACTACGAAAGTAAATATCATTTTACTAGAGTCCTTTCTTTCTCTCCAGTGAATAACACAATGTAGTTATTCACTGGAAAACATCATTTGCATTTGAAAGAGTTACTAACTAAATTCTAAAGAATGTACCAAAGCCTTGCTTAACTGTAGAATGAGGCCACACGGCTGCTGGGATACCAGGTACTCTCCCTGAGCCTATTGATGGCAAATTTCATCCTGTGAAAAATGGGAACAAGACACCCACTTCATAGGACTATTATATGGTTGAAATTAAATATGTGTAAAATGCATAACATGGTGCCTGGCACACAGTAAACACAAAACAGATTTCTTCCTCTATAGCATTTAAATGGGAAGTATTTAGCGTTTACTTGCCATGTGCATGAGTGAATTTGGGAAAAGTGGGGGGAGGATATGGGGCAAAGAAGGACAGAAAGGGCCTAAGAGTAGGAAGAATTTAATACCAGAAGATGGGACAAGACCTGGGTCTAGAAACCTCTTCTGCAGATAAAGTAGCTGCAAATTATAGGGAAGGAGTCCTCAGGCTGCTTTCCTTATAACCATTTATTTTCCTGCACCTTATATCAAGAACGTTAGGCACTGGTTAAGACCCTGTCCCCTTGCAGCAGTAGAGAAAACAGGAGGAAGGAGACGGGAGGTAGAAATTTGGAAGCTAGCAGTTGAAGGCCAACTCAGAAAGCGTCAGGTGGAATTCCATTCCTAATTGACATCACCATCCTCTAACTGCAGCAATTCTCTCCAGCCCTTTTATGTGCTCCCTACAGAACCAAGCTTCCACACAGCTGAAGGAACCTGTCTGCTCTCACCCCAGCTTCACAGAAGATGGCAGGGACTGGTTATTACTAACCTGCCTCCTAGTCTTCTGAGGCTCCAAATGGTTTTGTCAGCAAGCTGAGCTTCCCCACAATCCCACAGACTAGAAGGGGTTGGAAAGAACAAGCCTTAGAACAATACTGCTCCCCACCTCTAAGGGATCTGCTCCTCTGAGTCCCAGAAGTTCACCGCCTTCATTTGATTTCTGCTACAGGAAGACTCTGGGAATCCAGCTCTGGACCCAGCACTTCCTGATTTTTGAAGTAGAGAGTTGACAACCCTGTTGTCATCAATACAACTGTGCTAGGTGGGTGGGAAAGGAAAATATCTTGGGCTCCCAAAATCACTAAGCTAAAAGGAAAACTCAGGATCATGGTGGATGGAAGTCAGGACTAGATTGCAGCTCCGACTCGGATGGACAGAGAAGCATGTGGAGGCTCATATCATGAATTTTTGCTCCAGAACGACTGGAGGAATAAATTACAAAACCTGAGAGGACCCACAGGCCCCCTGAAGGAAGCAGATGGCTCCTGCAGGACCCAGGAGACACACCAAATACTGTGTTAGTATTTACTTATAGAAATGCAAAATGGTCTGGAAAGTCTCAGCCATAGAATCAAACAAGTAGAAGAAAGAAATTCAGAGCTCGAACACAAAGTCTTCAATTTGACCCAATCCAACCAAGACAAAGAAAAACAAATAAGAAAATATGAACAAAGCCTCCAAAAACTCTGGGATTATGTTAAATGACCAAACCTAAGAATAATTGGCATTGCTGAGGAAGAAGAGAAATCTAAAAGTTTGAAAAACATATTTGGGGGAATAATTGAGGAAAATTTCCCCAACCTTGCTAGAGACCTAAACAAATACAAGAAGCACAAAGAACACCTGGGAAATTTATTGCAAAGAGATCGTCACCTAGGCACATTGTCATCAGGTTATCTAAAGTTAAGACAAAAGAAAGAATCTTAAGAGCTGTGAGACAAAAGAACCCAGTAACCTATGAAGGAAAACCTGTCAGATTAACAGCAGATTTCTCAGCAGGAATCCTACAAGCCAGAAGGGATTGGGCCCCTATCTTCAGCATCCTAAAACAAAACAATTATTAGCCGAGAATTTTGTATCCAGTGAAACTAAGCTTCGTATACGAAGAGAAGATACAGTATTTTTCAGACAAACAAATGCTGAGAGAATTTGCCACTACCATGCCAGCGCTACAAGAATTGCTAAAAGAAGCTTCAAATCTTGAAACAAAACCTGGAAACACATCAAAACAGAACCTCTTTAAAATATAAATCTCACAGGACCTATAAAACAAAAATACAATTCAAAAAAACAAAAACAAAACCCAAAAAACCAAGGTATACAGGCAACAAAAAGCACAATGAACGGAATGGTACCTCACATCCCAATACTAACATTGAATGTAAATGGCCGAAATGCGCCACTTAAAAGATACAGAATTGCAGAATGGATAAGAATTAACCGACCAACTATCTGCTGCCTTTAAGAGACTCACCTAACACATAAGAGACTTATCTGACACATAAGGACTCACATAAACTTAAGGTAAAGGGGTGGAAAAAGACATTTCATGCAAATGGACACCAAAAGCAAAAGCAAGCAGAAGTAACTATTGTTTTTTTGTTTTTTTGGTTTTTTTGAGATGGAGTTTCACTCTTGTAGTCCAGGCTGGAGTGCAATGGCGCGATCTTGGCTCACTGCAACCTCCGCCTCCCAGGTTCAAGCAATTCTCCTGTGTCAGCTTCCCAAGTAGCTGGAACTACAGGTGTGCACCACCATGCCCAGCTAATTTTTGTATTTTTAGTACAGATAGGTTTAGTACAGGCAGGGGTGATCTGCCTGCCTTGGCCTCCCAAAGTGCTAGGATTACAGGCATAAGCCACCGTGCCTGGCCCAGCAGTAGTTATTCTTATATCAGACAAAACAAACTTTAAAGAAATTGCAGTTAAAAAAGACAAAGAGCGGCATTATATAATGATAAAAGGCCTTGTCCAACAGGAAAATATCACAATCCTAAACATATATGCACCTAACACTGGAGCTCCCAAATTTATAAAACCATCACTAATAGACCTAAGAAATGAGATAGACAGTAACACAATAATAGTGGGGGACTTCAATATGTCACTGACAGCACTAGACAGGCCAATGAGACAGAAAGTCAACAAAGAAACAATGGATTTAAACTATACCCTGGAACACATGGACTTAACACATATATACAGAACATTCCATCCAACAACTGCAGAATATACATTCTATTCAACAGTGCATGGAACTTTCTCCAAGATAGACCACATGGTAGGCCACAAAACAAGCCGCAATAAATTTAAGAAAATTGAAATTTTATCAAGCACTCTCTCAGACCACAGTGGAATAAAACTGGAAATCAACTCCAAAAGGAGCTTTCAAAACCATGCAAATACATGGAAATTAACCTGCTCCTGAATGATCATGAAATCGAGATGGAAATTAAAAAAATCTTCAAATTGAACAAAAATAGTGATACAACCTATCAAAACTTCTGGAATACAGCAAAGTCAGTGCTAAAAGGAAAGTTCATATTCCTAAACACCTACATCAAAAAGTCTAAAAGAGCACAAACAGACAATCAAAGGTCACACTTCAAGGAACTAGAGAAACAAGAACAAACCAAACCCAAACCAGCAGAAGAAAGGAAATAACCAAGATCAGAGCAGAACTAAATGAAACTGAAACAAACAAACAAAAAATACAAAAGATAAATGAAATGAAAACCTGGTTCTTTGAAAAGATAAATAAAGCTGCCGGGCGTGGTGGCTCACGCCTGTAATCCCAGCACTTTGGGAGGCCAAGGTGGGCGGATCACAAGGTCAGGAGATCGAGACCATTCTGGCTAACATGGTGAAGCCCCGTCTCTACTAAAAATACAAAAAAGGTGTAAGGAAGGGATCCAGTTTCAGCTTTCTACATATGGCTAGCCAGTTTTCCCAGCACCATTTATTAAATAGGGAATCCTTTCCCCATTGCTTGTTTTTCTCAGGTTTGTCAAAGATCAGATAGTTGTAGATATGCGGCATTATTTATAGGTGGGAATTGAACAATGAGAACACATGGACACAGGAAGGGGAACATCACACTCTAGGGACTGTTGTGGGGTGGGGGGAGGGGGGAGGGATAGCATTAGGAGATATACCTAATGCTAAATGACGAGTTAATGGGTGCAGCACACCAGCATGGCACATGTATACATATGTAGCTAACCTGCACGTTGTGCACATGTACCCTAAAACTTAAAGTATAATAATAATAAAATAAAATAAATAAAAAATAAAAAATAAAAATAAAAATACAAAAAATTAGCCGGACGCCATGGTGGGCACCTGTAGTCCCAGCTACTCGGGAGGCTGAGGCAGGAGAATGGCATGAACCCGGGAGGCGGAGCTTGTAGTGAGCCGAGATCGCACCACTGCACTCCAGCCTAGGCGACAGAGCAAGACTCCATCTCAAAAAAAAAAAAACCTAGAAGAGATGGATAAATTCCTGGAAAGATACAACCCTCCTAGCTTAAATCAGGAAGAATTAGATACTCTGAACAGACCAATAACAAGCAACAAGATTGAAATGCTAATTTAAACATTACCAACAAAAAAAGTCCAGGACCGGATGGATTCACAGCAGAATGTAACCAGGCATTCAAAGAATTGGTACCAATCCTATTGACACTATTTCATAGGATTGAGAAAGAGGGAACCCTCCCTAAATCATTCTACGAAGCCAGCATCACCCTAATACCAAAACCAGAAAAGGACATAACCAAAAAAGAAAACTGCAGACCAATATCCTTGATGAACATCGATACTAAAATCCTTAACAAAATACTAGCTAACCGAATCCAACAACATATCAAAAATATAATCCACCATGATCAAGTGGGTTTCATACCAGGGATGCAGGGAGGTTTAACATACGCAAGTCAATAAATGTGGTACACCACATAAACAAAATTAAAAACAAAAATCACCATGATCATCTCAATAGATGCAGAAAAAGCATTTGACAAAATCCAGCATCCCCTTATGATTAAAACTCTCAGCAAAATCAGCATACAAGGGACATATCTCAATGTAATAAAAGCCATCTATGACAAACCCACAGCCAACGTAATAATGACTGGGGGAAAAGTTAAAAGCATTTCCTCTGAGAACTGAAACAAGACAAGGATGCCCACTCACACCACTCCTCTTCAACATAGTTCTGGAAGTCCTAGCCAGAGCAAGACAAGAGAAAGAAATAAAGGGGATCCAAATTGTTATAGAGGAAGTCAAACTGTCACTATTTGCTGATGATATTATTGTTTACTTAGAAAATCCTAGAGTCCTCCAGAAAGCTCCTAGAACTGATAAAACAATTCAGCAAAATTTCTGGATACAAAATTAATGCATGCGAATCAGTAGCTCTTCTATACACCAACAGCGACCAAGCTGAGAATCAAATCAAGAACTCAACCCCTTTTACAACAGCTGCAAAAAATAAAATAAAATAAAATACTTAGGAATATACCTAACCAAGGAGGTGAAAGACCTCTACAAGGAAAACTACAAAACACTGCTGAAGGAAATCATAGACGACACAAATGAATGGAAACACATCCCATGCTCATGGATGGGTAGAATCAATATTGTGAAAATGACCATACTGCCAAAAGCAATCTACAAATTTAACACAATTCCCATCAAAATACCGCCATCATTCTTTACAGAATTAGAAAAAACAATTCTAAAACTCATATGGAACCAAAAAGGAGCCCGCATAGCCAAAGCAAGACTAAGCAAAAAGAATAAATCTATAGGCATCACATTACCTGATTTCAAACTATACTATAAGGCCATAGTCACCAAAACAGCATGATACTGGCATAAAAATAGGCACAGAGACCAATGGAACAGAATAGATAACCCATAAATAAACTCAAATACTTACAGCCAACTGATCTTCGACAAAGCAAACAAAAACATAAAGTGGGGAAAGGACACCCTTTTCAACAAATGGTGCTGGGATAATTGGCTAGCCACACGTAAGAGAACTAAACTGGATCCTCATCTCTCACCTTACACAGAAATCAGCTCAAGATGGATTAAGGATTTAAATCTAAGTTCTGAAACTATAAAAATTCTAGAAGGTATCATCGAAAAAACCCTTATAGACATTGGCTTAGGCAAGGATTTCACGACCAAGAACCCAAAAGCAAATGCAATAAAAACAAAGACAAACAGCTGGGACTTAATTAAACTAAAGAGCTTTTGCACGGCAAAAGGAACAGTCAGCAGAGTAAACAGACAACCCACAGAGTGGGAGAAAATCTTCACAGTCTGTACATCTGACAAAGGACTAACATCCAGAATCTACAACAAACTCAAACAAATCAGCAAGAAAAAAACAAACAATCCCATCATAAAGTGGGCTAAGGATATGAATAGACAGTTCTCAAAAGAAGATATACAAATGGCCAACAAACATATGAAAAAAGGCTCAACATCGCTAATAATCAGGGAAATGCAAATCAAAACCACAATGTGATACCACCTTACTCCTGCAAGAATGGCCATAATCAAAAAAATAAAAAAATAGTAGATATGTATGTGGATGCAGTGAACAGGGAACACTTCTACACTGCTTGTGGGAATGTAAACTAGTACAGCCACTATGGAAAACAATGTGGAGATTCCTTAAAAAACTAAAAGTAGAACTACCATTTGATCCAGCAATCCCACTACAGGGTATCTACCTAGAGGAAAAGAAGTCATTATACAAAAAAGATACTTGAACACGCATACGTATAGCAGCACAGTTCACAACTGCAAAAACGTGGAACCAACCCAAGTGCCCACCAATCAATGAGTGGATAAAGAAACTGTGGTGTGTATATACACACATATATATATATATATGATGGATATATATATATATATATATATATGATAGAATACTACTCAGCCAATAAAAGGAATAAATTAACGCATTCACAATGATCTGGATGAGATTGGAGACTATCATTCTAAGTGAAGTAAGGCAGGAAAGGAAAACCAAACATTGTATGTTCTCACTCATAAGTGGGAGCTAAGCTATAAGGATACAAAGGCATAAGAATGACACAGTGGACTTTGGGGACTCAAGGGGAAAGGGGGGGAAGTGGGTGAGGGATAAAAGATCACAAATAGGGTGCAGTATATACTGCTTGGGTGATGGGTGCACCAAAATCTCACAAATCACCACTAAAGAAATTACTCATGTAACCAAACACCATCTGTTCCCCAATAACCTATGGAAATGAAAATACAAAAAATAAAAGGAAAACTCAAGCTGGAAACTGTTTAGGGCAAACCTGCCTCCCATTCTATTCAAAGTTATCTCTCTGCTCACTGAGATAAATGCATATCTGATTGCCTCCTTTGGAAAGGCTAATTAGAAACTCAAAAGAATGCAACCTTTTGTCTCTCTTCTGTGACCTAGAAGCCGCCTCCCCCACTGCAAGTTTTCCTGCCTTTGCTTCAAGTTGTCCCGCCTTTCCAGACCGAACCAATGTACTTCTTACATACATTGATTGATGTCTCATGTCTCCCTAGAATGTACAAAACCAAGCTGTGCCCCAAACACCTTGGTCACATGTCATAAAGACTTCCTGAGGCTATGCCAGGGGCACGTGTCCTCAACCTTGGCAAAATAAACTTTCTAAATTTACTGAGACCTGTCTCAAATTTTCGGAGTTCACAGTGGGCAAGACTAGATTTACTTTTGTGTTGAGCAGATACTGAGCTTGACTGATGAGAATCTGGAGTGTGAGGTCTGACGGAGTAACTCTGAGAGAGGAAGCTACCTGTGTGGTCTCAGGGAGAAGATCTGAGACTTACCAAGAAAAAGTGACCTGAAAGAACTGGCTGACTTCAGGCCCTTGACCAGTGCCTAGACCCTCTTTCTGCAGCTCCAGATCATAGCCATCATGCTGGCAGCCTCCCTGCCGCTCATCCAGGCACCTTAAAGAAGGGCTTCCTCTTCCCAAGCCTCTGGGTGGGCTTTCTAAAGTCCTGTGTGCATGAAGAGGTGGCCTGTAGCCCTTTGCAGCAGCAGGGCTTACATGAGGCTGGGATATGAAAAGCTGGCATTACAATGCAGCTTGTGCCTTGCATTCACTCCCCACTTCATCAAGCCAAGTTTCTAAATAACAGGGATAGTAACTGCCCACTGTGGCCCAATGTCACTTCTAAAGTTGCTTGGCAAAAAGCCACATGACTATTACTTAGCTCTCCACAGAACGGCATGTACCAAGTCGGATCACTGCTGTCGGTGTGTGGGTGGATTAGCTGCTATTGAACATGATAGGGCGGGCCCCTTTCCAGTTTGCACCAGCCCCGCTCTGTGCCTACTCCATGTATCATAGAGCCTCCTCTCTCTGTGCAGTTGAACTTGATCAGATGAGATGGCAAAAGCCAGAGCAGGGAGCAAGGCAAAAGAGAAAAATATGTTCACGGTGACTTTTGAAAACATATGGATGAAACTCCTGAGGAGGCTGAGGAACTAAACCTTTTCTTTTGGCAGTAGGCACAGAGTGCAGATTCATCTCTCTGTGAATTACTCTAGCTCCTGCTGTGTGAGTTCTATTTTAGCCCAGTAATGCAAAAAGAAAGAAAAACTAAGTTCTGACAAGCACTTACATTTCTTGAATTTTTGTTGAAGGTCCCAGAGGTCATTGTAAGCAGCCTGAACAGGTAGTTAGGGCTCCTGGATTCTAGTCTCAGCTTGGCTACTAATTTACCGTGTGACGTTAGGCAAATTACTATTCTGAGCTTTAGTCATCTTATCTTTAAAATGAAGGGTTTATTCTTTAGAGGAAGCTGAGTGAATGGCATACGGGAACACTCTGTACTATTTTTATAACTTTGCTATAAGTCTAAAATTATTTTTAAATAAATGGTTTTCTTAAAAAGTGAAAGGATTATGTAGATTATCTTCAAGATCCTCTCTACCTCTGAATAATGATTTTATGTTCTTACTTATCTTCCTTCAGGTGAAAGTAAGTCTCTTTCCAGCTATCCAAACATATAACAGAGTGGAATTTTTCCTCACTCCTTCTGCCCCAGGCAAGATGTTGATCAGCCCCAACACAAACCTGTTTTCTGCTTTAAACATATCCTATACCTAGGGCAAAATTTAAATTATCTAAAACACATTTAAAAACACCCCATCCATACCCACTTTGTTCTTTCAAACAAGTAAATTCACCCAGCAGGGAAAAGCTGTTGCTGGCAGTCCATGCCTACAGAATCTCAGCCTTGCCCTAGCAACGAGGCTAATTATAACTCCGGCTACCTGGTAACCGCACTAGATTTCCCTGCATTGGCTGGCAGTTCTAAAGCCATCTCAGCTCTGCCTGCCACCTCCCATCCTGAGAAGCTGTCAGAGAAGCTGAGAAACTATGAGTCTCTTTTAAGCAACTATCTAAGCTGTGGTGAGAACACCCATGTATCATAGAGCTTCCTTTCTCTGCGCCCAGAGAAAGGCTGCCCAGAATCACAGGACTTCAGAACTGGGAGGGATGTGTGCGTCAATCCTGGTCCAGCCCACTCATTTAAACACAAAGAACCAGAAGCCCAGAAAAAGTGACTTGCCTTAGCCTGGCCTTCCTCTTGATTCCTTTCCCTCAATTCTCCCGTCCTGATCAATCATCAAGTCCTACAAATATTTTACCTCTTAAATATTTTAAAGATGAGTTGCCTCCCCTCTATTCCTACTGCCACAGCCCTCATTCGGGCCTTCATCTTCTTTGGCTTGGCAAGTCTGTTCTCACTCACTTCCTGCCTTGACTCTCTTGAATCCACCTTTCCCATGCATCAGAGGGATCTAGCAGGTTCCCTGCAGCTTAAAGCCCATCAGTGGTGCCTTGTCTTCTTCAGGATAAAGTCTACACTCTTTAAAATGGCACAAAAGACTGTGTCCGTCATATCAGTCTCATTCTTCGCCTAGTACTTAAATCCACCAACACCAAACCACTTCTAATTCTGTGCAAGCACCCTATGGTTTCTTGCCTCAAGGCTTTTGCTTGTGACAAAAACTCTGTCCTTCCACTTCATCATCCATTGACTGATTAGTGCTTATTCCCCTTTGAAGACGAAGTTCAGGGGTCATCACGAATAATCCTTTGCAGATTTTCTTTCCATCCACTCTATTCATTTGGGATAGAAGTGCCCCCTTTGAGTTGCCTTACACTTTGTACACAGCTCTGTTACTGCCTTTTACTATACTCTAGCACCTGTGGTTTACTCATCTTTGAAGTCCCAACTTCTAGTACTTGGAACATAGCAGGTACCTAATTAATGTTTATTAATGAATGAATGGATAAGTCCAAAGCTTTCCATGATTTCTCCCCTGCAGCCTCATCTTACCACCACCACAAGCCCTCCAAACCACATGATCTAGCCATACTGAATGATTCCAGTGTGCCAAGTGCACATTGCTTTTGTACACCTCTGCTTTTGTATATTGTTTCTTCTGTTTGAAATGCCTTTTCCCACCAGGCGCGGTGGCTCACACGTATAATCCCAGCACTTTGGGAGGCCGAGGTGGGTGGATTACCTGAGGTAAGGAGTTTGAGACCACCCTGGCCAGCATGGCGAAACCCCATCTCTACTAAAAATACAAAAATTAGCCGGGCATGGTGACACACGCCTGTAATCCCAGCTACTTGGGAGGCTAAGGCAGGAGAATCGCTTGAGCCCAGGAGACGGAGGTTGCAGTGAGCCGAGATCATGCCACTGCACTCCAGCCTGGCTGACAGAGCAAGACTCTGTCTCAAAGAAAAAAAAAAAGAATTTCTGGATTTTCCAGGCATGGTGGCTCATGCCTGTAATCTCAGCACTTTGGGAGGCCGAAGTGGGTGGATCACGAGGTCAGGAGATTGAGACCAGCCTGGCTAACGTGGTGAAAACCCGTCTCTACTAAAAATATGAAAAATTAGCGTATGTTTCACAGCATCTGTAATCCCAGCTACTCAGGAGGCTGGGGCAGGAGAATCGCTTGAACCTGGGAGGTGGAGATTGCAGCAAGCCAAGATGGCGCCACTGCACTCCAGCCTGGGCCACAAAGTGAGACTCCATCTCAAAAAAAAAAAAAAAAGAAGAAAAAAGAAATGCCTTTTCCCATTTCTTGTTATGTTACTACCTTTTAGGATTCAATGCAAACTTCAAACACTTGGCAAGGCCTTTCCTGGTGGATTTTATTGCACTATAGCAAAATCTGTCCATACCTCTATGGTAGCCCTTATTATACCATTTTTATTTATTTGTTGATGTCTTCTCCACCAGAATCTAGCACAGTAGCTGGCATATAGTAGATAATCAATAGACGTTTGACTGAATATACCAATGCATATGCGCAAATATGAGCAAAAAAATGACTAAAATGATATTGCAAACAAGGGAAACATTTGAGACAGAAATTTAGAATGTCTATTTTTTTCAAGTGTAACATGCTACTTCTATCAGTGCATAAACCTGAATGTACATACACTATAGAAAGAAGTGGCCTTGTAATAAGTTCATGCAGAAGTATAAATTATGTAGACATTGTTAGGGGGATAACTGAAAGTGGATTAGAATTAAATTAGGGCCCAGAATTTAGTCTGGGATTTGTTTTCCAGTGGTTGAAAGAAAAATTCCTAAGTATTCAAAGGGAAGAAGCATTTCTCAACAGGCAAGTATTATGAATTCTAATTAAAAGCTCTGAAAAAATGAGATAAGTTGTGTTAAGGAAAAGCAGAAAACAGAGTTTCCTTTGGTTAAGAGTTCCACTATTTTTATAAGCAACTGACTTTTTTGGGGAAAGTTGCTTTAAGCATTTTTTTTTCTGTGTGTATGTGTGAGATGGGGTCTCACTCTGTCACCCAGGCTAGAATGCAGGAGCACAATCATGGCTCACTGCAGCCTCAACCTTCTGGGCTCAAGCAATCCTCCCACCTCAGCCTCCCAAGTAGCTGGTACCACAGCCACACACCACTATGTCAGCTAATTAAAAAAAAAAAAATTTACAGAGATGCAGTCTTGCTATGTTTCCCAGGCTGGTCTCAAACTCCTGGGCTCAAGTGATCCTCCCACCTTGGCCTTGCGAAGTGCTGGGATTACTGACATGCGCCAACATGCCAGGCCTAAACATTTTGTGTGTGTGTGTTAAAATATACATATAATAAAATTTGCCATTTTAACTATTTTAAAGTATATAGTTCTATGGCATTAAGTACATTCACATAGTTGTTCAAATATCACTATCCATCTCCAGAACTTTTTCCCAAATGAAACTGTAGCCACTAACTCCCCATTCCCTCCTCCCCACAACCCCTGGCAACCATAGTTCCACTTTCTGTCTTCATTATTTGACTACTCTAGGTACTTCATTTAAGTGAAATAATAAATATTTGTCCTTTAGGGACTGACTTTACTTAGCATGACATCTTTAAGGTTCACTCATGTTACAGCACATGTCAGAGTTTCATACCTTTCTAAGGCTAAATAATATCCAGTGTCTATATAGCCCACATTTTGTTTATCCACTCATTTGTCAATGAACACTTGAGTTGCTTCCACCTGTTGGCTACTGTAAACAATGCTCCTATGAACACAGAAATACAAATATCTATTTGAGTTCCTGTTTTCATTTATTTTGTGTTATACCCAGAGTAGAAT
The DNA here is from genome assembly GCF_000001405.40 of Homo sapiens. Classification (NCBI taxonomy): domain Eukaryota; kingdom Metazoa; phylum Chordata; class Mammalia; order Primates; family Hominidae; genus Homo; species Homo sapiens. The sequence continues at coordinate 149,233,313 of NC_000001.11, forward strand.
TGCTGGATTATACGGTAAGTCTATGTTTAATTTTTTGAGAAACTCCATACTGGTTTTCACAGCACCTGCACCATTTCACATTCTTTCTAGCAATGTGCAAGGGTTCCAATTTCTCCACATCTTTACTAGTATTTGTTATTTTCTGGGTTGTTTGATTTTTAGTATAATAGCCATCCTAATGAGTGTGAAGTTTGAAAAAATATTTAACCAAAATCATAAATATTGGTTACAAATATTTAATGGATGGATTCCCTCTATTTCTGCCAACTTTCATTCCCTGAAAGAAGAAATAGGTAAGCATGACCTCACGAACCTCAGAAGGCTGAGAATGGGGAATTGGCACACACAGTGTGCGTAGACACAGACACACATGGACCATGTTCATACTAGGCTTCCAGAGAACCATTTAAAAATAGTTTGGCTAATGTAATCTTGTCTGTCTCTTATGTTCCTCCTTTCCCATCATACACATTTCTTAAAGTTCGTGTAAGTAAAACATAGGAGAAAAAAACATAGCCACTAATTAAATAAGGCATCCAAGTGTAAAAGAAGAGCAAACTCTGCTACATATAAGAAGACAAGCATTAATTCTGGCAACAGCAGCCACACAGCCACTTTAGACAATAACCTGAGCAGGTGCATGCTTTCTAGTATGTGTCTCCAGCTATGCAGGATAGAAATCACAATCCTTTCTGTTTATCTAACGTCTAATACACTAAAACATGTTTACCCATGGGGGAGAAGAGCACGACAGGAATTGATGACTCTAATTTAGGAAACTAAGGTTCACAGAAGTTAAGTGACTTGGCCAAGATCATGTAGCTAGAAAAGGCAGGTTAAGAATTCAGGTTTCCTTAGAGTTCAAAACTTTTATCACAACATTTTTGATAACCCCCCAAGATACTCATCCTTCTCTAATAGCCTTCCTTTGGTTCAAGTCCAGCTTCCTAAATCCTACCGCCTGATGGAGTTCCTGAGCTTCCTTGTAAGTCTGCAGGTATATTGTTCCTCATCATGTTGCCCAAAGCCTAAAGAAATCAGGCTAGGACCAAAGAAAATCAGTCAATGAGCCAAAAAGAAATTTAATCAACCCAGCCTTTCTTATTTATTTTCTTTGAATGAACATTTGTATCTGAGAATGCCAAGGTAAATTTGATGCAATAGGGGCACTTGGATTATATTATGTTATTTACACACAAGCAAACAAAAATTGAGAATTGAGACAAATAGGACAAATGGTCCCAAGTCCACTATTGAGGAAAAAGAAACTGATTTGGAATAAAAAATAGTCCAGCATGAATGTGTCAGTAATTAAGACTTATCTGGATAAGTTTGCCGTCTCTCAATTTGTCACAATAATGGCAAATATTTATTGAGAGCTTACTATGTGATAGGCATTATGCTGAGTTCAGCTAATTGACTCATTTCATCCTCCTCTAGACCCTATAAGATAGGTGTTATTACTGCCCTTGCTTTAGCTCAGAGAAATTATGGTATTTTTCCCAACACAAATAGTAAGTAGAAAAATCAAGATTTCACCCCAGGTCTCGCCAATTTATAGCTCTTAGCCGTTATGCCCAGCAATAACAGAATAGTAAAAACAAGGACAATTTGGTAGGCAAGTAAAATCAGTAGGCTGTTTACCATAGCTATAGAAGTATGCTATGCATAAACCTCAAAGATTGCGCAGGAAAAGTATCATCCAATCTCAAAGATGAGAAAACCAAAGAAGTTTCAATCTCAGAGAAGTCAGGCAGCTTAAGGGTCATAAAACAACGCAACACAACTCTCTCAACTCATATCTAAGGGCTAAGTCCACTTTAACCTTCCAATATCATTACATCATATTTAAACATTGACTCTATCTGGTCAAGGACGACAACATTTTATTTCTCCTGACCCTTTTGCTATCAGATCTGGCCTTGTCAGTTTTTCAATTTCATTCTTAGAATGGAAACTTAATTCACACAAGTTGAACAAGTAGTCATCAGGGGGCAAAACCCAGTGGATGATGGTTTTGTGTGCTGTTTGGAGACTGGGTGTTTACCACACAGCAGTGGATTTCATAAATTCCAGGGTCAGACAAGATTCCAGTAGCGACACACTTGACTAATATGAGAAAATGCAGGATTAGGCAATCAACAATGAGGAAGTCAGCCAAGTTGCCACCCAAAAATTACTTACCACAGCAGCTGCAGTCCAGAAATGCTAACAAGCCAGTCTCCCTAGGAGTGGGCCATACTCAGCTGTGGACCACTCACAACATTTTCTCACTTTATTTTGCTTCAGAGTCAGTGTACTGCAATGATTTCTCCTTTGCTTGCTTTATATGTTTAAAATTGTCTTCCCTAAAAGCTGAACTTAAAATTAATGTTTGCTACCAAAAGGGGGTAGCAGTGCCTAGTCATGTAGGCATATGTCCCACTCTGTCGGTACAGAGGGTAAGCAGCCTCTTCCTTTTTAAAAAATTTATTATGATGATTTACAAAAATTGAAGCTTACAGGATAAACACTCAACAAAAAAGTAGCCAGTCTCAAGAAACCAATTTTTATGTATGAATTAATATTATTTTATTAATCCATGGCCAGGATGATTCTTAAGATTATTTCTTAATTCTCTGAACAGCTTAAAAGAGAGAAACTCCTTCTTTTTTATTTACTTGCTTTGAGGTTGATACTCTTAGGTTTTTAACATAACTCTCTAGCTTTGACAACTCCTCTTATAATTTAAAATCCTTATAGCTTCCATTTACAAGTAAGGATTATATCTATTTTAGTCTCCTCAATCAGCTACCTAGGAGAAGACTTGCCACTTGGAAAGAGAAAGATAGCACCCACTCTCCAGTTCTCTTCTCCCAAAGTTGCCCGTATTTCCCTTCCCTGAAGCCAATCAAATACTTTATTGTTTCTCGCTAAGAGTAATTTTTCACTCTTAAGTACAAACAGCTCAACAAAAATTCCCGGTAGCATAAATATGCACATCAATAAAATAATTACTACTCACAATAGACTTTCCATTACATATGTTTCACAAGCATTGGTTTTCTTAAAAAGAACCACGCATACAGCACTCAAATTATTGCAGATTCTAACTCAGTAGAGTTTGATTTAATGTTTTTACAATATTTTTTTTAAAGAAGTGTCCTTCCAACGCTAAGGAAAAAAATCAGAATCAAGAAAATTCTGTTTCTTAGCAACAGAAAAATCAAACTTCTGTTACTAAGTTTGGTAACAGAACAGTACTCTAAATTATCCTCTGAACCACCTGATTTACCATGTGATGCTGGGCACATTGCTGCTAATTAATCTTCCTAATCTCGTGGGATCACAATATGAATAACAAGAATGAACATCAGACACATCTGTGGGAATTATGAGGGGGAGATTATAAAGAGTCAAACCTTGTCCCCATATTTAAATTTTATAATAACTATAACTACTAGTAGAAATATAACTACTACCCTCTCATATATATGTGATGTTATTAAGTTTATAAAGTGTTTTGATATGTTTCTTATTTCATCTTCATGGCTGCTATTTATTCATAGAAAAATAATTCTCAGTATCTGTAGCATTATTGTTAATGTCAATCCTATAGAGGCTGGAACAGGCTCAGAGAGGCTAAGTAACTTGCCTAACTAAGTCTCCTGGTTGACAATAGGTCTTAATGCAGTGTTTTCCGAATCCCTCGTTCTTACATCAAAACAGAACTGTGGCTGGGTGTGGTGGCTCATGCCTGTAATCCCAGCAATTTAGGAGGCCAAGGTGAGATCACTTGAGCCCAGGAATTTGAGACCAGCCTGGGCAACATAGTGAGTGAGACCTCAATCTCTGCCAAAAAAAAAAAAAAAAAATACATACACACACACACACACACACACACACACACACACACAGACACACACATATATATATAAATAATTAGCCAGGTGTGGTGGCACACCTGTGGTCCCAGCTACTTGGGAGGCTGGGGTGGGAGGATCATTTGAGCCCAGGAGGTCAAGGCTGCAGTGAGTCGTGACGGTGCCACTGCACTCTAGCCTGGGTGACAGAGCGAGACCCTGTCTCAAAAAATAAAATAAACCAGAACGGCTCTAGTTCCTATCAATCACTCATCATGACATAGTGTGGTAAACTAATTTCAACTCTGAATGATTGATAATGGCTTTATGTGTTCTGTTTCCCAAGTAATAAGAACATTTTAGCACAAGCCTTTAGCGCTTTTCAAATAATCATAGCCAAATGAGAAAATTAATATGACAGGCAGATTGAACAAACATTTGGTGAGAAGGAAGAGGAGGGGATACAGTAGTTTGAGATCCCTCAAATCATATGATGCAGTAGCTGCCTGACAACTCTGCTAACACGTAAGACTAGATAGAGACAGGGCCATATCTACTTCCTGTATGGGACCCATGGCAATACTAGAGTCTAGCAAAAGGGTTGTCCTCTCTGCATGTGACAATAGGCTGTGTTCCACTCCCCCCACATACACCTTGTGCAGCTCCTATAATCTCATTTATCACACTTCTCCAGGTGAGAAATGGTGCCTTCTCACACCCCACCCAAAGTTGTTTCCTAAAGATCTTTCGCTAGGGCGGAGCAGAGAGTGAGATCAAATGATTCAGACAGCCATCTGATTCAGCTTTAAAAAAAAAAAATCCTGGTGGGGGCGCAGTGGCTCACGCCTGTAATCCCAGTACTTTGGGAGGCTGAGGCGGGTGGATCGCCTGAGGTCAGGAGTTTGAGACCAGCCTGGCCAACATGGTAAAACCCCGCCTCTATTAAAAATACAAAAATTAGCCAGGTGTGGTAGCAGGCGTCTGTAGTCCCAGCTACTCCGGAGAATCGCTTGAACCCAGGAGGCGGAGGTTGCAGTGAGCTGAGATCGTGCCACTGCACTCTAGCCTGGGCGACAGAGTGAGACTCTGTCTCAGAACAACAACAACAACAACAAAATCCTTTCCCTCAAATTACCTAAGAAATTGTCCTTTCCTTCTTTGCCCTGAAGACAGTTAATGGGGAAAGTTCCTCCCTCTGCACAGTGAATAAATCCATCCACTATTCCTACCCTAACCCTAAGGCAAAACCTCCCACTCATCCTCCGTCTCTCGCCATCTCTCTGTTACCAACCCTCACTTGGCAATATCCTTCTTGACACGTGGCAGCTCCAATGAGGCACACTCATTACATAGCCACGTAAAAGATAAAAGGTGAATCTGGACCAACTTCTGGAAAATTTGGACTTAAAACATGGAAATGCAGGAGAGACAGGAAATAGAGTTAAATCCCCCAGATTTAGCTATACACATTAATTGAATTAACTAAATAATCATTTGGGTCTCATAGACACCAGCTATTTCCCTGATCCAAGATGTTATCTAGCAGCCTGTATCGCTTCCCAGTCATCCATCCTCTTGACAGGACAGAGCACACATAGAAAATGGTATTTGTATAGCCCTCTGGGGTAAACAGTTGGAGAGTTAGAATCTCTGATAAGGTCAGAGGCAACCAGTCCCCGGTCACTTGGGCCACTTCAGGTCCTGCTTGTCCAGACACAGAGAGGGCTGAGGAAACCAATATTGTGGTGACCAGCTACGAGGCTTAATCCTCATAACCCATAGCCCAATGTCCTCTTATCAAGGTGCTGTCCTATCTCACCCACAGCTCAGCCAATCCAGTAGGTCTTCCTTCCCCACCCTGATCACTGACCCATCAATCAAGATAGCCCTCCCATCCAAGGAAGAGGCCATTTCCCCTCCCACTCCACCCAGGCCAACTGCTATCCCACAGGTTACTCTCTTCTTCATTTTAAGGCAAGCTATTCCAAAGACTAAAAATGCCTAAGATTCTGTCTTAAAAGCTTATCTGCATAGTCATCTTCAAAAGCAAACATGAATTTCTCAAGGAACGGAAACACCCTTAGCCCCTGCCCTTTTCTCCATAGCATCATTCTCTGCCCCACCAAGCCGGAGCTAGGAGGGCACTTTCTCTAGGAGAGGTATGACCTGGAGATGATCTGCTTCAGAGCCACCTCAGGGATCTTGCTTAAAAATGCATATTTTCCCAGGCAAAGTGGCTCATGCCTATAATACCAACAACAGTGGAGGCTGAGGTGGGAGGATCTAAAGGCCAGGAGTTTGAGACCAGCCTGGACAACATAGTGCCACCCCTTTGGTACGAATTTTTTTTTTTTTTTTTTTTGAGACAGACTCTTGCTCTGTCACCTAGGCTGGAGTGTAGCGGCGCAATCCCGTCTCACCGCAACCTCCGCCTCCTGGGTTCAAGCAATTCTCCTGCCTCAGCCTCCCAAGTAGCTTGGACTACAGGCATATGCCACCACACCCGCTAATTTTTGTACTTTTTAAGTAGAGATGGAGTTTCACCATGTTGGCCAGGCTGGTCTCGAACTCCTGACCTCAAGCCTTCTGTCTTCCTTGGCTTCCCAAAGTGCTGGGATTACAGGCATGAGCCACTGTGCCCTGCCAATTTTTTTTTTTTTAATTATCTGGGCCTGGTGTCCTGTGCCTGTGGTCCCAGCTGCTCAGGAGGCTGAGCCAGAAGGCATCACTTGAGCCCAAGAATTGGTGGCTGCAGTGCTATGATGGTGACACTGCACTCCAGCCTGAGCAACAGGGCAAGACCTGTTTCTAAAATAAATAAATTTTAAAAATGCAAATATCCACCCCAGCCCCACCCTCTCCCCCCACCTTCCCCCACATTACTACATCGGAATCCCTAGGGTGAGGCATGGAATCTACATTTTAAACCAGCTCCCAAGGTGATTGTTCCGCACAGTTCCACGTCAGTGTTTGAGAGAGGCTCTGATTTATTCCAGTCCTCTTTCTTTACAGAGAAGGAAAGCAGAAAGCAGGCACCAGAGAGGTGAAATGAGCTTGTCCAAGGTCACAGGTTGTTAAGGTGACCAGAGCTGGACGAAACCCCACCTCTCTCGCTGACTAGCACAGCGCCAGCTAGGAAGAGCCTAGAATAGCGACCAACTGGCAGGCCAAACCGTCCCCTGCCCCTGCCCCTGCCTCGGAGAAGCGGGCCCCTGCACTCACCCGCTTGTAGATGTCCTCCCGGCTGGCCTCATACTTCTGTTGCATGCGCTCCTCCAGGAAGTAGATGCGCAGCTTGAGGCTGAAGTTCTCCTTCTTCAGGTCATTGAGGTGCTGGGACAGAGTGCGATATCCATTAGACATGATGGGCAACCCATGGGGAGGAGCGTGCCCGATTGCCCCCTCAACCCAGGAACATGGTGCAGCTGCACCGCAGCATGAAGCCAGCCGGCTGGGACGCTGCTGAGGCTGCGGACCGAGAGGCTGGGGCTATGGCGACATGGCCCCTATTGCTGGAGCTCTCTCCGGGACTCAGGACTGGGCTCACTGCTCTGGGTGCTGGAGCGCAGCACACTTTCCTTTTTTACCTCAGGGAGATATTTGCGGAATCCCTGACAGAGGAACATGCTGCGTGAACTCAGACACAAGTGGTGTAACCCGACTCCAAGCCAGGACTCTGCTGTCACCCTCCTGGAGCCTCCCAGGCCCAACTGTAGGCAGTTAACAGCTTCTCGGAAAAGAGAGACTGACCCCCAAGAGCTTCCAGGAAAGGGGGAGGGGAGATATTCAAGGTGACAGTGGGTTTGCAAAGAAGAGAAGGAAATAGAGGGTGGGGAGGGGGTATTTAAATGACTTGTGGCTGATTTGGACTATAAGACCAAAAGGAGTGTGGCCAGAAGCAAGAAATAAGTTGCTATAGAAAAGACCATGTACATAAAATGGCCCACAAAGGTAACCGCATGTCAAATATCCCCTTCCTGTCCAGTGCAAATCTTAAAGAGCTTCTAACCAGAGGAGTCTCAATTTCCTTTGATAATCCAGAGCTCACTTCTAATGAGTTCCTTTGCAGTTTTCAGCCCCAAGCTTTTTGAGCTCTGAGGCAGTTCAACTAATAGCCTTTATTGCCATGAGCCTTCCCCCGAAACACACCATAGCTACCCGCAAAGAAAGAGCAAATCTTCTAGCTCAGCGGAATCTTTGCAGACTCTATTTACCAGTTACAAAGCTCAGAAAGAGGCAGGGTCAAGGGATCCTCCCTCCATGGAAGAAGGGATGGGCAGAAGAGAGTGTGGGAGGATGACAGAGAGGGAGCCGTCATCCTGGAGCCCAAAGATTTCAGGCAGTCACTGGTTCTTAACTCTGGCACCTGCCAAGTGGAGCCGGGCACTCATCACCAGATCTTGCTCCTAAAGTAATTTAAGATCCTTGAGTGACAGCTGCAACATTAGCAGGAAGTATTATTTATACCACATTACATTGAAGGTGATGGGAGACAACCCCAGAGCACAGATAACAAACACGGGTTCTTTGTGGCAATAATATTAGGTTGAAAAAATATATATTAACATTCAAGATAAAGGAAACTACAAAATTTACACTTAATTCAAGCCCTCATTTCCTCCCCAACCTACCTGCTTTTCATTCTTCCAATTCCTTCTCAAACCTTCATAATCATTCCAGTCAACAACTCCTGAGTACTCACCAGGTAGGACATTGGGCATGAGGGATATATAGATCAAGAATGTCCCAACCCTCAAAGAGCTACGTGGCCATACAGCTGGCCATGATATGTTAAGATATGTGTTTTACATTATGATCCTCCAAACCTGTGTTTTTCAACTTTTGTATGTTACATTGCCATCTAGCACATATGCATACACTCTTAACTGAAGTAAATGTTTCAAAAAGTAATTGTCACCATCACTATGTGTGATGTCCTCTGATATTTCCTATTTCTTTTTCTGCCAGTGACCCACCCGACGGATTTCATGACCCACTAATAAGTTTCAGCCTGAGTTTAAAAAACGTTGACTCTGGGGGAGCCCGTAAGAAAGAGTAGTCAGTTCTTACTGGGGTGATCAGAGAAAGCTTCATTAGGAGTTGAATTTGCACTTTGCCTTGAAAAATAAAAAATGTTTGAGTGGATAAAGTGGCCCCAGGAGGGCATAATTAGAGTGAAGCATTCTCCCAAATAGATTTAGATTATAAATAGGCAAAATAGGCAAGCCCAAATATTTACCATTTGAAAAAAAAAAACTACACATTTAAAATCCATTTAACTATTTTCACTAAATCTGAATTCTTAGAATTTGAGAATGCCAACTAGGCTTAGTTAGAGACAGTGAAGAAAAAAGTCTAAGTTAAAACAACTCAAAATATCCTTTTCCATTCCCAGTTCTCTTACTAAATAGCTATGTTATAGACCATTTCTCTAGAAGCCTAACTGTCCTCACTTAAAAAATGAAATGGCTTTAAAAATTGGTGATTTTTTTTTTTTTTTGAGACAGAGTCTTGCTCTGTTGCCTAGGCTGGAGTGCAGTGGTGCAATCTCAACTCACTGCAACCTCTGCCTCCTGGGTTCAAGCCATTCTCCTGCTTCAGCCTCCTGAGTAGCTGGGACTACAGGTGCCCGCCACCGCGCCCGGCTAATTTTTCATTGTTTTAGTAGAGACAGGGTTTCACAGCGTTAGCCAGGATGGTCTCGATCTCCTGACCTTGAGATCCGCCCGCCTTAGCCTCCCAAAGTGCTGGGATTACAGGCATGAGCCACCGCGTCTGGCCAAAATTAGTGATTTTTAAGGCCCTTTCCTGGTCTAAGCTCTTCAAGGTGATAACCCAGTTAATATCACCTCCATTTTGCTCAAGGGGAGCCAGGCTGCCAGAGTTTAGATAAGTGTTTAATCATGCTTTGGCTGTCTACTTAGATTCCTTTATCAGGTAAAATAATTTCATAAAAGTTTTACAGGAAGTAAAACTGTGTATGAATCCAGGGTATTCTTATGCATCCTAGATTTCTGTTGGACATTTATGCTTATTTCCTCCATGATATCTTGTTCTTCTATCTCTCTGGATCCTTTTCTGTGTTTTTTGCCAGCTCCTGAAAGTGGGTATTTAAATGATGGTAAGTCCTTAGCCTTCTACTTTTTTTTCTCTTCACATTTTTATCCATGGAGGTTTTATCCACTTTTAGGGCTATACTTTCACCTTCGAAACAATTCCCAAATCTCCAACCGAGTCTTCTCACCCAAGATCTAGCCGTACATATTCAACTCTTGGCTTAGATCATTCAACTTGAGTGTTCCCAAATTCCACCCAAGCAAAGCCTTTCCTCTTACCCTAGCCTGGAAAGACTTCTTCCTCTTTTGAACTCTAAGGCAGATATTAACATTCAACAAGTGTTCATATGCTGCCTTATGATGTGGCTTTTGTTATCTTGAAGGGTTATTTACATCTTTTAGAGTTACGCGACTTTTTGTGTGTTTGATCTTTCCAACTAGTCTGAAGCTGCCCAAGGAAAAAGTCAATGACTAACTAATACATCTTCATAAACTCCTACAGCTTCCATAACAACCTGAGACCTCTCCAACAGCATTCATCCCATTGTGCTGTCACAGTCTGTTTACGATGACCTCAACCTGGCTAGAGTGTTTTGAGAGCTGACAAGGCATATTTTGTGTCCTTGTATTCTTGTTGCATAGTACTCAGGAAGCACTCCCTAAATATTTGTGGAATCAATGAACAGGAAAATATTCCATAAACATTGTACGTTTTGCTTTGTTATATATGGGCTGGCTCACCTGTATTATTCTCATAGATTTCCAATAATATGAAAAAAGTTTGTTTTAATAGTCCTAAATAAACTATATTTGGTAGAACACTTATTCTAGAAGACGTAGAAAAATGACGTTTTGTTCACTTACATTTCTAAGTTTACATGCCCACCCTGATCTTTTCCCTGAACTCCAATTGATATCTGACTGTCTAGTAGAAATCTCTGCTTGAATTTAGACATCACATACTTGTGATATCTAAAACTGAACTCCTGATCTTTCCCAGTAAACATGCTCCTCCCTCACTACACCTTTTTTCAACTTGTAACAACTCAATATTTTCAGATTTTTGAGCCCAAACCTTTGAGTCATTTCTTGATTCATTCTCTCTCCTACATATCATCTGTCTGTAAATCTTACTATGTATATTCTACATTATAGTATATATATTAATAACATATATGGTAGTATATATATGTTGTAGCTGTTGTATTATGTATGTAATATATAATACTATATTATATATACTATTATACTACTATATATATATTTTATATATATGTTATACTACCACTACTGCCACTGGTATTTCTACCACCCTGACCCACAGTACTGCCATCTTTTCCTTACATGATCTGAATAGCCCCTTAACTGGTGTTCCTGCTCCCACTCTTGTTCCCTTGTAGTCTATTCTCAGCACAGCAGCCACAGTGACCCTTTCAAAATACGTCAGATTACTCCTCTGCTGGAGAGCCCCCTGGCTTCCCATCTAACTTAGAGTGAAAGGTGATGTCCCTTCACCAGACTGCAAGGCCTGAGGCCCTACACCCTCTTCTTGCCTCTCCTATTACCTCCTCTACTTCTTCCTACCACTCTCCCTCTGTTCTCTGCTGTAGCCACACTGTTTCTCTTTGTTATTTCTCAAAAACAGGAAGCAAGAGAAGCTTTCTTTTCCGAGGCCTTTGAACTTGTTGACCCTTCTGCTTGGCTGCTCTTTCTCTAGGGAGGTGCACGATTCTCTCCTCACCTTCTTCATCTTTGATTGAATGTCACCTTCTTGGTGAAGTGAATACTCTTTAGGCACCCCATGCCTCATCCCAGCTCTCCGAATCCCCCTTCATTGTTTTTTATTCCGTAGCACTATCACCTTCTAAAATACATTTTCTTATTTATTTTGTTTCTTGTCTGTCTCTCCCCACCAGCATGTAAACTTCCTGAGAAAAGTGGGATGTTTTCTTAGTTTGTTCACTGCTGTGTCACCAGTGCCCAGAACGGTGCCTGATACATAGCTGGTGCTCAATAAATATTTGTTGAATTAAAGAATGGATGAGTAATTAACCTGCTGATTTATTTCTCATTGGAGTAATACAACTTAATCGATACACAAGATTATGTAGATGTTTTAGGATAAAAAGCATACCTAATAGCATTCCTCCTTATAAAAAGATTATAAGTAAAATAAATTATTCTAACAGACTCATTTTAATACACCATGCAGAATCTGGACTTTCTACAACAGTTCCGAACAAATATGGAATCGTATATGACAAATTATAAAGGACAATATGAACTGTACAAATACTAAAAACTGGGCCAGGCACGGTGGCTTATGCCTGTAATCCCAGCACTTTGGGAGGCCCAGGTGAGCAGATCGCATGAGGTCAGGAGTTCAAGACCAGCCCGGTCAACATGGTGAAACTCCGTCTCTACTAAAAATACAAAAATTAGCCGGGCGTGGTGGCATGTGCCTGTAGTCCCAGCTACTCAGGTGGCTGAGGCATGATGATTGCTTGAACCTGGAAAGTAGAGGTTGCAGTGAGCGGAGATCATGCCACTGCACTCCAGCCTGGGTGACAGAGCAAGACTCCGTCTCAGAAAAAAAAAAAGTAAAAACTATAAAAATTAGGAAGGAGAGGTGGCCAGAGAAGGTACCACAGAGAATTGGCACTTTAGCTTGTCTCAAAGGATGAGTTGAGCTTGGATAGGCAGTGGGGAGAACACAAGGCAGTCCAGGCAGGTGGAACATAAGCGAAAGGGCAGTGTGCCCACCAGGCCAAAGCAAAGGGCACATACTGTCCTGAAATAGGCCACAGAGATGAGGGGAAATAAAAAGCCGTCTCAAGGAGATCTTGAAAGCCAGGGTGAGAAGCCTGGAGTTTGCCCCTCCAGGATCCTGGCTCTCAATCTGGATAAGAGTGAGGGGAAGGGAAGTGGAGGTGGGGAGGAGGGCAGTGGGGGTGGGGAGGGCCAGGAACTGCTGACTGGGAAGATTATTTTCTTTGTGTATTGCTTAGGTTTCGTTTTACTTATTTGTTTTCTTGCAGCTTTAACAAACATCAGCGCTGCATGTGGAAACTTGGAAAAGAAAAAAAAAGCTTTAACAAACAAAAACACACATACCTGAGATGCACACGGCAACCTACTAGCTCATGGCAAACAGGCCTATATGTTGATAACCTCTGCATTGCTTAGGAAATAAAACACTGCAGATTCTTGAGCAAGGGGAAGTGCTTCTATCTTTGTTCTTCCTTTTTCTCCTAGTACATATAACATCTTTACTCTGGTCTCAGAATGTTTCTTCCAAACCTTAATGGCTCTCCCCTTCTTTTTCCTTAATTTCTTCATTCCACCCCTGGAATAACGTTCTAGTCCAGACTAGAAATACAACGTAAATAAAGACTCAATCAATGCCAACAGTAGGAGGAGGATTACCACCCAGCTGTTGCCTGTCATGCCCCATTAACACAACCAACCGTCAAGTCTGCCTTTAAAAAACCCAGCTTGACATTTGCTTCATCATATTCAGACCCCCCAGCTAGCTCATATAATGTATGTACTTGAAAACATATTAATTGTTTACCAATCTTTCTCCTAAAAATAAAGCTTCACTAACAAAAAATGATTAATCTTCTTAATGGACACATTCTTTTCAAATATAATCAAACTTCCACAATTTTAACTGTACTAATTTGATATCTGTGGATAATTCTTACCTTTACCTTCCTTGAAAATAAAAATATTTTAAAAATAAGTTAATACGGCAAATAGAAAAACAGAAGAGTAGTGCTTTAAGTAACCCTTGACACTTTACATCAATTTACACATAGACAATAAATATGATCACTATTATACATATTTATCTAGGGTGGGTAGCGTGGAACTGTGAAAAGAGCAATAGCTTTGAACCATGAAGACCAACGTTCAAATCCCGGCTCTCCTTTTTTCTCATTGGGTCATTTTGGGGAAACTACTTAATAGTTAAGTATAGGAAGACAGTCAGAAGACTGGGATCTGGGCAGGATACTAAGAAGGTTGCAACTGTATCTGTAATGGTAACTTTTGTTTTTTCACCTGAGGAAAATAAACTAAAAATAATGTTTTCTAACATTTAGATATTCAACACATGGACAAGTGTTTAATTATTCTTTGTATATTCCTGTTGTTTGTAAAACAGCTTATAATTTTTAAAACTATTTTAAAGGGAATGAAAGTAGGAATTACAGGGAGGCAGTTATCAATTAGATATAAGGATGAATTCTCTAGTAGAGTTAGATGTAATAAAGATATTGCCACACTCTATCCATATGTTTATACATCAAATTTTTACTGAGTACATACATCATGAGACAAAATAAACTTCCTGTCACAAAAGGTGCTTGACCAAAACTCAAGAATCACCTTTCAGGGATACTGTTAAAAGTGTTCCCACATCAGCTAGGAGTTAGCTCTAGAGGGCTTTTAAGATCTTTGGCCATCCCGAAATTCTATGCTTGAAACACGTTTTCTCATAGAAACGCTCCTACCAAAGGCCAGTGAGAGAACTATCACTTTGTGAAGAATTTCAGAATGCCCACTAGCTCTCCTGTAGCCCTAAAAGGTAATGAGAGTCTACCTGTTCAGACTGAGAGCTCCGGCTGCCTTGTGCTACAGAAGCAGTAAGTGCATGTAAAGGACGCCATATTTCTAAGACAAAAGCAGTAACAATGACTCAAGGATGATGCCTAATAGACGATTTAACCTATAACTTTGCTAATTGTCATATTTTCAAAACAGCCCTATGGGAAGGGTACACAAATGTCTGGGGAGTATTTCCTGCTTTTTAGCACCCAGGGAACTACAACCAGGAGCCCAGCTTATTTTGGATTGGGGATGGGGATAGACAAGAAGAGATGGGGCAGGGAGAAGAGACGGCTGGTTTATTTTACATACACATATTTTATTTATAATACATCTCTGTGTCTAGGCGTCTCTATGCTGTTCTCATAAAATCTGAATTATACAAATAAAAGTTTAATTCCTGGCTGTTTTGAATGACTTGGGCCTGTATTACAAAATTAATCAGATACAATTATACTATCTTCACAACAACAATCATCTACATTGGTTTTGACAATGTACAAAGTACTTCCATGTGTATTATTTCGTTTATCTTTACCACAACCTTTGAAGTAGGAAGACATGATGATCCCCATTTTACTGCCTAGGACAGAGAGACATCAGGAGGTTAACTGACTTGTTCACTGAGAAAGCGGAGGAGCACAGACTATAACTCCAACAGTTTGACCCCATACTGCATACGCATCAGGGCCTTAATCATGAGACTGTATGACCCTTCTGAGCCTGGGATTCACTTGCAACTGGGTATTCCCTCTTCTACCTCAGGCCCCCTATACCTTTTCAAAAAGTGTCCTTCACTGTAAATAATCTTCCTGGTGGTGACCCTAAAGGATCTGACAACCTGGATCTACGTAAAAAAAAAAAAAAAAAATTGTTTTCTTCATTTTCAAGATGAATAAACTAAAGTTGGCTCTCAAAGGGTTAAACAAAGAGTTACCATGTGGCCTAGCAATTCCTTTCCTAGTTATATACCCAAGAAAATTGAAAACATATGGCCACACGAAATCTTATATACAAATGTTCATAGCAGCATTACTCATAATAGCCAAAATTGGAAGTATTTCAAATGTCCTTCAACTGATGAATGGATAAACAAAATTTAGCATATCCAAATCATAGAATATTACTCAGCCATAAAAAGGAATGAAGTACTGATACATGCTACAACACAAATGACCTTGACAGCATTATACGATAATGTGAAAGAAGCCAGACACAAAAGGTCACATACTGTATAATTCCATTTACATGAAATGTCCAGAATAGGCAAATCCAGGCAGAAAGTAGATTAGTGGTTTCCAGGAACCAGGGAGAGGGAAACTGGGAAGTGAGTGTTAATGAGTATGAGGTTTCCTATTGGAGTGAGAAACACGTACTGGAATTAGACAGTGGTGATGGTTGCACAACTCTGAATATACTAAAATCATAGAATTGTAAGATTTCAGAAGATGAGCTGTATAGCGTGTTAATCGTTTGAATAAAGCTTTGTTTTTAAAAGAAGACAAAGAAATAAACCAAAGCTGAGAGAAGTAACTAACCCAATCCTTTATCTTTTATAAGAGTTTTTTTAATGATAAAGACTCAGTTAAAGTCCAATTTGATTCAGTTCAGTTAAAGCTAAATGGCTTAGAATGAATCATGTCTAAATATTCTGTATACCAATCCTACCTATATTATAGGGCCCTAAAAGAAGGGTCAGACGAAGTATGCTCTAAGTGGCTCTCAGTACTGAATATTCACAGATTAAGTTTTACAAAAAGGTAAAGTTTTGTGATAACCCTCAGATAAAACAGAAACATATGACCTATGTTTTGACATAAAACATACGTATTTGGCCTGTTCTGAAAAATATGTATAATTTTCACACACCACATTCTACCAAGGAAAATGTCAACCGGAGCCAACCAACTTGGTGTTCCACTCATCAACTCTTTTATGCCAACATGGTGTTTCTGCCCTTGTCTCAGAAGCCAACTACTGATACCTGCTTCAGAAAACTGACTATGAATTCCACAAAGTCCTGCTTTTTTCTTTTGGATTGTACAATCAACAAACAAGTCACCCTTCTAAAACTCTGTTTCTGAAATTTTAACATAATTCCTGAAGTTCCAGAGTCTCTTAAATGCTAAAATATTAACAATACCATTCCATTTTTTCCCCTAACACTCAGAAGCATACTGATACCCATCCTGTACACAGCCTTTTCTTGCCTGATAACAAGAGCACTAATGACAGAGCTATTGCATCAGGTTGATTAATAAACCCCGTCTTAGGCAGCCTCATCATGTGGATAAAGAAAAGGAGTTAAGATGATGTTCCTGCTGCCTTCCCCAACATAGAAACACACCCACAACACCCCCAATCCTGGAATAACCAGATGTTATCTTCATCATCACACTAGAGCACTGTAAACCACATCAAAACAAAACGAAACAAATAACAACTTCCCTGGCCACCAAAAATAGATGGCCCAGCCAGAAATAGTGCTGCCAGAGGCAGTTAAATGAGCTGCAAGGCAGGAATGACAGTTGAGCTGCAGTGATGCTGGGGCCTCCCAAGGATTACCGGACTCCAAACTAGATTCTCCATCACTTTGGTCCAATCAACATCAGCAGGACTTGGTATTTGTTCACAATTGGTTCAACTCAGATTATTTGCTGAGCTTCTGGAATTCAGAGAGAGTGACTTATGGGCTCACCTTTTTCTCTAGATTTTAAATAATCCTTTCTCCATTTTTTTCTAGGAGTGAAGGCAATTTTGAAGGCATGACTACGACCTGCTCTGGCCACAAGAGCTAAGAGTTGCCAGGTGTTGTGGCTCAAACACTTTGAGATGCCAATCCCAACACTTTGAGAGGCCAAGGCAGGAGGATTGCTTGAGGCTAGGAGCTTGAAACCAGCCTGGGCAACACAGCGAGACCCCATCTCTACAAAAAATAAAAAAACAGGCCAGGCGCAGTGGCACTTAGGGAGGCCAAGGTGGGTGGATCACCTGAGGTCAGGAGTTCGAGACCAGCCTGACCAACATGGAGAAACCCCGTCTCTACAAAAAATACAAAGTTTGCCAGTGTGGTGGCACATGCCTGTTATCCCAGCTACTCAGGAGGCTGAGGCAGGAGAATCGCTTGAACCCGAAAGGCAGAGGTTGCAGTGAGTGGAGATCATGCCATTGCACTCCAGCCTGCGCAACAAGAGTGAAACTCCATCTCAAATAAATAAATAAAATAAAGTTTTAAAAAGTCAAAATTATCCAGGCGTGATGGTATGTTCTTGTAGTCCCAGCTACTCAGGAAGCTGAGGTGGGGGATCACTTGAATCCGGGAGGTCGAGGCTGCAGTGAGCCAAGATTGTGCCACTGCACTCAAGTCTGGATGACAGAGCAAGACCATGTCTAAAAAAAAAAAAAAACAAAACAAAACCAAAAACCAAGAGTCCACAGTGATACCATGAATGCCCATGGCTGCAACAATAATGCCTTGACCAGAAGTAGGGGGATAAGGGAAAAGATAGAGCCAACATGAACCCCGATTGACCCTCCCTTGCTCCATCCATGACAGAAAGCCTCCTATTTCTGAATTCACCAGGCTCATGCTGCCTCCAGGACTTTGCATGGGTAGCAGCATTAGCCTAGAATTTCACTTCTCTTTAATTCCCACCCATCTCTCACTTAACTAATCCCAACTCACCCATAAGGATCTAAGTCAGATATTACCTACTAAAAGAAACCTATCTGGCCCTAATGCCTGGGCAAGGGCTTCTCCTGAATGCTTCCACAGCACTGCGGACCTACTCTTATTGTGGCCCATTTCACAGTATATTGGGATTATCTGTTTGACTCTCTCCCCAGTAGATCTGGAGTTCCTTAACAACAGGAAGAATCTTCTTTACTTTTCTTCCAAAAACAGAAATCGCTTTACTGTTTTTTGTTTGTGTTGCTGTTGCTTCAGTGGTCATAAAAGTACTACATGTGCCTGTCTGTTCCAGTTGTTCTCTTTCTCAGTGGAGGGCATAACCTAGTAGTTGACCAAGCAAGAAAACTTGACATCATTTATTCGTTCAAAACAAACAAAAAAGAAGAAAAGAAAAGGGCATGCCTACTATGTACCAGGCATTATGCTAATCACTGTATCTAGAAGTGAAAAGACAACCACTGTCCCTGCTATAGTGAGCTCATGTTCTAACAGAAAAGGCAGACTTTGAACAAATAACTCACGTTATTGAAGAGAGAGGTGAAGGTAGTCTGGAAGTTTACGACAAGGTGACAGTGGGTAGGATGTGAGTGAAGAGATGAATTGGTGATCAGTCGTCTTTGGGTTTCTTCAGCCTCACTGGTTCTACATCCAGTCAATGGCTTAGCTCTATCAATTCTGCCTCTGAAATTTCTTTCACCTGTCCATTTCTCTAATTTTTATACTGGCATCTCCACCAACCTTTGCCTGGAATACTGCAACTGTTTTCTCTGCCTCTAGACTACTCCTCCTATGCAGAGGCCATAAGGAAGCCAAAAGGATCTTTCTAAGAGGAAAATCTGATCATGTCACCTCTCTGTCTAAAAGCTTTCAGCAGTTCCCTTGAGCTCAGATAAAATTTAAAAGCCTTTACATAACTTGCAAGACTCTGTATGATGACTCCTCTCTCTTTTCTCTGGTTTCAGTTCTCTGCATTCCTTACATCCCATTCTCTAGGAATACTGACTATGGTTCTTTCTCTCATCGGGATCTTGATTCAAGCTATTTCCTATGCATGGAACATTCTTCATTCTCACACTACCACCCCCTTATTAGTGGCTACTTCTTATTCCTTCTTCAGGACCCTGGTTAGATGCAGTTTCCTCTAGGAAACTTTCCCTGAATCCCCCAATCTCTTCAGATTGAGTAAGTGCCCAGTTATATATTCCATAGCACTCTTTACTTCTATTACAATAATAATTACATTCTGTTGGAATTTGCTAATCTGTAGACTCTATGAAGGCAGGAACCATGTTTGCCTATTCAATATTGTATCTGCAATGCTTAAGGTATGCTGCACATAGTAAAAGCACTAGAATATTTTTTCAATGAATAGATAATTAAAATAAATATAATACTCAGTTATAAAGAAGGCAATAGGCTAATTCCATCATCCAGACATAATCAATATCAATGTTTTGGTATGTATCCTTCCAGACATTTCCATCTTTTCTCCCTCAAAAATGAGATCTTATTTTTTGTAATATTCAGTCAAATTGTTGTTGCCGTTGTTTTGTTTAATCTTAAATTTGTTATAATGGACATCCTCCCAAGTCAGTACATTGCTCTATAATGTTCTATTGTATATATATTCCACACTTGAAATAATCCTCACCTTGAGTACTAATATTGTATTGGTATAGAGAATACTGAAATATAAACACTCATCCTTGAACATACATTTTCTTTTTTTTGTTTTTTTTGAGACGGAGTCTAGCTCTGTCACCCAGGCTGGAGTACAGTGGCAATCTCGGCTCACTGCAACCTCTGCCTCCTGGGTTCAAGCGATTCTCCTGCCTCAGCCTCCTGAGTAGCTGGGATTACAGGTGTGCACCACCACACCTGGCTAATTTTTGTATTTTTAGGAGAGACAGGGTTTTACCATGTTGGCCAGGCTGGTCTCGAACTCCTGACCTCAGGTGATCCGCCTGCCTCAGCCTCCTAAAGTGCTGGAATTACAGGCGTGAGCCGCCACGCCCGGCCGAAAATACATATTTTCATACATTCATTCTTGATCATTGTGCAACTAACAGCTAGAACATGGCCTGGCACACACGATGCACTCATAAATGGATGAGTGGATTAACAAACAAATGAATAAGGGGGTCAGCTATCAGTAAGCATAATAAAATTGTGGCTAAGAGTTTAGGCACTAGAACCAGTACACTTATGTCCAAATCCCAGCTCCAGCACTTGCCATCAATTACTAGTGTTTTCCTAGCTTCAGTGTCTCTCTACAAACAAAGACAATGGTTGTACCAACCTCAAAAGACTATTAGGAGAACTGAATAAGATAATAAGGTCAAGTGCATTCTCAGAACTTGGCACACTGTAAGCACTTACAAATATTAATTGGTATCATGATCTTTGTTGCTATTTTTTAAATTTAGTATTGGAATGGAAATTATCATTAGAATGGAAACTTTGCAAAGTCCACAGAAAGAAAGATAGGGCTTCTCTTCGAACAACGGGAGAAGAGAAGAAAACAAGTTTTAATGAGGAGACAGAAAGGAGATAATTTAAAATTACGAAAAGAATTATTCTAATTCAAGTGCTACATTCTCTGTGAAAGTGGTTGCTCTCTTTTCTGTGTTGGTAATCATACCTTTCAGAATGTTCAGGGTTGTCCAACTTTTGTAATTTCATTCTTTTTGATAAAGTTTCTTTATTAATTGCATGACCAAATGTAAGCTAATATTTACAACTTTGAAAAGTTTACACACGCACACGCGCGTGCACAAATTAGAAAAAATGTTCTATCCCAGTATTTAAGATTTATTTATTTATTTGAGACAGAGTCTCACTTTGTCGCCCAGGCTGGAGTGCAGTGGCTCGATCTCGGCTTACTGCAACCTCTGCCCTCTGGGTTCAAGCGCTTCTCCTCCCTCAGCCTCCTGAGTAACTGGGATTACAGGCATGTGCCACCATGCCTAGCTAATTTTTGTATTTTTAATGGAGATGGGGTTTCACCATGTTAGCCAGGCTAGTCTCGAACTCCTGACCTCAGGTATTCGCTCACCTCAGCCTCCCAAAGTGCTGCAATTATAGGCATGATCACCACACCTCGCCATATTTAAGTTTTAAAAACATACATTAGTTTGGCAAGTACTCCCATCTTGAAATATCTCTTTCAATATTGCCTTAGATGTTATTTAAATTAAATCTTGTATAATTTAAATTTTTTTATGCCCCAATCAGATTGTACATTCTTTGAGAATGGAATCTCATGTCCATCTTTGTATATTCTACAGCACTCAGAAGCATTCCTTTTACTCTGTAGTTCTATAAGAAAAAAAGTAATTGATTTGATTCATATCTTTGGTAATGTTGCTTAGGAAAGAAAACTTTGCATGGAAAGTCTGTGGAATGCCTGTGTGTGGAAGCCTTCTGTTTCCCTTTTTAAACATGAGATTGAAAAGGGAAAACAAACTGCACTTGTGATTGCTGAAAGTTTAATATTTACCCCCTGCCTCCTAGTAACTTTTTGAATGTCTTAAGATACCAGTGAAAACAAAACCAGTATGTTTGGGACACTGTGGTTTGGAAGAATGAATGCATTTTTTTTAAATAAAAATGCACTTCACTAGTAGTATTCATTTTCCAAGGCTGTAATTAGAGAGAAACACTCGAGAAGCACCAAAATTGTGGAACATAAAGAGGGCAGTGACAGGACCCCAATTAACCTAAATTAGCACAGGTTACCCAGACTGTGATAACTCAGAGCTCCAGAAACTCCCCAAAATGAAAAAGCCTTCTGCTTTTAGCACTTTTTTTTTTCTTTTTTCTCCCCAAAGACTTCAAGATTCAAGTGGAAAAGTTCACCAGGATGGGTGGGACCTGAACAGGCTGACTCACTGCGGTTAGATTCAGACTGCCAAGGAAAGCTGCAGAGTACAGTTAGGCATACACTACAGCTGGTTTTGATGATATTTTCTTGTTAAAGACAACATTATTAGAAAAATGTGTAAACAGGACAGGGCAGTGGAGGCCCCCTCTTGATTTTATAGCCAAAGACTCCCACCCTTCCGTGGCTTTTCTGTACCGTCTGCCATGTTGATTCTATGTAAAAAACCCAAATGCAGGCATTCCACCAATGTAATGCTCTCCTTCTCTGAGAGTCCTTTCATTTCCCCAAGAGCTTTGGAATCATTGGAGTTACAGTGGTTCCGTTACTTTATTCTTATATAACTTTGGGCAAGTTATTTGAACCTTGATCTCTTCACTAGTATAATGGTTGTAAAAATAATATCTATCTCATAAGTTAGGAAAATGAACTGAAAATACACTAAATTAAATATGTCAAATATCTAGAAAAGTACCTGGTGCATAATGAGCACTCAAATAGTATTTATTGTTATTAGCTACTATTGTGATCTTCTTAATAAATCCTGTCAAATATTATTTCAAAAAGACTCTTTCTCTCCCGTCCTTTTCATTTTTAGTTTTATCATTCCATTTAAAGTGGAAAAGAGGCCAGGCGCGTAGTTCGCGCCTGAAATTCCAGCACTTTGGGAGGCCAAGGAGGGTGGACCACTTGAGGCCAGGATTTGGAGACCAGCCTGACCAACATAGCGGAACTCCATCTCTACTAAAAATGCAAAACATTAGCCGGGTGTGGTGGCGGGAGCCTGTAGTCCCAGCTACTCAGGCAGGAGAACTGCTTGAATCCAGGAGGCAGAGGCTGCAGTGAGCTGAGATTGCACCACTGCACTCCAGCCTGGGTGACACAGCAAGACTCCTTCTCAAAAAAAATGAACAATAAAAAAATAAAGTGGAAAAGAAATGTACATTTCTTGACTTCCTAGTTTCCCATCCTACCCAATCAACTAACACACCAATACCCTCCTTAAAACTATTCAACTTATTGTGAATACCAGGTAGAGGCAGAAGAGATACAAATCCAATAGGATATCTAATTTTTAATACTTTTCAGCTAGTTTAGTTGATGAATATTTACTGAGCACTTACTATGTACTACATTATGCTATATTCTAGAGACTAGAAAAGAATGGGCAAGAGGTGTTTTCTGCCCTCAAGGAGCTTAGAGTCTTGGTATATATTCTGGGATTAGAGAGTAAGAGAAGGCATCCTAAAATTAAAAAATAAATAAATTTAAAAAGGCACCTGAGCTGAATCTTGAAGGATGAGTAAACTTTAACCAAATAAACAATAGGAGAGAAAAGGTTTTCAAGGCAGAGGGAACAGCAGGTACAAATAAATGAAAGTATGAAACAGCTTTGAATTGCAAGCAGTTCAGAATTAATAGAGTAAAAATCATGTAATAGAGAATACTGGAAGACAAAAGTGGATTTACAGTTTACCTAGAGAGGCAGGAATCTGGTAGGATTTCAATCTGCATCAATCTAAATAGGAGGAACTAGTGATTCCATTTCCAAATAAGCCAACACCTTCATTAGCACCAAACTTTCACCAGCTGAGTTCCCCAACATAGGACATGCCCACTATCTTTAGGTCACAAAGACATCAGGTGTTTTCAGGCTCAATCATGAGTTATTGGACAAGTTCCTTTGTTATTCTTTTTGCCATTAGTTCATCATTTGTAAACTGGAATAATAATCATGGCTTTTCTTTTTTTTATTATATTTGAAGTTCTGGGATACATGTGCAGAACGTGCAGGTTTGTTGCACAGTATACGTGTGCCATGTTGGTTTGCCACACCCATCAACCCGTCATCTATATTAGGTATTTCTCCTAATATTATCCCTCACCTTGCCCCACAGCCCCTGACAGGCCCCTGTGCGTGATGATCCCCTCCCTGTGTCCATGTGTTCTCATTAGTCAACTCCCATTTATGTGTGAGAACATAGGGTGTTTGGTTTTCTGTTCCTGTGTTAGTTTGCTGAGAATGATGGTTTCCAGCTTCATCCACGTCCCTGCAAAGGACATGAACTCATTCTTTTTTTATGGCTGCATAGTATTCCATGGCGTATATGTGCCACATTTTCTTTATCCATTCTAACATTAATGGGCATTTGGGTTGGTTCCAAGTCTTTGCCATTGTTAATAGTGCTGCAATAAACATACGTGTGCATGTGTCTTTATAGTAGAATGATTTATAATCCTTTGGGTATATACCCAGTAATGGGATTGCTGGGTCAAATGGCATTTCTAGTTCTAGATCCTTGAAGAATTGTCACACTGTCTTTTACAATGGTTGAACTAATTTACACTCCCACCAGCAGTGTAAAAGCGTTCCTATGTCTCCACATCCTCTCCAGCACCTGTTGTTTCCTGATTTTTAATGATCGCCATTCTAACTGGTGAACATGCCTTTTCACAAGGTTGTTGTAAATGAGATCATGCTGTCACATACTTAGAGCAATATCTGCCACATAGAAAGTGATCATCAAATGCTAGCCAGTATTATGTATGTGCTGCTGAAGTCTTGCTCATTCCAGAGATGCTGCAGCTGGGTGCTGTGATCAGCGAGAAAGCATAGGGCAAGGGATTTTTCTCAACACATCATTGTGACCATTTGTAGGTAAAATTTATTTCTGATCCAATAATGTGTTCAGATTTATGATCATGGTACATAAACTTATGGCCCTGAAAAAGTCACAATTTCCGTGAGTCCTGGTTCCCTCACTTAAAAAATGGGGAGAGTGATGCTTGTTCCGTGTCTTATAAAGACAAAATAAAACAACTTATGAGATACACTTAACCCACTGCTCAATACACTAAACCCACTGCTCAATACACTAAACCCACAGAGAATCCCTTCATCAGTGGATTCTCTGAGTGGGGAAAAGCGCCTACATAACGAAGTTGGTAAGGTTGGGAAATTAATTAAATCACTCACTCATTCAAAAATACAAATGAAGCATATATGCTAAGCAATGCCCTCCTTTCATCATGGAGTGTAATACCTATTGACCTCAACCTGACAAACATACAATTGGAGTTTGTATACACATACAACCATGCTGTTGGTTGTGGGTGGAGAATGAAAGAAAAGAAACACTGTTGTATGTTGGAAATGTTGCTTTCTTTGTCCCTTTTTTCTACACCAACATAAATGATAATTGTCACTTTCGCTTGTTAATTGACTAATTATGTTTTGGTTCCATAATGTGCCAGTATTTGCATTTTTAGTCTGTTATCTCTTTCCCTGTAATCAAAGAGCCTTTTTTCTCTAGAATTTCCTACATCAGCAAACATTTTAGAGGTAACTGCATTACTGAACAATTATAATTACTTTTGACAGATTGAGTACTTTTAGTATTACTTCTCTCCTGTTCTAACTCTCTTTTTCTTACCTCTCTATAGTCCAGTCTCTTATTTGAACATATCTCTCTTCCTTCCCCCAAATCTCCCCTCTGTCTGGAATATTATACTCTACTTCCCTGACTAGTAAAATCTAACTCAGCTTTGGAGACCTTGCTCAACGTGAAGCCCCCAGGAGAAATGTCCTCTGGTAAGAGGCCTTTCCCTACTCCTTTAATAAAAGTAGACATTTTCTCTCAAGATCTCAGAGTGTACTGTCCTTATCTCTATGAAAGCACTTGCCATGCTATATTGTATTTAATGCAATGTCTGTACTTCCAAATAGACTATAACTATCTAAGGGCAGGAACTAAAGTATCTCATTTAATGTGATCATGTGTTTGTTGCATGGATAAATGAAATAAGAAGGGATTCCTGGCTGCTTCTTCCAGGCCTGTCTCCCTTTGTCTTTAAGCCCTGGAGGAGTCGACCCTACTTTGGCAAAAAACATTTAGCATGTCCCCTCCTCTCTCTGAGTACTGCTACCTATCCTATATCCCAAGGCTACCAAATGCATATTTTAAACTTTACAGAAAATACCATGTTATTTAGTATTTTACCATTTTTAGGGTAGGGCATAGGAATGTGTTCCTATCTCTCCTGTATTTTTTCTAACCAATGTTTTCTCTAATTTTTAAACCCTTTCATGGAGGCGTTTTGTATTTTAGGTGCTGTCATTCAGAGTCCACAGGATGGATGAACGGATATGAAAATGAACAAACGTGTGACACAACACTGCATGATTTACCGGCAATGACTTTCTGATCAAGCCTGAAGTGGGTTGTAGCCTCTTTATTTACTTTTTATTTGACACATAGCAGAGAGAGATTTAAACTATCTCTTATTGGCCTTTTCCCTGCGTCTTAGCTTGGTTTCTGTCAGTGTTTCCCAGCATCGAGAAATAAGGACTAATCTGTCATATTAGATCTAAACTCTAAAAGAAAAGGACTTTGGGCCTTATATCTGCCACCCATTCTTTCAATGGAGGTGACACCCCTCATTTCTATATTTCCAGTCATCTCTCAATGAAAAGGAACATGCAGGCTGGCTGGCCTTTGGAGAGCACCCCACACAGTTTTGAGGAGCTCTGCAGCTCTGCTTGCCCTTTCTGCATCACAGCAGATCCAAAAGGTGAAAAAAAAAAAACAAAAAAAGGAGGGGGTTGGGGTGTTAGCATCCTTGCTTCCCCCACCAGCACCACACAGCTGTTCGGAGGTTTAGTCTTCAAAAGCCTCTTGATTACCATGCAAACTCTCCATGTCTTAAAAAAAACATACACACAGTATACATGAGAATGCTAAGCATAAAATTTGAAGAATAGGCTGTTAATTCTTAGGCACACGTTATATGGTGCATATTCTTTGCCCACAGAAATATCTGGTAGGATGTACAGAAAGTATTGGTGAAATATTTCTACTTACAAATTGAGGGAAGATGGGGTAAACCCATGTCAACACAAAATTTTTTGAGATTAGAATTTTACTTTTTTTTTTTCTGTCAAAAGTTATCAATTCCAATTCCAGAATGAGAGAAACCCCAGTATCTCACAGACTATTTACACATTATTTATGTGGGACCTGCTTGCTGGGTATCCCTGAGGGGGCACCAAAGAGCTATTTCTTTCTTCCTTTTTTTTTTTTTTTTTTTTTTTAGAGCACAAGAGTATAAGAAATTCCGGCTGCCTGTTTCTGGGCTATTTAAATCCCAGTAGACATGCTCTCTTGTACAGACTTCCTGGGCTCAACCCAGCTCACAGGGAGCTGGGGAATCTGTATTACATTATCAGTTATTGTTTTTGGTCAAATCTAAGGACAAACATATGAAGAAGCAGAGCATGCAGCACTGGTTCAGGAGGTTCAAGCAACATTATCAGATTCTTGTTGAGAAACAAATGGTTGTTACTGTGCCACCCCACACTGCAGACAATTCCTAGATATCGAGAGAGGTCCAAGCTAGCAACAGAGAATTTAATACTAGCTGCTGGACCGGGACTCCTGGGCTCACTATGTTGCAGCTACAGATTCTCAGAATGCCATTTAAACTTCCTGAGTTTATCTGAGAAGTAAACCAAGGGTGTAGGTGATGAGGCAGCATTTACTGGTACAGTTAGTCCCCCCTTATCCACAGTTTTGCTTTCCATGGTGTCAGTTACCCACAGTCAACCACAGTCTGAAAATGTTAAATAGAAAATTCTAGAAATGAACAACTCATAAATTTTAAATTGCACATTGTTCTGAGCAGCATGATGAAATCTCGTGCCATCCACTCTATCTCACCCTTGAATCATCCCTTTGTCCAGCACATCCAGGCTGTATATATCGCCCACCAGTTAGTCACTCAGTACTGTCTGGGTTATCAGATTGTTGCAGTATCACAGCGCTTGTGTTCCAGTAACTCCTATTTTACTTAACAATGTAAAAGTGCAAGAGTAGTAATGCTGGTATATTGTTATAATTGTTCTATGTTATTATTAACTACTGTTAGCCTCATTAACATTTAATTTATAAATTAAACTTTATCCTAAGTATGTATGTATAGAAAAAGACATAGTAAATATAGGGTTCAGTACTATGCAGTTTGAGGCATCCAAAGGAGGGACTGCTGTACAGGCAAGGGTCCATAACCACACCCCCCAGCACACAGCTGACAGAGCATATGTTTATTGGGACATGCTCTTGAAAGAGACACCATAATGATAATACCATCCATAATCCGGACCAATCCATGGGTCATATTTTTATCAGGCATCACTATTCCATAGTACTGCTTCTAATTGGGATAACAATTATCCACTCACATGACTTACCTTCTCAAAGTCTCGAAGAGCCTGGGTCTGTACCTGAGGGGGTTTCTCAAATGCTCTCAAGGAATATGTCTGCACAAACGGGACCTTTTCACCACTTCTCCAGATCTGTGACTGCACTGGAGGGCCTCGATCTTTAGTGTCACTAAGAAAAGCTGTCAATGAAACAGAACAACAAAAAAAAAGGTTTATATAATAACAGCACTAGGATCATTCTAACTGGCACATTCCAGCAGAATTCAGTTTCTGCAAAATACAAACTCAATCTAGGCCACATAGAAACAGTTTACTTAAAGTAGTCTGTGGTAGATCATATTAATAGCCATCCCCAGTGAATCAAACTAGTTTGGGTCCATAGGCCTTTGCAATGTGATACTCCTGCCATTAAGAAGTAGAGCCTATTTCCCCAACTCTTGAATCTGGGTTGGCAAAGTGGCTTGCCTTGACTGGCAGAATATGATATAAATGCTACTGTATGAGTTCCAGAGACTAGCTTTGAGAGGCCTTGCATTTCTGCTCTTGCCTTATTAGCATCCCAAGACAACCATGCTGTGAAGAAGTCGGTCTACCCCACTGGAGAAGGAAAGGCTGTTCAGGGAAGTGAAGATGCCCCAGCTGACAGCCACCACCTGCCAGACATGTGAGCAAGGCTGTCTGAGACCTTCAGTCTCAGTCAAGCCATCAGAAAGTTGCAGCCAGTTGAGTGATCCCAAGTGAGACCAGCAGCGATAATGCCCAGTTTGCCAAAACAGAATTGTGAGAAATAATAAATCATTGTTGTTTTAAGCCAGGTGTGGGCAGACATTTTCTTAAAGGACCAGACAGTGTTTTAGGCTTGTGGGTCATAT
Organism: Homo sapiens; assembly: GCF_000001405.40. NCBI lineage: Eukaryota > Metazoa > Chordata > Mammalia > Primates > Hominidae > Homo > Homo sapiens. The sequence goes on from NC_000001.11 coordinate 149,262,485, forward strand.
CATCTCTGGCACAGGTACTCAACTCTACCCTGTAACACAGAGCAGACACAGACCATGTGTAAATGCATGAGTGTCACTGTGTGGCTATAAATCTTTACTTATAAAAACTGACTGTTGGCCCATGGGCTGTAGTTTGCTGCTGACCCCTGTTTTAAGTCACTAAGTTTTGGGATGGTTTGTCACATAACAAAAGGTAACCAAAACAGTCTAAAGGAAAGAACCAAGCTGCTAGCAAACTATCTCTACCGATAATTTTTCAGGTTACTATTTAGTAATAGTAACAATTATAACAGCCAACATATTTAAAGGGCATTACATGTTACAAAATAGTTTCACATGAATTATTTCATTTATGAAGTCGCTGCAATCAGTGAAATAGACATAAGTGATTATTAAGTCCATTTTACTGATGAATAAGTAAAGATTCAGAAAGTTTGCTTGACCAAGATCACATTGCTAAAAAGTGGCAGAACCAATCCCATCTTTTCTCCATCTGTCTTTCTTAGCAGTATGCTACTACTGTGTTATTTTAGCAATTAAAGGGATTGCAATAGGTCTGAGAGTGGGGAAAACAGGTAAAGAGGCAGAGACTCAATCACTCCATTAACCAATGGAAGCATTGCTTTGGGAGAACCTAGTGGAGTCTAAGCTGTAATTAACCCTATGCTTGCTTTTGAGAAGTAACATTGTTAAAGAATGAGAAAGCAAAGCCTCTGTCAAACAAAGTACACAGAGGACCTCATGTTGGGGCAGGGTTGGAGTTACAGACAGGTAGAAAACATAGAAAGCTACATACTTTCTTGGCTGACAGAAGGAAATAATGAACTTTTATTATGGAACTATTTTTTAAATAAGAAGACAGTCATGGCAAAGCATTAAGCGCTACAGACAGTGTCAGGGCAAGTAAGAGCAAAACAGGTACTGGGTGACTGCCTGGCTGAGGAAAAGTTAACTAGACACTTGGGGAAAGGAGATCCAAGGGAGTAAGAGGCAAAATGCCTTTGCATGCTTTTCTTCCTATCTCTTTTTCTTTCTCTCCTTCTCACTCTCTCCCTTCCTTCCTTTCTTCCTTTCTCTTTCTTTTTTTTTTCTCTTTTCCCCCACCTCTCTGCCTGCCTCCTTCCCTCCCCTCCCCTCCCTTCCCCCTCCCTCCCTCCCTCCCTCCCTCCCTTCCTTCCTTCCTTCCTTCCTTCCTTCCTTCCTTCCTTCCTTCCTTCCTTCCTTCCCTCCCTCCTCTCTCCCTCCTTCCCTGCCTTCTTTCCTTCGTTCTGCCAACTTGCCAGAAGGAGCCCAAGAAAAAGCACCCAGATGCTTCAGTCAACTTCTTAGAATTCTTCTTTTTTTTATGTTCAGAAAAGATGGAAATTCATTTCTGCTAAAGAGAAAGAAAAAATTGGAAGACAGGGTGAAGGTGAACAGGCCCATTATAAGAAAGAAACAAAAATCTATATTCTGTCTACAAGGAAACGAGAGAGAGAAAGAGAGAGAAGAAAGAAGTTCCAGGATTCTAATGTACCAAAGGGATCTCCTTTTTCTTGTTTTGTTCTGAAAATTTCACCAAAAGAGCACAGGAGAACATCTTGGCTAATTCATTGGCGATGATGTAAGAAAACTGAGAGAAATGAAAGAAATGAAGAATTACTGCTGCAGATAATATACAGCCTTGAGGAAAGAAAGGCTTTTAAGATTATAGATATAAAGGCTATTGCTGTATTCTGGGATAAAAGAAAGTCTGATGCAGGGAAAGGGGAAGTTGGAAAAACTGGAAAAAGAAAAAAGAAGAAAAGAAAAAAAGGACTGGAAAGACATTGGTGAATAGAAAGATGAAAAGGGTGAAGAAAAAAATGATGATGGTCAATAGGGTGGTTTTAAAAGAGGCTTTTGTTTTATTAATTTGTTTTTGTGTGAGTGTGTGTGTATGTGTTTGTTTTTTGCCTAAAAGTATTTAACTCCGCATTACACCACTGATTTCAAAGAAAAAAAGCTGAAATGTAAGATCATATGATTTGTTTTTAAACTGAACACTGTATACTGTCTTTTTATTTTTGCAAAATTAATGTAGTATCCAGTGTGTCTTTAGATAACCCTGTCCTTAATGATATTTTCAATAGCCACTAACCTTGCCTGGTACTGTTTCGGGGTTTAAACTAGAACAGAAATTTAAGGCAGGCTTTATTAGTGCATAGTACAAATCAATTACATATATATGGAGATATTATTTTTCCCTCTTCAATTGTTTTTCGTGCAGCTTACCCAATATAATTGTTCTGTTAGTTGTACACTACTCTGTGATAGCAAATAATAATAATAAAATAATTATGATGATATTGCCCCTGTTTTGGTGATATTCTGAATGTTTATACGTAAATGCAAAATTTTTAATTAAAAGTAATTAGAGGCTGGGCATGGTGGCTCACACCTGTAATCCCAGTTTTTTGGGTGGTTGAGGCAGGTGGATCACTTGAGGTCAGGAGCTCAAGACCAGCCTGGCCAACATGGCGAAACCCCATCTCTACCAAAACTACAAAAATTAGCCAGGCGTGGTGGCAAGCGCATGTAATCCCAGCTACTCGGGAGGCTGAGGCAGGAGAATTGCTTGAACCTGGGAGGCGGAGGTTGCAGTGAGCCGAGACGGCACCACTGCACTCCAGCCTGGGTGACAGAGCAAGACTCTGTCTCAAAAATAAATAAATAAATAAATAAATGTAATTAGAAAAAATGATTTCTTCCACATTTAGGTGAAATTAAATATACTACTAAGGGGAAGATAATCTGATAAAACAGAATAACAATACATTACAGTTAGATTGGTGGATATGATAGAAAGAGCAATGCCTTGAGGCTTGGATTTGAATCCTGACCACTTGCTAATTGTGGGAATTTAGGCAAATCTCTTAATTTTGCTGATATATTGCCTCTGTAAAACAGGGGTAATAATATCTGCTTTATAGAACTGTTATATGGATTAAATAAAATAATAAAAGCACCTTGCCACATGTATTATATGTAGTAAGCATTTTATCCATTCCCCTCACATTTTTGCCCTAGTCCTTCAATTTTTGCCTCAAAATGTAGAATATTGACATTTAAAATGTTGAGCACAGTAACCCTTGGAATTTGTGGATTTAACACACATTTCAAATACTAATTTTAAGTGACTCTGAAATTCTTAACTTATTCAAATTAAAAACTTTTTTCCAAATTGTGCATATAAACAATCTGTGCTTCCAGGCTGTTATGAAAAAGGCAAAGAACTTAGCAAGGAAGTAAAACCCTCAGGTCGAGAACAAGTTTTGTGGAAAATAGACCCCAAAAGAATGTTATCTTCCCTTTGGTTTTGCAATTCAGGTAGATCTCTGGCTAATGTTAGTGTAGTAATAATTGTGCTGTTGTTAGGAATACATTAATAGTGACAATAGATAAGATACAGAGTGCTTATTCCTTGATAGCCTCTGTACTAAAAGCTTTTCTCAATCTCACCTATGAGATTAACATTATTATTATACCCATTTTATTTATTTATTATTTTATTATTATTTAATTTTTTTTGAGACTGAGTCTGCTCTATCACCCAGGCTGGAGTACAGTGCCACGATCTCAGCTCACTGCAACCTCTGCCTTCCGGGTTCAAGAGATTATCCTGCCTCAGCCTCCTGTGTAGCTGGGATTACAGGCGTGGGCCACCATGCCTAGCTAATTTTTGTATTTTTGGTAGAGATGGGGTTTCACCATGTTGGCTAGCCTGGTCTTGAACTCCTGACCTCAGGTGATACGCCCGCCTCAGCCTCCTAAAGTGCTGGGATTACAGGCGTGAGACACCATGCCCGGCCTATTATACCCATTTTAATGGTGTATTAAGATAAAGATTTCATTTTAGTAACATAATTTATTTTAATCATTGTACAAGTGAGTTTAGCCTTGCAATTACAGAATCGTTAAAAGTATGAAGAATTCACATAAGTATCTGTAATGATTTACTGTACTATGCTGCTTCTCAGTACATAGAATTATAGCTAGCTTATAATTCTCGTGTGAAATTGCTACAGTAGTATGTGCAAATTTGGAAATTCACAAAAGTTTGAAGATATTGCCATGATGAATTTAAAGAGGCCATAATTCAAGAGAATTAAGATCAATAGAAAACCAAGAATTGGCCAAGTGCCAATTTCTCTCACACACTTTGGAAAGCTGGAGTGGGTGTATTGCTTCAGGTCAGACATTCAAAACCAGCCTGAGCAATATAGCAAGACTCCCACCTCTAAAAAAAAATATTAAAAATTAGGCATATGTCTATAGTCCCAGCTACTCAGGAGGCTGAGGTGAAAGGATAGCTTGACCCCAGGAGTTTGAGGTTGCAGTGAGCTATGATCACACCACTGCACTACATCCATAGTGAGAGAGTGAGACCCTGTCTCAAAAGAAAACCAAATGAATAAACAAAAGAAACAAAGAATTTAACAAGGCAAGGCCCACAGCATCCTTACCTGCTGTGTGACTCGTTCTGGGTACCATCTCCCCATCATCCTCTGCAAAATAATCTCTGTGGAGGCAAACACATCATTAATTAATGAGATACTACCCCACAAGGCTCCCATCCCAGGGATCGAGGAGAAGACACCTACCTATTTGTCATTTCTATTTATCTCTCTGCAAGTATTTACTAAGCTTCTATTATGTATCAGGGACCGTGTCAAGTGCTAGGGATACAAAGGCAAACACCACAGAAGAGTTCCTATTCTCAATAAGTACATGAGAGCCAGCCATTAAATAATTTCACAAGAATTAACTACTATTGTAGTAAATGTTGTGAAGGAAAATGCAGAGGGAACTTAACTAGCACAGGGACTCAGAGAAACTCAGGGAAAGGAACATTTAAACGTAGATGGGAGGATGTCAACCAGGTGTAGAATGGGAGAATGGGAGTGGAAGAGTGTTCCATCATGAGAGAACAGCAAAGGCCCTGAGTCAGAAAGGACTCTGGCCTGTTAGAGGAACAAAGAAAGCCAATGTTGCAACCAGGCCACGCAGGACCTTGTGGTATGGGGTAAGGCCACTGAGTCTAATGTGAAAAGCTACGGGAAATCAATGAAGGATTTTAAATTAAGGAAAGAATGGCAATGATCAGATTTATATTTTAGATAGGTCATTCCAGCTGCATTCTGGCTCTACACAGTGAGACTGTGGAGGGGCAAAAATGGATGGTGAGAATCTATATTCCAAATAGGAAGTTGTGATGGTTTAACAAAGGGGAAATTTTAAAAATTTAAGATATGTTTAGAAAGTAGAATTGACACAGAAACCTTGAAAAACAGACAAAGTTTATGAGTGGAAATGTTAATAACACCATGATTCAGTAGCAAGAGGTGTATCTGTTCAGCATAGTAAATACCACCATCCCTAGCAGAGAGGGGACAGTATCTCAAAATGTATTCAACAAATACTTCTCAAGCCCATGCTCAACAAGTGCTTTTAGGCACTGTTGTAAGCTCCACAAATGTAGCAGTGAGCAAAACAGACAAAAATCCCTGCACTCATGGAATTTTTACAGTAAGGGGAGACAAATAAATTGTATAGTAGCAGTTGGGAACAAGTGCTATAAAAAAAAGGAAAGTGGGGAATGTGGATAGGGAGAGCTGGAGGTAGGAGGAGGTAGAGGGGATTGCAATTTTCAGTAGACAAGGCTGCTCTATGAAGCCATAAGGACAGGCATGGGGGTCTCTAGGGAAAGAGTCTTCTAAGCAGAGAACATAAAATGCAAAGGCCCATAAGAGGGAGCATGCTAGTTAGTGGCTGGGTGCAGTGAGCACGTGGTGAGCAGTAGGAGGTGAGGTCAGGGAAGTAATGGGAAGACTGGGCAGGGGGCGCAGACTGTTTGAAGCCTTTCAAGACATGGAGAGGCATTTAGCCACTAGAGTCTTGTGAATCAAAAAGAAAGACGGACTCAGTGACTAATGTTTTAAAGGGGGACTGTCTACTGTCTTGACAACTGACTGTCTGATGGGGATGTCAGAAACAGATGATTTCAATAACCCTACAGAAAGATGCTTTCAATAGGTAGCTTATTCTTTAAACTCTTGGGGGCTCCCAAGAATTCTGTAAACAGAGATGTAGAGGACTTCTCTCTTTCTCTCTTTTTTTTTTTTTTTTTGAGACAGAGTTTTGCTTTTGTTGCCCAGGCTGGAGTGCATGGCACGATCTCGGCTCACCACAACCTCCGCCTCCCAGGTTCAAGCGATTCTCCTGCCCCAGCCTCCCCAGTAGCTGGGATTACAGGTGCCTGCCACCATGCCCGGCTAATTTTGTATTTTTAGTAGAGGCGGGGTTTCTCCGTGTTGGTCAGGCTGGTCTCGAACTCCTGACCTCAGGTGATCCGCCCGCCTCGGCCTCCCAAAGTGCAGAGGTTACAGGCATGAGCCACTGCGCCCAGCCTACAGGACTTCTCTTTTTAAAAGCCAGAAGATATTCACAGGGAGGCAGAGGAGGACCTGGCATTTGCTTGGAAATTGGTGGTTTTTTCTTCCCTGCCTCAGGGCTGGATCTTGGCAGAAATCTTCACTTTGTTAAGTCCCAGATGGACATGAAAATACCAGACAGGGCACATCGGGCTACACATGCCACCTGACAATTATTTCGTATCCAAAAGTAGATCACCAGCTTGTGATTCTTCCAGGCCCCCTGCCTCTTTCCCTTCTCCTCCTTAAAAGCTTTCCCTGAGAGTAAACAATGCCAAAGAGGAATGTACTACGTATGCACTCCCCTCTGTGGAGGTAAAATAGGAGAAGGATGTCAAAACCATCAACCAGAACAATGTCTTAAAAAAATCTGTGGGGAAAAAATTTATACTTAGCTGCTGCTATTCACTGAGCATTTCTGCCTAGTCCACAGACAAAGGTGGCTGCATCTGCTGTCAGGAGCAAGGTCAACCCTCAGGCCAAATTCAGCCCATCCGACATGTTTTATTTAGCCCACACAAGTTTGACCCACTTCTAACTGCTCTTGGGAAATGAGTGGGTCTGCCAACACTGGGCCTGCCTTCCCACACAGCGGGAGAACTTGCCCCCTTTACACAGGACAGGGATGTGTTTTCCAGTTTGCCACAGTCCCTGCCACTCCCTGTCCTTGTCGTCCCTCATTCACTTAATTATGATACTTGCCTGGCATCTTGCAGGTTTCTGATGCTGTTACCCCAGTATAGACCAAGTGCAGACAGAATTTCATTTCTGCTTTATTAAGGCACAGTCTTGAGAAACCCATTGGCTTCACACACAATTAATTAATTTGTGGCAACAAGCTACTATATTGGCTTGCATGTCACTTTCACCTCTCTGGGCATTAGTTTTCTCTAATATTTATAAAAGAAGGACATGACTTTCTAAGGTTCCTTGCAGTAATTATGCAGTTCTATTCTAATAGATGCTTAAGCATAAAACCCATTTTAATACTGTCCAAGGATCCAGGATACCTTCCAGACATGATCTCACTCAATCTTCTCTGCTCTGCAGATTGCACATTATAGGTCAAGAGCAAGCTACAACACAGCAATACATATCAGCCCTACCAGACACCTCACCCTTCCCGCATCACCCACACCCACTCTGAGCACACTGCCTGCCTGATATGAATCAATAACTGGAAGGATAGAGAGGTCACTTTAGATGGGTACTGAGTTAATAAGCATACTCGCAGTGTCTCAGGAGATTTTTAAGAAATCACTTTAGCTCTATTAACAGCTCAAGTTCCCTCTCTTATTGCCAGAGAAAGGGGCTCACTCAGCTGCTCCACAAGTTACAAAGGAATCTGACGCTCCCCAAGGGAAGGGGCTCAGACTGAAGAAACACAGAGTATAAGTCTAAGGGGTTGCAATTTGTGACAACATTTGATAAACCAAAGTGCAAGGAGAATTGGGGTATGGTAGAGACAGACTCCAAGCATGGACACACACACACACACACACATACACACACACACACACACACACACACACACACAAAGTGGTAATATATGTTGGTACATTCTTTCGTATTACCCAAGTTCAGAAAAAAATTTTATATCCTTGTCCTAGTTTCTCAAATTCAAGTGTCTCTAGTTTTTTAAAATATCAATTCATGAATGACTCATGCTCAGCTAATATGTGGTTCACCAGGCCACTTTTAGCTCTCCTGCATTTCCATATATAATCTTTCTCCCATGATGCTTTCACTTAACATTTTGCTTTTTCTGTATAAATGAACTATATTTTTCCTCAATGTCTTACCTTGTCTTTCTCCCTACGTCATCAATCTGCTAACGACAATACCAATTCCACTAAAACCACATATATTAATATTCTCACCAGGACATTATTTTGCTTTCGGAAGTACCAAGCATTTTCCAAGTACAACCTACTCACAAGCTGTTCACCTGCTTGATTTCTGCATGGTATATCACTCATATTTTCTTGAGTTGCTGATAAGTAGCTATTAAGATATTAGACTCAAATAACACATCAACATTCAATATCCCATATTACTTGGTTTTTCTATGGCTTTCCAGGGTGATTAAGTTGAGAATGATCAGGAAATAATTGCTTCTCTGAAGGCCATCTGCCACCCCCTGATATTCTGACATTCTCAAACTGTCCTGTGATGATTTCTTCCAGTAATTTTCTAAGAATGGTAGTTTCATTTATGGCCAGGGTTATCCAAAACACTCAGTTTTGCTTTACTTGAAACTGGCCACTGATATAGCTCCTTTCAAGATTCAAGCATCTCATTGGTCCCACTAGTCTAGTTTCTCATAACATTGTGGGGAGGGGTAGACACTTGGGTTTCTTCTTGCTTAGGAGCCTGCAGAGAGAGATATTTTCTATAAGGCAGGTATAGACCTTTCTCCGTAAACTGTTATTTCTGGTATTATTTTCTTGTATTTTAGTCTGTCTAATTTGTGGACTGAGAGGAACAACAGATCATATGAATGAATCATCTCATTCAAAAGCAATGACAAGATGGTAATCATCATTACAAAGCAGGTTCTATGAGTCTTTGAACAGTATGAGATATTTGTATTCTAGGACCAAAATCACCACTAAAACTATTTCTAAGGTACTGATGCCTGTCTAGGCTCCATACTTTCTTCTCTCCAGTCTCACCTACTAAAATAATTAACCTAAGGTTATTTATTCCCATATGAGTGTCTAAACTCCCAAAGGAATGGTGATTTTCAGGCCCTCTCTTCAGGCCAATCACAGGTATTTAGTTTGTTCTGAGAACCACATAGTCTGGCCCTCCTACTTCATCACTAACCACCACCCTTGCTTAACATTTCTAAGCCTGAAGACCAGGGCCATCTCCCAGAGGCGTTTTCTAGCTTTCAAGCTTCTTTATATATATATATATATTTTATTATTATGAACAAAAATTCAGAAGGAGAAAAAACAATCTGCTATAGCAATACCTAGAGCGAAAACCTGGGCCTTCATTGCTATTTTTAGGGTTTTTATAATTCCATTTTGTAAACATTTATTGAGAAGTTGCTTATATGCCAGGTACTGGAAATACAAAGGTGAAAAAGTATATATACCCTGTGGTTAAAGTACTCAGAATCTATTGAGGGAAGCAGGCACATGATTCAGAGAGATAATTATTAGAAAAATTAGATTTAACAGAGATTTCAGAACATAAATAAGATAGCAATTAATTTTGTCCTGGTGGGGAGTGGGCTGGGACAGGGTGGTTGGCGGAGGGGTCTAGGACATTTACAGAAAACAGATAACACTGAATCTAGGTCTTAAAGGATGGGTGTAAATACACAAGGAAACATAACAAAGACCCAATTATAGGAAAATGAACGGTGTGTTCAGGGGGCTTTCATTTTGTTTTCCCCTTCCCAACCACCCCGCTCCATCTTCCCCCCACCCTGAGGAGCCCTGAACTGCCTCCTAGGACATCTTCCAACTTCCTGTTTACCTTTCCCCCTCCTCAAGCCTTCCTCCCCAAGCGCTCACCCTCAGGTGGGAATATGAAGGGAAGCCAAGGGTGAAATTGTTTCTTCATTTGCACCTCCCTCCTCAAACACTATAGCTTAGAAGCCCCCAAAATGATTTAAAATAATGTCAGCAAGAAAGGGGCTAAGATGGCCGGGCGCGGTGGCTCACGCCTGTAATCCCAGCACTTTGGGAGGCCGAGGCGGGTGGATCATGAGGTCAGGATATCGAGACCATTCTGGCTAACAAGGTGAAACCCCGTCTCTACTAAAAATACAAAAAATTAGCCGGGCGCGGTGGCGGGCGCCTGTAGTCCCAGCTACTCGGGAGGCTGAGGCAGGAGAATGGCGTGAACCCGGGAAGCGGAGCTTGCAGTGAGCCGAGATTGCGCCACTGCAGTCCGCAGTCCGGCCTGGGCGACAGAGCGAGACTCCGTCTCAAAAAAAAAAAAAAAAAAAAGAAAGGGGCTAAGATTTGCACTATTGTGAAAATACCCATAGAAACAAACTAGAAAAGAACCCAGAGAAATGAAAAGTCCGGAGGTTTAGAGTGGCGGAAAATATACTGAGCATCCTCCCCCTTTTTTTCTTACTATTTTTGCCAAAAGGCTAATTCTTATTTTTAAAAAGTTTGAATAATCTATTTTTATTGAATTTACATTGCTCTTCCTAATTAATGACCTTGATAAAAGATAACTATGGAAAGGATTCGGCTCGGTGTGGCCTCTCAAACAGTGAGGGGCGTGTGGCATGACAGCAAGACTGCTGAAGTTTGCTCTTTCTTGGGGTCCTCACAGGAGTAGGCATTGAACCAAATGCAGATTGTGTTCCAATTCCCATATTCTTGGAGCTCATTTAACAAGAGTTGCTGGTTTCTGTTTCAAATGAAATAAATTTTTCAAACGTTCCAAGATGCATTTTTCCTATTTTTAATTTACAGCTATATTCAACTGTGGCAAACACAAAAGGGTCAGAATGAGAAGAACTGTGGCCTATTTTTTAATATGGGAAGCTCTGGCCCTGACAGTTTATAAATGGTAAGATTTTAGAAATAGTGTCAACTTAAAAACAAAGACATCTACAGTTAACAATTTCTGGACTGCTGGTGCATAATTTTATAATTCCACAGGTTTTCTTGCACTGGAATTTTCCTCAATACTAATCTCGTATTAAATGAACATATTATTATCATGGACAACCATCACCACTCACCACCAATGCTGCCTCTGCAATTTACTGAATGCCTGATACTTTCTAGGCATCAGTTCATTCAGTCATCATAGAATCCTGTGAAGTACGTCATACAATCCCTGTTTACAGATGAGGAAACAAGGGGCCTGGAAGGATAAAGTAATTTGCCCAAGATCGCACAGCTAGTTGGTGTCAGAGCCTGAACTTGAAAACTGTCTATTTGACTCCAAACTTTTACTCTTCCCAATATGCCCTATTTCTAACCACACATTTACAGGGAACCTCCTTTGTACCTGCCTTGACTCCAGGGAACTCACCCCTGAGAAGCTGAGGCGAAAGGAAGGGTGGACGGTTTGCTGTGCTGATGAGATGGGATTTTTGTCTCAAACCCTGACACAAATTTGTTTCTTAGACTATCAACTTATCCCTGATGGGCACAGCTTACACTTGAGTATTTGAGTACTGGTGTAACAGATGCCATGTGACAAAATAATTAAAATCCCAAAACGGAAGTGGCTAGTGTGACTTTTTATATAGGTCCTATCGTGAAAAGTGAGTCATCCATCATTTTATACTTCTCTATCTCTAACCCACTTTTTTCAGAATATTTACATCTTTCTCCAACCCCTCCCGTGATAACACTTGGCATTGTCCCTACCCAAGGGAATAAACTGAAACGCGGGAAAGGTGGTGGAAACAGAAACAATCAAAGTGGAAAAGGCATTAGTGAACAAGCTCTGAGACTTCTCAGATGTGTATTTTTCCTCTTGCCAAGGAGAGACACTGGATATATTTTCTATGTTCCAAATGTTGCCAAATACCCTCCCACAATGTGGCACCCGAATTGTAAAAACACATATTCAAATGCAAATAGGGTAAAAGCCCCAGATGCAGAACGTTAAGACTATTATATAATACAGTGAAATTATCATTTTTTCTCATCTCAAGATCTATCATTATAACCTCTGCAAGTGAGGATGCTTAATTGGCAAAGCTCCCAGAGGAGAGAGAGCATCACGGTGAGCCTCCTTCTGCATGCTGACTAAGTGTGGGCTGACTTGGCACCGATACAGAAACATCCACTTTATTCCAGTATAGGCTGCAATTACACCCTTCACTCAAAGTCTATTCACTGACAGTGACCATCACTCTGAGAGGCTGTTTTCTGGAGTGCTAAGTCCCCAATAGCTACAGTGAGCTACAAAATCATCGTGCATCCACAACAATTTCTTTAAGTTTCGGGATCTCTGTTTTGTTTTGTTTTTGGTCCAGCACTAAGTCTTCATCCTAAAGAAAATAAGGAAACTAACATTACTTTCTTGATGCTATCCATCAAGGTTCAGAGAAACCCCTTAATAAGTAAGTAATTATTTTTCCTCACTTTACCTTCTGAGGTCATCACATATCCAAATATCTAATAAATTTTCCTCTACCTCCCCTGCATCAGCCAAGACATAGGTATCACTCTTTCAAAAGAAGACATGAAAATAACCTGCTTTGGATTCAGTCACATTACCCCAGGGATGGTGTATGGTCTCTCCACCCACCTCTGAAACTTACCTTTTGCATTTTGCTTTTGGTCCTGGCAATGCACCCTACAATCCTCAGTTTTCATTAACAACTAATATCCACAAGGCACTGGAGTATATTGCAGTTGGCTCAATCTTTCTAGAGCCCTAGACTGAATGTTAAGAAACAGGTGATTTTTTTCCCCTTTCCACCTACTTTTATATTCACATAATCTTTCAGTTTCTTTTCTTTACAATGTCTATTTTTGATGATTTTAAAAGAAGTACATGCCTCGTAGAAATTTTGGAAAAGAGAAAAGTGTACAGAGAAAAATAAAAATAATCTTTAAAATTCTACCACCTGAAGGCAACATTGATAAAGATTTGTATGTATTTAGTTGTTCTTCAGTTTATTTGCCTGTGTGAATTCTGCAAATGGAAATAATATTGAATGTAACAGTTCTGCATCTTGCTTTTATTTACACTACGGAAATCAAAGGTTGTGAGGAATATATTTTTAGAGGAAGAGAAAGAGTCAGGGAAGGAGGAGCAGGAGAAAGAGGCAGGTGGGAGGAGGAGGAGAATTTCTCAGCAGCATTATAGACCTGTTGAGGATTAGCAAGAATGAATCTAGAGTCTCTCTTCTCAGTGCGGTTTTATAACATACTAAAACAACACTCATAGAATCCTCTAGGATTTTAAAATAAAATTGACTAAGGGTTACCAAGCCGGGAGATGGTTAAGGCAGTTAGAGATTCTAAAGCAGCGTTGAGAACACGATTCAAAGAGCTGACTCTGACGTCTAGGTTCAGTATGGAGGTGAATAAACAGCAGATGGCCTGGAAGATACAGAGAGTTGAGGAACTGGAATACATGACGCAGTAAACAACATTCAGAAAGAATGAGGAAGTGGGGGACTTGACCTGTGGTCAAGAAGTATAATTTCAGCATTAAGGATCCTAAGGGTGGAAAATCTGGAAGAAAGATGAGCTACAAAAGATGGCTGTGCTGATAGCATACTGAAGTGAATTCGAGTTAAGGCTATGTCAGGTCAAGGTATAACAGTGATGTATGTCCATGCCTAGTGACCCCTCTAGAATGTCAGTCTCTGGAAGGGAGGGTTTTTAGATCATTCACTATCATCTGTCCAGCATTAAAGAAGTCTAGATCATAGGAATTGGATGCGTATTTCTTTTTTTTTTCTTTTCCCGTAACTGAGGAAACAAGACACATATTTCTTAAACAATGATAAATACAATCTGAATGTATAATGGTGTCAAGTTTGATAACCTGTTGTATCCATTCTACAATAAGGAGACACCCACCAAACAGATATTCCCATCGGCCTTTTGGGGAATGTTCTCTGGAAAGCTCTTAATAGATGACCTTCTAAGTGCTAGAGGCAATGTTAGATGCTGAAGACTTATAGACAAAAACGTTTCATTCTGCCGATAAACTTGGAGTATGGAAAATATCAAGTTAACCAACTAGCTACATGCTACAACAGAGTAGGCAGAGCGTGTTCTGGCTACACCCAGATCTAGGTTCTAAAAATAATTCCTAAAGGAGGTACTTCTGAATCTAACCTCTGAAGGGTATACAAATTTATCCCAGCAAAGGCAAGGCTAGATGTGTAGGTGGGAACAACTGGTATATTAAGGCCCACTCATAATAATTTTAGCTCAGGGTAAATTAAGTCGCAATGACTCTCCAACCAGCTCCCCGGGTCTGCTGGCAATAATGCTGCTCCTGTGGTGCCAATAACCTGAAAATCTCCAAGTAATACAAGAAAGTTATACACAGAAAACCTCCAAGTGATACACAGAAAAACCTAAAACCAACTCAATTCCAAACTTTACATGTTGTCATTTGGTAGACACAAATGTGAACTTCTTCCTGCAATAAAAACCTATGTTGACTTAGTTTAAAAGCAGCATATAAAGGATGTTGCCCATAATCCCCTAACCAAACAAGGCATCTATTTTCTCTTTTCTCTGTCCTTGTAATAGACATCCTAATAGGTATACATAGTTTTGATGTAATTTACATCTATCTTTTACTTTCTTATGTTAAAATTTTCTGTTTATTATCATTTCAGGAAACGTTTCAGGATAGTAATAGAGATTAACAGCAACAGTGAAGCATTTTACCCTAGAGAAGGGTAAAAGTTGGAAATGTTGCTATTGATTCACCTAGGTTATGCCACTTTAATGTCAGTGTGCCTCAGTTTCCCCCTTTACAATACAGGGATTCAGGTCTTGAAAAAGATATTTAAATTGAATGCAATATCTTTCTTATGGGACTATAACTTTAAGTAATTTGCAATGTACTTTCAAGAACTGGAAATGTTGACATAGTTATTCTACTTCTGAACATCTCTCATTCAAAAAATAATGCTGTGGAAGAAGATGCTTTATGCACCTAGACATTTATCAAGTATTATTTATAATAGTTAAAAATTGGAAGTCTACATCCTTTGGGTTAGGCGTAATGATTTAAAAGACACTGTAAATCCACAGCATGTTATTCTACATTATGAATGATAATATACCACATTATGAAGTGGAAAATAAATTCATTCTTAAATTGTGTGAAATGCTAGAAATTATTCAATTTTCTTTGTGAGTCAATGCTTTCTAGTTTTTTTTTTTTTTTTTTTTTTTTTTTTTCCGACAAAGTCTTGCTCTGTCACCCAGGCTGGAGTGCAGTGGTGTGATCTCGGCTCACTGCAACCTCCACTTCCTGGGTTCAAGCAATTCTCATTCCTCGGTCTCCCGATTAGCTGGGATTACAGGCACCCCCCACCATGCCCACTAATTTTTGTATCTTTAGTAGAGATGGGGTTTCAACATGTTGGCCAGGCTGGTCTCGAACTCCTGACCTCAAGTGATCCTCCTGCCTTGGCCTCCCAAAGTGCTGGGATTACAGGCGAGAGCCACTGTGCCTGGCCAGTGAATGCTTTCTATATGTCAGAAGTTATTGCTTCTTTCCACCCTTTCCACCATGACCATGATAAGAAGACACTAGTTGCAAGTTACCTCTTCCCTCACTGGCCTTGGAAAAGACAAGAAAGAAAGACGTTTCTGTGGAATGTAACAAGCAGAAAAGGACTGAAGATAATGAGACAGATTAAGGAAAGATGAATCACAGGCTGTGAAAGTGCTATGAAAATAAAACAGTATTATTATACAATTTATTATAAATAGTCTATGACTAATTTAGCACTTTAGCCATAAGCGTTCAGAAAAAAGAAATTCAGATCATGCTTGTCTTGCTGGCCACAGAACTCAGAAAATGCTCTGAGGCAGAGGAAAACAAGTCCTCAGTGCATTTGAGTGTTTTAAAATAGAATCACATAGAGCCACCTTGGGTCAATATGACATCTCTTGTATTCTGGACTTTCTTCTAACTTTAAATGCTATTTGAATTTTTGCCAGAGACAACTTGTGGAATGTTCTGAGCCCAGTTTGGAATTTTATTTATAAAATGGGGTAGATTTCAATAGAAGTAGTGTCCTGGGGCATCCACTGAATGGATGGATGCTCCACTTAGCCTTGAAAATATGATCCCTCAGCCACAGTCAGGCGAGCCTCCCAGGATGGGGACGGCACCATGAGGTGTTACTTATCCTTTCTGAGACAAAAACAACCCCTTCCCAGTCTTTAGGTATTTTAAACATAGTCTTAGCATGTAGCTGAAAAAATGGGGGTTGGGGGAGTCAGGTCCAGACTGATCTAGTGTGTGGAAAATAAGCAAGTAGGAGTGAAAGCATTGATTCTGGCAAATTCCCCAAGCCGAAATCCAAGTATAGGCCCATTTAAAAGTAGACTGGAGTTGCCAAGGCAGAATTTCCTTCTTAAAATTCAGATAATTAGTTGCTAGCAGTGCTGAATATTAAACAGGAAATTCAACTTCCAAAGATGTTTCAATAATAGAATTCTGAAAACAAGCATTTTCCTAATATGAAGTGTTACATGCAAAGCACCAGCACCATAATAAGTAAAGGTATTGGAATTAACTAGGCCTTCATACAACACATACTAGTTGTGTGAATGCCAGCAAATCATTTAACCACTTTAACCTCAGTGGCCATATATCTCTGGTTGTAACTATGTCTTTGTAAACAGGACTCTCTACTAACTCACCATAAATTCAGAGAAAAATAAATGTCCCTGATTCCTCTAGGCTAAACATTTATATAGAGAAAAACAAATTCAAATAAGCTATCAATGGAGATCTGTTAAGTACAATATAGCTGTGGTAAATGGACACCTTGTCTTGCTTGAAGGCTGTACTCCAGAAAAGAAACAAAGTCAAAATTCTTAAATTTTGAAACCAGATCATTAATTTTCTTGAATGTTACTTCCATTTTCCAAATTTTCACAGATACAGCAAGCAAATGCAATTAATGCTTGCATTTTATTAAATCAAATTGCAGGGGAATAGAAAACAAAACAAAACAGACTAATTTGCTTTCCTTTTTTAACCTTCAGTCTTACAGTTTGCCCTTAAACATTTCTAGTTCACTCTTTTCTTGAGTTATGTGTTCGGGGAAGTTGTATAAGGTTCATATATGATTCACCTGATGTTTACTCAGCTTTCTCATATGCTAGAAACCAGAACATTTCCACTGAAATGGGGAAGATAATTAGTAATGACTTTTTCAGCATTGAACGATGTGGTAGGCTAAAATAATGGCCTTATAAGAATGTCCACATTCCTAATCCCCAGATCCTGTGTATATGCCACTTTCCATAGCAAGAGAGGGCTTTGCAGATGTGACTAAAGATTTTGAGATGAGGAGATTATCCTGGATTATCTGGTTGGGTCCAATGTAATCATAAGGGTCCTAGTAAGAGGGACACTGGAGGGTCAGAATGATCAAAGGAGATGTGATGATAGAAGCAGAGGCCAGTGATGGCATTGCTGGAAGGGGCTATGAACCCAGAATGTGGGCAGTCTCTCGAAGCCATGAAGGGCAAGGAACAAATTCTCCTTTAGAGCCTCTAGAAGGAGCACAGTCCTGCTGATACCTTGGTTTTAACCTAGAAGACCAAATTTCAGACTTCTGACCTCCAGAACTTTAAGGCAATACATTTGTATTGTTTTAAGCCACTAAGTTTGTGGTGATTTGGCTGGGCGCAGTGGCTCACACCTGTAATCCCAGCACTTTGGGAGGCCAAGGCGGGTGGATCACTTGAGGTCAGGAGTTTGAGACCAGCCAGGCCAACATGGTGAAACCCCGTCTCTACTAAAAATACAAAAATTAGCTGAGTGTGGTGCCATGTGCCTGTAATCCCAGCTACTTGGGAGGCTGAGGCAGGAGAATCCCTTGAACCTGAGAGGCGGAGGTTGCAGTGAGCCAAGATTGCACCACTGCACGCTAGCCTGGGCAACAGAGTGAGACTCCATCTCAAAAAAAAAAAAAAAAGTTTGTGGTGATTTGTTACACCAGCAACAGGAAATTAATACAAACAGTAATCCTGAAGTACTGATAATCTTTAAAGCAGAAGGTGTAGGGAGTTGCTAGTCCAGACAGGTGGATGCTAAAAATTTAGAGCAGTAGAAGCTGTTTGCCTGGTTGACACTGGACCTGCCGGGTGAGAAAACCTCCCCTCATCATCAAGTTCTTCATCAGCTCCATGAGCTTATTCTTTTGACAACTCTCGCCCTGTTCACGGAAATAAATCTGAAAGCTGGTGACCAAATCAGCTTTTTGTAATGCCAGTATATTCATAGAAAATTTGCTATTCCAGAGCCAACCATGCTCTGTCCAAATGATTTAACCAGTGAGTTTGGCAACAGTCAGGTAACGGCCCCAGCGGGTAGGGGGAACCTTTCCATTGAGCTGTAGAGGGGCAGATGATGTGTAGCTGGGAGTAGAGCATATCTAACTTTGAGAACTAAAATACCAAGCACCTTGTCCTTTGTGGGTAAATTGAGCAAGTAGCTAGCTTCAGAAACAAGTCATAAACTGAGTCACCTACAAAACTCTACTAAAATAAAGTAAAAGCATAGATTTTGGAATGAAACAGTTCAAGGCTATATTTCTTTCTCGGCTGTGTGTGTCACTCTGGGAAAATTATTTAATCTTTCTGAAGCTCAATTTCCTTTTCTTAAAAATGAGTATAACATTTACTTCATAGGGTTGTAAGGATTAGGTGAATTAAGTATTCAAAGAGATTAGCACACAATTAAAGCTTAATAAATGTTATCAATTATGGTTAATTTTTATTCTTTCAATCCCCTATCCACTGTGTACCCAGAGCAGCCACTGCGTATCTCTGCCTTAGTGTCTCTCTATTAAAATTATAGATGATGACAATGTAAAGCCATTAAAGGCAGAGACCCAGTCTCATTCATTGCATTCATTGTTTTATTCTTAGCATCTAGCACAGCGTCTGACCTGTTTGGGGCTCTCAAAATTTATTTATTTATTTATTTATTTTTGAGACAGAGTCTCACTGTGTCACCCAGGCTGGAGTGCAGTGGTATAATCTCAGCTCACTGCAACATCCGCCTCCCGGGTTCAAGGGATTCTCCTGCCTCAGGCTCCTAAGTAGCTGGGACTACAGGTGCAGGCACCACACCCGGCTAATTTTTGTATTTTTAGTAGAGATGGGGTTTCAGCACGTTGGCCAGACTGGTCTCGAACTTCTGACCTCAAGTCATCCACCTGCCTTGGCCTCTCAAACTGTTGAGACTACAGGCGTGAGCCATTTCATCCGGCCCTCAAATTTTTAATAAGTGTTTATGAACTAATCTGATCTGTGAGTTAGGAAGGATCTGAGATGTCAGCCATGATCTGTGATTATAGGATTTTTCCAACTGTGACCCATTAGGTGGAGAAATAAATTCAGTGAATCAGAGCCAACATTTTATTTTTAAAGAAAAAGAATAGAATAGCAAATATCAGAGTGCAAAACACATAGTAAAGTTAAGTATTGTTACAAGAAACTTTGTTACATATGTAAGAGTACTTGGTGGCAATGTAAATATATTACTTATTGTGAGTAGTGGTTAAAAAATATGTGAACATTCTGAATGGTCCACCTTGCCAGCATTTGCTACTTTCTATCTTTTTAATTTCAGCCATTCTGATATGTATATAGCAGCATGGTGTTGTGGTTCTAATTTGCATTTCCCTGATAACTAGTGATGTGGAGCACCTTTTCACTATGTTCTTCCCTTTGGATACCCTCTTTTTTTTTTTTTTTTTTTTTTTTTTTGAGATGTAGGCTCGCTCTGTCACCCAGGCTGGAGTGCAGTGGTGCGATCTCGGCTCACTGCAAGCTCCGCCTCCCAGGTTCAGGCCATTCTCCTGCCTCAGCCTCCCGAGTAGCTGGGACTACAGGTGCCTGCAACCACGCCGGGCTAATTTTTTGTATTTTTAGTAGAGACGGGGTTTCACCGTGTTAGCCAGGACTATCTCGATCTCCTGACCCC
This sequence comes from Homo sapiens, assembly GCF_000001405.40. Classification (NCBI taxonomy): domain Eukaryota; kingdom Metazoa; phylum Chordata; class Mammalia; order Primates; family Hominidae; genus Homo; species Homo sapiens. The sequence continues at coordinate 149,282,590 of NC_000001.11, forward strand.
GTGATCCGCCCGCCTCGGCCTCCCAAAGTGCTGGGATTACAGGCGTGAGCCACCGCGCCTGGCCTGGATACCCGCTTTAGAAATCTCTTTTGTAATCTGTTTAAAAAAAAACAATCTGGCAGTATTTACTAAATCTGAACATGCATTTCCTATTACGCAGAAATCATACTTCTACTTATTTACTCAACAGAAATGTGTACATATGTTCATCAAAAGACCTGTACAGAAATGTTCATAGCAACACTGTTTATAATAGCTCCAAACTGGAAATTGCCCAAGTGCCTATTAAGAATAGAATGGACAAATAAATTTGATATATTTATACACTATAGAAGCCTATTTAAAAGCAAGAATAAATGGACTACAGTACCATATAACAGTATAGAACTCCAAAAGCAAAAGATTGAGTGAAAGGAGCCACGTACGAAAGAGTACATGGTGTATAATTTCATTTACATAAAGTTCAAAACTAGGCAAAATTATTCTATGGTGTTAAAAATTAGGATAATGATTATCCTTGAAGTCATCAGGAGGGCTTCAGGGATGCTGGTAATGTTCCCTTTCTCTATCTGAATGCCCATCCCATGAGTATACTCAGTTTGTCAAATTAATTGGACTGTAAATATATAATTTGCGATTTTTCCAAATCATTTCTGAATTTGTCTGAAATTGTTACATGTAAATATAAAATTTTTAAAACTTAATAAATAATACTTTTTTCTTCAAGTGTGAAAAACACTGGCAGAGAGCAAAAGGCCCTGATACACTCACTCCCATCACCATCAAGTGGTCATCTAGCCTTTGCCTGAGTAACTCCAGGGTCAACAATCTCTTTACTGCCCATACTGCCCAGGCAGCTAACTTGTTAGAAAGCTTTTTTTTAATTTTTTTTTGAGACGGAGTCTCGCTCTGTCGCCCAGGCTGGAGTGCAGTGGCGCGATCTCGGCTCACTGCAAGCTCCGCTTCCCGGGTTCACGCCATTCTCCTACCTCAGCCTCCCAAGTAGCTGGTACTACAGGCGCCCGCCACCACGCCCGGCTAATTTTTTTTGTGTTTTTAGTAGAGACGGGGCTTCACTGTGTTAGCCAGGATGGTCTCAATCTCCTGACCTCGTAATCCGCCCCCCTCAGCCTCCCAAAGTACTGCAATTACAGGCGTGAGCCACCTCGCCCGGTCTTTTTTTTTTTTTTTTTTTTTTTTTTTTTTTTTTTTTTGAGGCGGAGTTTCGCTTTTGTTGCCCAGGCTGGAGTGCAATGGCTTGATCTCGGCTCACCACAAACTTCTCCTCCCGGGTTCAAGCGATTCTCCTGCCTCAGCCTCCGGAGTAGCTGGGATTACAGGCATGTGCGACCACGCCCGGCTAATTTTGTATTTTAGTAGAGATGGGGTTTCTCCATGTTGGTCAGGCTGGTCTCGAACTCCCGACCTCAGGTGATCCGCCTGCCTCAGCCTCCCAAAGTGCTGGGATTACAGGCATGAGCCACTGCACCTGGCCAGAAAGCTTTTTCTTTACACTGAGCCATAACTCGCCTCCCAACAACTCGCTTGCATCGGTTGTTCTGTCCTCCTAAGAGATTCTAATGTGATTCAATCCCTCTACCACCAATAGCTCTTCGGAAATTTGAAGGAAGCTACCACATCCTCCCCACTCCCAGTCGTCATTTCTCCGGACTCAGGAGTCCCAGGTCCTTCCTTTGGCCATCCCTCAAGGCATGGCTTTGAGTTCCCTCCTGTCTCTTGATTGTACTTATTTTATCTAATGATGCCCAGAACTAAGCACAGCCCTCTCGGAGAGGCCCAAGAGGAGCAGAAAGGAGCCAAAAGTAAAATCATCACTTTTGATCTAGACAGAATCTAGACAGCCTACTTCTTCTGTCAACAAACCCTAAGCTTCAATTTGCTCCTTCTTTAATATTCACATTATACCATTCACTCCTGTTGAGCTTAGCAATCAACTAAAAGCACCCAAGTCTTTTGCATAAGCCCCAAATTTACCTTCTGTGTTTGTACCGTCTTCACTCTCTCAGGAGTCAGAGCGCTCATTTGGCCCCACCCCAATTCTCCAAAGCTAAATCCCACAGATGGAAGCGTATCTGTTATAGAGACACCGCTGGAATAGTCTCCCTACCCTCCCACCCACTAAAAAACAGAAACGAAGTCTTTGTCTCAATACATGGTCTCTTATCCTTACCCTTTCCTTGAATGGGGCTTCATTTTAAAGTGTGTCTGGGGGAAGGACTGGAAGAAAACGCAGTTTCACAGGCCATCTCCAAAATCTGACCTAAAAGCCAACTGTTGCCTGGCCTCAATAAAGCCTGAGCAGTGTGGTGCCCTGATCTCTTTCCTTCTCCATTCCTCCCCCAAGTGGGCTCCAACTGGAGGTTGTGGAGATGAGTGCTGCTGGGCTCTGCTCACTCAGTCCCTTTGCCTTTGTGTGAGTAGTGACAGATGAGGCTGAGAAGGAAAACGTGGCAGGGTGAGAATAAACCTGATATTGTTCAAAGCATCTGACATCAAACATATCTCTCAAGAAGACCTACTGGAATCCCTCTAGCCACACGAACAAGGAAACGACAGAGAACCATTTCTACAGAAAGTTCCAGGCGGCCTCCCTGGGTATTTTTAACATCAGGACTCGGTGGAGGGGAGAGTCATTAAGCAAGGGAAACCCCGTAAAACAGAACATGTGAAAATGACCAAGAGAGGTGGGCTGGGAACCAGGCAGGGCGAGGCTACAGAAAAGGGAAGCTGTCACGGGACCCTGGTGGTGAGGGGCGACCTCTCTCTCCCTAAGGGCGCTGGGGGAGGGGAGGGAGGAGGACCACCAAGTCTGGAGCGCGGCGAGAAGGAAACAGCCCACCTACCTCGTCCAGGTCTGCTCCATTTTCCAGGCTCTTTCCTTAGTCTCAGGACGCTCCTCACCCGGGAGGGGAAGCAGCCTGGGAAAATGAGAAGCCTTGCCCACGAATCTCCAGCGCAAAAGGCAGCAGCTTTTTCCTCCCCAGCTCCTTTCTGCGTCGGCGGCGAAGAGAGAGCTCTGCTCCCTGCTTTTTTAGAAAATGGATTTGACGTGGCCGAACCTGCGGCTAGCCGTGCGACCCGCACAAGGGAGGGACTGTTCTCAGTAGGAGGCTGGACTCAGAGCGGCGCGGCGCCCGGGGCTGTTTCGTGAGCTGGAGCCAGCGGCTGCCCGGGCCGCGGTGCGCGCACTCTCCAGGCTGAGACACGACTGGCTGGCACGAGTTGCTCGGCACCAGCTGAGCTGTCAACCGCGAGCGGAGGCGGGGCTCCCGACAACCAGTGTGCTGGGGCAGAATCGGCCCAGGTTACACGCCCCCGAACCACCCTCGCGTCTCCCCGACCCCTCTCTCGCTGGCTCAGATGAATGATGACGGCAGAGGGCAGAGAGCTTAGAGGACGCGGTACCAAGCCCCGTCCCTCGCCCATCCCAACGAAGGTCTTAGAATACAATCAACCAACTACAGGAAGAATTTGTAGAGGAGGTTTTCTTGTGTGTCTGCATCGCCCCACCCACAGGTAACCCCAGAGCCAGAGATGGAGTCTAGGAAGGTTTAGGAGCAATCCCGGCTGAATGCAGATGTATACCCTACGTGGTCATGGAACACGATGTTGTCTTCCTAGAGATGTGACATGCCAGTTTCACCATTAATCCAGGGACAGGACCCTTCATCAGGAAGGGAAGCATCCCAACAAAACCTTACAGCCCTATTAGCTGCCTGTATCCCAGACATCTCCTGTTTTAGGGTATTCTACCTCCTCGTTTTTCAGTTTCGCCAGCAACTGGGCTCTACCAATAGCTTCAAGGAGGGAGAAGCTTCCTGACTCCCAGAACACTAGAAAAGCCTCAAGACAGTAGCCATCAGGACCTCGACACTCCCTTGTGACTGTTTTAAGATCATGGAAAAGGCCTCTTTGGAGATGGCATTGCCTCAGGCCCTGTACCATGTACTTATGTATCAAGATTTAAACAAGGCAGACATACTATAATTAGAGTGCTTGCCACCCTGAAGCTCCTTTTTAGCTTTCAAATAAGACCGTTTTATTAAATGACATAATCACTGTTATTATTAGCACTATCACTGACCTTTTTTTATCTGAAAAAGGCTTTATAGTGCCCACATGTGGCAATGTTAATTTCGTTGTACTTGTTTCAGAGATGATAAATTTGAGACCCCAAAAGGCCCAAAGTCTCTGCTAAGGTTCTGATACAGGCTGTGTTCTCCATTGGGTGGCCCCAGAGATATGTTCCCTGAATTTCTAAAGCTACGACCCACAAGACTTCTCCAGGATGAATTTATTCTTTCAGGCCTCCTAGGCATTTAACTCAGGAAGAACCTGGCATGCCTGGGTATTGGTGAGACTGTGGGGAGTCTGTGTTCTTGGGGGAACCTGTCATCTGTCTGTTATCTCTTGGATTGGTTCCCCTACATACTAGTACAAAGTAGGGGTGGGGAGGGGAGGATAACAAAACATTTGAAGGTTTAGCAGAACTGTCTAAAAAGCCCCTAGTCTAGACTCCTCCAACACTTGATTTATTGGTAGGACCACACTGCTCCAGAGCTCAAAATGTTACCAGGAAAAATTTCAAGGTCCAGTTTGATCTTAGACAAGGCTCACAGGCCACCTGTCTTGAAAAGAATATCCTGTTGCCTCTGATGGGGGGGAAGAAAAGGCAGGGAGAGTCAGATTCCCATCCTTCATACCAAAGTTGGGGCTATATTTAGCTTTGTCTCAAATCAAATTATGGGCTACCGAGTTGTGGAGAGGAACTCTGTCTACAGGCAGCTCACTGGATTCAAGAAATGATAGCACTAACTAGGTGAGCTGTGGGGTCTCAGAAGTGACGCTAGAAAATACGTTCATGTATTTTTAAAATAACTTTTTTCAAAAGTTTATAGCACATTCATTGTAAAAACATTTGAAAAATACAGAAAGTTATATAGATTACTCAGAATACCCAGGGATCTTCAATATTAAAAATGTGTTGCATTTTTTTCCCACTCTTTAAAAAATGCATCTTTTAATCCAAACACCAACTCTTTCTTACACACATGGGTATATTCTTGAGAAGAGAAATTTCCTTGTTGTTTTAAAAATTATACTTATTGTCAAAAGAACAATTTTTTTGCGTTAGATTTCAGAAGAAAAATATTCACCCATATAACCACTGCTACAGCACAAATGTTTAAATTTCTCCAAATTCCCTTTAGTCATTATCTATATATATTAAATATCTATTTACATAATTACGATTACAGCTTAGGTATATGTTTATATTCTCCTTCTTTCACTTAGTAAATATTTGTCCATGCTTTTAGGGAAAGTTCATAGTTATTATTCTAATGAGTGTACAATATTTTATAATATTAGTAGGACCATAGATTACTTAAAATATTCTACTATTGCATAGTTATGCTGTTTCTGATATTAGACTGTTATAAATAATGCCTTAATGAAGAGCTTTCTGCCTTTATCATTCTCCTTTTTTGAATTATGCTATGGTTGAATGTATGTATGCCTTCAAAATTCATACATTGGTACTTAACACCGAGTGTTATAGTACTACAGGGTGGGGCCTTTTAGGAATATGTCTTAGGAAGTGATAAGGCATGAACACTCCACTCTCATGAATGGGATTAGTGCTCTTAAAAAAGAGGTTGAAAGGATTGCTCTGGTCCCTTTTGTCCTCTGTCCCTCCAGCCATGTGAGGACACAGCATCTGTGGCAACAAGGAGCCATCTTGGGAGCAGAGAGCAAGCTCTTCCAGACACTGAATCTGCCAGCACCTTGATCTTGGTCCAGCCTTCAGAACTGTGAGAAATAAATTTCTATTATTTACAAATTACCCAGTCTAAGCTATTTTGCTATAGCAGCAGGAATGGACTAAAGGCGATTTTCCTGGGATAAAAGGACTTTCTAATTTTATTATCTTAGCCTCAAAAGCACTAGAAATTCTCCTTTTATTTTTTTTCTTATTTAATTTGTAAATAATTGGATAGTTATATTTTAGTTCTATATCTAGCTAGTATACAAATAATGTAACACCATCTCATTTTGCTTTACGTTTCTTAGAATACTAGCTAGTAAGGTCTTATTTCATATCCTTTCTTGGAAACCATATGTGTAGTAGCCAGTCTCATGAAATCCTTGTGTTGAGTCACTGTATTAGTCATCTTTTTGCTGAAACAATGCTGCTCAACAAAGAACTCCCCAATCTCAGTATTATACAACACACATCCATTTCTCCCTCAAGGATCTATAGTTTAGGTATGGATTGGTTTAAGTCTGTCATTTTCATGGCAGAGTGCAGGAGTGCAAGAGAGTTGGCAGAGACTCATGATGACTGGTCTCTGCTCAGAACTGGCACAGTCTCGCTTCTGCCATTTTCCGTTCACCAAAGTAAGTAACATGGCCAAGTCCAAAGTCATTGGTGCAGAAAAGTACAGTCTGCCCACAGAGTGCAGGAGGGGAGAGTAATATTTGTGGAACAATAATGCAATCCACCAGTCACTGTATGTGCTGCTTTCTTGCTTTTTGTTAAGCTTTTCTCCTTGTAGATACATGGTAACTTTATTCTTCCTCATCCCATTTTAACTTAGCTATGACTTTTGAACAGTGAAATGTAACTTGTTTCGTTGGCTGAAACGTGAGAGGAAGTCTCATGTGGTCACTTCTGGGAAGAACGCAGACATTTTTAAGAGCTAGTACATAATTGGCCCTTTTCAGTTTCCGCTGTTTTATTGATCCTTGAAGATCAATAAGATGAAGCTTTCATCAACCTAAGTCCCTGAGTTACTGTGATGGTCAGAGCCTTCCTGCTAACCCTAATTGAACATGTAGAATGAGCAAGAAATTCATTTTTGTTGTATTAAGTTACTGAGATTTGGAGATTATTTATTACTGGAGCATAATCTAGCCTATCCTAACACATTGCTTTTTATTTCCATTTTGCAACCAAGTATCGTTATGTGTGTGTCTGCTCTCAGTTTTCTGGCTTAGAACTCAAATAACCGGCCGGGCGCGGTGGCTCACGCCTGTAATCCCAGCACTTTGGGAGGCCGAGGCGGGCGGATCACGAGGTCAGCAGATCGAGACCATCCTGGCTAACACGGTGAAACCCCGTCTCTACTAAAAATACAAAAAATTAGCCGGGCGAGGTGGCGGGCGCCTATAGTCCCAACTACACGGGAGGTTGAGGCAGGAGAATGGCGTGAACCTGGGAGGCGGAGCCTGCAGCGAGCCGAGATCGCGCCACTGCACTCCAACCTGGGCGACAGCGAGATTCCGTCTCAAAAAAAAAAATAAATAAAAAGAACTCAAATAACCTGGGTAAATGATGTTGATAAATTAAACTATTCATTTTATTCTTTCCTGAGGGCACTGCTCTTAGTTTGGTCGACTGATTGTGCTTCAGGGAATACCTGAATTGATGATAAGGGACAAAAAATCGGAAGGTGTCACAGTCTTTACAGTCAGCTCCAAATATTCCAATGATACTTTTACCTTTCATTCAGTTTTTAAAATTCATTTTCCTTTTCTTCTCTCCAACTTGTTTCTGGGTAAAAAGGATTATTGATGTTGATATAGTTTACTGCATAATCTATACATCAATAATAAAAATAGCTATGTCTAATATATTTTTGCCAGATCCTCCTCTAACAATTGTGTGTATACTAACTCTTTTCATCCTCGCAGCAGTCTTTTGAGGTAGGCTCTAGTTAATGCCCACTTTACAAATGACTAATGTGGAGCACAGGGAGGTAAATTATACTGCCCACATTCACAAAGCTGATTGATGGCAAAGCTGAGATTTGAAACCAATCAGTTTTGTTTCAGAATGGCCTGCCTAACCATTTTGCGTACTGCTTCCCTAATTTTGACACGTAACATTGGCTGGGACTTAGATAGGAGGACAATATGTCTGCAACATCTGTCACTTCAGTGATCCCTGTGATCACCTGGTTAGTCAGAACATGATGTCTTCTTGATCCATCACAGCTCCATGTCTGTCTCTCTAACCTTGGGCTTAAAAAACAAATGCCCTTTCCAGACAAAGAGGCATCATTCTGAGATCAAGGATACAGTGTCTGTAGTAGATTAAAGATGACCACAAATTACTTGCTACTTCTCCCATTGAGAGGTGGAATCTAATTCTCCTCCCTTTAATATGGGCTACCCTTAGAGACTTACTTGACTAATAGAATACAGCAGAAGAGATGTCTGACTGGCCAGGCTAGGTAAGTAAGAAGCCTTGTAGCTTCCATGTGAGACTCTTGGGACATGTCTTCTAAGGCCTAAGCTGCTGGATAAGTCAAACTACCATGCTAGATAAACCACGTGCAGAGGCCATGAGACCACATGACAAGGGGAGGGGCCTAGCTGAGCACAACGACCAGCAGTTCCCATCAGGGTGCCAGGCATTATGTGTGAAGCAGTCTCCCATCAGCTGGACACAACTGAGCAACCCTAACTGTGGCCACTATGGAATAAATTTGCCCTGCTGAACCATGCTAGAATTATTGATTACCAAAATGATGAGATACAATAAATTGCTTATTGTGCTAAGTTTTGGAGTAGTTTACTAAGTAACAATAGATAACTGGAACTAAATTTGGTATCTGAAAGTGGACTTTCACTATAACGAAAACTGAAAACAAATGGCAATGACTTTGTACCTGGTTGCCACAGAAGTTAGAAAGGCCTCGAGAAAAATGTTAGTGAATATTGGAAGGACATCGAGGAGACTGCTGGAGAGACTGAAGGACAGTAAAGAAAATACTATGGGGGGTGGCTGAAGAAATGACCTGTGTTATGTAGTGGCAGAAAGTTTTCGTCTTTGATAATGTGGGAAAATAGAAAAGGTGCCCAATGAATGGGAGGATCTGGCTAAGGAGATTTTCAGCAGAATTTCAAAACTACAAAGAGGTTTCTTTTAGCCACATTATTATAAGATATTGATTAAAAAAAAAAGAAAAAAAAGTGGGCTAAAAAAGGAGCCATTTGGTTTTTAAGCAGAATTTAGAGGAATTATAAAGAGGCAGGACTTGCTGGGTTCAGAAGAGATCGGGTGCATTCAGGGTGGCATGGCCGTAGACTTTGCTGGGTTCAAACATCAAACTGCTTCTCATCCTCAATCTCTCTAGACAGGGAAAGCTTTCAAAATAAGAAATGGCTTCAGGGCAAAAATAAATTCCAAGATGTGACAGCTAGACCCATGATTAAGACCTCAATTAAGGTGGTGCCTCATATATCCTTTCAGTTAAACAAAAAGCCTTCTACAATCTTGGGCAATGTACCTCTCCATTGGACAAAAGAGTTTCTAAGAATTTTAAGGTTCTGTTATCCCATGTCAGACTCACAGTTAGTCCAAGCAAGGTGAAAAAGCTGGCTTCAGAATGAAATGTGGGTGTGGCTTTTGCCTAGTAAAGTTCGTTATCAATTAGTATATAAGACGCCTTAACATTTTTAAGTGAATTATACCAGCATGGACTGACTGAAAAGGATGAAGAGAGTACAAAGTGAAAAGATGCCTTTGGACCCTCAACCTGCCTCAGAGAAGCAGGCTGAGAAAGTTACCCAGCCAAAAACAAGGATTACTTCTTAGGGAAAAAGAAGAACGGCTCAAAGAATGGAACCAAGAGCCCAGAGGACTGATGGATAGCCAGAGGGAATCATTCCCAGGAGCAGGACTGGGCCCTAATCAAGGAACTGGTAATATGTACTCAGCTAGATTTCAAAATTGCTGTGGACTACTGACCGCTGTATGCCTGTGTTCTCTGACTCTTCGAATGGGAGTGCCTATTATGGTTATCCTATCTCTGTCCCATTGTTTCTTGGGTGTGAGAGCCCCAGTGACTTCAGATCAAGGGGAACTATACTCAAGGAGCTGAGTGCCAGGAGCCTCATCATCACCTGAATTTGAGTTAGATGGTGAGAAAGTGGACTTCTAGGCTGATGCAGTAAATGTCAGGAAACTTTTGAGGGCTTTAGGAGAGTGTGAGTTTATTTTGCTTGTGGTAATAATGTCTGTGGCCAGAGGAAAAGGAATGTGGTAGATTCAAGATGGCTACAAATTTTTTGCTACTTCTCTTATTCAGAGGTAGAATCTAATTCCCCTCCCTTGGATCTAAGCTGGTCTTCATGACTTGCTTGACCAATAGAATGCAGTTCTAGGCCATAAACTCCTGAACCTGGGCAATAAGAAACCTTGCAGTTTCCAGTAGGCCTCTTGATATACTGAGCTGCCATGAAAGAAATCTGACTACCTTGCTGGAGCTATAGAGAGGAGAGGTCTTGAGGCCACCAGCAGTCCTCAAAGGCATCAGGCACACAATATAAGTGAAGTTACCTGGGACCTCCAGAGCAGCCCTGCCTTCCACTGAATACCAGCAAGTGACCCAGTCAATACTGCATGGGGAAAACAAATTGCTCAGCTGAGACCTGTCCAAATTACTGACCCACAAAATCATAAGATACAATAAAATGGTTGTTTTGAGCTACTGAATTGTGGGGTAGATTGTTTATGCAGGAATAGACAACTGAGACCATGCCTTAAAATGGACACAGTATTTTTGATGCATTATCTCATTCATTCATCCAATAAATAATTACTGTGAACCATTATGTGTCAGGCACTACTCTTTATTCTAGAGACACAGTAGTTTAAAAAAAGGCCAGCAAAGACCCTGTTTTCATGGAGCTTACAATCTACTGGTTTAGATAGATAATAAGTAAAGGAATAACTACAATATGCCAGATGGTGATAAGGGCGATAAAGATAAGTGAAGCATGTCAAGGGAGCATCCCAGCAAGACAACCCTCTTTTTATAGAAGAGAAAACAGAGTCTTAGAAAGATTAAATAACAGGCAGTAAGAGAAGCAAGTTCCTAGGTACAATGAAACTGGAGTTTCACTTGATGAAACACTGTTCAATAGAATTTATAAATTCAAATTGTTGTTTAGCACAACAGAGGAACCTAATAGGCAGAAGTGTGGCTTGGATGGATGTTCCTGACTACCCAGGCTGTCCAAGTAAACTGTTGTATATACAAGAATGAAAAGATCTGAGGTGGAGCCAAGGTGGCCAAATAGGAACAGCTCCAGTCTAGAGCTCCCAGCGTGAGCGATGCAGAAGACGGGTGATTTCTGCCTTGCCAACTGAGGTACTGGGGAGTGTCAGAAAGTGGGTACAGGACAGTGGGTGCACTGCACCCAGCATGAGCCAAAGGAGGGCGAAGCATCACCTCACCCGGGAGGCACAAGGGGTCAGGGAATTCCCTTTCCTAGTCAAAGAAAGGGGTGACAGACGGCACCTGGAAAATCGGGTCACTGCCACCCTAATACTGCACTTTTCCAACAGTCTTAGCAAACGGCGCACCAGGAGATTATATCCCGTGCATGGCTCGGGGGGGTCCTACGCCCATAGAGCCTCCCTCATTGCTGGCACAGCAGACTGAGATCGAACTGCAAGGCGGCAGCGAGGCTGGGGGAGGGGCACCTGCCATTGCCGAGGCTGGAGTAGGTAAACAAAGCAGCCCAGAAGCTCGAACTGGGTGGAGCCCACTGCAGCTCAAGGAGGCCTGCCTGCCTCTGTAGACTGCACCTCTGGGGGCAGGGAATAGTCAAACAAAAGGCAGCAGAATCCTCTGCAGACTTAAATGTCCCTGTCTGACAGCTTTGAAGAGAGTAGTGGTTCTCCCAGCACACAGCTTGAGATCTGAGAATGGACAGACTGCCTCCTTAGGTTGGTCCCTGACCCCCAAGTAGCCTAACTGGGAGGCCCCCCCCCAGTAGGGGCAGACAGACACCTCACATGGCCGGGAACTCCTCTGAGACAAAACTTCCAGAGGAACGATCAGACAGCAACATCTGCTGCTCACCAGTATCTGCTGTTCTGCAGCCTCCGCTGCTGATACCCTGGCAAACAGGGTCTGGAGTGACCTCAAGCAAACTCCAACAGACCTGCAGCTGAGGGTCCTGACTGTTAGAAGGAAGACTAACAAATAGAAAGGACATCCACACCAAAACCCCATCTGTACATCGCCATCATCAAAGACCAAAGGTAGATAAAACCACAAAGATGGGGAAAAATAGAGCAGAAAAACTGGAAACTCTAAAAATCAGAGTGCCTTTCCTCCTCCAAAGGAACGCAGCTCCTCCCCAGCAATGGAACAAAGCTGGATGGAGAATGACTTTGACAAGTTGAGGGAAGAAGGCTTCAGACAATCAAACTACTCCGAGCTAAAGGAGGAAGTTCGAACCCATGGCAAAGAAGTTAAAAACCTTGAAAAAAAATTAGACCAATGGCTAACTAGAATAACCAATACAGAGAAGTCCTTAAAGGACCTGATGGAGCTGAAAACCAAGGCACGAGAACTACGTGACAAATGCACAAGCCTCAGTAGCCGATTCGATCAACTGGAAGAAAGGGTATCAGTGATGGAAGATGAAATGAATGAAATGAAGCAAGAAGAGAAGTTTAAAGAAAAAAGAATAAAACGAAATGAACAAAGCCTTCAAGAAATATGGGGCTATGTGAAAAGACCAAATCTACGTCTGATTGGTGTACCTGAAAGTGACAGGGAGAATGGAACCAAGTTGGAAAACACTCTGCAGGATAATAACCAGGAGAACCTCCCCAATCTAGCAAGGCAGGCCAACATTCAAATTCAGGAAATACAGAGAATGCCACAAAGATACTCCTTGAGAAGAGCAACTCCAAGACAAATAATTGTCAGATTCACCGAAGTTGAAATGAAGGAAAAAATGTTAAGGGCAGCCAGAGAGAAAGGTCGGGTTACCCTCAAAGGGAAGCCCATCAGACTAACAGCGGATCTCTTGGCAGAAACTCTACAAGCCAGAAGAGAGTGGGGGCTAATATTCAACATTCTTAAAGAAAAGAATTTTCAACCAGAATTTCATATCCAGCCAAATGAAGCTTCATAAGTGAAGGAGAAATAAAATACTTTACAGACAAGCAAATGCGGAGAGATTTTGTCACCACCAGGCCTGCCCTAAAAGAGCTCCTGAAGGAAGCACTAAACATGGAAAGGAACAACCGGTACCAGCCACTGCAAAAACATGCCAAATTGTAAAGACCATCAAGGCTAGGAAGAAACTGCAGCAACTAACAAGCAAAATAACCAGCTAACATCATAATGACAGGATCAAATTCAAACATAACAATATTAACCTTAAATGTAAGCGGGCTAAATGCTCCAAGTAAAAGACACAGAATGGCAAATTGGATAAAGAGTCAAGACCCATCAGTGTGCTGTATTCAGGAAACCCATCTCACATGCAGAGACACACATAGGCTCAAAATAAAGCGATGGAGGAAGATCTACCAAGCAAATGGAAAACAAAAAAAGGCAGGGGTTGCAATTCTAGTCTCTGATAAAACAGACTTTAAACCAACAAAGATCAAAAGAGACAAAGAAGGCCATTACATAATGGTAAAGGGATCAATTCAACAAGAAGAGCTAACTATCCTAAATATATATGCACCCAATACAGGAGCACCCAGATTGATAAAGCAAGTCCTTAGAGACCTAGAAAGAGACTTAGACTCCCACACATTAATAATGGGAGACTTTAACACCCCACTGTCAACAGTAGACAGATCAACGAGACAGAAAGTCAACAAGGATATCCAGGAATTGAACTCACCTCTGCACCAAGTGGACCTAATAGACATCTACAGAACTCTCCACCACAAATCAACAGAATATACATTCTTCTCAGCACCACACCGCACTTATTCCAAAATTGACCACATAGTTGGAAGTAAAGCACTCCTCAGCAAATGTAAAAGAACAGAAATTATAATAAACTGTCTCTCAGACCACAGTGCAATCAAACTAGAACTCAGGATTAAGAAACTCACTCAAAACCGCTCAACTACATGGAAACTGAATAACCTGCTCCTGAATGACTACTGGGTACATAATGAAATGAAGACAGAAATGAAGATGTTCTTTGAAACCAACGAGAACAAAGACACAATGTACCAGAATCTCTGGGACACATTCAAAGCAGTGTGTAGAGGAAAATTTATAGCACTAAATGCCCACAAGAGAAAGCAGGAAAGATCTAAAATTGACACCCTAACATCACAATTAAAAGAACTAGAGAAGCAAGAGCAAACACATTCAAAAGCTAGCAGAAGGCAAGAAATAACTAAGATCAGAGCAGAACTGAAGGAAATAGAGACACAAAAAACCCTTCAAAAAATCAATGAATCCAGGAGCTGGTTTTTTGAAAAGATCAACAAAATTGATAGACCGCTAGCAAGACTAATACAGAAGAAAAGAGAGAAGAATCAAATAGATGCAATAAAAAATGATAAAGGGGATATCACCACCGATCCCACAGAAATACAAACTAACATCAGAGAATACTATAAACACCTCTACGCAAATAAACTAGAAAATCTAGAAGAAATGGATAAATTCCTCGACACATGAACCCTCCCAAGACTAAACCAGGAAGAAGTTGAATCTCTGAATATACCAATAACAGGCTCTGAAATTGAGGCAATAATTAACAGCTTACCAACCAAAAAAAGTCCAGGAACAGATGGATTCACAGCCGAATTCTATCAGAGGTACAAGGAAGAGCTGGTACCATTCCTTCTGAAACTATTCCGATCAATAGAAAAAGAGGGAATCCTCTCTAACTTATTTTATGAGGCCAGCATCATCCTGATACCAAAGCCTGGCAGAGATACAACAAAAAAAAGAGAATTTTAGACCAATATCCCTGATGAACATCGATGCAAAAATCCTCAATAAAATACTGGCAAACCGAATCCAGCAGCACATCAAAAAGCTTATCCACCATGATCAAGTGGGCTTCATCCCTGGGATGCAAAGACTGGTTCAACATATGCAAATCAATAAACGTAATCAGCATATAAACAGAACCAGTGACAAAAACCATTTGATTATCTCAATAGATGCAGAAAGGCCTTTGACAAAATTCAACAACGCTTCATGCTAAAAACTATCAATAAATTAGTTATGGATGAGACATATCTCAAAATAATAAGAGCTATCTATGACAAACCCACAGGCAATATCATACTGAATGGGCAAAAACTGGAAGCATTCTCTTTGAAAACTGGCACAAGACAGGGATGCCCTCTCTCACCACTCCTATTCAACATAGTGTTGGAAGCTCTGGCCAGGGCAATCAGGCAGGAGAAGGAAATAAAGGGCATTTAATTAGGAAAAGAGGAAGTCAAATTGTCCCTGTTTGCAGATGACATGATTGTATAGCTAGAAAACCCCATCATCTCAGCCCAAAATCTCCTTAAGCTGATTGGCAACTTCAGCAAAGTCTCATGATACAAAATCAATGTGCAAAAATCACAAGCATTCTTATACACCAGTAAAAGACAAACAGCCAAATCATGAGTGAACTCCCATTCACAATTGCTTCAAAGAGAATAAAATACCTAGGAATCCAACTTACAAGGGATGTGAAGGACCTCTTCAAGGAGAACTGCAAACCACTGCTCAATGAAATAAAAGAGGATACAAAGAAATGGAAGAACATTCCATGCTCATGGACAGGAAGAATCAATATCGTGAAAATGGCCATGCTGCCCAAGGTAATTTATAGATTCAATGCCATCCCCATCAAGCTACCAATGACTTTCTTCACAGAATTGGAAAAAACTACTTTAAAGTTCATGTGGAACCAAAAAAGAACCCGCATTGCCAAGTCAATCCTAAGCCAAAAGAACAAAGCTGGAGGCATCACGCTACCTGACTTCAAACTATACTACAAGGCTACAGTAACCAAAACAGCATGGTACTGGTACCAAAACAGAGATTTTTGGTAAACAAAACAGACCAATGGAACAGAACAGAGCCCTCAGAAATAATGCCACATATCTATAACCATCTGATCTTTGACAAACCTGATAAAAACAAGCAATGGGGAAATGATTCCCTATTTAATACACGGTGCTGGGAAAACTGGCTAGCCATATGTAGAAAGCTGAAACTAGATCCCTTCCTTACACCTTATACAAGAACTAATTCGAGATGTATTAAAGACTTAAATGTTAGACCTGAAACCATAAAAACCCTAGAAGAAAACCTAGGCAATACCATTCAGGACATAGGCATGGGCAAGGACTTCATGTCTAAAACACCAAAAGCAATGGCAAGGAAAGCCAAAATTGACAAATGGGATCTAATTAAACTAAAGAGCTTCTGCACAGCAAAGAAAACTACCATCAGAGTGAACAGGCCCTACAGAATGGGAGAAAATTTTTGCAATCTACTTATCTGACAAAGGGCTAATATCCAGAATCTACAATGAACTCAAACAAATTTACAAGAAAAAAACAAACAACCCCATCAACAAGTGGGCGAAGGATATGAGCAGACACTTCTCAAAAGAAGACATTTATGCAGCCAACAGACACAGGAAAAAAGGCTCATCATCACCGGCCATCAGAGAAATGCAAATCAAAACCACAATGAGATACCATCTCACACCAGTTAGAATGGCGATCATTAAAAAGTCAGGAAAAAACAGGTGCTGGAGAGGATGTGGAGAAATAGGAACACTTTTACATTGTTGGGACTGTAAACTAGTTCAACCATTGTGGAAGTCAGTGTGGTGATTCCTCAGGGATCTAGAACTAGAAATACCATTTGACCCAGCAATCCCATTACTGGGTATATACCCAAAGGATTATAAATCGTGCTGCTATAAAGACACATGCACATGTATGTTTATTGAGGGACTATTCACAATAGCAAAGACTTGGAACCAAGCCAAATGTCCATCAATAATAGACTGGATTAAGAAAATGTGGCACATATACACCATGGAATACTAGGCAGCCATAAAAAATGATAAGTTCATGTCCTTTGTAGGGACATGGGTGAAGCTGGAAACCATCATTCTCAGCAAACTATCACAAGGACAAAAAAACCAAATACCGCATGTTCTCACTCATAGGTGGGAATTGAACAATGAGAACACATAGACACAGGAAGGGGAACATCACACACTGGGGCCTGTTTGGGGTGGGGGGGCGGGGGAGGGATAGCATTAGGAGATATACCTAATGTAAATAACGAGTTAATGGGTGCAGCTCACCAGCATGGCACATGTATACATATGTAACTAACCTGCATGTTGTGCACATGTACCCTAGAACTTAAAGTATAAAAAAAAAAAAAAAGAATGAAAAGATCTGCCCTTCAGTAGCTGGAGTGGAATGGGGCAGGAGGGTTTGGAGGAGGATGTGTGGCTCTGAAGACTATACATAGTAGGCAAAGTGCCAGCTGTGACTCGGAACAACCAAAATCAGGACCAGGAGCAGTTTAGAAGAGAAAATAATTCTTGGAAAAAGCAGAAGTATTTGTGGGGTACAGGGGAATTTGTAAGGGACTTAATTTCCTAAGTGAACAGGTAGGAGTTCAGAGGCAGCTAATGCTCATGGGACTTAATTTTATTTCCACAGTTGGTAAAACTCAAGGACAGTGTGGTTACCTTCATTCATTTAATTAAACAAACACAGAGCATGTGCTAGGCATTGCTAAAATCTAGTGTAGAAATCCAGTGTTAAAATCTAGTGTGGAAAGCCAGGCAAGCATTCATCAAACCATAATACAAACCAGATCGGGTAAAGTGCTACACCAAGCAGAACATGAAGGAGGGAGTGATTAATTAAATTCCACCAGAAAAGTTTTTCTAAAGAAGGTAGCATCTGAGTAGAGTACTGAAGTATGCTAGCAATATAAAATTTTATCATACATTGGGATTGCAAAATACAGTGCTTTTATTTAAAATTAAAAAATATTATTAGCTTGTTTTCATCATTCCACAGTATACGCATATATCAAAACATTGTACCCCATAAATATATGCAATTACTATTTGTCAATTAAAAAATTAACTTAAAAACAGTATTGATGAAAACAATTTTATTTTTCTCTGGTAGAAGGAAAAATATTCCCGGTCTCCTGTGAGTGAGTGCCTAAGGTCCCATTCATCTGAAAGAGCGGTGCAGCGCAGCTGAGGTTGCTGGCAGGCATTACAACAGAGCAGTTAAGATTACTGGCTCTACAGTCAGGGACATGGGTTCCAATCCTCCTCCTCTGTCAATTTCCAACCATGCAATTTTGGACATGACTTAAACTCTGTGCTTTAGCTTCCTCATTTGTAAAACAAGGTTAATGATAATAACTACCTAATAGGGCCACTGTAAGAACAAAATGAGCTAATATATGAAAAGTTTTTAATTCATTGTCTAGCACATTTTAAGCATTCTATAAATCATAGCTATTTTTCATTAATGTTTGCATACCAGGCAGGACTCCAATACTGTGTAGAAGTCATGAATTTTAATTTCAGTTCTGCTCCAAAGTGCTCCCTAGGGCTAGGCCAGTGACCCAGATTTTCCATTTCTCATCTTTCTGATTTATCATGTGAGACCAAAGCATTGGCAAGGAAGCTGAATAAGTGGATTTCCTCACTTGCTGGCTGGAGGTCTAGGGAGCAGAAAAGGTGGACATTTCCCCCATCTTGTATCTGTCTTGAGGAAGTGTGTGTGTGTGAGTGTGTGTGTGTGTGTGTGTGTTTATGCAGGAATAGACAACTGGGACAATGCCTTAAAATGTACACAGTATTTCTGATGCATTATCTCATTCATTCGTTCATTCATTCATTCATTCAATAAATAATTACTGTGAACCGTGTGTGTGTGTTTATTCAGATCCATCGCTTTCAATGGTTAGCCTTGTCTGTCAGCCATAACAAAAACCTCAAACCTCAAGGAAAGAAATTACAACCAAGCCTTCAGACAGCTGATGGTAATTTACTCACACAATCCCCTTTATCCTTTCAACACCCACTATTTATCTGTATCTGACGTTGGGAGAGGGGAAATCATGCAAGAAATATGGTATGTAAATTTCTGGAAAGGGGGTTGGAATAGTGAGGGAAGACTTGTGTGAATTACATGAATAATTCTCCTTGATTTGAACATAGGTATCAGTTCTCAAAAATTGAAGGGACTGATGTTAGGGTCAATAAATACATTTCTGGGACCAGAAACAATACTGGAATAAATTCATAAATAGCTTTCAAGGCATTCATGACAATCACACCATCACTAAAATCCGAGTCATTTTCCAGGATGGGGCAAGTAGTTCCAGTACAAGTCAAAGGAGCATGTGTCAATCAATCTAGACTGCTTTAAAAATCCATAGTGATAACAATAACTAAATGGAATGCATGATCCTAGTTCAGATCTTGGATTGGATTCTGAATTAGAAAAAAAAAATATTGCTGCCACGTTCAGTGGCTCATGCCTATAATTTCAACACTTCAGGAGGCTGAGGCAGGAGGATCACTTAAGGCCAGGAGTTCGAAACCAGCCTGTGCAACGTAGCGAGATCTTGTCTCTACAAAAAAAAATTTAAAAATTATCTAGGGATGGTAGTGCAAACCACTAGTTCCAGCTACTCTGGAGGCTGAGGTGGGAGGATCACTTGAGCCCAGGAGTTGAGCCTACAGTGAACTGTAATCACACCACTGCACTCCAGCCTGGGTGACAGTGAGCAAGACCCTGTCTCTTAAAAAAAAGAAAAAATACCTCTAAGGACAAGATAGCCATATATATCCATGGTCCTTGCCTTTGTTTCTTGTATCATGCCATCTACTAGCTGGTCCCTGAAGCCATATATAATAACTTTCACTCATACACACATATGAGTGAAAAGTAACACTGATTTTTTTAACTTTCCAGCTTGAAAAATTTAAAATTTTCAACATATAGTAAAGTTGTAAAACTAGCACAATAAAGTCCTGTAAATCTTTCAATTGCTTCATAGATTGTTAACATTTTGCCACATTTGTTTTCTCTCTTTACACACACACACACACACAAGCACACAGACACAATCATTAGTATTATTTTGATGAACCATTTGAGAGTAAGATGTAGATTCTTCACCCCTAAATATTTAATGTGTATCTCCTAAGAATATTTAAAATCGTTGCATAACTGTATTATGTAAAAGAATATAACACCCTTGGCCGGGCATGGTGGCTCACGCCTATAATCCCAGCACTTTGGGAGGCCAAGGCGGGGGGATCACAAGGTCAGGAGATCGAGACCATCCTGGCTAACACGGTGAAACCCCATCTCTACTAAAAATACAAAAAATTAGCTGGACGTGGTGGCGGGTGCCTGTGGTCCCAGCTACTCGGGAGGCTGAGGCAGGAGAATGGCGTGAATCCGGGAGGCAGAGCTTGCAGTGAGCTGAGATCGTCCCATTGCACTCCAGCCTGGGTGACAGAGTGAGAGTCTGTCTCAAAAAAAAAAAAAAAAAAAAAAAAAAAAGAATATAACACCCTTTTCAGGTCAGCTTTTATCACTATTAAGCAGAACACTTTACATCATAATCTGAAGTCTCAGCAGTGAATTACTTAACTAAAATCAGGAGCTACCCTCTGCTAGATATTTGGCTCACATCTGTACAACCAAAAGTGCTGATCAAAATAATCACTCCCAGGACAAAGGCAAAATATACAACAAAGACAAATTCCCTCTTCTATGCACCAGCCAATTTCTTGGCAGTTTAGAACAGCTGTTTTGTCCTTTCTTCCAGCTGGCAAAGGTTCAAAAATATCAAGATACAGCCTCAGAAAGCTTCACACGAGGAAGAAATTTTAATGAGAAAAATCTCACGTTCTGTATTCGCTTTTGTTTTCATTTTTATTTTAGCATATAAAATGTCAAAATACTGAGCTGTTGAGTACCGTATCAAACATCTGGCAATTCTGGACAAAAGATGAGCAAAACTCAACAGTCCTTTATCTTTGCAAAGTTCAAGTGGCTTTAGGAGTTAATGCCATAGGGGTAGGGTGCCACGCCTCATGCCTGTAATCCCAGCACTGTCGGAGGTGAGGCAGGCAGATGGCTTGAGCACAGTAGTTCGAGACCAGCCTGGGCAACATGTGAAACCCATCTCTACAAAAAATACAACAAAAATTAGCCAGGCGTGCTGGTGCACATCTGTAGTCCCAGCTACTCAGGAGGCTGAGGTAGGAAAGTGGCTTGAGCCTGGGAGGCAGAGGTCACAGTGAGTGGAGACTGTGCCACTGCGCTCCAGCCTGGGTGAAAGAGCCAGACGCTGTCTCAAAAACCAAAACAAAACATTATATCAGTTTGGTAAAAGAACAAGCACATCCAACATTAACCATCACAATTCCTTTCGACCAGAATAATCTTTTATTCAGATAAAAGTATCCCAGTTTTAGGCTATGCGTGTGATATAATAATAACAGACAGAGAGGTACAGAAATACCCAAGCTGGCCCAGGCTCAGAGCTTGTGGTATACAGAAGAGAATTATTGCATCCTTTATTTGCTGGCTTCGGTACATTCTTAGGAGATAGAGGGAGGGAAAAAAAAATCAAAACCAGAAGGGTCTGGTGCTGATGGACCAGATCAATTGGTTCAAACTTTGATTCAACTGTTAAGGTATTCAGGGCTGGAACTAGGATGAGAGGAGCAAGGCACTCACCTGAGGTGCGAAGTTTAAAGCGTGCCAAAATCTCGGTAATCAAGATAAATCATATTTTAATGCAATATTTTAGAAAAATAGTAATGCAAAAAAAATCCGCAATGAACAAAATATCAAAACTTTAAATAAAGACAGGATCTGACCCTGCATTTTCATGATTCAGGGAGTGTCTTACTTGCTTCGTCCTAGTCCAGGCCCAACTTGTTCATCCCCAGATGATGTGCCAAAAGCCACATCTTTAGGTGTCTCCTCTGGTGCTCTCTAGTGCTATGTTCTGCTGACCTTGTTGGCAACAGCTCTCTGTCTGTTATGAATGGTTGGACATCAGGTGGCACCTTTAAGATACCACAAGGTAAAAGCAACTCTCTGAGCCAAGGCCAGCTCTTCCAACCTCCTTCCAAACAGTCTTACGTCTCAAGGGCAAGTTTCTGTGATGTATAGGGCATCAGGGAGAGGGTAGAATGGGGTAGAAAGGGGAGATAATGGGAGAGGGAAAAAAGAACAGGTGACCTCATGAGTTGGCACTAATGTAACTAGAGTGCAATTTTTCAAGAGTCTATCTTTTTTAAGAAAACCTTGAGCCCCAACTCTTATTTGGAGGCACCTGCTCACTCACCTCCAAAACCAAATCCACCTCACCTCTATTCTTCTTTTCACATTGTGTACGGGTAGTTCTGGAAATCAAAGTGGCCATGCTGCTTCCTCCATGCAGCCTGTAGTGAATTCAAGTAGTGTAGGATACTTCAAACTGGAGCTTCTCTACTGTGAATAGCTGCTCATCCCCAAGTACCAAACCTAATTTTGTGACAATGAAAACCATCTGCAGGTGCCCCCTGCTGGTGGTACTATCCTAGAGACTTGCCTTCACTGATGTATTTTGTTTGGTCAATGGTCCAGAAAGTCACAGTCACAGTCACCAACACTATTCCCTATGCCCTTACACCTAAGCAGGTTCACTTATTTATGCTACCCGCCAGGCACCTGCAGGTGTGTGGCATTTGCATTTTCCTTCTATGGCTTCCTAGTTCCTCATGGTGGGAACCTGGGGCCCGACTTCTTGCCTCTCAAACTATTAATATGTCTGCCTCACAGGGCCAGGCACTTCTCTAGTCTTGAGTCACCCATGTCATTCTTTTAACCTACCCTCGGGTAGGACACTGGAGCCATAGATGTGAACCTTAGCCTTTAAGGCACGCAAGAAGACACTGAAGTCCCCAGGGCCAGTCACTGCCAGCAATGTCTTCCAGCGGTGGTTGAAGGGATGACTGAGGCAAGCAGAGTCTGAGTTTGTTATTGTTCTGAGGATATAGACAAAAATCTTTAATAAGGCTTACATAGCTTGGCATAGTCTTCAGCCTCAGCTCTGGTTATACTCCCCCTTCCCTTTTGTGCTTAGTTTGTACTAGTCTTGTTCCAGAAGAAGAAAGGGAGAACTAATTCTGCTGCTCCTCTGGTGTCCAGGAGCTCAGGTAATGGATGCAGACTGTAATAGGCAGTCTCTAAGTTGGTCCCCAGTGATCCCTGGTCATCAAACCCTTGTGTAATTCCCTCGCCTTGAGTCTGGGATGGATCTAGTACTCATTTGTAATGAATACAGTAGGGCAGCAGTGATGGAATGTTGCTTCCGAGATTAGATTATTTTTTAAAAAGCAAAAACAACTGTGGCTTCCATTTGGAGTATGCATGCTCTCTTTCTTTTAGATCAGTTGTGCTGGGGGAACTAAGCTACCGTGTTATAAGCAGACCTATTGTGTGGACAGGAACTAAAGCCTGCCAAATACCGTGTGCGTGAGTCTGAAAACGGACCTTTCAGCCCCTGTCGAGTCTTGAGGTGACAGCAGCCCCAGCTGAGTGCTTGACTGCAACCTCATGAGAGAACTTGAGGCAATTCTAACCAGCTAAGCTGCTCCCAGATTGCTGACCCTCCAAAACTGTGAGTACTAAATACTTGCAGTTTTCAGCCACTGAGGTGATTTGCTATGCAGCAATAGTAATAGTAACAAACACACAGACTTCTGAACCTTTCCCCAATCCAAGGTCATTCTGTGGAGTTAGAGACCCAGCTCTCCCATTCACAAAGAAGCTATTATTCTCTCTACAGTAAAGAAAGACAAAGAAGTCAGAGCAGTTTTTTAATGCTGCACATCAGGAAACTAGATGTATGCTGAAAATTTGGGAGTGATAAGTAGGACCTTTCCCAGTCTGTAGAATATACCACCAAAGCATGCTCACTCGAGAATGTGCTTTTGATTACTACCAAGCACACTTTTTTTTCTTTTTGAAGATATGTGCAAACAATGAAAACCCTTCTTGCTGAAATTACAATACAGCCGTACATTTTGGTTGAAATGTTTATTTGGAGATTTCAAAGTCAAGGTTGATATAGCCAAAAGATAATACAGATTAGACTATCATGGAAACAAAAAGAATCTAAAATTTGATATTGTTTGTACACTAGGGTCACTGCTCATGTTAACATTTCCTTCATTGCATCCACTTTCTCGGAGCTGGTGTTGTAGGGTTAGATGTGAGTGTGAATGAGCGTGCGTACAGTGGACAAAATCCCCCCATTCTGTAAATGCGTGTGCCTATTATTCTGGGCAGTGAACCCAGCCTGCTTTAAGTCTTTGTTATTTGAATAGTGTCCCAGACTCTCCTTTGAAATGTGTGGTTCACCTATTTTTATTAACCTTAATATGGAGCTTTCTGATGCTTTTTTGATAGATTCTTGGTCGTGCCCAGGTACACTTCCTTTCGTTTTAAACAGGTCATATATTTCTCTGTGCTGGCCTTCAGGTGGTGTGCCATATAAATTAGAAAGCAAATTTTCACAAGGTCAAATTTTAATCATGCAGCTTAGTATTTTTAAACAGATGACATTTTCATACTTGGTATGCTAACTTGAAGACCAGACCATTTTTGCCCAAGTTCTACCAAAGGTTTTCGTTTTATAGTCTTCATTTGTTTTGTTTTGGTTTACTTTTTAACAAAAAGCAAACCTAGGAAAAAATTTTAAAAACATACAAGATGCACAAAAACAATTACTCTAATACACATGAAACAGAAAATCAACACCTGCCAATTAAACACAACTTCTACCATTTCATAACTGTGTGATCTTGTCAAATTACTTAACCTCTCTATAAAACGGGATCACGATAGCATCTTTCTCACAGAATTATAGTGAAAATTAAATAATATTATTCTTATGAAATGTTTAAGATCGGGCCTAGCATTTATCATTTACTCGATAAATATTAATCATGTAATTATATATGTAATTATGGTGATAATGATAATGTTGCTGCCATGAGATGTCAGGTTTCACAATATAAAATCATTACAGAATTCTGTTTGGAACTCCTGTGAGACCTAGTATGAATCACCTATAGTTATGAGGCTGCTCTAGCAAATAAATCTAAGAGAACAGGCAACTTCATGAAGAGGTTAAAGTGTCCTAGGGCAGTGGTCTCCAACCTTTTTGGTACCAGGAACCATTTTCAAGGAAGGCAACTTTTCCATGGACAGCGTGGGGGATGGATTTGGAATGATCATCAGGTATTAGATCCTCGTAAGAAGCAGGCAACCTAGATCCCTCATATGCCCAGTTCACAATAGGGTTCCCGTTCCTATGAGAATTGAATGCAGCTGCTGGTCTGCTGATCGACAGGAGGTGGAGCTCAGGGGTAATGCTCGCTGGCCTGCCACTCACCTCCTGCTATGCAGCCGGGGTCCTAACAGGCCAGAACCAGTACCAGTCCATGCTCTGGGGGCTGGGGACCCCTGTTCTAGGGAAATACCATCACCATGTCTGCTACCCCTCCCACCGTGGGCGCTACCACCATTTGGTCACCATATGCAACCCTGTGTGAAGATATTCTTAATACTATCCAGGGTCCTTTTCATTTGAGTGACCTCTATCTCTTTGTCCCACCATCTAACTCCCACCCTCATAATGAGTGGGGAGAAAACCTCCACCAGGGTGAAGCAAAAAACCTCAAACAGAGGCTTCAAACAAAACTTAATATAAAGACTCCAACCATGAAGTTGTCTCTTTTTATCCCCCGGTTATCTTCTTTGTTGGTTTTGTTTTCGGGATCTGCAGGGTACCAAGTTATCTGCTAGAAGGCTCAGTCCTTCTCTTCTTACCAGCCCCGCTGCTACCGCCATGATGTAAATCGCTATGATCTCACATTGGTGTTACTTACTGCAATAGCCAGCAAAGCAGCTCCCTTCCTTCCACTCTTGGCCTCCTAAGGTCTGTTTTCCAATAGCAAAGTGACTTTTTAACATTTTTCAGATCATTTGATGTTCCTGTTTTAAATCTTCATTGGCTTCCCCATGTCCTTAGAATAACATCCACTTCTTACCACGGCCTATGAGGTCTCAGGTGACCTGGCTCAGGTTCACCTCTGCCCCCTCCTCTTATTTATTATGCTCCAGCTGCACTGGCCATTTTCTTCCTCAAACACACTAAGCTTATTTCTACCTTAGGGGTTTTGCAGTTCTTTCACCTCCTGCTTTAATTCCTCTCTAACGAAGTTTTTTTAAAATAAACTTTATTAATATCAGAAATCCCTTTATTTGTATATTTATTTATTTGTTTTCTGTCTACGTCCTCACTGAGCCTTTATCCAATAATCTTGTTCCTCATTTTATTCTAGCACCTAGTATTGTGCCTGCCATTCCATATATACCTTTTGGAAAGATCAGTGAACAGACTCCAGCTATTTTTTAAAATAGGATTTACTGGAAGAGGAGACCCACAGAATCAAAGGAACAGTTGAAGACTCAAAAGAACAGGCTCAGAAGGGGCAGGAATAGGGAGGGGCAGGAACAGGGGAAGCAATTAGGATCTAGGTAGCAAGAAGGGGCCGATTGGTTCTGGCCACTTTTTGCTACTCTTATGTTGTTCCACTGATGATGCAATGCTCAAAAAATCAGATCATTGGGAGGCCGAGGCGGGCGGATCACGAGGTCAGGAGATCGAGACCATCCTGGCTAACACGGTGAAACCCCGTCTCTACTAAAAATACGAAAAATTAGCCGGGCGAGGTATCGGGTGCCTGTAATCCCAGTTACTCTGGAGGCTGAGGCAAGACAATGGCGTGAACCCCAGGGGGCGGAGCCTGCAGTGAGCCGAGATCGCCCCACTGCACTCCAGCCTGGGCAACAGCGAGACTCCGCCTCAAAAATAAATAAATAAATAAATAAATAAATAAATAAATAAATAAATAATCAGATCATCCTCGTGTGGGTCTTAAGATTATCATTTAGCTCGGGATACCTTAAACAAACTTCCCACCAAGACTATAAACCATGGCAAAGAAGACAATTCTAGCCACCCCCCCCCCAAAAAAAAGTAGGGTTATTGTCCAAAGAAGGGAGGAATGGACACACCCACAGTCAAAAACCCAAAACCAAACAAAAGTCTGCAATAATCTCTGACTTGACATTTTGTCATCTAGAAGACAACTACTTTCTTTCTTTTTTTTTTTTTTTTTTTTTTTTTTGAGATGGAGTTTCCAGGCTGGAGTGCAGTGGCGCGATCTGGCTCACTGCAACCTACGCCTCCTGGGTTCAAGTCATTCTCCTGCCTCAGCCTCCTGAGTAGCTGGGATTACAGGCGCCTGCCACCACGCCTGGCTAATTTTTTGTATTTTTAGTAGAGAGGGGGTTTCACCATTTTGGCCAGGCTGGTCTCAAACTCCTGACTTCAGGTGATCTGCCCCGCTAGGCCTCCCAAAGTGCTGGGATTACAGGCGTGAGCAACCGCGCACGGCCAACATCTACTTTCTTGCAGTATTAACTGATGTTTGTTTAAGAGATATAAACAGATTTCGGCCGAGCTCAGTGGCTCACACCTGTAATCCCAGCACTTTGGGAGGCCGAGGCGGGCGGATCATGAGGTCAGGAGATGGAGACCATCCTGGTTAACACGGTGAAACCCCATCTCTACTAAAAAATACAAAAAATTAGCCGGGTGTGGTGGCGGGCGCCTGTAGTCTCAGCTATTCGGGAGGCTGAGGCAGGAGAGTGGCGTGAACCCAGGAGGCGGAGCTTGCAGTGAGCCAGATCGCGCCGCTGCACGCCAGCCTGGGAAACAGAGCAGGACTCCGCCTCAAAAAAAAAAAAAAAAAAAAAAAGATATAAACAGATTTCAATATTAAGTCAAATAAAAGAAGAAAGATAAATCTGTTCAAAATTATACAGCATACTAAAAAGATATGCTTTTAAATGTCTTCTCTGTCCTATGATTCAGAATAAACTAGAGGTCAGGAGACAGTTCCATGAGATATCCTTTTGGATATCCCAAACTAAATTAATTCTCTCCTTTCCCTGACATCTGCTTCTCATACCATATTATCTATCTCAGTTAATGAAATTACTATTTACTCTCTGACTGGCCTAGGAATTTGTTTAGACAGAGTTTACTTGTCTAGAGTAATAAACTGGAGAATAACATTTGTTTCCACCATCTCCCTCATTTCCCACACTCAATTAATCAAAAAATCCTATCAGTTCTAACTCAAATTCTCCAACCTATCTCTTCCTCGCCATTCCCAATACCAATGCCTGTGTTCAGGCCCTTATTACCTTTGGCCGTGAACCACTTGCAACAGTTTCTCAGTGATCTTCACTCAATCCACTTAAGCCCATCTCTCACACGATTGCCACACTTACAACTCTAAAACAAAGATCTATGTCTGCCAGACTCTTCTTTAAAAGCTTCTATAATTCCACACTGTCTACAAAAATAAAAGCCAACCGCCTCTGTGTCTTAGCTGAAATGACAGAATACAAAAGTTTCTCAGAATGATTTATAAATGCAACCTTTTCTTTAATATGGAGGTTCTTTAACCCTGGTATACATGAGAAAACTTGTAGTGCATTTAAAGAACACTGATGCTAAGACCTCAATCTGAAAAAGTCTGATTTAATTGGTCTGGAATGAAGCCTTACATCAGCTTTTTAAAGACCTCCCCCAAATAATTCTAATATGTAGTCAGGGTTGAAAACTACTAATTTATAACGTGGCTAGAAAGACACTTCTACTTCCAGACAGCATGCGGTAATAGGGTTGGTATTCATTCCCCTTCACCCCTGACAGAAATTACTAAAAAATAGGACAAGATATATAAAATAATTATTTTCAGACACTGGATGTCAGACAACATAGGAAAGTTATCCAAGAGAAGAGAGAAACAAGCAAAGTAAGCCATACAACTGTCCTACTTAACTGCCCCAGAGCTCACAGAGAGGGAATCCAGGCAGAGCCTGGTGATCTGCCTGAGTTGAAGAGATCATGCAGAGATTTGAGAAGGCCAAGGCAGGTAGAGTTCATGGGGAAGAGTACCAGAAAGAATAGAAAATTCCAGAGATCTGTGGAGAGTCTCCTTGAATATTCAGCTGAATACTGATCGGTATATCAGGAAACTACCAAGGTTGGGGTAAGAACCACACAAGAGAATCAGATTAAACAATCCTCTTGGCTCATACAAGGCTGGAAGTAGTTTGTTTCATCATCTACTAAAGTGGGAAAAGCCTCATAATTAACAGGATATTGGCTAGAGTACTTAGAAGGGTATCACCCAAGTAATGGGGAAAATTAATCATCTTTAAAAAGTTGCTTGGGTTCCCCATAATGAAGCTTAAGATCAAGAAGGATCTGTTTCCAACTAACTTAACTGTGACCCAGAATAAAGCTCAATAATGTTTATGGGAATGCAAAACTATCTAACACCCAATATGTAAAATGTTTAATGTGTGGTATCAAATCAAAGTATTGCCAGGTGTGCAAAGAAGCAGGAAACAGTACTTAAAATGAAGAGAAAAATCAATTACCAGAAACATACTCAGAACTGAACAAATGTTAGAATTGTTATTATAGTATTTTAAATGTTCAAGAAAGTAGAACAAAGATTGATAAAATGAAGTAAAATATTAATACATGGGCGGGGCACAGTGCCTCACGCCTGTAATCCCAGCACTTTGGGAGGAGGTGGGCAGATCACCTGAGGTCAGAAGTTTGAGACCACCCTGGCCAACATGGTGAAACCCCATCTCTACTAAAAATACAAAAATTAGCCAGGCGTGGTGGTGGGTGCCTGTAATCCCAGCTACTCAGGAGGCTGAGACAGGAGAATTGCTTGTACCCGGGAGGCAGAGATTGCAGGTTGCAAGGAGCTGAGACCGTAACATTGACAAGAGTGAAACTCCATCTCAAAAAAAAAGAAAAAAAATTAATACATGAAAGTTACAAACTTCTAGAGATGAAAAAGACAATATCTGAGATGAAGAATACACTGGATGGAATTAACAACAGATTAGACACTGTAGAAGAAAAAGTTAGTGAACTTAAAGACATAGCAATGAAAATGATCCAAAAATAAAACAAGAGAAAGAAGACAAAAAGTGAACAGAGCATCAGTGATCAATGGGAAAAATTTAAATGACCTAATATATATGTAACTGAAGTCCCTAAAGGAACGGAGTTATAGAGGGCAACAAAAATTTTTGAAAAAATAATGGCTGAAAATTGTCCAAGTATAATGAAAACTGTAAACACACAGATCCGGTAAGCGTAACAAATCCAAAGCACGAGAAACATGAAAGTAACCACACCTAGGCACATTTTAATCAAATTGCTTAAGATCAGTGATAAAGAGAAAAATTTATAAGTATTCAGGAGAAAAAAGAACATTATATAGAGAGAAACAAGGATAAGAATGAGAGCATAACTTGAAAATTAAAAGACAACAGAGAAGCCAGGCACAGTGACTCGTGCCTGTAATTCCAGCACTTTGGGAGGCTGAGGAGGGCAGATCACCTGAGGTCAGCAGTTCGAGACCAGCCTGACCAACATGGAGAAACCCCATCTCTACTAAAAATACAAAATTGGCTGGGCATGGTGACGTATGCCTGTAATCCCAGCTACTCAGGAGGCTGAGGCAGGAGAATCACTTGAACCCGGGAGGTCGAGGTTGCGGTGAGCCGAGATGGCATCATTGCACTCTAGCCTGGGCAACGAGAGCGAAACTCCATCTCAGAAAAAAAAAAAAGACAACAGAGCAACATCTTTAAAGAGCTGAAGGAAAAAAAGAGCAGTCACCTGGAATTCTACAACCAGCAGAGTAGGTTTCTTGTGCATACAACCCGTGTAGTCACACAGGGCTTTGCACTCAGAAGGACTGGCTTGGTTTAATGCTCTGTTGTTGATGACTTGAAATTCTTAATAATATTTGAACAGAGGGGTCTACATTTTTATTTTGCATTGAGCCCCACAAAGTATGTAGTCAGTCCTGATAACCAGCAAGAATATCTTTCAAACATGAAGGTGAAATAAAGACTTTTTCACATACAAAAGCTGAAAGAATTTTCCCACCAGCAAATCTGCACAAGAATAAGAAGGATTAAAGAAATTCTTTCAGGCAGAAGGAAAATGATACCAGATGAAAATAATGAAGAATATTGGAAATGGTAAATATGTCAGTAAATATGAAACTTTAAAAATATCTTTTACATCACTAATCAGTAAGGAAATGCAAATCAAAACCACAATGATATTTCACTTTATACCCATTAGGATGGCAATTATTTTAAAAAACAAAAACAGAAAATATCAGTGTTCATGAAGATATGGGGAAACTGAAACCCTTGTACACTGTTGATGGGAATGTAAAATGGTGCAGCTGCTGTAGAGAACAGTATGGTCTTTCCAAAAAATTAAATATAGAATTACCATATATGCAATAATCCCTCTTCTTTTGCAACCCAAAAGCATTGAAAACAGGGACACAAAGAGACATCTGTACATCCATATCTGTTGCAGCATTATTCACAGTGGCAAAAGGTGGAAACAATTGAAATTTCCATTAACAGATGAATGGATTAATAAAATGTTGTATAAACATACAATGGAATATGATTTGGCCTTTTAAAAGGTACATCATTATAAGCCTGAGCAACAAACTGAGACCCCATCTCTACAAAAATATCAAAAAAATTGCTTGTAATCCCAGCCATTTGGGAGGCCAATGTGGGAGGATCGATTGAGCCCAGGAGGTCAAAGCTGCATTGAACCATGATTGTGCCAGTGCACTCCAGCCTGAATGATAGAGTAAGACTATCTCACACACAAAAAAGTACGTAATTACAACACATGCTACAACACGGATGACCCTAAAAGAGATTATGCCAAGTGAAATAGGCTGGAGACAAAACAACAAATATATGATCCCACGTATAAAAGGTGGCTAGAGTAGTCAAATTCATAGAGCCAGAAAGTAGAATAGTGGTTACCAGGAGGTAGGGGAGGGAGAATGGGTAGCTACTGTTTAATGGATACAGAGTTTCAGTTTTGGAAAAAGAGAAAATTTTGGAGATGGATGGTGGTACTTGTTGCATAATAATGTGAATGTACTTAATGCAACTACTGACCTGTACACTTAAAATGGCTAAACTGGTAAATTTGTGGGGGAAGAAGAGTTTATTTAGTTCTTTTTTTTTTTTTTTTTTTTGAGACAGAGTCTTGCTGTGTCACCAGGCTGGAGTGCAGTGGTGTGATCTTGGCTCATTGCAACCTCTGCCTCCCTGGTTCAAGCGATTCTCCTGCCTCAGCCTCCCGAGTAGCTGGGATTACAGGCGCATGCCACCACACCCAGCTAACTTTTGTATTTTTAACAGAGACAGGGTTTCACCATGTTGGCCAGGATGGTCTCCGTCTCCTGACCTCGTGATCTGCGTGCCTCAGCCTCCAAAAGTGCTGGGATTACAGGCGTGAGCCACTGTGACTGGACTATTTAGTTCTATTTATTCATTTATGCAATGATGGTCTCAGCAGTAGGTAATAAAATATAACCTTATATTTAAAATTCATTTTTCATTTTGAAAGGTTTGGATCTTTGTCTCTTCTTTCTACTTTACTATTTTATTTATTTATTTATTTATTTATTTATTTATTTATTTATTTTTAATGGTGGTGGATCTGAGATCTACCTTACTGTTTTAAATACTTAACTCCGACCAAATAGAAGATAAATACAAATTGTATTCCCTTACTTTTCTCTAAGGCCATGCTGGTACAACTAGAATTGGCTCTTTAGAATGTAGGTATCATTTATAGTAAGCTGGAGATTTGATCACAGAATGATACATGTAAGAATGTCATAGCACAAAAAAATGCACAGATATTTTTAAAAGGACAAATTTCAGGACACTTTCCATCTGAGTTCATAAGAAAGTCCTCTTGAGTATCCTTCAAAGTTAAAACCCTCTCCCCTTCAGATTAATGAAAATATTAGGATGCATAGAACACAATGGGCACTGGTGATATGGCCCATGGTAGCTGAATTAGATTGAGTATAAATGAAGTCTTCACATAATAGCAAAGAGGCCAACAGAAGAAAGGCCAGAAAGCCACTTGAAACTCATGTCCATGGAAGACCAAATGAAGTTGATTTAACTGTTCCCTTAGAAAGATATTATCCCATTGCTTAGCCCTCAAAGTGCTCATACTGCTACTTTCCTTCTTTATATCACCAGTTCTGGGAGCAAACCTCCTGAAAGAATGGAAGTATAGACTGTAAATACAAGACTGTGGGTACAGCAAAGGGGCTCTGATGCTCTAGTTGTTTGTGTCTAGATACTGTCAAATGTCCCTTGTGATGCACAATTGCCCTTAGCGGAGAACCATTAACCAAAATAAATGAAATAATATGTCATGTTCATGCATCAGAAGACCCAATGTTGTTAAGATATCAATTCTCTATAAGTTGATCTATAGACTCAATGTGACCCCAATCAAATACCCCACTGGCTTTTTGTCTACATTTACAAGTGAATTCTGAAATGTATATGGAAATTCAAAGAACCTAACACAATGAAAACAATTTTGAACAAGAAGAGCAAAGCTCAAGAATTTGACTACGTGATTTCAAAACGTATAAAGCTACTGTAACCAAATCAGTTTGGTATTAGTCTAAAGATGGATAAGGGAGGCTGAGGCAGTAGAATTGCTTGAACCCAGGAGGCGAAGGTTGCCGTGAGCCAAGATTGTGCCACTGCACTCCAGCCTGGGCAACAGAGTTAGACTCCATCTCAAAAAAAGAAAAAGGAAAAAAAAAAGGCAGATAAATAAATCAGTCAAACACAATAGAAACCCAGATACAGACGATTATATATGTGGTCAATTGATTTGAACAAAGGTGCTAAGGCAATTAAATGGAAAAAGGATAGTGCTCTTAACAAACAGTGTTAGAACAACTGTACATCTACATGCAAAAAAAAAAAAAGATAAAAAAGAAAAAAAAAAACACCTTGATCACAATATACAAAAGTTAACTCAAATGGATCATAGGCCTAAATGTAAAAATGCAAAACTATAAAACTTCTAGAAAAAAATAGAATATTTTTGTAATCTGGATTAAGTAATGATTTCTTAGATATGACATTAAAAGCAGAACCATAAAAGAAAAAACTGATAATGTTTATTTACCACAGCAAAATTTTAAAATGTCTGGTCTTCAAAAGACACTGTTACTAAAATGGAAAGACAATCTGCACAGTGGGAGAAAATATTTGCAAAGAACATATATAATAAAACTTGCATTTAGAATATGAAATGAACCCAATGAACTCAGTGAAACCCAAACAACTCAATGGAAAATGGGCAAAATATTTCAACAGACACTTTACCAAAAATATGTAGATAATAATCAAGCTCATGAAAAAAAAGCTCAATATCATTAATCATTAGGGAAATTTAAGTCAAAAAACCATAAGATTTCACACCCACTAGAATGGCTATAATATAAAAGATGTACAGTAACAAGTATTGAGAAGGATGTGGAGAAATGAGAACCTTCATACATTGCTAGTGGGAATGTAAAAGGTACAACCCTTTTGGAAAACGATTTGGCAGTTTCTTTAAAAGCATGCCTAGTGTTATATACCCCGAGAAATGTGCCCAAGAGAAATGAAAGACATGTGCACAGATAATTATAGCAACTTTATTTGTAATAGCCATAAAACTGGAAACAACTCAACGAATGGTGAATCAATAACGTGTAGCACATTCATACAATGAAATACTACTCAGCAACAAAAGGAAATGAGCTACTGATACCCACAACAGCATAGATAAGTTTCAAAATAATTATGCTGAGTGAAAGAAGCCAGACAACAACAAAGAGTAGATACTGTATGATTCCATTTATATGAAATTCTAGGAAATGCAAAGTAATATATAATGACAAAAGCAGAGGGGCGGGAAGGAGGAATTTAAAAAGGGCAGAAGGAACCTTTTTGGGATCATGGATAAGTTCGTCATCTTGATTGTGGTGATGATTTCACAGGTATATACATACGTTGAAACTTCAAATTGCACACTTTAAATTTGCCCAGTTTATTGTATGTCAGTTATATCTCAATAAAGCTGTAGAACAGCAACAACAAAGAGATGGCTAGACAAGCATATTACAGTAGTTGAAGTTTGATGTTAGAAATTCACTGAATCTTCTCTGAAGTCATTGTCCTCTGACAGTTGTCTGCAGGTTTCAAGCTATCCACCTACACAGAATGTGCAATCTGCTGGGCTTCAAAAGCACACATTGAGGCAGATGGCCAACAGCTGACAATTCACTTAATTTCTCTTTTTAAATAGTTATATACTTGAAAAAGGATCGAGTTTGAATTAAATCCTCACAGAAAATTTCTATCACAGCATGGGATTCACTTCAATAAAGCATCTTCCCACTGTCATAAATCTGCTTGTGTTCTTTTGGCAAAATTTTCTTCCCACTCAACCTGGCTTTGTTATCTTGTCAAGCCAGACAAAAATTCACCTCCTGTATAAAGCCGTCTCTGATCATCTGCCTTTTTAAATTTTTAAATTTTTTAATTTTTCTTTTTTGAGATGGAGTCTCACTCTGCCACCCAGGTTGGAGTGCAGTGGTGCAATCTCGGCTCACTGCAACCTCCGCCTCCCTGGTTCAAGTGATCCTCCTTCCTCAGCCTTCTGAGTAGCTGGGATGACAGGCGCACCACCACACCCAGCTAATTCTTTGTATTTTCATTAGTGATGGAGTTTTACAATGTCGACCAGACTGATCTCAAACTCCCGACCTCAAGTGATCCACCGGCCTTGGCCTCCCAAACTGCTGGGATTAACAGGCATGAGCCACCGTGACCGGCCTCATCTGCCTTTTAGCACCATAGAGAGGTGCCATTAACCACCTGGTTTATATTGCCAGCATGTAGGGGCTGTAATATGGTACCCCAGCCCCACCTCCCTACCCCATCATTATTTTTTCTTAAAGAAAATAAGCTTGCCACTTAGAATTTAAACTTTACAATTAAGATAAACTGATTTAGAGAATAAATGTAGACACTTGAAACAGTCACAAGGATCCCCAAACCAGATTATAATCTGACTGAAAATATTAGCATATCAGAGATAGAAAAAGAGATGTACCTAAGAAGGGAGGACAATCATCAGTGGACACTTACTGTCCAGGAAAAAAGAACCTATGTGTACACCTTGATGCTCTGAAGCTATCAAATTATTTGAAATTTAGAATCCACTAATTAATTCCTCTTGCTCTAGATTCAAGTTTCAAAAACAACCTTTTGGCTGTAATTTGGCTCTCAAATGTGGCACATATACCAAGAGATATTTTGCTGGGATCATAAAAGAGAGTCTAGTTCCCTAAGATGTTAAAATTCTCATTATAAATTAGTAATTTGTTATTCTGGGTTTATATAGTAGTCCTGTGATTTATCAGTTTAAGAAACAGACTTGGCTGGGTGCAGTGGCTCATGCCTATAGTCTCAGCACTTTGGGAGGGTGGGGTGGTAGGATTGCTTGAAGCCAGGAGTTTGAGACCAGCCTAGGCAACATAGCAAGACTCCATCTCTACACAAAATAATTTTTTAAAAGTAGCCGGAAATGGTGGTACACAACTGTGATCTCAGCTACTTGGGAGGCCAAGGCAAGAGGATCCCTTGAGCCCAGGAGTTGGAGACTGCAGGGAGCTATGATTGCACCACTTCACTCCAACCTAGGCAACACAGTGAGACTCCATCTCTGAAAAAAAAAAAAAAAGAAAGAAAGAAAAAGAAAAGAAACAGACTTAACAAGTTAAAGACCAGATTTCAACATATTTTCCAAGATAATGCCACTTTCTATGGCCTGTTAGGGAAGTCAGCTTTCCTTGGAGAAATAGAGAGAGAGAGAGAGAGAGGGAGAGAGAGAGAGAGAGAGAGAGAGAGAGAGGTCTACAGTTCATCTTTCTGTTACAGCACTTACTCCATACTCCAGTTACTGAAGCACATTATAGAACTACAGATTCTGAGTTACCTGAGGGTAGTTTTGTATCCAGTTTGTGCTGGCCTCCACCATCATTGCTCAATAAGTAACACTGAACTGAACTGAATTTGGATAACGTGCAAGGCTGCTTTTTTACATTTTTTAGTTGATTGAGAGTTAGAAAATCGTACCAAAAACACCACTCCCCAAGTATAACCTCTAATACGCTAACATTCATTAAACCTCTAACACTATAGCTAAAGTTGTTACATTTTTTAAAGTACGCTAAACTGGGGAATTGATTTTTAAATAAAGGGCAAAGTAGCACTAACCTCAGTCAAGTTGCTGTAAGTGTTTCATTTGGGAATTGTGAAATTTTTTAAAAACATTTCAAGACTTATCATTACATCAACGAAGATGAATATAGGTGTAGTTTGTCAGATGAGTAACTATTAAGGAAACCATGAATGTTTGCTATCTACTTTCACAATTAAACCACAATTTAGAGGATCAAATTCTAACCCTATAAACTTTTTTTTAACCAAAGACAGGGAGAAAAATCATACTCTTGTGATAAGGAGTCATAATTCATTTTAAATTCTGCAGGATTAATGCTGCTTTCCAGATAAGAAGAATTCACCCCGTGTGCGTAAGGTGATTAAGGAGCCTTGGAATTATAAATACACATTCAGATTAATTTTTTTGTTCTAAGCTTTAAATAAAATTTCAAAGTATTTTATAAAATAATTAACATCCCATAGATATGCTTTTTTAAAAAAGTAATTATGTCTATAAAAGTAATTTGTATAAGGCAATAAAAATTTTACTTTATAAAAAAATCAAACAATGAATACTTTTTGCTTAATTCTTTCTTAGGAGCAGTAATTTATTATGGGTTCCTTAGAAGACATGTGATTTATTTAAGCTCTATTAACTGAATGTGAGTCTGTTTTCTGACATAAACAGTGGATAGTGTTATGAAAAAATAAAATTGTCAGTGAATAGGCTAAATTTCATAGTTCACAAATATAGCTATCCTGAACATAGAATACAGATCCAATGAACATTTAGTTTTATAATTAGCACTGTTTTAATCCAAATTCCAATTTTATGCATGGGAAACTGAGGCCTAGAGAAATGAAGTAACTTTTTACAGACCCGTTAGCTCAGAGGCTGGAATCACTAGGCCTGGTAGTTTGATTTATGAGTACTACCTTCCATGAGATAAAAAGCTAAAAATGCTGTGATGAGGACATGTTTATTTCTAAAAAGCCTGCAGCACAATCTATCTCTTCTCCCAAAAATCGTATGTATGACAGATTTTTATGTTACTGCTGCTACACGAAGAAAATTGAGCCTAATATGTTCGGTCTTCCAGGCCAAAGCAAAGGATTGATTTTAGAAGGAACTTGTCCTGCATGGCCTCCATCCAGCCATCAGGCAGGGCTCCAGCTCTGCAGGGGAAAAAGAGATAGCCCAGGAAGAGGGAATCACCACCCACCCCACCCTGCGATCTGTATCTAAGAGAAATAACCCTGAAAAGAAGAGCTATAAGAGATGGCAGTGTGTGCTTTCGTCCGGGTGCACTTCCCGATCCTTCAACTTTCATGCCCATCTCTGATGTTTCCATCCTGGTATAGCCTTCTGAGTCATGTGTTCATCTCTCCTTTGGCTCAACCCAACAGACACAGCCTGCAATCTCACCTCCGTCAACACAGCAAATGTCTGTGTCTCAAAGACCTCGAGATAGAGCTTCCTATGCTTTAACCCTTCCAGGGGCACACCTTTATTTCTGGGCAACTCAACACTGTCCCTCCTCCTGCCTCCACCACGGGCCCCATTACCTCCCTACCCTTCTCCAAGCAGTAGTCACTCAGCGCCAACCCCTCTCAGGCGTCGGGATCTTCAGTCCGGGGCCCCAGCCCTCCGCGCGGTTCTCCTGCCCAGCGCACCGTGCGTTGCCACCCCCATCGCGTTCCTCAGCCTCCCGGGCTCCAGAGGCAGGAGCTGGCCATGCTCTCACCTCATCCAGGGTGTGGCCGCCGCAGCTGCTTCTTCCTCCTCGGCCGCTGCTGCCCAGCTCCCGGCTGGCTCCGGGCGCCGTCTTTCCCGGCTCGGGGTCTGCCGTGGGGACTGAGGGGTTCGCGTCGCGTCCCCGGACCGGTAAGGCGTGTAGTGAGCCCGGCGGGACGCGCGACAGCAGCAGCCAAAGTCGCATCGGCGGCGGCAGCAGGACCCGCTGTCTGTGCCCTTCATGGATTTCCTGGGCCTGGCCACCCCAGTCCTAGCTACGGTTCCTGCTTGTTTTCCTGGTGTTTTCCGGGACTGCCAGGGCGCATCCTCTGGGCCTGGCTGAGCATCCCCGTCAGTTCCCTGGGCCTCCTCCGCGGCTGCCTCTGCCACCTGCTCCGCCCAGATTGCTTTGGTCCTTCTCCCGCAGACACACTCAGCTGCCCTTCATCCTCTGTCGTCTCCCCATTCTCTCTCCACCCACTGCCTCATTCCCAGATCCCACGCCGTTTCTTCCTTTCTATCCGCTCCAATGTCACCTTCTCTTTATTTCCAACCTCAGATAAGTTTCTCCTTTTCTTTCTGTCTCTCTCAAT
Source organism: Homo sapiens (assembly GCF_000001405.40). Lineage (NCBI taxonomy): Eukaryota > Metazoa > Chordata > Mammalia > Primates > Hominidae > Homo > Homo sapiens. The sequence continues at coordinate 149,322,083 of NC_000001.11, forward strand.
ATTTTCCCCGGTTTCATCCTCCTCCCCGTGCCCCCGTATCAGTCATCCTTTTATAATTTATCCAGTTTTTCGTCTCCTATTAGTTCCTCAGAATCACTACTGCAGGTTGTTGGCTAGCCTCTTTTCTTCCTCTCCCTGTTTCTTTCTCTTTCCTAAAATCTTTTCCTTTCAATTTTCCCTTGAGTTTTTCAATTGTAAAAACTTTCTCCCAAACAACCTACATTTTCCTTTCAGTTGAGACTGATTGCAGTTTTCCATGAACTCATAATAAAGCATATATAGCTTGGTATCCACCATAAACCAAGAAAGTGTTTTAACCTTTTTTTAAAGTTGGTCAGTTAAATAAATTATCCCATAAATATTCATTCTGAAAATCCAGTTCTTATATCCTACATATGTCCTTGAAAACAGAGACTAGTTTGCTTTTGTATCCAGCAAAGCAAAATGTTTCTGCAACACTATTGCATATAGCATAAGTTCAGCAGGGGAGGGGGAGCAAGGTTTGTCTTTGTAGTTGGGCACTGTGGATCTCAAGGTTCATAGGCAACAGCTATTATTGTTGACTGACTGAATGCAGACAAAGCTGAATTCATCTCAGCTCATCCTTCCAAATCTGTTGCTCAGTTCTGTGTTTTAACCCCAGCCCTATCTACCCAGCTGCTCAATCCCCAAACCTAGAATTTGTCAGGGACCTATTTCTCTTTTACCCATCTCATCCAGTCATTAATTCTACTTTTTTACTCTCTCCCTCTCTCTCTCTCTCTATAGATAGATAGATAGATAGATAGATAGATAGATAGATAGATAGATAGATAGATTTTTTTTTTTGAGACGGATTCTCACTCTATCACCCAGCAGGCTGGAGTGCAGTGGCACGATCTTGGCCTACTGCAAGCTCTGCCTCCTGGGTTCAAGCGATTCTCCTGCCTCAATCTCCTGAGCAGCTCGGATTACAGGCACCTGCCACCACGCCTGGCTAATTTTTGTATTTTTAGTAGAGATGGGGTTTCGCCATGTTGGCCAGGCTGGTCTCGAACTGCTGACCTCAAGTGATCCTCCCGTCTCAGCCTCCCAAATTGCTAGGATTACAGGCGTGAGCCACTCACCTGGCCCATTCTTTCTTTTAAGCCTCCTAACTTAAGCTTCATCTTTACCTCTCCTTATCTTTGTCCAATCTGTCTTATCTGGGCTCTTTGTCTAACAACCTCTACCAGAAAATTCTTAATTATCTCTTATTGTTTTGTATCTTCTTCCTCTCCTTTTCCATTAGCTTCATCCCCAGCCCACAAACATGCTTAACTCTCCTCACTCTTAAAACAAAGTCCTTCCCTCTCTACCTATCACCATATCTCTCACTTCCCTTCACATCCAATTTGTTTAATATATTGTGTTCATTTGATGTCCACACTTTCTGACTTCCCAATCATTCTTTACCTCCTAATTTTCTGCAATCAGGCTTCTAATCCTATTGCTTAACTAGAGGTATTCTCCCAGAGGTCCTGGCGAATTTCATGTCAGGCATAGGTAGGCAATGCCAGATCAGTTGCCCCTAGTTTTTCTCCCCGCAACAAACGAATTCAGATCTAAGAAAAAAAAAAAAAAAAAACCTGTGGTATCAAGGCCACCACATTGCAGAGCACTCAACCGCCATTTAACCTACATAAATAGCACCTTACCCACTGAAGCCTGCACAACTAAAAACAATGGCCTTGAGTGGTAGGGCTAAACTCTTGGGTTCATGCGGTTTATCCAAATGCAGGCTGAAGAGGAATCCCCATTATATGACTCTAGATTGATAAATTACCTAGTTTTGATTATGGCCTTAGATTTTAGAGATTCAGACTTTGGTTTTGCCCATAGACACGTGGTAGATTTTATCTAACACACAAATTAAAAGGAATAGGGCTCCATAACTTAAAGAGAATAAGCCATCTTTTGTAGTTGTGGCAGATAAACAGTTCAGTGAAGTTACTGCAAACCCACAGCATTCATTACTGCTATGAAGTACTGAGACCTCCAACTCCAGCCAAGATGTAGTAGTATATATCAAACTAAACCTCCCACTTCAGGGGGAAAGTGGGATAAAATATGCATAAATATTTACATATTTGTATATATTTATATGTGTGTGTGTATATATATATATAGTCATGCAATGCATAACCAAGTTTTGATCAAAGACAGACTGCATATGCAACTGGTGGTCATATGCAGTTGCATATGACTTGCTATACATTTTCCAAGTTTAGATGTACAAATACCTACCATTAGGTTAAAATTGCCCACAATATTTAGTACAGTACCATGCTGTACAGGTTTCCAGCCAAGGAGCAATAGGCTGGGTGTGTAGTAGGCTATACCATCTAGGTTTGTGTAAATATATTCTGAATGTTCATACAACAGTAAAATTGTCTGATGATGCATTACTCAGAATGTATCCCTGTCATTAAGTAATACATGACTTTATACATATACGGATGGTCCCCAACTTACAATAGTTTGACTTAAATTTTTTTGCCTTTATGATGGTGTGAAAGTGATAAACATTCAGTAGAAACTGTACTTTGAATACCCATACAACCACTCTATTTTTCATTTTCACTACAGTATTCAACAAATTACATAATCAACACTTTATTGTAAAATAGGCTTTGCATTAGATAATTTTGCCCAACTGTAGGCTAACATAAGTGTTCTGAGCACATTTAAGGTAAGGTAAGTTAAGCTATGATGTTTGGTAGGTTAGGTGTATTAAGTGCATTTTTGACTTACAATATTTTCAACTTAGGTTTATTGGGATATAACCCCATCATAAGCCTAGGAGTATCTATATATCTATATCTATAATTCTTTGGAGGCATTGAAGAGTAACTAAACCAGGCGGAACTTAAAGCTATGATCCTGGAGAGAAGGCACATGAGGTGAACTCAGTGTTTACCCTGGAATATTTCTCTTGAGGGAATGCTCAAAACTAAGTGCAAGACAATAAAAGCCAAAAAAAAAAAAATACAGCAGTTTTTCTGGGCTGAAGAATAAGAGGCTGTATTAGTCTATTCTCACACTGCCAGAAAGAACTACCTGAGATTGGATAATTTATGAAGAAAAGAGATTTAATTGACTCACAGTTCTTCAGGTTTAACAGGAAGAATGACTGGGAGGCCTCAGGAAACTTACAAGCATGGTGGAAGGTGAAGGGGAAGCAAGCACGTTTTACCATGGTGGAGCAGGAAAAAGAGAGTGAGGCGGGAAGTGCCACACACTTTGAAACCATCAGGTCTCATGAGAACTCACTCTCACTATCATGAGAACAGCCTGGGGGAAATCTGCCCCCATGATCCAATCACCTAATACCAGGTCTCTCCCCCAGCAGTGGGAATTACAATACAGCATGAGATTTGGGTGGGAACACAGAGCCAAATCATATCAAAGGCCAAAGTTGAGGGCTACCAAAGTGCCTCTGATTGAGGGCAAACTCCAAGAGGGGAGAATTGCAGAGGAGCTCAACAATCTATGCAAATTGCCATCATGATAGTGATCTAAGTTCCTACACTCAGCATGCACAAAGAAAGATGCCAAAAAAAAAAAAAAAATCAGAAAACAGCAGTTTAGGGTCTAATGAGGTAAGTGAAGATTTCAGCATCCAACAGAAGTTGGACTTCAAGCCTTGATAAGGTACCTAGATACCCAGGGTTTTCAGTTGAGATCTCAGCACATCCTTGGAGTAAGAGCAATATAATACTGAAATAAAATAGATCTAACAAAGCTTGAAACCAAGCCTTTTCAGGATCAAAGTTATCTGCCACTATTCTTTCTACTTTCCAGGAGTAGAAAGTAGAAACTCTATGGAGGTAGGTAACATTATCCAGAGTCTACAATTTTGTCTTATACAATATCTGGGATCCAATACAAAATAATTATGAGCCATGCAAAAGATCAAATCCAAATGACTAAACACTAAGAGAAAAACGTTAATAGAAACAGAACTAGATATTAGAATTGGCCAGGACTTTAAATAACTATAATTAATAGTTTTAAGAAAATAGAAGAAAAGGTGGACAAAGATGAAAGATGGGTAATTTACTTCAGTATAGAATTGGAATCTGTAAAAACAATTATTGGACAAATATTCTAAAACTAAAAATTACAGGCCGGACACGGTGGCTCACGCCTGTATTCCCAGCACTTTGGGAGACTGAGGCAGGTGGATCATGAGCTCAGGAGTTCGAGACCAGCCTGACCAACATGGTGAAATCCCCGTCTCTACTAAAAATACAAAAATTAGCTGGGCGTGGTGGCATGCACCTGTAATCCCAGCTACTCAGGAAGCTGAAGCAGGATAATTGCTTAAATCTGGGAGGCAGATGTTGCAGTGAGCCAAGATCACACCACTGCATTCCAGCATGGGCAACAGACAGAGACTCTGTCTCAAAAAAAAAAAAAATTACAATAACTGGAAATAAGAACCCTTTGGGTGTGCTTAACAACAGTCTGAGTACAGCAGAAGTCAGGATTCATGAACTGGAAGACAGGTCTGTAGAAAATATCCAAACTGAAGGACAGAGAAAAAGGAAAAGAACATAACAGACCTCAAAAACACAGTAAAAATGTCTAATAAGTGATTAATTGCAGTCCCTGAAAGAGAGAGGAAAGAGAGGAGCAGTATTTCAGGAGACAAAGCTCAAGAATTTTCTAAAACTGATAAAAGGCATCGACCTCTCAGATGCCAGAAGTTCAGCCAACCCCAAGAAGAACAAAAGACCATTATCGCTCAGAAATATTAGAAGCAGTTTCAATTTAGATATTTGCTGAAGACAATTCTTAAGTTGAAACTAAGGAAGAACTCTTGATTGAGAGGCAGGTTTGATAGGTCTAAGCAGTTCTACAGCACTAGACAGTGGCATGAGTCACGGTGGTATGGGCTTGAAATGTCCACATAGAAAAGAGTGTGAAAATTGCTGGGCGCGGTGGCTCACGCCTGTAATCCCAGCACATTGGGAGGCCGAGGCGGGCGGATCACGAGGTCAGGAGATCGAGACCATCCTGGCTAACACAGTGAAACCCCGTCTCTACTAAAAATACAAAAAATTAGCTGGGCGTGGTGGCGGGCGCCTGTAGTCCTAGCTACTCGGGAGGCTGAGGCAGGAGAATGGAGTGAACCTGGGAGGTGTAGGTTGCAGTGAGCTGAGATCTCGCCACTGCACTCCAGCCTGGGTGACAGAGCGAGATTCCGTCTAAAAAAATAAAATAAAATAAATAAATAAATAAAAAGAAGACAGTGTGAAAATTATATAATAAACAGAACCCACACTCAAATCAGCCCTTTAGTGCCAGAAAAAAAAGAGGGATTCAAAAGATAAATGGAAATTAATGGATTTTGATTATCCTGGTGGGAAATCAAAACCAATAATTTCACTAAACCATAGTAACTGGAAACTGAACCTGCCAACCTGTAACTTTCTAAATTTAGTAATGAAGTACCAAGATTTCAAGTGTCGCTCTCTGAGAGAGGAGACCTGTTATTAAGTGATTTCCAACCCCCATTTGCCACATATTAAACACAGTATGATTAACCTCTTCACAGTAAACATTTATCTCAATTGACTTTACGGTTATAGGTCACAGGCTCAGATAATTGGCATATAATGTTTGTCAAACCAGATAGGCTAACACTAAAAGGTTCCCTCTTCTTTGTCTACTTGAGTTTCTGCTATGAGTTTGGAAGCAACTATGAATCTGAATTGTTCCAAATATTGCACTGGGTTCTGATAATATCATTTTGTTTGGTTAGCTCTAAGACTTTGAAATTGACATTTTAAAAAGTAGACTTTATTTTTTTAAAGCAGTTTTAGGTTCAGGACAAAATTGAACAGATGATAGAGGTTTCATACATACATCTTGCCCCCGAGACACAAACAGCCTCCCCCGCATCAAAATCCAGAGTGTACATTTATACAATCAATGAACCTACATTGACACACATTATCATCCAAGGTCCATAGTTTACATTCAGGTTCACTCTTGGTGTTGTACATTCTATGGATTTTGACAAATATAAAATGGTATGTATCCACAGTTATAGTAACAAATAGAGTAGTTTCATGGCCATGTAAATCCTCCATGTGCCACATGTTCATCCCTCCCTCTTTCCAACCCCTGACAACCACTGATCCTTTTACTGTTTCCACTGTTTTGCCAATTCCATAGTGTCATATAGTCAGAATGATACCATATGCAACCTTTTCAGATGGGCTTCTTTCACTTAGTAATATGCATTTAAGGTACCTCCATGTCTTTGCATGGCTTGATAGCTCATTTCTTATTAGCACTTTATAATATTCCATTGTGTAGATGTGTCACAGTTTGTTTTTCCATTTACCTGCTAAAAGACATTTTGGTTGCTTCCAAATTTTGGTCATCATGAAAAAAGCTGCCATAAACATTCATGTGCAGGGTTTTGTGTGAATGTAAAATTTCAACTCTGGGGAAATACCAGGAAGCCCCAGTTGCTGGATGGTAAAGTAAGAGTATGTTTAGTTTGTAAGAAATACTCGTCTTCCAGTGTGGCTACCATTTTTGCATTCCCCACCAATAATGAATAAGAATTTCGACTGCTCTGCATTCTTGCCAGCATTTGGTGTTGGTGTTGGCCTTTCTAATAGGTATGTGGTAGTACATTATTATCGTTTTTATTTGCAATTCCCCAATGATGTATGATGTTGAGTATTTTTTCATATGCTTATTTGTCATTTGTATATTTTCTTTTGCAAAATGTCTTTTGGCTATATTTATGTGGGTCTCTTTCTGCACTCTCTACTCTGTTCCATTGATCTATATTTCTATTATTTTGCCAATGTCACACTGTCTTGTTTACTCACATAGTGTCCTCCAACTTTGTTCTTCTACTTCAATATTGTGTTGGCTATTCTGAGTATTTGCTTCTGCATATAAACTTTAGAATCAGTTTATAAAAATCCACAAAATAATTTGCTGGGATTTTTATTAGAATTGCATTGAATATATGGGTCAAGTTGGGAAGAATCGACATCTTGACAATACTGTCTTCTTATCCATGAATATGGAAGAGCTCTCCATTTATTTTGTTTATTTATTTGTTTATTTTGAGACAGGGTCTGACTCTGTTACCCAGGTTGGAGTGAAGTGGCACCATCTCGGCCCACTGCAAACCTCCACCTCCTGGGTTCAAGCGATTCTCGTGCCTCAGCTTCCTGAGTAGCTTGGATTACAGGCACCCGCCACCACCCCCAGCTAATTTTTGTATTTTTAGTAGAGACAGGGTTTCACCATGTTGGCCGGGCTGGTCTCAAACTCCTGACCTCAAGTGATCCGCCTGCCTTGGCCACCCAAAGTGCTGGGATTACAGGTGTGAGTCACCGTCCCCAGCCAGTTCTCCATGTATTTAGCTTGTTTTTTATTCTTTCATCTGTTTTTTTAGTATAGTCACAGAATTGTGCAATCATTATCACTGTGTCATTTCAGAACATTTTTATCACCCTCAAAACAAACTCCATACTCACTTACCCTTTCCATTTCTACCACCGGCTGTTCCTCTCCCCAGCCCCTGGCAACCACTAATCTTTTTATATTTATAAATTTACCTATTCTGGACACTTCATATAGATGGAATCATCTAACATGTAGCACATTATGTCTGGCTTCTTTCAGTTAGTATGGTGTTTTGAGGTCCATCCACTTTACAGCGAATGCCAATATTTCACTCACTTTTTTATTGCTGAAAATATATTATATTGTAAGGAAATATCACATTTAATGTACCTATTTGTCAGTTGATAGACACTTAGGTGGTTTTTGTTTGTTTGTTTTTTGCTATAGTGAATAATGCTGCTGTGAACGCTCATGTACATGTTTTTCTTTGGACATATGTTTTCAATTACTTTGGGTACATACCTACGAGTGGAGTTGCTGGGTTATATGGCAACTCTGTTTAACTTTTTTTAAACTGCCAAAGTGTTTTTACAAATGGCCTCATAATGTTTACATTCCCACCAGTAACTCAATGTTTTTCCACATTCTAACCATTTGTTAGTATGTGTCTTCTTTATTATAGCCATCCTAGTGGGTGTGAAGTGACATTTCACTGTGGTTTTGGTTTGTATTTCCCTAGCTAATAATGTTGAGCATCTTGTCTTGTATTTAGTATTTATTTGTATATCTTCATTGGAGAAACATTTTTTCAAATTTGTTGCCTATTTTTCAATTGGGTTGTTTGTTCTTATTTTATTACTGAGTTGTAAGGGGTGTGTGTGTGTGTGTGTGTGTGTGTGTGTGTGTGTGTGTGTGTGTGTGTGTTCTGGATGCAATTCCTTTACCTGATATGATTTGCAAGTATTTTGTCCCACTTTGAGGGTTGTCCTCTCACTTTCTTGTGCTTTTTGAAGAAAATAAGTTTTAAATTTTGGTGAAGTCTTTTTATCTATTTTTTTCTTTTGCAGCTTGTACTTTTGGTGTCATAGCTAGGAAACCATGCTGGATCAAAGGTCACAAAGATTTATTCCTGTGTTTCATTCAAAGAGATATATAGTTTTAGCTCATAGGTTGACAATCCATTTTGAGATAATTTTTATATATAGTGTGATGTAAGAGCCCATCATCATTTTGCATGTGAATATCCAGTTGTCACACATCATTTGTTGAAAATACTCTCCTTTCCTTATTTTTTTTTAATTAGACCATATATGCATGTGTTTATTTTTGGGACTCTCAATTATATTCCATTGACCTGTATGTCTATTCTGATTTCAATACCACACTGTCTTAATTATGTTGCTTGTTATTAAGTTTTGAAATCAGAAGTATGAGTCCTTCTCACACCTTTTTCCTTCTTTTAAAGATGGTTTTAATTATTCTGGGTCCTTTGCTTTTCTACCTGAATTTTAAGAGCAGCTTGTCAATTTCTGCCACACACAAAAAAAAAAAAAAAAAAAAAGAGAGAGAGAGAGAGATCCTGCTGGGATTTTGATAGAGATTGCAACAAATCTATAGATCAATTTGGGATTACTGCCATCTTAACTCTGTTAAGTCTTCCAATCCATGAATGTGGAACATGAACATGGAATTCCTTTCCATTTATTTAGGTCTTTTAATATTTCCTTCAACAACATTTTGTGGTTTTTAGTGTACACTTTTTTTGTTAGATTTATTCCTAAACATTTCATTTATTTACTCATTTTAAATTTCAACTTTTAGATACAGAGGGTACATGTACAGCTTTGTTACATATCCATGGAGGTTTTTCTACCCATGTTCCCTCCCTCGGTCCCCTCTCTAGTAGTCCACAGTGTCTATTGTTCCTATGTTTATGTTCATGTGTGCTCAGTGGTTAGCTCCCACTTATAAATGAGAACATGTGGTATTTGGTTGTCTTTTTCTGCATTAATTTGCTAAGGATTTTGGCCTCCAACTCTATCCATGTTGCTGTAAAGGACATTATTTCACTTTTTATGGCTGTATAGTATTCTACAGTGTATATGTACCACATTTTCTTTATCCAATTCACCCTTGATGTGCACCTAGGTTGATTCCATGTATTTGCTATTGTAAATTGTGCAGTGATGAACATATAAATGCATGTGTCTTTTGGTATAATGATTTATTGTCCTCTGGATATGTACCCAATCATGGGATTGCTGCATCAAATGGTCGCTTTAAGTTATTTGAGAAATCTCCAAACTACTTTTCACAGCGGCTGAACAAATTTACATTCCGAAAAACAGTGTGTAAGTGTTCCCTATTCCCTGCAGCCACATCAGCATCTGTTGTTTTTTGACTTTTTAATGATAGCCATTTTTGACTTTTTAATAATAGCCATTCTAACTGGTGTGGGGTAATATCTCATTGTAGTTTTGATTTGTATTTCTCTGATAATTAGTGTTGTGGAGCATTTTTTCATATGTTGGTTGGTCACTTATATGTCTTCTTTAAAAAAAGTGTCTGTTCATATCCCTTGACCATTTTTAAGGGGATTATTTGTTTTTGCTTATTGACTGAAGTTCCTTATAAATTCTAGGTATTAGATCTTTGTTGGATGCATAGTTAGTGAATATTTTCTCCCATCCGGTAGGTTATCTATTTACCCTGTTGATTGTTTATTTTGCTATGCAGAAGGTCTTTAGTTTAATTAGGTCCCATTTGTCAATTTTTGGTTTTGTTGCAATTGCTTTTGGGCACTTATCCAAAAACTTTTTGCCAAGGCTGATGTTGGTAAAAGTATCTTCTAGGTTTTCTTCTAAGATTTTTATATTTTGAGGTCTTACATTTAAATTTTTAATTATCTTGAGTTAATTTTTGTATACAGTGAAAGGTAAGGGTCTAGTTTCATTCTTCTGTATATGGCTAGCCAGTTATCCCAGCACAATTTATTGAATAGGGAGTCCTTTCCCCATTGCTTGTTTTTGTCAGCTTTGTTGAAGATCAGATGGTGTAGATGTGCAGCTTTATTTTGATGCCTTGTAAATGGAATTGTGCTCTCAGTTTCATTTTTGGATTGTTCATTTCTGGTGCATAGAACTGCAAATTTTTTTGTATATTGATCTTGTACCCTACAATTTGGTGAATTCATTTATTAATTCTTAAATTTTTGTGTGGATTCCTTAGAATTTTCTATATACAAGATAAAGTCATCTACAAATAGAAATAGTGTTACTTATTCCTTTCCAGCTGGGGTGCTTTTATTTCTTTTTCTTGCCTAATTGCCCTCATTAGAACATCAGGTACTATGTTGACTAGAAGTGGTGAGAGCGGACATACTTGTTTTATTCCTCATCTTACAGGAAATGTTTTCAAGTCTTTCCCCTTTAAGTATGGGGTTAGCTGTGGGTTTTTCATAGATACCCTTTATCAGGTTGAAGAAGTTCTCTTCTTTCCTAGTTTGTTCATTGTTTTTTAACAAGATAAGATGCTAGATTTTCTCAAATGCTTTTTCTGCATTTATTGAGATGATCATATGGAGTTTGTCCTTTGTCCTTTGTAATATGGTGCATTACATTTATTGTTTCATATGTTGAATCAACCTTGCATTCCTAGGATAAATGCCACTTTGTCATGATGTATAATCTTTTTCATATGTTGCCAAATAAAGTTTGTTGAGAACTTTTACATCTATATTTATAAAGGTATACTGGCCTGTCATTTTCCTTTCTTGAAGTCTTAGTTTTGGTGCCAGGGTAATACTGGCCTCATAGAATGAGATGGGAAGTGTTCTTCTTCTCCTTTTTTTCAGGGGGTGAAGAGTCTGTGTCCTATAAACATATTCGGCAGAAGTCACAGATTAAGCTATCTGAACCTGGGCTCCTCTTTGTGGAACATTAAAAAAAATTATTACTACTAATTGAATTGCTTTACTTGTTATAGGGTATTCAGATTTTCTATTGCTTCCTGAATCAGTTTGGGTAGCTTGTTTCTTTCTTGAAATTTGTTCATTTCATCTAGTTTATCTAATTTCCTGGCATATAACTTCTCATAATATTCCTCTATAATATTTTGTATTCCACAGGTTGGTAATAATGTCCCCTCTTTCATTTCTGATTTGATCCATGTGTTTTAAGGAAAAGTTTGTGTCCCCACGAGTATCCCTCCATAAAAAACAAAACCTCCAGAAAATTCTGTCTGAGACTAATTTCAACAGTTACAACGTTACAACAAAGACAAATTTAAAACAAAATGCCTCTGGTGTAATTTGTGGTAAATGATAGCTTGTGTTCAGACTAGACTTGATCATCACTGCTCAAAAAATGTCCTTTAAAAATTATGCAAATTTTGATACATCACCCATCATCCATTACTTCTATTTTCCAAAGTCTTGAAGTATTTTAGAAGTTCAATTAAGGCTTATCTCGTATCAGTATTTTCAAGTTTTCTCAGCAGCAATTCATAGAGCATATTGAACGAAATTAAGCAGCCACACAAAACCTGTCCAAAATCCAAACACAAGTGTAGCAATTTTAGATAAGGTTTTGTCATTTGTGGCAAATAAAATGATAAATACCAATAAAAATGCACATCCTATCCCACAAGTAATATAAAAATCTAGTATTTCTTTTGGTGTGGCAACTGCAATAAACTGGAGTACACAAACACAGTCAGAATAAGGAAATTCATAAGAAAGGCACTGTGTCACATGAAATTCACATAAGTGAGGTCCTCCACAAAAAGTGTATTACAGGGACAAACCCTTTTCCCAGCTAAAGGCTGGGAGAGAGAGAACAGCTGGAAGTCTCTGAGATCACCACCGCCACTGGAGCTGGCCAAGGGACACAAAGGTACTAAGATCATTTCTGCTCTCTGGTAGGAGGTGGGTCCTCCTTTGTGTTGGACTGCACCCTGTTCCCTTCTTCACTGAGAATCTGAGAAGTCTTGTGGTGATAGCTGAACACTTAAGATGCCAGCCTCAGAGTAGGTCATTCTGGTTTGCCCTATGCCATGTGGTAAGAAGCCAGTCAGCCTGCCCATTTGAGAAAGGCCTGCTGTTTCTGGAGTGAAGTCTGCCTAATTCTGGAGTGAAATATTAGCAGGACCTTTGCATCATCACAGATCTAAATGCAAGTTCTCCACTTAGTTTGATCAGTAATAAAAGTACTGTAGCATTATTAATTCTCTGTTTGACTTCTCTATTTCCCAATTTGATCTGAACTTAAAAGAGGAAGAAAGGATTATGTCTTGAGCTCCTAAAACTTCAACTCAAAGCTTTCATTGTAATATTCTCAAGAAGTGACAGTCTGCATAAATAGCAGATTTTTTAAAAAGGAAATTCCTCCTAGAACTTTGAAATTTTGGTTATTATCTGCCCGAGAGCTTGGAGGTAGACCTCCGTAGAGAAATGGCACACAGAGTTTGGGGCCTGACTTCAGATTTCCAGAACCAGAGGATCATGCTCCCTAATAAAAAACAAAGAAAAAGGTCTCATATCAGGTAGTGATGGAGTAAGAGGATGGGCCAGGGATTAGGGGAAGAACCAAGAGGGACTGATTAACAAAAATTACATCTTTGGAAGCTAGAGAATTCACCACAAGCAAACAACAACAGCAAGTTAGATTATGACCCACTTTGTCACCTTTAATGTCGTATTAGATTTAATTCTTTGGCAGGTAGAGCTGAATGAATTTGCCTAAACTTTTTTCCCAGGAACGATAGCAAAGACTAGTAATAACTGAAAGATCTGGCCAGGTATGGTGGGTCACACCTGTAATCCCAGCACTTTGGGAGGCTGAGGCAGGTGGATCACTTGAGCCCAGGAGTTCAAGATCAGCCTGGGCAACATGGTGAGACCTCATCTCTACAAAAAAAAAAAAAAAAAAAAAAAACAAAAATTAGCCGGATGTGGGGATGTGTGCCTGTGGTCCCAGCTACTGGGGAGGCTGAGGTGGGAGGATCACTTGAGCCCAGGAAGTCAAGGCTGCAGTGGGCCAAGATTATGCCACTGTACTCCAGCCTGGGTGACAGGGAGACCCCATCATAAAAAATTGAAAATAAAATAAAATACTACTAATATTAATAATGAAAACTGAAAGATCCTTAAGATTGTAAAGAAAAGTCAGTCTGAGACGGAAATTTTCACTAATTGCTGAAACACTGAACCACCACTATGAGTAGAGGAGAGATGGTCCAATAAAAGGAGCAGGAGCTGGAGGACTATTAGAGGAGGAAGCCAAGCTACAGCAAAGCTGTTGAGACAGCAGGTAAGATGAGGAAACTATAATGGCCGCTAGGAAAAAACAAATCCATTTAGACTCCACAGAAAGATAATAAAGCTGCCGGTCTGAAGGACAATCTCGTTGTATATTCAGAGTTAAAAAAGTCACCATCCAAAGCTTTTATTGTTGCAGATTGAGAGGTGGGAATGCAATGCGGGTGGAGGTGGGTTGGGGATAATGGAAGAGAGACAGAGCCAGCTAGAATGTAACTGTCAGAGGCATTCAAATCAGAATGACTCCATCTTGAATACGGGCTGGGTAAAATGAGGCTGAGATCTATGGGGCTGCATTCCTAGGAGGTTAGGCATTCTCAGTCACAGGATGAGATGAGAGGTTGGCAGGACTGGTATCACAAGATAAAGGTCATAAAGACCCTGATGATAAAACAGGATGTGGTAAAGAAGCTGGCCAAAACCCACCAAAACCAATATGGCGATGAATATGACCTCTGGCTGTCCTCACTGCTCACTGTATGCTAATTACAATGCATCAGCATGCTAAAAGACACTCCCACCAGCACCATGACAGTTTACAAATGCCATGGCAATGTCAGGAAGTTACCCTATACGGTCTAAAAGAGGGAAATCCCTGCCTCTTTCCCAGAAAACTCATGAATAATCCACCACTTATTTGGCATATAATCAAGAAATAATCATAAAAATAGCCAACCATCAACTCTTGGTGCTGCTTTGTCTATGGAGTAGCCATTCTTTTGTTTCTTTACTTCTCTAGTAAACTTGCTTTCACTTTACTGTATGGACTTGCCCCCAGTTCTTTCTTGCAGGAGATTCAAGAACCCTCTCTTGGGGTCTGGATAGGGACCCATTTCCAGTAACATATATCATGTTCCTTTTGTTAACCTCTGTATAATTCAGTGCCTGATATTCCTAGCCCATAGTAGTTGAACAATAAATATTTGTTGAATAACTAATTGGAAGAATGAAAGAAATGGGGGTTGGACATGTTTTCACTAAGTACAATACCAACTGTGAATCGTGCTGTATACAACCAATGAGTATCATCTCAACCCATGAGACATGCCATTCATTCAGTCATTTAGTCCATAAACAGTAATTGAGCATTTGCTAGGTTCCAGGTACAGGATACTAGACCCTTGGGAATAACTAACTAGTTTTTCTGTCCTGAAAGAGTTTGGAGATTAGTAGTAGAAGAAATATGTTTTTTAAAAAAATTAAGTTCCATACAATATTTTAGGTGCTATCAAAACTACCCCAATTTTATATGTAAAATGTTTATTTAGAAACAGAATGCTTGTTAATCGGTACTGCAAGGAAAAATTAGCATTCAGACAAAAAGTTTTCTCAGCAAGATAATTTTACTTTCTGCAGAAAGAGTGCTCCTCGCAGATGGAACAATGGCGAGAGCACACCTGAACAATGGAGGGAAGAAATTTTTATCCCTTACGCAGCTTGTCCTTGCTGCTGTGTCCTGTCTCCGTTGGCTGGAGCCAGACTGCACAATCTAAACTAAAACCTGACTGGCTAATAATTTAAAACTTTTCTAAATAGGTAAAAGCAATGGAAAGACAAAGGAAAAGAGGAAGTTGCTTATGAAAGGACTTAGAAAAGTAATAATATTCCTGAATAAGGAAGGGGCATAGGCTGTGAGCTGAGACATGCCCGTGAGCACCTCCAGCACAAATATTTTGGTTAAAGTACAAGGACATAGAATGTACTTATTCCTTTATGTCTAATAGCTACATAGGATAGGGCTTAACAGAGAGTTAATAGCACAAAGCAAGGAGGATTGAAGGAAGTTAGTCTTTAAAAGAAACTATTATTTCTAACACTTATGATTTATTCTTTAACAAGAAGGGAAACTCTGAAGAGGAAACTTTTTACTTTCTACACCCAATTATCCTACTCACCCCACACATCCCAAGCCCCAAGGCGTGAACCAGCTGGGCCTGCTCTCTGCTAGGCTTTCCTGACAAAGTAGGGAAACCAGACAGACATGTTGGAAGAAGTATTACAGTTTCATGAAATAGCTTCCTCTAGAAGGCAAGAGATAGCTTTGCTGTGGCTTGATATTTGAAATAGGCTATTTAAAGTCATAATTTTTTTTTTTTTTGAGACGGAGTCTTGCTCTGTCACCCAGGTTAGGGTGCAGTGGCGCGCAATCTCGTCTCACAGCAACCTCCGCCCCCTGGGTTCTAGCAATTCTACTGCCTCAGCCTCCCTAGTGTCTAGGATTACAGGCGCCCGCCACCACACCTGGTTAATTTTTGTATTTTTAGTAGAGACGGGGTTTCGTCATTTTGGCCAGGCTGGTCTCGAACTCCTGACCTCAAGTGATCCACCCGCCTCGGCCTTCCGGAGTGCAGGGATTACAGGCGTGAGCCACTGCGCCCGGCCAAAGTCGTAATTATTTTAAACAGAGGCTTTCACGGGACTTCCAAAGCGCACCTTGTTCTTTCCGGCTCATTCCCCCTTCCCCTCTAACCCTTCACTTTCACTTCTCTGACTGGATGCACTGTGCGGAGGACACAGCTAAGGGCTGTGAAAATTCAAGAATAAAGAAAAGTCCTGCCTTCACGCAGCTCGCACTGTGAGGAGGTTTAATCAGGGATGGTAATTCAAAATAACTCGTGTTTAATCACCAGTGCAGATGGTGTCAGTAAACCTGCCTGGGGCGCTGCTTCCCAACCCCCACCAGGGCCTACGCCCTGCAGCCCACCGGAGGCGTGGCCGGAGGGCAGGCGCCAGGGCGGAAGGCGGGGGTCGTTCTAATTCCCTGGGGGTAGCTAATGGCCATGCCTGGAGGCGAAGCTTTTCAAAATGACTAACATGGAAAACCGCCAAAGACAATGGAATCTGGCAGAACTGTGGGGAGCAGGAATCTTAAGCGTTTGCATGTTGTTGGGGTAGAAGGGGCTCAAGAAGGGGATGCTCAGGGCAATAGCTTTTTTACTAATCTGTAAGAAATGTTCCAGTATTTTAATAGCTGGTACAGCCATACTGATGCATGCAGTCCAGATCGATAGATATTGGTCCAGATACAGTGGCACCTGTTAAAAGTTCAGTACATCACATTCTTTCAGGATTATCCCCAGTTCCCACCTTCTCCAATACGCCGTACCACATTCCTGCAATACATTGTAACTTATTTTTTTCTTTGTCTTTCAATAACTTGAGTTTCCTAGCGGGCAAACGACGGGTCTTAATCATCTCTTTGTTATCCATACCTTTTACGATAGCTGCTTTATGCTGGTAGGTGCTCAAAAGTATACTGAATTGATTAAAAACAGCACTAATTCCAGATGTCTTAAAAGAAAGCTGTTTTGTGTTTTAGAAACGCAGTGGAAATTTCTGAAGTAAGACAAGTTTCTGGAGCAAGCTTGGGAGGTTCTGAAGACAAAGCTGAGAATGGAATTTATATAATTTGTTTAAAGTGATCAATTTTATTTTACTTTTCCATACAGTCTAAGTAAAACCTTGAGCCTTAAAAAAAGATGAGATATTGAAAAAATAGTTTGCACATTTCTTCTGTTGGACTTTTCATTCATATATTAATGCAAAAAATTTTTACTGAGCACATCAAATGTGCCAGGCATAGTGTTAATGCAGGGAGTTAGAGTACACAGTCTCTACCTTTGTGGAGCTTACAGTCTAGTGGAAAAATCAGATAACCAACAAACTATTAAAATGTAGTTTAACTGCTAAGGAGAAGGAAGAGGGTTTTGTGCTTGAACATGGAAAATATATCTAAGTTGGTTTTAGGAAATCAGGAAAGTCTTCCCAGAAGGTATGACACTAAGGTAACAGTAGGATCCAGTAGTAAGGAACTATTATTCTATTTGGTTATATGCCTTTTTAGGTTTGATTTGGAAATATAGTTACTTTCACTTTTAGGAGAGTGGTGATACAGATAATAAAGTTGCAGGTCATGCTAAGTGAAATATATTCTATTCATTACATAAAAACAAAGTCTAATCTTTGAAATAAACCGTGAACAATTTAACATACCCCGATTTGCTAATGTGAAATGTTTTTCAGGAATACTCTAGGACCATCCTGCAGAAGGAGTGTAATTGTTCAAATGAACCTAGGAATATGATTTGAACAAAGTAGATAGTGCAGGGGAATATCCTTGAAGGATGTGTAGTTTGACTAAAAAATAGTTTTCCTACAGTGGGTGGCTGTGTGTTGGGGGTAGGGGGGATGGAATCTGGTCAATTTTTAAATTATTGCATTGAATTCCAGTGTTAGCAAAGAATACAAAGTGAACTTGAAAGTCTACTTAATATTAGTGGCCCCTACTCTCTGCCATGATACTTTATTGAAAAATTAATTGATTTATTGTTTTTTAATTATAAATTTGGTATTGATTTCATATTGGTTTATCAAGATGGGATGCTTTGTTTAATTGACAAGGAAAGAAATTTTACACACAAATATTTTTGTGATTGTAGTGCCATAGTATTTTCCTTTAGGAATTTTGACTTTGAATAATAAAGTTTGCCTAAACTTTTAATGTCTGTAAAGATCTGAATCTTAGGCTTACTTTTACTATTTTAATAGTATACAGAACATTTATAAAAGCACCTACTACATACCAAACACTGTGCTAAGCCTATTAAATTCATTTTTTTATTTAATCCTCATACTACCATATTAGAACAGGTACTATTAAAATCTCCAATAATAGATAAGGAAGCTCTGAGGCTTAGAGAGGATAGATCACTTGCCTAAATTCACAGCTAATAAGTGGCATAATGAAATTTTTCATCAGGGTTTTTCCCCTTGGCACTGTTGACATTTGGGGATGGATAATTATTTGTTCTTGGGGACTGTTCTGTATATTGTGTAGGAGGTCCAGCAATATTCCTGGCCTCTACCCTCTAGATGCCAGTAGTACCACTACCCTTCCCCACTTTGTTTGTTTGTATGACGACAAAAATATTTCTAGACATTGCTAAATGTCTCATGGGGGCAAAATCACCCCAATTGAGACCCAGTGGTTTTTATTAAGTTTTTGTCGACTCAGACAAAAACTTAATAACCACTGTACTTTAGTGCCTAACCACTGTACTTTACTGCCTTGTTCTAAGGCCTTTTAATGATGTCTTACCTCTTAGGAGTCCAGGAATAACTTTTTAATAAACAGATATCTCAACCAAACAGTTTTATATTTAATCACCTTAATTGTCCAGGCCAGATAATTCAATGTATTTTCATTTTTGTATGTTTTTGTTTTCTTATCAGTGTACTTTCAGTATTTACACTGATAATAGATATCATATTTTAGGTATTTACTAGGTGCCTGTACAAGCTGCCATATTACCGAAGATGGACAGTTATTCAGATAATACAATAGAGAGTAAAATTTACAAAATAATGTAGACAGAGTATTTTATACAGGGTGTTTCCTCTGTGTTTAACTGAAAATTTAGACTTAGGGCAGGAAGAGAGATGAGCTTTTCTTCTCAAATGTGGACTCCCTAACTGATACCCTGTTTATCTTTTTTCCTCATTCCTTTTATGGCATGTTTCTCCTTTTAGGATTTTTGCAATTTCTTTATCTACCTTTCTGTTCTGCCTCAAAATTATTGTATTTTCTTTCATTTTCCTCTGGCATCGTGAAGGGCAGTCCAGACTTGAAGAAAGTGTTAGATCTCACCAAATAGGCAGCAGGAAGCTCCAAGAAAGCAGATAGATAACATGTTATACAGTTAAATTGTCTCACGCTCCCAATCACTGAGGGTTGATTAATCCACTTACTGTAACTGCTTTTAGAGGAAAGTGGTTGGTTCTTGGTGCTGCTGGTCTTTGACCAGCTGAGTTCAGTGGGTATTGATACCCACTGAACTCAGCTATGAAAATGATAAGAGCTATGAAGGCAAAAGTTGTTATTGATACAACTAGTTGTTCAGCAGTCTTAGGTGACAGCAACGAAAAGTATTGCGGTTGTGTGTCAAGTTACTACCTTCTATCTTTTGTAATATATAGATCCAAATCCTACATTTGCTGTTGGATAACCTCAAATTTGTTTCACAGTTTTTCCAGTTATTCTGATCCACTGCATTATTGGATTACTAATAGATATCTCATAATTATATCATATACAAATTTCATTAATCTTTTCTAGATGAAGTAGAAAACACAATGAGGATATCTAAATATTTTTAGGTGGACTGGCTAACTGTGGGCCCTTTGTGACTTTGATCTTGAAAGCAAACTAAAGGTCAGTATGTAAAACAGTGGTTAGGTTGTTTTGTGAGATCTAGATCAGAGCTGCCCCATGGTTTCTTGAGCATTTCCAATGAGTTAGAATTACATAGTAAGACTTCACCTAAAAGGTGGATCTACTATTGAAACAATTTCAATTATAGAGTTAGGGTAGCATAATGCTTAGGAGTAGGGGCTCCAGGGCCAGATTGCCTGCATTCAGATCCTAGTTCCTCCCTTTTTAGCTTAGAGGCTAAAAAGTTTGACTTCTCAAGTAAAAAATTGACATAATAATTCTAATCACCTCATGAAGAATAAACGAGTTAAATAATGTAAAGTGTTCAGAACAGTGGCTGGCAGAAAGTGAACACTTAATAATTTCATTTGATCATTTCTGAAGAATCTTTTCTAATTCCATCTTGCCTTTCTTTTTTTTTTTTTTTTGAGATGGAGTCTCACTCTGTTGCCCAGGCTAGAGTGCAGTGGTGTGATCTCAGCTTACTGCAACCTCCGGTCCCCAGGTTCAAACGATTCTCCTGCTTCAGCCTCCCGAGTAGCTGGGATTACAGGCACCTGCAACCCTACCCGGCTAATTTTTGTATTTTTAGTTGAGATGGGGTTTCAGCATCTTGGCCAGTCTGATCTTGAACTCCTGACCTCATGATCCACCTGCCTTGGCCTCGCAAAGTACTGGGATTACAGGCGTGAACCCCCATACCCAGCCTCATCTTGCCTTTCTTAAAGGTTCACAGATCAGAACTGCACATAATCGATACACTGGATGCAAATATGTAATGAATGAATGATTTTTCACATTACAAAATTAATTTGTGCGTATTATAGAAAGTTCAGTAAATACATAAAAGCAAAATGACCAAAATGTTAACAGTGTTTATTAACTATAATCTGTACTCAAATTATATCCATTTTGGTGGATGACCTTAAACATATGTATGTGTGTATAACATTAAATAATAGGTAATACCGTAAGACTGTTTCACCTAATTTTTTCCACTTAACAGTGTTTAATGAATATTTTCTCATATCATTAAACTCTATACAGCATTGTTTTAATGGCTGCATAGTATTCCATTGTATGAATATGCCAGAAAGATTATTATTTAACCATGAAGATTGTGCTAGCATTGTGTTCTCAAGGATGGTAATGCTAACTGAACCAGCATGGTAAGGTGTTGGTTGGCATACCATAATCCCTATAAATACATCCCCAGTGTTGTATATTGGCAGTCTTTACATTGCTGTTTGCAAATTCCTGAAATTGCAGAATGCTTTTGGCCAGTTTCTTATAGTTGATACAGTTGTTAGTCTTTTTCTCAGGTTACAGTAATGTTTACAGTGCCTCTTGTAAAGTCAAAGGATTTGTACCAATCTGAGTGGCAATTTTTTCCATGTTTCTTCAACTAGTCCTTTTAAGATTCTCACCTGCCTTTAGCAAAGAACATATATTTAACACCTGTGGTTGCAGTTATGTAAAAAATACCGATGTCACAGCCCCACCTCCAAGATGCTGACTTAATTGGTTTGGTGGTGGAGACTGGGCATAAGTAGTTTTGTTTTTGAGATTTCCCCAAATGATTCTATTGTGAAGCCAAGGTTGAAAATCACCGATCTATGTTGATATTCTTTCTTGGCACTTGAGTAGCATTCCCAACATTATTTGCATGCTTTTTATCTACTCTTGTGGGTTCAGATCTCTTCAGAATGGCACTGGGGAAACAAAAAGATTGGTAAGTACCATTCAAATTTAGGAAAATAGAATATTGGGCACTAGTTCTTATTGGCTAAAAGCATATGACAGTATTCACTCTTACTGGCTGGCCATATATTAGTAGTACTGTTTAATATGATAATTTTGATATAATTATTATAAAGTACTGTTTAATATATAAAACTGTACATACATACAGACATACATATGTTAATATAGAACTATTTCTCAAATATATAACAAATATATGTCAATAAAACAAATAATTGCCATAACAGTGGTATTAAACAAGATAAATCTACAAACTAATACCTCGACTGGACTCTGCCTATCTCCCCTGGTTCACCTCATGCTTATTCACCTTCTTATTCATACTGAAATTTCCAGTTCACCATTTTTACATATAGCTTAGAATCTTATTATCCTGTAATTGTACATTTGCTGATCTGCCACTTTATCATTTTATTGTTGCTTCCTTGTTTTTATTATCAGCTTAGCAGTACACTATCTACAATTTTAAGATATCACTTTGTACTTTATCAAAGTTAGACCTCAGATCCTGGGAGACCCTAGCATAAATACTTTTCTACTTAAATATTTAGTTATTAAACATCTGCCAAAGGGAGGCTATTCTTTCTATGTAAAATAAATAATTCCAAAATAGGATTATTTCTTTGCATCACATGGCAGTGTCCTAGTCTGGGTTACTATACAAAATACCATAAATTGGGTGGCTTATAAATGACAGAAATTGATTTTTCTAGTTCTGCAAGGTGAAGATCAAGCACCAGCAGATTTGGTGACTATTGAGGGCCTATTCCTGGTTCATAGATGTCACCTTCTGGCTGTTTCCTCACATGGTGGATGGAGCAAGCTAGCCCTCTGGGGTCTCTTTTATAAAGGTACTAGTCGCATTCATGAGGGCTCTACCCTCATGACTTAATCACCTCCCAAAGGTCCCACTTCTTAATACCATCACTTTGGGGGGTTAGGATTTCAACATGAATTTTGTGGGGGATACCAGCAAACATTCAGACTATAGCTGGGTAGCTGGCAGAAAGCTCCCCTACCCCACATGTGGATGGAAAAACAATGTCTATTTGCTTCCCATTCTTCAGGCACTTCCTTTCCCTGTTGGATCTAGTAGATTGGAGATGCATGGTTTTCTTCTTTTGAAATGACACTGCTGGTTTTTCCAGTAGATTTGCCCCCTCTTTTTAACAAAAATAATTGTAAAAGCAGTTAGAAATTGTTCAGGAAAATATTACCTGTAATTATAACATGTGAATGCTATTATTTTCATTTTTGTCTGCATATATCCCTCGATATTCAAACTTTTGCTGTCCAAACTTGGGAACCAAATAGATTTCTTCAGTAAAGGGTATCTGACATGCTAATCTTTGTCTCTACCCTTGGTCATTTTTATGTAATTGCAGTCAAAGTGTTCATAATAATTTGCAGTCACTAGTACACACATTTAGTTTTGTTTAAATGCTAAAAACTGTAACACTTGTGGAAGGTTCTGCTGGATATTCCAACATAAAAATGAAATTCACCAATCTTGTTCCTAGGATATTCCCCTGAGTATAGCACATGCTGTGTAGTTCTGTGCCAATAACTGCAAATGAAATGGGTTAGGAGGAGAGTACTGTCCTAATAGTGGAAAGAAGACTGGATTGAAAGTTAGGAGTGCTTAAGTGTATTTGAGGTATATGCTTTTGCTTCTTAGCAAATAACTAATGCGATCATCTTGAAGAAGTAGGGGTTAGGTCTTCCTCTGTACTCTGAAAGTAGGTTGTCTTTCCTCCGTTAAAATGAATCTTACTTACCTGTAAATGAAGGACCTCATTCAGAGTGTCCTCATAATATGGTGCTTCTCACTAATTGATACAGCATTTTGTGGAAAATTCTTAAATGAAGATGTCTTCTTTCAGTCTGGCCGGGACCTTCAACAGTATCAGAGTCAGGCTAAGTAACTCTTTCGAAAGTTGAATGAACAGTCCCCTACCAGATGTACCTTGGAAGCAGGAGCCATGACTTTTCAGTGAGTGTAATCTTGATTTCTTTATGATCATTTAAGTGTGAAATACAGTAACAGAATGCCTGATAAAAAATAATAATTTTTAAAAAGTAAAGATTACTTAAAAATGTTGTCTTTTGGGAGGAGCAACTTCTCTGGCTCTAATTCTACAAAATGGACATCTTGTTGGTTTTTTCAGCATGCTTACAGTAATTTAACCTGTTAACATGTGTCTATGCTGTGCCCATCATGCAATAATAGATAACTTCTTGCTTTAGGACTGTCTTGGAGCCAGATATGTGTAGGTTAGTACCCTTGCTCAAACATTTCCTAACAGTGTAACTTTGAGCAGCTCACATAACTTCTCTAAGCCTCAGTTTCCTCTATAAAGTAGTGAAAATAAACATAGGAGGTTTGAGAGGATTGTGAGGGAATCCGTGTGTATTACTTAGCATCTTGTCTGACACACATGGGAAGGGTCAATAATTATTAGTTATTATTATTTTGAAAAAAGAAAATTATAAAAGATAAGAGCATCTTAATCAGTGGTTATAAACGATACAGCTGATAGAGGACTCAAAGGAACATTATTGGATTTTAAATTATCTACAAATAATTGGTATTTAATGTTTAATACATGCCAAGTTTGAAGCTGACAAAATGGGAAGGATTAAAAAGGAAAAGAGTACAAGAGCATCAGAGGAAAATAAAAACGGATTAGTTAAATAATCTTTGCTATTTTAGGGACTTAGATAGTAAGATAACTTAGGCCAGGGAGGAAGCTGCTATGTTTACTTTTAAAAAACAAAACAAAAATTCTCTACCTATAAAAGACAAGTAAAAAGTACATCAAAACAAAAATAAAACCCTAGGCAATTGGCTAAGAAAATGTTGGACATTATGTTTTATGATGTATTAATTTTTATAATATCTGAAATATTTTCTAGAACTCTAATTTTCAACACCAAAAATAGTCACTCACTTAATATCTAGTATCCTCATTTTCACCATGGTTTAGAGAACCAAGACCTAGGAAAGTTCTCATGGAACTGAGAAGAGATTTTCTTCTGCCTGATTCCTTTAGGACATTCATAATCTCATATCATCCTTTATTTCCATCCAAGAGCTATTAAGGGTTTATTCTTTGCCGGACCTTATATTGAGTCCTGCATTTAATGTCCATACCTTTTAACACTGTTCTCTTAGTACAGAGAGAGACATATACTCAAACAAGTATACTATAATATCTTCATTGAAAAGATGTTGTAAATTAGATTTAAATGAAATGTTTTGGGAACAGAGAGAAGGAAGGAACAAATTCCCATTTGTAGGGGGTAAGTTTGAAGAAACGGGACAGAGGAGGGGAGTATATTTAAAGAAGTTTCACAGAAAAAATTATGGTAGAATTGAACATATGGAAATGAACAGGATTTCTCCAGGTATTTAAAAGAGCATTAATGGTTAGAAAAAACAATATAAGCAGAAGTCCACAAATATGTAAAGAACCTAGCATGTTGGAAAACAGTCCGCCATTTGGTTTATTAAAATATATGATAGAATGTTGCTTACACTTGTTTTGAAAGGCTGTAAATATAATACCATGGAGTATGATTTTATTTTGTAGGTATTAGGGAACCCTTAGAGTTTGTAAGCAGGGTAATATGGTCATCTGTAGTCTCTGGGAATAAAACTGATGGTATAGAAGATGGTGTAGACTAAAAGCAAAGAGACCAGTTAACTCAGGTGCCCAAGCAAGGAATAAGACAGCTGTATTATTAATATTATTTTAAGGGACCTGAGAGATCATATAATAGTCTTTATCCTTTATGGAGCCCTAGGATGCCTCAGGAGCCACATAGAAAGGGCAAGGATGGGAGTATATATAATGCTTTGGGCCCCTAAACTCCTCCTTATGTTTTAAATTTTTTCCTTTTATTTTCAGTTGACATGTAATAATTATACATATTTATGGGATACAGAGTGATATTTCAATACATGTATACAATGTGTAATCAAATCAGAGTAATTAGCATATTCATCACCTCAAACATTTATCATTTCTTTGTGTTGTGAACATTCAAAATCTTGTAGCTTTTTGAAAATACGTGGTAAGTTATAGCTAGCCATATTTACCCTACAGTTCTGCAGAACACCAGAACTCATTCTTCCTATCCAGTTGTAATTTTTTATCCATTAACTTGCCTCTGCCCATCCTCCCCTTCTCTCTACCTTTCCCTACTTCTAATACCCACAATTCTACTCTCTACTTCCATGAGCTCAAAAATTTTTTTTGGCTCCTACATATGAATGAGAACATGCCATATTTATCTTTCTGTGCATGACTGATTTTATTTAACGTAATGTCCTCCAGATTTATCCATGTTGCTGCTAATGATAGAAATTCATTCTTTTTTATGGCTGAATAGTATTCCATGGTGTGTGTGTGTGTGTGTGTGTGTGTGTAAAAAACACTTTTAAAATCCATTATTCTCTTGATGGACATTTCTCTTGATTATCTATCCATAGATATTATGAATGGTGCTGCCGTAAACATGGGGGTACAGATAAGTTTTTAACATAATGAGTTTTTTTCCTTTGGAGAAATACCCAGCAGTGGGATTGCTAGATTGTATGGTAGTTCTGTTTTTAGTTTTTTGAGAAACCTCCATACTGTTTTCCATAGTGTATAAAAGTTCTCTTTTCTCTTCATCCTCAACAGCATTTATTGACTTTTGTCTTTTTAATAGACATTTTAACTGGGGTGAAATAATATGTCGTTGTGGTTTTTATTTGCATTTACCTGAAGATTAGTGATGTTGAGCATTTTTTCATATACTTGGCCATTCGCATGTCTTTTGAGAAATGTCAATTCTGTTCCTTGCCTACTTTTTAATTGAATTATTTTTGGTTTTGCTGTTGAGTTGTTTGAGTTCCTCGTATGTTCTGGATATTAGTTCCTCATCAGATGAATGAAACTAGATCCCTATCTCATCATATACAAAAATCAACTTAAAGTAGATTAAAGACTTAAGCATAAGACCCTAAACTATAAAACTACTAGAAGAAAACATAGGGGAAATGCTTCAGGACATGAACCTGGGCGAAGACTTTATGGAAAAGACTTCAAAGCATAGGCAACAGAAAAGAAAGTAGACAAATGGGACTGTATTAAACTAAAAGCTTCTGCACAGCAAAGGAAACAACACAGTGAAGAGACAACTTGCACAATGGGAGAAAATATTTGCAAACTCCTACTTAAACTAAAGAACCTCTGATTTTATCTGATATATACATTGGCCTTCTGAATATAAGTTTTGCTTGTTATATATACATATTCCATATATAAATATATATATTTGCATGTGTGTGTGTGTATACTATGGCTAAAAAGAAGTTGGAAAACCACTTAGTAGCCTAACATTTTTCTAAGAATTTCTCAGATGTGTAATCATATAGCCCCTTCCAGAGTGCATGGGCGCTCATCATCACAAAAGAAAGTCAGTTCCATTGTTGAAAAGTTTCCAGTTGATTACAGAGTCCTCCTGGACTGTAAATTAAGGAGTCTTATTAGTCTTGTACCCAGTAAACATTATGTCATTAACCTTACATTTCTATCCACAGAAATTTCCAGTTACAGTGTTTTCCTTTGTGGCTGGAAAGAGTTTAAATATGTGTATGCTAGTTTACCATATAGAATCAAAGGGTGGATGGAGTCACAACTCTGAATTTTTCAGGAAAAAGTCTTAAGTATTAAGCAAAAAACAAATAACCCCATTTAAAAAATGGACAAAAGACATGAGCAGATATTTCTCAAAACATACTAGAGGCTAGCAAACTAATGAAAAAATGCACATCACTAATTATTGGAGAAATGCAAATCAAAACCACAATAAGATACCATCTCACAACAGTCACAGGGCTATTATTAAAAAGTCAGAAAACAACAGATGCTGATGAGGCTGTGGAGAAAAAGGAATTGCTTATACACTGTTCGTGGGAATGTAAATTCAGCCACTGTGGAAAGCAGTTTAGAGATTTTTCAAAGAACTTAAAACAGAACTACCATTAGACCCAGCAAACCCATTAATGGGTTTATATCCAAAAGGAAACAAATCTTTCTACCAAAAATCATGCACTTGCATATTCATTGCAGCACTATTCACAATAGCAAAGATATCAACTAGGTACATGTTAGTGGTGGATTGGATAAAGAAAACGTAGTATATATTCAGTATGGAATACTATGCAGTCATAAAAAGAAATGAAATCATGTCTTTTGCAGCAACATGGATGGAGCTGGAAGTCATTACCTAAGTGAATTAATGCAGGAACAGAAAACTAAATACTGTATATTCTCATTTATAAGTTTATAAGCTAAACATTGGGCACTCATGGACATAAATATACTGAGGACTTACTAGAAGAGGAGGGAAGGAGGGGGCAGGGGTTGAAAAACTATTAGGTAGTATGCTTAGTACTTGGGTGACGGGATTGTTTGTACCCCAAACCTCGGCATTATGCAATATACCCAGGTAACAAACCCGCACATATACATCCTCAAGCTAAAATAAAAGTTTAAAATGTTAGTTGAAGAATTGTGTAATGGGCTGGGTCCAGTGGCTTACACCTGTAATCTCAGCACTTTGGGAGACTGAATTGGGTGGATCGATTGAGGTCACGAGTTTCAGACCAGCCTGGCCAAAATGGTGAAACCCCATCTCTACTAAAAATACAAAAATTAGCTGGGTGTGGTGGTGGGTGTCTGTAATCCCAGCTATTTGTGAAGCTGAGGCGTGAGAATCACCTGAACCTGGGAGGCGGAGATTGCTGTAACTGAGATCATGCCACTGCATTCCAGCCTGGGTAATCTGGGTGATCGAAAGAGCCCTGTCTCAAAAAAAAAAAAAAAAAAAGAGAATCTAATGGATGAAAAATTATAATAAATATGTCTAAATACTCCTTTTAGAATATACGGCTAATAGGCTGGGTGCAGTGGCTCACGCCTGTAATCCCAGCACTTTGGGAGGCTGAGGCGGGCGGATCACGAGGTCAAGATATCAAGACCATCCTGGCCAACTAACGTGGTGAAACCCCGTCTCTACTAAAAATACAAAAATTAGCTGGGCATAGTGGCGCACGCCTGTAGTCCCAGCTGCTCGGGAGGTTGAGGCAGGAGAATGGCTTGAACCCGGGAGGCGGAGGTTGCAGTGAGCCGAGATAATGCCACTGCACTCCAGCCCGGGGGCAGAGCGAGACTCCGTCTCAAAAAAAAAGAAAAAAAAAAACCAAAAACAAAAAAAAAAGAATATACATCTAATAATGGGAAGATGTTTGCTTTCTGATTCCAAGGATTTGCGGTTTTAAATTGACTCTCGTTTAGCCAGCCTCAAAGTATTTAGGCTAGATTTTTAAAAAAGTTTGCATGGTACAGAGATTCTGCTTTAAACTGTTGTCAGTGCTATTACTTTACAGACAACTTTGTCTTGCTTTTTATGTCTCACCAGCTACATTATTGAGCAGGGGGTGTGTGATTTGGTTTTATGTGAAGCTGCCTTCCCTAAGACGTTGGCTTTTGCCTACCTAGAAGATTTGCACTCAGAATTTGATGAACAGCATGGAAAGAAGGTGCCCACTGTGTCCCGACCCTATTCCTTTATTGAATTTGGTAAGTTTTTGCCCCTCACTTCTCTCTATCAAGGGAGCAAACAATATGGAGAAGCTATTTGTTACACTGATATAATATTTATACATTTTTTCTGATGTTTACTTGCTGAAGTTTTAGCTTCTGCTTCCTTTTCCATTCCACTTCTTTTTGTCTTTTTGAGTGACTAAGGCTTTGTTCTGAAAAGTAATTTTCTCTAGTCTTTTGATCTTTCCTCCATAGAAATTGTTGCCTTTTGCCCTTTCTGTTATTTGGTTTGATTCTTCTTTAGAGTCACATGTGACAGGAACTTTGCTAAAGATCTACTTGATTGGCATATAATGGCTGAGTTCTTCTTTACCCCAGTCCACAGACTCACACTCACAATAAGGCTCATTTTATGGAGATCAGAATTGGGAAATCAGAAAGAATGATGTTTTGTTTCTTTTAGTAGAATAAGATCCTCTAATTAAAAAAACAAAACAGAACAAAGAAATAGAAGATACCTGGTACTCATGGTATTGGGGTATAATATTTACTACATTCAGGAATGGTGAGCATAGGTGTCTGTATTTGTACAAGAATTATAGAAAGACCAATTACTAATCAGACCTGGTAAAGTATCTGATGGTAAGGGATCAAAGGAAATGTCCTAAGTACAGTAAGTACAGGGAGTGAGAACAAGTAGGATCAGGCTATATCGCTGCAATTTTTAGTTAAAAGAGAAATTGGTTTTACTGGCTTAGAATTTTTGAAGTGTTTCAAGTTTGCTAGATAAATGGGTCATCTTGCTTTGGAAAAACACTCTAGTGTTTCATAACTATATACTCTCCAAGTGCTGCTTTATATAATGTCCAGTTTTTCAAATTTTATTTTTATAGACAGTAATACTCCCATAAACCTCCCTCAAAAAGAAGACAAATGTATCAGGGTCATACAGGAAACAGATGGCACACCCAAATTAGCTTAAGGGATTATATACAAAGATATGACTAGGCTGTAGGAGAATTACAAGGTACAGTAACCTCTGACCAGTAGCATACTGGTTGTTACCATCCCTAGGCCTGAATGTATAAGGGGGAGGAGCAGTTTCTGAAACTGAAAAGGAGAAAATTTCTAGAGAAGGCCAACTTGAGAGGAGCGTAACTTTTGGTAGAGGGATACTTCCAGAAGAAGGTTATTTCCTTCTCTGAAAGAAGCCAGGGGAATAAATACCCGGACATCACTCACTGTCTGTTCTCCTTCTTCCCTACTGTTGGGGCTTCTTCATTGCCTGAACCTAACTGGCACAGAGCAAGGAGTCTATTGAGGCGCTTCATCCAAGTCAGCTTCCCAGTGCAGAAAGCAAGGTGCAGGAGGGCAGAGAGGAGATCTAAAGAGGCAAATGAAAGGGGTACAGCACACTTAAATTAAGATTTTTGCCAAATGTTGAAAATATCTTTAATAATAAGTCGTTCTTCCTATAGTTTTGAGAAATACTGATATGAGCAAAAGATGGATGAGACTTCAGTTTTTATTTATTTATTTATTTATTTACTTAGAGACAGAGTCTCGCTCTATTGCCCAGGCTGGGGTGCAGTGGCATGATTTTGGCTAACTGCAACCTCTGCCTCCTAGGTTCAAGTGATTCTTGTGCCTCAGCCTCCTGAATAGCTGGGACTAGAGGTGCACGCTGCCATGACCAGCTAGCTAATTTCGGTAATTTTGGTAGAGATGGGAGTTTTGCCTTGTTGGCCAGGCTGGTCTCGAATTCCTGGCCTCAAGTGATCCACCCATCTTGGCCTCCCAAAATGCTGGGATTTATACGTGTGAGACACAGTACCTGGCCGAGACTTCAGTTCAGTTTTATATTGGTATTTTGGAAAACTCCCTATTACATACTTGCTTTACCTGAGGTTTAAGAATGGAATGAAACTGGGAATGTATATTAGAGAA
Source organism: Homo sapiens (assembly GCF_000001405.40). NCBI lineage: Eukaryota > Metazoa > Chordata > Mammalia > Primates > Hominidae > Homo > Homo sapiens. Next base: position 149,353,323 of record NC_000001.11, read on the forward strand.
AATAAGGTAAAGTTTCTCAGCTTTTTAATGATCATGAGCCCTTTTGCCATGTTAGGCTGTAATAATGCTAGAGTGTTACCAGCATCCTTTTAAGGAATGTGTAGAGGTAAGTAACACTTAGCCTAAGGGTCCTCAGAATACTGTTTGAAAATTTCTGTTTTCAGGAAAGGCTTACTATAGTGGGTCTTAATTTCTCTAAGGATTCTGATAGCAGCCTTAGATAGCAAATACTTCTAATTTAAAGGTATTCAAAGGACATTTCTCCTGAATGGTCGTCTAATTATACCTTTACATCTTACAAATGAAATAATCAAAGCCTAGATTTTGATATTCAACCAAGAGTTTGGTTAACCATGGACAGTGGCAAATCCAGGAATAAAGACAGAACTGTTTTGGTTTTTTTGTTTTTGTTTTTGAGACAGAGTCTTGCTCTGTCACCCAGGCTAAAGTGTGGTGGTGTGATCTCAGCTCAGTGCAACCTCTGCCTCCCAAGTTCAAGTGATTCTCCTGGCTCAGCCTCCTGAGTAGCTGGGATTATAGGCGTGTGCCGCCACGCCTGGCTAACTTTTTATATTTTTAGTAGAGACGGGGTTTCACTGTGTTAGCCAGGATGGTCTCGATTTCCTGACCTCATGATTCACCTGCCTTGGCCTCCCAAAGTGCTGGGATTACAGGTGTGAGCCACCGTGCCTGGCCAACTCAGAACTTTTAATTTCCTACCTCAGTACTTTGATGGCCATGAAAGAAATGGTCAGTTTTCTTCATCATTCTAGATACTTTCATTCAGAAAACCAAGAAGCTCTACATTGACAGTTGTGCTCGAAGAAACCTAGGCTCCATCAACACTGAATTGCAAGATGTGCAGAGGATCATGGTGGCCAATATCGAAGAAGTGTTACAACGAGGAGAAGCACTCTCAGGTATCTAAAAGCAATGAGTCTTATGAAGAAATGGTTCTCATTCCATAGACAAGGATAGCTTATTTTGCAGTGCCTTTTATGCTATTAGATTCTACCTAGAACTGTTAAGAATTTATCTCCCAGAAGTACATTACATTACAATGCTTCCAATATATTTTTTTTCCTAGCATGATTAGTTTTTGTTGAGTTGGAACAGTGTAAAGGACTCATCCATATTAGAAGCAATGATTATTTCTAAGATATTCACAAAATTAATTAAATTATATAACTTGTATAAATTAAGGGAAATGAATGAGAGAAAACTCAACAATGTATTGCAGTGGTTTTTTGAGTAGCCTCTTTGGGAGACTTTACTGCTGCCAGATCAATCTTTATAAAATGCCATTTTCATCAAAGCATTCCTCTCTGAAAAACTTTTAAATCTGGGACTACAAGATAAGATCCAGTCTGACTTATTTTTCCGTCAGTCAGCCATTGTTATTGAGAGCTTGTTATTTGTAAGGCGTTGTGCTCTACATATGGAAAATAAGGAAGATGCAAATGTCTGTCATTCTCTAGTTCACAAACATTCTTCTGTAGCCACACCAGCTTCTTTACTATCCTTAGTGGTCCTTAGAACAGAATACTGCCTTATGCTGGACCTGTTCTGTATGTAAGACCTCCATAAGAACTGTCTCTTTAAAGAACCTTTCTCTGATCCTTATAGCCTGTATCACATTAATCTCTTCTGTCCTTTAAACTCCTAAAGCACTTAGTAACATAATGGTTTTAGCACATATTACATGTATGTGTGTTTACCTAATTTACCTTAAATATATTTATTAAATACCTCTTACCATATTAAATATATATTTAATATATATTAAATATATTTCCATATAACATAAGTATATGTTTCATATATTTATATTAAAGTAGGCAAACATATTTGGATAATTAAATATTTTTATATAATTTCATATATTTTTTTGAGACAGAGTCTTGTTCTGTTGCCCAGGCTGGAGCGCAATGGCACGATCTTGGCTCACTGCAACCTCCATCTCCTGGGTTCAAGCGATCTTCCCACCTTATCCTCCTGAGTAGCTGGGGCTACAGGCATGTGCCACCACGCCTGGCTAATTTTTGTATTTTCTTAGTAGAGATGGGGTTTTGCCATGTTGTTCCGGCTGGTCACAAACTCCAGGGCTCAAGCAATCCACTCACTTCAGCTTCCCAAAGTGCTGGGATTACAGGCATGAGCCACAACACCCAGCCCTTTATATAATTTTAAAAGTGTAGGTAATTAGGTAAAATTAGGTTAAAAGTATATGTATATTTACCTGATATTTCAATATTACCTAAGTGTTTAATGTGGACATGTAAGCTCTTTAAAGATAGTGCTTATGTATTTTATATCTGTTTCACATACTCCTTATATATCCCCCACAGAAATGGTCACAAATAGGTTCCTTAATAAGTATTTTTGAATTCAGCCATGCTATATATTCATTAGTAAGTGAGTTTTCTTTTATTATGAACTACAAACTTTAACCTTTTTTTGAGTAGTGAGCAGTTATTCATTTACCTTCACACTCTTTAAATACCAAATTTTGAGTGAGTGAGTGTGTAAGGTTTTGTCATACAGACTTGCAATTCCTATATGGGATAAAGTAGACTAGCACAGGAATTTTTCTTGTATCACTCATGCAAGACTCTAAATTCCTTAAAGGCAGGGATCATGTATATTTTGATCACTGTTGTATCCTCAGCACTTCACATGGTGCCTGTCACATAAATATTTGTTAAATGACTTCTCCAAGCAATAGCTTTGTCTTTATGTTATCCTGTATTTCAAAACGTTCATATATAAATTCTCTCAACTATGACTTGTTTCATAGGGTCTAATAATTGTTCCTCTGCTGAGTTATTCTCAGCAGATTTAGATTCATTTAGCAAATGTTTATTGAGCACTAACTATATACCAGGCCCTGTTCTGGGCATTCAGGATATAGCAGCAAACACAATAATTTAAAATCCCTGTCCAGTGAAGTGTATATTCTTGTAGGCTCTGTAAAAAGATGCCCTGTGCATTGTCATGGTTATTTCTCAGTCCCTGACTCTTCTTCCGTCACTAGATGTTTTTCTTACTCATGTGATCAGTTGCTAATTCAGACGTGGCTGTCATGCCTGTGTTATTAAGTAACGCCATGTTTCCCAATCAAAACCAGTCTCTATTAAGCAACTCCAAATATTCCAAAAGCATTCTTTAAGGAAGAAACAGCCGGATTGCAAAATAGTTTTTTCTGAAATTTCAAGAAGTGAAAAGTTTGATCAGAATTTATTATGTCAAATGGAGAGTTTGTGTTTATTATTAAAATATGCCCTATATTTTAATATGGTCTAGCTTGTGTCTATCTGGCTATTTCTCTAAGTGTTTAGTTAACTGTTATAAGAAGATAACAACATTACAAATGTCCTTGGGGGTGAAAAAACTTGCCAGAAAATACTAAAAAGCTTAATTTACTTGCGTTTTTTTTTGTAGTACTTATTGTATTTTAGTTACAACTTTCCTATGTCTATTGAAATATAAATCCTGATAGCTTTAACTTCGTAGTAGTCTCTACTATGTGGAGAATCTTAGAAATGTTAGCAGTCATCATTGAAGTATAGCTTAAGACTGTGTTTGGTTAATTGAATTTTCTGGTTATCTGAGTTTGTTTTACATGGATTATCATTATCGTTTTTCAAAATATAAGAGAATATGATTCAGACCATTAGAAGATTATGAAGATAATAATTATTAACATGTAATAATTATTATAATTTATCATGTGCAGGCATTGTTGCTCACTTTACAGGCAATCTCATGTACATACAACTTTATGACATAGTTACTGTTATTATCCCCAATTATAGATGAAGAAACTAGGTTTTAAATAGGTTACATGACTTGACCAATGTCACATAACTTGTACAGGTGATATCTGAACCAAAGAGTCTGAGGCCAGAACCTGCACTTCTAACCACCTTACTATATAGCCTCAAAAATTCAGACATAATCTGATCAGCATCATCAGTTAATTAGTATATGCAATGTTAGCCTCAAAATAAAAATGATGATTTAAGATTCATGGTTGTTGCAGTGCTGCTCATTTTGGTTATTTTTAATGCCTTAATACTTTCGGTAAAATACTTCCAGGGACTAATTAATGTTTTCCTTTTTTCCTCTTTGACAGCATTGGATTCAAAGGCTAACAATTTGTCCAGTCTGTCCAAGAAATACCGCCAGGATGCGAAGTACTTGAACATGCATTCCACTTATGCCAAACTTGCAGCAGTAGCTGTATTTTTCATCATGTTAATAGTGTATGTCCGATTCTGGTGGCTGTGAAATAATGAATACAGTCACTGGTAAGGGAGAACCTAGAACCCAGTAGGTGTATATTTTCAGGAAACTGAGCTCACAGAGATGTGTATTAGAATCCAAGTGGAACTTCTGCCTCTAAAGACCTTGCAAGAAAAGAGATGTCCTGAAAATGAAAGGTTGCACCTCATTTAATGAAGCTTAACCCTATGTAGAAAGTCTCTTTCGGGGGCAGAGGCTTTCTCTGGGTGCCAAGCCATATATATTAGGGAATAGTAGATTGTTATTTCGTTTTTTCCCTCCCAGTGCATTTTAAAAACAGCACTGGCTGGGCATTCTCATTCTCTGATGGAGCCATCAATGAGATTTAACTTAGTCAACCTGTGCTAGCAACATTCTGAAATTCCTTCAAAGAAGGCAGTCCTTTGGGAAGGTGTTTTTTTTTTTTTGTTTTTTTGTTTTTTTGTTTTTTTTTGACTCTAATCAACATTCCTTTTGTTGGTGACATTTGTGATTTTCAGTAATCTGAGTTTTTGATGGCCTTTTAAACAAGACTCCAGTATGTGAAGGTTAATTGCTGTGCTCCACAGATCTTGTCTATTGGCCCCTGTAGAAAGTTAACCTTTGTTGTTTTCCTTTTATAATTTGCTTATTGCACAATTGCTTTAGGGTAAGTGAATTATATTAAGATGCCTTGAAATTATAGCACTCCTTGATTAAGAAGCTAAAATGTTTCTCTCATTTACTCCTTAAACAAAAGACTTAAATTAGTTTGGGTCATTATTACTTTTATTTTGCAGCATTTGGTTTGTTATTAGTGTAAGAGCAAGTATAGGATATGGAGAGGCCCCTGGCTTCATGAGAACAAAGGCAGGCCCAGGTTATAATTACAGCTTTCTCCTGCCCCTTCTTTACTTTCTCTACCACAGTTTTCTCCGCTGTTTGTTTTCCTCTTGCCACAATTTGCTAACACTTAAAAAATTTTCCTGCACCCAGTAGTTTCATATCCTGTAGACATCCTCTTAGGACATTCTCAAATTTCAAAATAAAAAATATTCATCTATGTAGTTAATTAAAGTTAAAGTTTCTGCAGATCAACTACTCAAACTACTAAATACATTTACCTGAGAAAAAGTCTCTGAGAGCACTTCATTCCTGTTTTAGTTCGTGTAAATTCTCTGAGAATGTTCTGGAGATAGATAACTCATTTACAGTGGTTTCTATTAACTAATTAAAGTACCCATGATTTTTTCCTTTTCTGCTCAGGGATGATGGAGATTTCCTTTTACCTTTTTTAATGGGGTAAATTTTTTAATGGGGAAAATAGGCCTTTTAAATATTATTGCCAGGGTCTGCAATATAACTTAAAATTCCTGTACATACTGCAAATATTTCTTTAAATTGCACAGGAAAATGAGCGAACTTTTTATTTCTTAATATCTTTGGCAAAAAACTTTAACCAGTAAGCAATTTTATAACCCTGAGGGATCATCAAAGATACTATCCTGATTCCTGGTAAGGAAAAATATATTATTTCCTTATAACAAGGCAAGGAGAAATGCTATTTTATTCCTGATAATTTATATAGCTAGAATAATTTTTTTCCTTTCTTTTATGGACCTAAATCTGCCAATTGGGAATTTTGTGCATGAAATATGAAGTTACTTTTTATAGATAATCAGTGCTTTTAAGTCCCTAAAAGGCTCCTGCTGAAGTAATGATGAAGTTCATAATAAAAGCCTTTGAAAGGCTGAAAACCTACATAGTGGTACCATAGTATTTGGAGCTTCTATAGGAGTGGAGAGGGGCAGCTCATTGTTGAGAGTTGCATGCTGCAACCTAATGGTCAGCAATGAAAGAAATACTTGTAGAATGTTCACTTCAGTGTGAAGTTTTGTTATCTAGTTAATTTATATACATATATCCTTTGTAGATACATTTCTATCTAATCTTGTTGAGCTAATTAAGAAATAAGGGGTGGGGTAATTGTCAACAAAGGGAGAAGAAAGTGGTTTAAGATCAGGGCAGCAGAAAAATTAGAGAACAAGAATATCATAATATGGCTCCTGGTTTTCTTTATAAGAGGCAGTGGGAAGATCTGACTAGATGAAATGTATCATCAACCAAACTGGCATCTAAAATAGAATGGGATAAATACTGTATGGGGTTATTGGAGGCATATTAAGAAAGGACACCTAATTTATTTTGGGAAGAAGTATGTTAAGAGAAGACTTTCTAGAGAAGGAGAATGGGGCATTCTAGGAAGAGTCAATGGCATGTGCAAAGGCATGAATAAAGACAGTGAGGCATGTTTTGGAAATGTAACAGCTTGATTCAGCTTAGCCCATAGGGTAAGCATAGACAACAGAGGAGACTTGAGGAATGAGAACTAGATGGGTACACTATCATAAAGGGACTTGTCTATCATGCTGAGGAGTTTAGACCATCTTAATGGTAGTGGCCAAGGATGGCATCAGATTTATAGTTTCAAGTGATCATAATATTGGCATAAAAGATATATTAGGGAGGAAGCCTGAAGTAGGGAGATGAAAATAAGGAGCCATCAAAGGCAGAATGAAACTTAGGCAGATTTCAAGTGATTTTCAAAAATGATGTGATCAGAGGTACCAGATAATAACTATTACATAACACTTTCTTTGTTAGGAGCTTATTTCTCACACTGACCAAAGCTTTTGAAGTAAGTACTCTTTACACCACTATATAAATAAACCTTACAAAGGATTCTGCTTTGAGGCATGAGAGAGTTAAGTCATTTGCCCAAAGTCACAGAGTTAGAAAGTAATAGAGCTAAGATTTGAACCTAGGCAGTTTGGCTCCAGAGTCTGTGCTCTTACACTATATTACCACCAAGAGGTCAAATAAATACCAAAGAATGTATTTTCGAATTTAACAATGAGGAACTTAATCATACAGGCAGAAGTAATTCCAGAGCACCGGAGACAGAAGCCAGATTGCCATATGGGTTAAAGAGTGTGTAAACCACTAGGAAGTAAAGACATAGAACTACTCTCACAAGTGCTTTTCTGGTTATTGTGACGCTGAACTTCATGGCTTGTTTTAATTAAGACATCTTACAAGTGTCAAAATTTGGAAATATTTGGACACTGTACACTCTGGTTATTTAAATATCTAACAGTGGTTCTTGAGCATTTTGAGAAACCTTTGAAAATCTGATGAAAGGTATGTGCCATTACTCTAGAAAAATGTTCCTGTGTACATGCACATCAAGTATCACATACTGTTTCAGGCTGTTCAAAGACTACAAAGTCTGTTCATGACCTAATGGTCCATGTTCCCTCAGTTAAGAGCTCCAGAGATAAAGGATGTGGAACTCAAAGGTAAGTACCCAGAGCCTTGAAAACTCCATTTGTGACTTGGAAGAATTCTACAATTTGAATTAACTTTGTGGAGAGAGATATATTTTTGAAAAATTGTGTGTACCAAAAAAATTTCATATCAAATAATATTTTCCTGTAGTGCATTCAAGGATCTGGTTCCACAGCAAAAAATTGTTTTGGTCTCAGTTCCTCAAAATCACATTTAAGGAGCTTGAGATTTATATTTTCTACTTAATAAGTCTTACAAAAGCAAGTTAAGAAGGAAAATGGACAATCATTTCTGCACATGTAGGGTTTAATAAAACATGTATAATGAAATATTTCATATTTTAAATTTCCACCTTATTGGTAGCTTTCATGACAAAGGGCTAGGGTGCTGGTGGCCATACAATTAAGGTTTTTGGTTAGTTAGTTAGCAGAACTAACTGACTCCTACCTGGTGGGTTTTTCTTTTGTTTGTTTGTTTGGTTGGTTGGTTTTTTCCCAGATGGCTCAGGAGGAAGGTAAATAGCAGTCATTGTATGTGTGACAGAGTTTGAGATAGAATGAGCATATTGAATCCCACATCCTGTTCTTATTACTGTCAGGCAGCGTTGACCTAGCAGTATAAAACTATCTGAAGCAATGTAGTCACTCAGTTCTCATAAAGTTTATTTCAAGTACTGTAACAATTCATGTTTGGATTAGAAAAGTCACTAGAAATTTGACTTCCATATAGTAATCTATACTTTTTTCTCTCATTTCCTTCATTTTTTGAGCCGTAAGTGTAAGGCATTTTGGTGGTATTATTACAATGGTTATGAGGAGTTTCTTTGCTTGCCCAAGGTCACATAGCTAGCAAGTTAAAGTAGATTCAAATCCAGGCCTGCTAGATACCAAATTATTATTTAAGAGTACTTTTCACTACTCCTAAATAATGACACAGATATGTTTGTCTTACACATTTCACTTTATTGTCAAGTTATTAGTATGTTTATTTTCAAAAGGTATTTTTTGCAATTTCTTTTTATTATTCCGTACTTTTTAAATTTACTTCATTATCACGTCTTCCTTTATTCTTTTTAAATAGTTTTTGCTTTTGTTATTTTGTTTTCCCTTTTTTACTCTTGGTTTGTAATACATCTTTCCTTATTTGCTCCTTTCTCATTTGATCTCAATGTTAATCCAACTGTTTTCCACATCTGATTCACTAAAATTTTAGCCCTTTAAAAAAAAATTCCTGTTTTTCCTATCTCCTTTTGCCCATTCTCTTCTCCTTGCCTCTCTTCTTTTATCTTTTTCCATTTTACTTTCATTTTTTGTTTCTCTAGATGTTGTTTTGACATATGAGTTAATGTACTGGTACAATTTTGCATCTGTAAATTAGAGCTTCAGAATCAACTGAGTGTATTTATTCTTTATTTTTAGGCCTCAATTTATCTTACCTTTTATTGATTTTATAATATACTATACTCTTTCATTTTAGTCTGCATATGTTAGCCAAAGAAGATATGCCCCTGTTTTAAGAAATCTCTGTAAAAAATGTCAAGTGTGACAAGAATTCTTCAAGAAACAAGCTCCTCTAGTTTGTCTTCTATATTTAGAGCTTCAACAGTTACCTATATTACTGGTAACTCCCAAATATACCTTCAAACTTGTTTTTTGGGCCCAAGTTTTTTGCTTCATAGATATCTGTTTTGAATATCCCATAAATAATTGCATCTAAAGCATACCTCCACTCCATTGTTCTCACAGATAAAACCAAACCTGTGCTTCTTCTTATATTTCTAGTATTTAAGCGTCACCTGCCACCCCTTTACCTGAGCTACAAGTCACGCATTGCATTAGACTCCTCTGCTTTCTTCTTTCACCTCTAACTAGACTATTAACCAAAAATTTTTAAATATAACTTTCAAAAGGTGGGGTTTTATTACATCATTTCCATCCTTTATGTTTGGGTTCGAGCCCTCATTAACTTTAACATGGATTCTTGGAGTACCCTCCTTACTGATTTTGTTACACGTGTCCCTCTTTTAGTCAGTACTACCATGATAATACCATGGATAATAATTTTTTCATTTTTATTTTTAGTCTTGCTCTGTCGCCCAGGCTAGAGTGCAGTGGCGCGATCTCAGCTCACTGCAACCTCCACCTCCCGGGTTCAAGTGATTCTCCTGCCTCAGCCTACTGAGTAGCTGGGATTACAGGCACCTGCCACAGCTCCTGGCTAATTTTTGTGTTTTTAGTAGAGATGGAGTTTCACCGTCTTGAACTCCTGACCTCATGATCCACCCTCCTCGGCCTCCCAAAGTGCTGGGATTACAGGCATGGGCCACTGCGCCCGGCCAATAATTTTTCTTTTTTTTGTGCTAATCATACTACATTTTCTTTAGAATAAAAGATCACATACTTCAGTTTGCCATTCGCAGTCTGGCCCCATTGTGCCATTCTAGACTTACCTCCTGCCACTCCCCACCAGCTTTGTTTTGTCTTAGCCACACAAAATAATCTAGCGTCTCTAACCAGTCAAACATTTTACCTTGTGCCTTGGCTCACTCTGTGCCTTTTCTCCAGAATATCTTTCTGTGTACTTTTCTCCCATCCTTTTGCCTTTAAACCTGCTGCTATGGTTTGGATGTTGTTTGGCCCCTCCAAAACTCACGTTGTAGTTCAATTGCCAATGTAATAGTGTTGGAAGATGCTACTTTTAAGAGGTAATTAGGTTGCTAAGATGGATTAACATCTTTCTCTTGACACTGAGACTGGGTTCTCCTGGGAATGGTTAGTTCCCAAGAGAGTGAGTTGTTATAAAACAATGCTGCCTCTTCTATTTTGCACTTTTTGTTTGCACAAACTCGGTCCCCTTCTGTTTCTCTATGATGTTTTGATGCAGCATGAGGCAGTCATGAGAACCCACCAGATACAGCTGCCTGATCCTGAATTTCCCAGCCAACAGAACCAAGTGCTAAATAAAACTCTTTTTAATAAGTTACCCACTCTCAGGTGTTCTATTATCGCAACAGAAAACAGTTTAAGACACCTGCTAGGCTCCTAACCTTGAGGGGCTAGAAAACAAAGCCAGAGGTCCAGTACCAGCCTCCTCAGAGTTAGAATACACAGCTCATGAGTGCTGAGCTCAGCCTTGGCCCCTACAATCTTCCAGAAATGAGGCCACTTGGCTGAGCCCATTATATGCAACATTCAGACCCCCAAGGGCATCAAAGAAGACAAAAGCAGAAAAACCTATCCAAGAAACAGCAACTTCAAAGGTTGAAGCAACATCAGACCACACAGGTGAGAACCAGCACAAGAACTCTGGCAACTCAAAAAGCCAGAGTGCCTTCTTACCTTCAAGCAACTGCACTATTTCCCCAACAGTGGTTCTTAACCAGGCTGACATGACAAAAATAGAGTTCTGAATATGGATAACTTTGAGGAACATAGATGCAAAAATCCTCAATGACTCAATTTGCTGGACTAGCAAACCAAGCCCAGCAGCATGTCAAAAACGAATCCACCACAATCAAGCAAGCTTTATCCCTGGGATGCAAGTTTGGTTCAACATATGCAAATCAATAAATGTGATTCATCACATAAACAACTAAAAACAAAAACCACATGGTCATCTCAATAGATGCAGAAAGGGCTTTCAATAAAATTCAACATCCCTTCATGTTAAAAACCCTCAGCAAACTAGGCATTAGAGGAACATACTTCAAAATAAGAGCCATCTATGATGAGCCCACAGCCAACATCATACTGAATGGGCCAAATGCTAGAAATACTCCCTGTGAGAACCAGAATAAGACAAAGATGCCCACTCTCACCAATCCTATTCAACATAGTACTGAGAGTCCTAGTCAGAGATAACAGGTTAGAGAAAGAAATATAAGACATCCAAGGAAAAGAGGAAGTCAAACTATCTCTGCAGACAATATGATTCTGTAGAAAACCCCATAGTCTTTGCCTAAAAGCTCTTTGATCTGATAAACAATTAGCAAAGTTTCAGGATACAAAATTAATGTACAAAAATTAGTGGCATTTCTATACACCAATAGCATTCAATCTGAGGGTCAAAATCAAGAATGCAATCTCATTCACAATAGCCATACACACACAAAAATACCTAGAAATATAGATAACGAGGTGAAAGATCTCTACAAAAAGAATTACAAAACTACTCAAATCAGAGATGACACAAACAAATGGAAAAAGATTCCATGCTCATGGATAGGAAGAATTAGTGTTGTTAAAATGGCTGTACTTCCCAATGCAGTTTATGGATTCAATGCTATTCCTATGAAACTACCAGTGATATACTTCACAGAATTAGAAAAAAAAACTTTTAAAATTCATATGGAACTTAAAAAAGAGCCTGAATAGCCATAACAATCTTAAGCAAAATGAACAAAGCTGAAGGCATTACACTACCCAATTTCAACTATACTACAAGGCTTCGGTAACTAAAACAGCAGGGTACTGGTACAAAAACAGACACATAGACCAATGGAACGGAAAAGAGCCCAGAAATAATGCTGCACACCTATGATCTGATATTTGAAAAAAGTTGACAAAAACAAGCAATGAGAAAAGGACTCCCTATTCAATAAATGGTGCTGAAATAAGTGGCTAGCCATATGCATAAGATTGAAACTGGACCCCTTCCTTATGCCATATACAAAAATCAACTCATATGAAGTAAAGACTTAGATATAAAACCTAAAACTATAAAAGCCGTGGAAGATAGCCTGGGAAATACTATTCTGGAATAGGACCTGGCAAAGATTTCATAACAAAGATGCCAAAAACAATTGCAACTAAAACAAAAATTGACAAATGGAATCTAATTAAAGAGCTTTAGCATAGCCAAAAACAAACAAACAAAACAGTGAACACGGTAAACAGATAACCTACAGAATGAGAGAAAATATTTGCAAACTATGCATCCTAGAGAAGTCTAATATCCAGAATTTATAAGGAACTTTATAAGCAAAAAACAACCTCATTAAAAAGTGGGCAAATGACACGAACAGACATTTTTCAAAAAGACATACATGTGGCCAAGAAGCATATGAAAAAATGTTCCACATCACTAATAGTTAGAGAAATGCAAATCTAAACCACAATGAGATACCATCTCATACCAATCAGAACGGCTATTAAAAAGTCAAAAAGCAATAGATGCTGGCGTGGTTGCAGAGAAAATGGAACACTTATATAGTGCTAATGGGAATGTAAATTAGTTCAGCCGTTGTGCAAAGCACTTTGGTGATTTCTCAAAGAACCTGAAATAATTACCACTCCACCCAGCGATCCCATTATTGGATATATACCTAAAGGAATATAGATTGTTCTGCCATAAAGACACATGCACGCATATGTTCATCGCAGCACTATTCACGATAGCAAAGACATGGAATCAACCTAAATGCCCATCAGTGGTAGTCTGGATAAAGAAAATGTGGTACATGTACACCATGGAATATACACAGCCATAAAAAAATAAGATTATGTTCTTTGCAACAACATGGATGGAGCTGGAGGCAATTATCCCAAGCTAAATTATGTAGGAACAGAAAACCAAATACCGCATATTCTCACTTATAAGTGGGAGCATGACAATGTTTAGCATGACAATGTCTGTGAGAGAATAAGAGATGGGTGGTGTCACCACTATCTTTCTCTTTCTGTTCTCCAAATTATAATAATAACAGTCTCTTTTCCTCCTCTAAACATTTTTTATAAAGGAGGTTGAACTCAGTTGAAATATCTTGAAATTACTGTGGCTGGTTTACAAGCCACTCTGGAAAGTTATGCTCTGGCATAAATTTAGCAGCTATGTTTTACTGTAAAAAGAAACCCAGGGACATAGCTTATTAAGAAAATGTGGTCAAAGTGAGAATTTTCTTTGGTTTTATGAATAAATATAGATATTATATTACAAAATTAGATTTATATCGTTGAGCTTGATACTAGACAGTAAATATTATTTCTTAGGAAAAGGTTAATACATCATTAAATTTTAAAAGTTGAACACAAAATCTCTAACAAATTAAATTTAAATATTTCCATTTCAATATCATTGCAGACAGTTCATGGTAGTGAAGTACATTGAGAAAACTTGTTCTTTAAGAAAACAAACTTCTGGGTAAAAGATAGTAATATATCAGCAAAAAAAGATTTTTATCAAGAGGGTTGAAGGCTATAGCATCATCAAGGTAAAGATCAAATAGCATGGAGGCTAAAATAAACCTGTGCTTTTTTGAGCGGGTGGTCAATAGAAATTGGCTCTGTTGCTGGAGATCCTGAATTTTAAATTCTGGTGATCAGGCCAGTAATATGCTGATGAAGCAGAAATGTCACAGCATATTTTACCAAGTCAAAGACAGGCAACAGTTATGAGAGGGACATGGAGAACCTGGTAGAGCTCTGTGTACTATGCTGAATTAATAAATAGACAACTAACTTAAGGTGGACAAAACTGCTGGGTGTCTCTCAGGCTTCTAATGTTTTCAAAATGTATTTGAAGACTTAAAGCCTTATAATAATAAGAAGAAGACTAGTCCAAGTTCTGTTTATTTCCTTTTAAAAGGAGTCAACACTTGAGGAGACAATTCTGTACTCCCACAACAGGAAAAATGCATCCTTTTACCGTGTGAATAATTGAACCAGAGTCATTGCCCACTCTTCAGGAAATAGCTCATGTAAACTTTTGGCCAACTTGTGCTTCACAGTGCACTTACCTCTTGACATCTACCTCTGTAAACTTTTATTTGTATTACCAAATATTGACTGCAAACAAAAAAAAAAAAAAAGGAAGAAAAAGGAACCTCCCTTATACAATTACAGAACGTTAGAGCAAAAGAGAACTGAAAGATGATCTTGTGCAGGCCACCATTTTATAGATGAAGAAACAAAAGCACAGAGTGACTTGCTAATGCTTCACCAAGCTGGCACAGCCTGGCCTAGAGCTACATTCCCCTGTGTCCCAGACCCACATGCCAGCACCAACATCATGGATCCTCTCTCTCTCTCTCTTTTGAGACAGAGTCTCACTCTGTTGCCCAGGCTGGAGTGTAGTGGTGCAATCTTGGCTTACTGCAGTCTCTGCCTCCCGGGTTCAAGAGATTCTCCCGCCTCAGCTTCTTCAGTAGCTGGGACTACAGGCATACTGCCACCATAGCCGGCTAATTTTTTTGTATTTTTAGTAGAGACGGGATTTCACCATGTTGGCCAGGCTGAAGATCCTCTCTCTTATTGCTTGATGAAAAAATGTATTAGGCACTGGGAGGATAGAAATTAAAGAGCCCCAATACTTGACATCTAGGAGCTCACAACCCAATAAGAAAAGTACACATGTAGACCACCCTCCAATATTTTACTGTACTCTGTACACTGTTGCTAGAATGATCTTTCTGAAAATACAAATTGTAATGTATCTAACCCTGTGTAAAACCGTGCAGTGGCTCCTTGTTGCCTGTAAGGTAAAGCTTTCCCCTTGTTCTCCAGCCTTCTGTCTAAATGGGTCTATGCTGATGCTCAGGATCCAGCCATAGAGAACCAATTGTTTTTCCCTACATATAGCAGGCTTTTCCCTAAATATAGCAGGCCCTTTCATCCTGCCAGGCCTTTGTTATGCTGTTCTCTGCCTGGAATGACCTCCTCTCATTACCCTCCAGGAGGGTTATCTCTCTTGTAATAGATTTCCTTAGGTTTCTCTCCTTCCACCTCCAACCCCACAAACAGAATTAACCATTCCTTCCTTTGTTTATTTGTCCTGCCCATATTTCTCCTACAGCACCTATAGTGCTTTGTAACATTGATTTTTTTTTTTTTTTGAGACAGAGTCTTGCTCTGTTGCCCAGGCTGGAGTGCAGTGGCGTGATCTTGGCTCACTGCAAGCTCCGCCTCCTGGGTTCACGCCATTGTCCTGCCTCAGCCTCCCGAGTAGCTGGGACTACAGGCGCCCGCCACCATGCCCGGCTAATTTTTTGTATTTTTAGTGGAGATGGGGTTTCACCGTGTTAGCCAGGATGGTCTCGATCTCCTGACCTCGTGATCCGCCTGCCTCAGCCTCCCAAAGTGCTGGGATTACAGGCATGAGCCACCGCGCCCGGCCGATTGTTTTAAAATACATAAATGTACTTGCCATTTACACTTATGTCTTTCTCTACTAATTGAAGATAAGCTCCTTAAGAGCCATCTTTGTAAGGGCCATCTTTATCTTTGTACCCCTAGAATCTAGCTCAGTGCCTGGCTCAGAACAACTCCATTGAATGAACCATCCATAGAGGCCCTTACATCATGCTATGGGAATGCAACAGAAGGAGCAGTGAACTGTGCTTGGAGGAGTTGCCTTGGAAGCTGAAGCATGTATACCAAATAGAGGAACATCAGGGCAGGGCAAGGGTTGGTTCATAGCTGGTCGCCAGAATAGAATGCTCAAAGGTACAGGGGCCTGAGAAGTGGTGGAAAGGTTGGCAGGTTTGGGAAATTTGAGGATACCTGAGAGGATGCACTGTGGGATGTGGTGGTTTGCTGTTATTATTGTTATTGTTAAACCAGAAGAAGAGGCTATGAGTTAGTCAGGGGCTGTGTGTTAAAAGGCCTGGCAATTCATGCTGAGAAAGGAGTTTTGATTATATTACAAAGAGCTAAAGAAAGAAGAGTTTTGAAGGTCAGTATTCAAGAGTAGGGATGATTGGATATGCCTGTCAGAGAGAAAGGACAATGCAGTGACCAGGAGAGATTGCTCCAGGGAGGAGTGGGACTGCATCTTAGAGTCTGGGTGGGGCATTGCTGATCTGAGGGTTCAGAGAACTGAGAATGGTCCAGGTGAAAACTGATGAGGGCCTGAGGCAAGGCAGTGGAGATGGAGAAAATGAGAATGATTGGAGAAATAAACACAGCAGTGGTGGAATGGTGAGTGGCAATCAGCTGAAGATGGGGAATAAAGGGAAATGAGGAGTCAAAAATGATCCCAAGTGTTTATCTTGAATGTTTAAGCAGATGGCGTTGTCCTGATATGGAATGCAGAAAAATAACATCGAGTTGAGTTTGTGATGCTTTCGAGATACTTAAATGAAAATGTTGAGAAAGCAGTTGAAATTACATGTCTCATACTCAGGAAAGAGTTGAGGGCATGAGTCTCTCTAGGTAATAACTGATTCCATAGGAGAGGATGAGAGCATCTGAGAGCATGTGAGGGCGAGAGAAGGTCTAGAATGAGGCCCTCGGTTAAGGAGGAGAGAGAGGAGAAGGAGACAACAAAGAAATCCAATGTGGAGTCATGAGAGCCATAGAAAAAGAGTTTATTCACAGGGAAGAAAGAGTTTGTAGTGTTAAAAATCAAAGAAAGGATATAGATTGAAAAAAAGGTCCTGAAAGAACTGTAATATAAGGCTACAAACATACTCATTGGGGGCTGGAGGAAGTCCAACATAAGCCAGCCCCAGAGTTGAGCCAGTGAATCGGAGACAAAAGGCTCCTTCTCTTTTTTAGTCCCAGCCAGTTCATAAGCCTGAGGTTGAATTGCAACTATGATTTATGCTAAATAGCTTTATCTAATTAGGGCTGGTAAAATTGAAGTGGTTGGAATACCTCTGGCAAGAACTTGATAAAAATTTGAGAGTCTTTCACGTTAATTTTAATCTTCGTTTGCATGAAATGGGATGGTTAAGGAGAAGTAAAAGAAAAACATGAAAAGGAAGGCACAATAAGAAGCATTCATTCTTTAAAGGAAAATGGTGTACCAAAGAGTAGTCCCAGAGCTCTTCCTTCTCCTGCCTCCACATAGTCTAAGGTCTGTTTACAGGAAAAACATAAGCTAGCGTGGCCAATATAGGTTTTAATGGGTGAGCCAAAAAAAAAAAAAAAATGCTTTCATGGCAAAAATACCAAAAGCAATTTCAATAAAAGCAAAAATTGACAAATGGGATCTAATTAAACTAATGAGCTTCTGCACAGCAAATGAAACTATCATCAGAGTGAACAGACAATTTACAGAATGGAAGAATATTTTTGCAATCTATTCATCTGACAAAGGTCTAATATCCAGAGTTTACAAGGAACTTAAACAAATTTACAAGAAAAAAAAACCCCATTAAAAGATGGGCAAAGGACATGAACAGACACTTCTCAAAAGAAGTCATACATGTGGCCAAAAACATATGATAAAAAGCTCAAAATCACTGATCATTAGAGAAATGCAAATCAAAACCACAATGAGATACCATCTCATGCCAGTCAGAATGGCTGTTACTAAAAAGTCAAAAAACAACAGATGCTGGCGAGGTTGTGGAGAAAAAGGAATGCTTTTATGCTGTTGGTTGGAGTGTAAATTAGTTCAACCATTGTGGAAGACAGTGTGGCAATTCCTCAAAGAGCTAGAGGCTGAAATAACATTTGACCTAGTAATCCAACTATTGAGTATATACCCAAAGGAATATAAATCATTATATTATAAAGATACATGCATGTTTATGTTCATTGCAGCACATTCACGATAGCAAAGACATGGAACCAACCTAAATTTCCATCAATGACAGACTGGATAAAGAAAATGTACATACATACCATGGAATACTACGCAGCCATAAAAAGGAATAAGATCATATCTTTTGCAGGGACATGGATGGAGCTGGAGGCCATTATCCTCAGCAAACTAACGCAGGGACAGAGAACCAAACACTGCATGTTCTCACTTATAAGTGGGAGATGAATGATGAGAACACATGGACACATAGGGGGAACAACACATGATGGGGTCAGTCAGAGGGGGGTGTGAGGGGAGGGAGAGTGTCGGGAAGAATAGCTAATGGATACTGGGCTTAATAAGCAGGTGATGGGATGAATTGTACAGCAAATCACCATGGCACACATTTACCTATGTAAGAAACCCCCACATCCTGCACATATACCCCTGAACTTAAAAGTTGAAGGAAAAAAAAAAAGTAAAAAAATGCCATCATGATACAATTAGGCACTTATAAAAAATGTGTTCCAAATCCCTCAAAAGTGTTTTAGTAAGGGGCTTACTAAGTATGGAGATTTCAAATGTGGTATGTGGATGGTGCTAAAATTGAGAGTAAGCATTTAGAAATTTTTAGAGCAAATCGAGAATGCTGTAACATACAAGCACATTGTCAGTGGACTCATGTCAATGAGCAGGGTATGGACTGGTCTGGGTGTTGTGGAATTCTCATAGTGAGTCACAGGTGGCATGACCTGTGCACTAGTCATACGCAGGAAGACCCTTAGACCACAAGCTTGGAAATTAAAAAAAAATTAACCACACAGATAGTTTGAAAATCACTGCTTTAGATCACAACCCATTTGTAAGTTAAGAGGCCCTACAGCTCGTTTGGTGCAAGGAAGTTGACAGAGAGCTTGAGCATACACCAAAAAATTTAGATATAAAGTGACGGGAAATTTGAAGCCATTGTAGAAGATACGAATTGGAGATGGAACTACCCAAAATTACCTTCTATAAGGATCTTCTAGATTAAATGCAAGCTAACTTATTCTTAAAATTGTTTTGTTCATTATGATATGAACAGAGTCTATATCAGAACCTGGAACATGGCAGGCACTAAATAAATATTTTATGAATATTGAATTAGTTGTTCTAACAACATCGTGGAGAATAGCTTGAGAAGGGTAAAGGCTAGAATCAGAAAAAGTGGCTAGGAAGACTTTAAAGACTGTCTAGACATAGGTTGATGGGTGGATTAGCCTAGTGGATACAGAGATTCAGAAAATATGAATCTAAGAAATATTGGGAGGAACTTCCAGTTTTTCCCATGTCAGTAAGCACATGGACATTCATCAAAGTCCAAATCAGAAATGTGGGGTCATCCTTGACTCTTCTCTTTCTCCTTGCTCCTCATATTTGGTCACTCTCTGAATCCTAAATATCGCTACCCTGCCTTCTCCTGCTATTCACACTGCTTTAGTTCAAGCCCCACCACGTCCCTCCAGGACTTTGTTATAGCTTCCTTAAATGGTCTCCCTGCCCTGGGTTCTTCCCCATTAAGCTTTTCTTCCAAAATTGAAAATTCAGTGTTTTTCCTTTTTTGTGTGAAACCATGAAATGGCTCCTGATTTACCTTCTAAGCTTCAGCATACCTAAGCTCCATGGTAGGGCTGCTCCTTACCAGGCCTTGTGTCATCTGGCACTTGCTTTGCATGCCAGTGCATTCTTCTGCTCCTTACTTGGTGGTTCTTAAACCAGACCAACACTAAACAACTGGTAACCCCTGCCCCAAGGGTTTGCCATGCTATTTCATGCCTCTGTGCCTTTGCTTATGCTATTCCTTCTGCCTGAAATGCTCTCACTCCCAACACCCTGGCTGCTTTTCCATCTGTATTCATTTCCTGTTGCTGCTGTAACAAACTATCACAAACTTACTCTTTTTGAGGTCAGAAGTCTGAAATGAGGCTATTTCATGAGGCTAAAATTAAAGCATTGGCAGACCTTCATACCTCCTGGAGCTGGAGGAGAGACACTGTTCTTTGCCTCTTCCAGCTTCTAACCATAGTTTTTGTTTTTTGTTTGTTTGTTTTTGTTTTTGGCTGATGGTCCCTCATTGTCACATCTCTTTCTCTGACACTCCTGCCTCCTTTTTCTATAAGGACCCCTGTGATTACATCAGGTTCGTCTGAATAATCTAATCTTCCCATCTTCCTTAAATGTAGTCATATCTGCAAAGTCCTCATTGACATGTACAGTAACATTTACAAGTTTGGGATGTGGATATCTCTGAGAAGCCATTATTCTGCTTACTGCACCACCCAACCCCAATTAATCTCTTAAAGCTCTGCTATCACTTTTTCTCTGAAACATGTTCTGCTCAGAGCTAATCACTCTCTATTTTGTGTCATATACATACTACCTTCACTGCATGGGTTGGCTTGTATTGCACATAATAACTTTTAAAACACATCTACCTCTCTATTATATTTTGATTTCTTGAGGGGACAGCTTATTTATCTTTGTATTACCAGCGGTAAGCATGTTACATGGTATATAGCAAGTAGTAGGAGCTAAATTATACTTTTTAAAAATGAATGTCCCAGGCAGTGCAATGATCCATTTGAATGTTAACTAGACATGTAGGTTTAAATGGTGACTACAGTTGCGGTGCATTCCTAACTTTGCAGGGTCGTTGCCTACCACTCTCCCTGCCCACGCTTGTCTGCTTCCCCTCCAGTCACATGGCCTTTCTAACCTTCCTTGGTCATGCTGTTCCTATCCCATCCTCATCTCTCTGTCTGTAATGCCCTTCCTCCAACTTTTCTTTTCATAAATCCCTAATTCATTCTCAAAGCACAAATCAAAACTTTTTCCTTCTGCAATGCCTTTTATTTGTCTCAAGACAGAATTCATCACTTCCTCTTTTGAGTTGCTAAGACATTTTGTACAGATCTGTATTACATATTTCACATTGTGTTTTGCTTGGTTTTATATATGTATCTGTTCCATCACAAGAATGCACAAAAGCCATATCTTGTTTATATCAGTACTAGGCATATAGCAAGCACTCAATAATGTTTATGACCTTAAAGCGAACATATAAACAGATGAGAATGGAGGGGCAACAGAAAGGAACCAAAAGATTAAAAGAGTGCCTTTGATAAAAGATAAAGAGGAAGGAAGAGACTGAGAAGACCCTCAAAGACAGCATTCAGAAGACCCTAGAGGCAGAGTGTGATGAAGGCTGGAGTTAGAGTGGCTGACCTCTAATTAAAGAGGAGAATGTGAGAGGCAGCACCACATGCAGTGAGCTGCAGGCCTGAGAAAGAGAAAGGCTGTTGGATGTGACCACGAAGAGATCCTAATGGTTTTAGGAAGCATAATGAG
Source organism: Homo sapiens (assembly GCF_000001405.40). NCBI lineage: Eukaryota > Metazoa > Chordata > Mammalia > Primates > Hominidae > Homo > Homo sapiens. The sequence goes on from NC_000001.11 coordinate 149,374,785, forward strand.
AATGCCCAGTCAGGACCCTGGGTCTGCTCCTGTTTTTAGGTTAGGAGAGATTAGGTTAGGTTAGGATCTCCAGAGGATAAATGACTTGAGGAAAAGGAATATCACACCTCATATCCGATCAACCTGCTTGAATGCTTGAGGCCATGAACACCTCAGCACAGCTCCAAGTCAGTTTGGAAGGCTTGGTTCTTTCATCTGATACCACGACTTCAAAGTACTAGGAGATGTAGATGGTTCTCAGGGAATACAGAAGCCAACATAATGTATTCCCCTATAATAATCAGAGATTTTCATCAATAGGGCACAGTTGGCTGGGTGGTCCAGGCTCCTGAGGAACAAAGGCAAAATGTCTAAATCTGGCTTCAGAACTGAGAATAATTTCTCTTTCACGGAACTTTTCTGGATGATGATATTTCTCTATATAAAGCATTCTCTGACCCAGTGGACAAATATTTCTCACATCTCTGCCTGCCTTGAACCTTGCCCTCCTATCTTCCATCAACACTGCTGTCAGCTGTATTCTCCAACCTGTGTCTTGTTTGGCTAACCTGTATGGCCAACTGTCTGTCTTTACCTTTACAAAGCCTGATCTAGACAAACTTCTATGCCGGACATCTGCACTGATTTTTGCCCAAATCAATTGTCTAGCATCTATTTCTGTGATCTGCTTCTGCTGTGTCTGAATCAGTCTGCTGTGGTCTGATAGGTTGCACATTCTCAATGGGAGTGAGAATTGATCTTGGGGGATAAAAAACAACTTAATTTTTTAAATGTACAAAGTGCAGATATACATACAATGCATAAACCGATATCACAATATATCTGCGTGTATTAGGGCTCTCCAGAGAAACAGAACTGATAGCATATATTATATATAGATACACAGAAATAGATTTATTACGAGAGATTGGCTCATGCAATTATGGAACCTGTGAAGTCCCATGATCAGCTGTCTGCAAATTGGAAGCCCAGGAAAGTTACTGGTGTATTATAACTCCAGTCCAAGCCAGAAGGCCTGAGAACCAGGAGAGCCAATCCTGTAAGTCCCAGTCCAAGTCCAAAGGCCCCAAAACCAGAAACACTACTGATATCCAAGGGCAGGAGGAGATGGATGTCCCAGCTCCAGAAGAGAGAGTGAACTTGTGGTTCCTCCACCTCTCTGTTTTATTCAGGCCTTCAAGGGATTGCATGATGCCCACTCACACTGCCAAGGGTGATCTTTTACTCACTCTACCAATTCAAATGCTAACCTTTTCCAAGAACACCCTCCCAGACACACCCACAAATAATGTTTTACCAGTGATCTCAGCAATCCGTAGCCCGCTAAAGTTGACACACAAAATTAACCATCACACTATGGTACGAAAATTTGATAGAGGAGAGCAATTTTTAAAAACATCTGAAAAGCCTCCTTAGGAAGGCAATAATGAAAAGAAAAGGGTTGAGAAATATTGTGATAGGTGATGAGGCTGCAATTCCTGTAACAGAAGGAACATAAGGAGACTGGATTGTGAGGAAATGGAGGTAGTCACAGTTATTTGACTGAGAAGTAGACTACAGAGAGAATTCCGATGAAGCAAACAAATTATGAGCACTTATTATGTGCCATGAACTGTGTGAAACCCTTTCACATTTGTTAGCAAAGAGCTTCTCCTTTAGTAGTAATGTACATATTCCTTGCAGAAAAAACAGTGACATTTTCCATTGAGACAGTAGCGCACCTATCTCTCCTCTGCTTCAGCAGCCTTTATGCTAATTACTGTTTTGGAAGTAACTCCTCATTCACTTTTTGCAACATAAGATAATGAGAAATACAGCCCAGATTTTGTTTGTAGAAGCTCCTTTCATGGCAGCCTTTCAACAGTTTGGGTAATTTAAAAGATGCAGTTGTAATCGTGACTAACTCATTAAGATGCTTGATGAGCATCTTAATGAGTTAAAAAACCTGGACATTTTTAACGCACTTTTGGAAAGAGGCAAGAAAAATATAAGAGTGGGAATAATCCAAGGAAAACATTTCAAGTCTTTGAACAGTAGACCCTAGAATTTCCTTAGCTTGAGATAGGTTAGGACAAGAAAACAGAATGTTGCTTAAAAGAAGCCCAGTGATCATTTGTGTCTACTTGCACTTCTGGAAGATGACTTTTGTTTGTTAGTTGGTTCATTTTGACTTAAAAAGTGTTTTTCGGCCAGGTGCGGTGGCTCACACCTGTAATACCAGCACTTTGGGAGGCCGAGGTGGGCAGATCACAAGGTCAGGAGATCGAGACCATCCTGGCTAACATGGTGAAACCCCGCCTCTATTAAAAATACAAAAAATTAGCCAGGTGTGTTGACGGGCGCCTGTAGTCCCAGCTACTCGGGAGGCTGAGGCAGGAGAATGGCATGAACCTGGGAGGCGGAGCTTGCAGTGAGCCGAGATCGCTCCACTGCACTCCAACCTGGGCGACAGGGGGAGACTCTGTCTCAAAAAACAACAACAACAACAACAACAAAACCCACAACATTTTTCTTTGTTCTCTCTCAGTACTCATTAAGAATTTACTACTGCGTCTTTAGATTTTATCTCAGGCAGATCAATGCTATGTATTTGTCCCCTGTACTTGATCCCTGTGCTTTCCTTCTCTCCTACTTTCCTACTCTTGTCATGAGTGCTGAGGCAGGGATGATGTTGGGGTGGAAAGCTGAAGGGCGAAGATGAATGAGCCACAGTGTCCACTTAGAATCTACAGCCAACTCTTGGCAGCTTATCCGTGGTAATTCTTGTTTCAGCTTCTTGTTGACTTTATCACCCACTCAATGTGCTTAACTCTATGATGGATGTTATCATCAGCTCTGTTTATTCACAATGCCAAGAACACCAGTGGAACAGGGAAATATTCAGGAAAACCCACTTTATGGTGTCAACTTGACCAGAAAACGAAACACAACTCCATCATTGCTTTATTGAATTTGGCATCGTTCTAGAAATAAACTATCATTTATATTTTGTCAAAAAGAAGAGGAGAAGAGATTTCAAAAGCACTGCTTCTGGGGAGGGTCTGGATCAAAGGTAAATGTGTGACTTTAGGTGACAGAAAAGCATCTCCACTCAGATGCATCCAACTTTGAGGGGGCACTGACTACAGGACAGTAGAGACAAGGGACACTCATGAACAAGCAGCTTTTCCAATTCTGGGTCCTTTTCAAACTGTAGTATCAACATATATTTTTAAGTTTCATAAATTCTTGGAACATTAAACATATCCATTCAAACAGTTCTTTCAATATGGTGGATATTTGTAGGCTGCCCTGGAAATCAGAACACCTTGAATTTAATTCCTGCTATGACATTGGCTGACTCTGTAACTTTCACCTTTTTTAGTTCTCCAAGATGATATAAATAATGGAAAACATATAGGACTCTAAAATGGTTGCAACATAGGTTCAAATCTGACCCCTACCACTTGTTAGCTTGTCAACATTGGATAAGTTATTTGACTTCTTTGAGCATCAGTATCTTTATTTGTTAAATGGAGATAAAGATATCTTTCTTGCAGGAATGTTGTATGGATCTAATGAGATCATGTATGCAAAACACCCAACACATAGTTGTCACTTTATAAATGGCTGTTCTAGTAGCCATTTGCACAGAGATGGGGAAAGGCTAGGTGACAAAAGGCATGGGCATTCTGAGCTCATCAGTTGATAGGGCTTCCTTAACATCATAGCTTTATTAGAGAAGGAGGAGGATACAGCCCAGCCACATAGGAACTCAGGCCTGTTTTATTTCCGCAGGATCTGGTCACCACAACAATCAGAATGTGCAGGGGTAAGACTAAGGAAGAGAGAGAGAGGAAGAATGGATGGTGGGGGGGGGGCGGCTCTCTTCTTCCTGGCAGCAGAGAATCCCCCAGTATTCCTTCAGTTGCAGAAACTAAAGGGAAGGCAAATGGCTGTCTGCTTGTGGTGCATGCACCAAGACAAACTACTAAAGTGTTTCCTGCCCAGTCCCCACAGGTGTTGCTTCTCAGCTTTGGATAAGTCCTCCAGCAAGTACTTTGTTGAAAGCGAGAAAGGCAGCTGCATAACTCTCCAGTCCACAGAGCTGACAAATCACTGTGTCATCAAAGAAGAGGGAATCATGGGAAATAGCCTGTGGTTCACCCTCTAAGGCAGGGAGTCAGGAGGCTGTGAGGTGGCACATTTGATTCTTGCTCATTAACATAGTTTCTCTTTGTGTCCTCCTCCTCCTCTTTGCCTGCTTGCCTGTTCCACTGGGTAAGCAGCAAGTGCCTACTCAAATCATTATTTATCAAATGTGTACTATGTTCCCAACATTCATTCAATACACCTATATTGAAAGCCTTTTATGAGAATAACAAAAATAACAAGATAGATTCAGAGTAAGATTCAGAGACTGAAGCAAGTCCGCATATAGTAATCACATGATCAACTAGTTGTTAAGTGGTATATATAATACATAGAAACCAACCGTGGAGGACCTCAGGGAAAGGAGCCAGGAAGCTGAGGAAGGCTTTGGAGAGAAGATGACATTGGAGCTAGGCCTTCACCCAAAATTCCATAGGTGTTGGTCCATTTTGCATTGCTATAAAGGAATACCTGAGACTGGGTAATTTAAGGGGAAAAGGGGTTTATTTTGGCCAGGACTGGTGGCTCACATCTATTATCCCAGAACTTTGGGAGGCTGAAGCGGGTGGATCACTTGAGGTCAGGAGTTTGAGACCAGCCTCCCCAACATGGCAAGAGCCTGTCTCTACTAAACATAGAAAAATTAGCTGGGTGTGGTGGCACAAGCCTGTAATCCCACTTACCCAGGAGGCTGAGGGATGAGAATTGTTTGAACCTGGGAGGCAGAGGTTGCAGTGAGCGGAGCTTGCACCAGGGCACTCCAGACTGGGAAACAGAGCAAGAATTTGTCACGAAAAAAAAGAAAAAAAGAAAAAAAGAGGTATGTTTGGCTCACAGTTCTGCAGGCTGTAGGTGAAGCAGAGTGCTGGCATCTGCTTCTGGTGAGGGCCTTGGGAAGCTTACATTCATTCTGGAAGGCAAAGGGGAGCCAGTGTGTCATATGGCAAGAGAGGGAGCAAGAGAGGGGAGGGTGTCAGGCTCCTTGTAAACAACCAGGTCTACTGTGAACTAAAAGAGTGAGAACTTGCTTATCACCAAGGGGATGGCGCTAAGCCATCCATGAGGGATCTGCCCTCAAGATCCAACACCTCCCATTGGGCCCCACCTCCCACATTGGGGATCACATTTCAACATGTGATTTGGAGGGGACACACATCCAAACCATATATCACTATGGGTCAACTGTATCACTATGGATCCAGGGGAGGATGGGATAGGGGAGGGGAGGCAGCAAGGGCATTATAGGCAAAGGGAAGTGCACATATGAAGGTGAAGAGGACATGAGCCCACAGCATGTCTGGGGACTGGCTGGTAGCTTGATGTGCCTGGAACAAAGGCTATGCAATCCTGGGCAGCAGCAGGGGGAGAGGTAAATGTGGTCGGAATGCCAACGATTTTCCATGCCAGTCTGTCCAGTTTGGGCTTTAACTGTAGAGAATGGGGAGCCATTGGTGAGTTTTAAGTATGAAGTGATGGGTTTATACTTGTATTTTGGACAATCCTGTGGGCTTCAGAGTACTGAATGGACTAAAAGAGAGGCTAAAAGCTGGGAGACAGTTAAGAGCTCACTGAAATTGCCAATGATGTCAAATGCTGCAAACTCATCAAGGAAAATGAAGACTGAGAATGAGTTCATTGCATTTGACAGTTGGAGATCTTTGGTGACATCTAAAAGTAATTTCACTATAACGACTGAAGCAGAAGCTGGATTACTAAGCCAGTAGTTCTCAAAGTGTGGTCCCTAGATCAGCAGCACTGGCATCACTTGAGAATGTTATAAATGTAAATTATCTGGCTCAACCCACACCCCTTTCAAAACTTTGGGAATGAAGCCTAGCAATTGGCATTTTTACAAGTCTTCTGGATGATTCTGATAAATGCTAAAGTTTGAGAACAACTAGCCTAAATGACTCTTCATCTCTTCCCCAGACGTTCCTTACTCTGATGACACCTCAATTATTTGATATTTCCTAAGTAATCATTAATATGGTTTCTCAGTTATCTGCATAAATTGTTCCTGTCAGTCATGTGCAATATATGTACAGTCTCTGCCTGGTAATATTGAACTCATTGTTCTAGGCCTAACTCAAATGTCACCTCCCTAGGAAGTCTCTCCAATTTCCTCCAGGCAGCCCCCCATGGATACTTGTGCACATATTTATGTCATAAAATGTATTTTATTTGTTGTGTTGATTTGGTTTACTATCTTCCCTACTAACTAGAAGCTCTTCGGGAGTAGGGACTGCTTTATCGATCTCTATTTCCATATTGTTTTTACATCTTAAGTGCTCAATAAATGTAAGAAGAGGAAGCTGTAATAAATTGCAGAAATAAAAACAGAAAGGGACAAACCACTGTTTTAAGAGGTTTGGAAGTGAAAGATGAATTTGAAATAGAAATACAATAGAAAATGTGTGTGTGTGTGTGTGTGTGTGTGTGTGTGTGTGTGTGTGTGTGTCTGGAAGAAAACTGTTGGCTGAGGGATTAAGCCAGTAGAGAGGGAAAGATGAATGATGAGACAGTGGGAATCAGTGGGTATTGAATGCAAAATGGTCCTGGAGAAGGCAGAAGGGAATTAAATCAATGGCCAATGCTGAAGAATTAGCATTGAAAGAAGGAAAGACTCTTTTTTTTCTGAGATACAACCCAAGGAAGTAAAGGTGGATACATAAGTGATGAGTTGTGAGGTTGAGATGGGAGATGGTAGGGAGTCCTTAGATGGCCTGTCAGTGTAGAAATGGTGAGGGCTAGGGAAGGTTTTGCAGGGGAGGTGATATTTGAACTAGGAGATGTCTTTAGTGAAGTAGGAAGTGAAGCCTTTTGCTGGGAAGAAAATGGGGAACAGAAAGAAGGAAAGAGGCTACAGCAGAGAGGTGAAGACTTGTAAATGCTAGGGAGGGGATTGGAGAACAACAGCAGGGGATTCTTTTGGGCTGATCCATCTCCCTGATTCAAGACAAAGAAAGAGTCCACTTATTCATCCAATTGTGATTGGCAATAAAAGAAGTATGGAGGGATTGTCCCCAAAGGCTGTCTTTGAAATAAGATGGGCAACTTCTGGATACAGATCCCAATACTAATATAGAAAGTATTCTAGCTCTATATATTAATTAAGGCTGGAATATTTTGCAGACAATAACAATGCTATGTATGGCAACTATGTACAACAAAGGAAAATATTTATGGTATATGAATTGCCTAAGAAATCTGGATAAAAACTATATGTATGTCGGCCAGGTATGGTGGCTCACGCCTGTAATCCCAGCACTTTGGGAGGCCAAGGCAGGTGGATCACCTAAGGTCAGGAGTTCGAGACCAGCCTGGTCAACATGGTGAAACCCTGTCTCTACTAAAAATACAAAAATTAGCCAGGCATAGTCACGTGCACCTGTAATCCCAGCTACTAGGGAGGCTGAGGCAGGAGAGTCACTTGAACCTGGGAGGCGGGGGTTGCAGTGAGCCGAGATCGCACCACTGCACTCCAGCCTGGGCGACAGAGCAAGACTCCATCTTAAAAAAAAAAACAAAACAAAACTATATGTATGTCTTGATTACAACTCTGTAAGAACATACATATGAAGAACAAATGAATAAAACACATGAAAATGCTATTAGTGGTGGTATTATAGGTCATTTTTCCTTTACATTTTAAATTGATGTTTTAATGTTTATAATTAGTTGGCAATAAATAGAATTTTTTTTCCTTGCTGGCTTTAAAAAATTTACTAGGAACACTTAGAAGAGAGTATTTCAAAATAAAAAGTTGTAAGGTGAAAACAATCAGTAGAATTGTAAGAACACCTCCCATATAAGGGGCAGATGCCAGGAAAAGAAGTCCTTAAGTTGATCCAGAGTTGGAAGCTGACAAGCAAGAGGTTGGATGCCACGATATAGAAGAGCACAAAAGAGGTATATGACCTAGCCCTTGACTCACAGTAAACTTGAGAGACTAGGCTTACAATAAATGATTCGAGGATAACTTATTCAGTTATCTAAACAACGGATGGGACTGGATCACTGAGGCAGTGACCTGTGGGCAGGCGGGACAATGCAGAGGTCAATTATGTGCCATCGGAGTTGATCAGATGGACCTGGGCTTAAATCCCTGTGCCACTGCTTAGCAGCTGTGTGATCTAAGACAACTTACTCAGGTTTCATTTTCTGCACTGTGAAGTAGAAATAATAATACCTTCTCATAAGCTGTTGAAGCATTACAAACAATAAAGCAGGTAAAGTGCTTAATACAATGTTTGACACACAAAATTGCCATTATCGTTATTAACGCTTTATTGTTGCGTCATCTATGAGTATTTATGATGGAGGAAAGTGATTTAGACTAGGGGCACATTGAATTCTTTGGAGGGACTTCAGGGAGGTATCTTAAGAGCCATGAGAGAGTCTCGGGGCAGTGAAGACTCCCTCACTGCTGGAACAATGCTGTGGGCTCACCATAGGCCTTCAGGAGGGGAGAGAGATGTGCAAGGAGGAACTCCATGGTGGTTCTTCTTTTGCTAGTGTTTGTGCTACTTCCCCACTTCTAAACAGGTGCATAGTACTCCAGAGCACCCTTTCATCTTCCTTTCCCACTCTTCTGTTCTGTTTTTCTTCTCTTCAACTCTTCTTACTTCCCTTTTCTCCTCAAAACCAAGTGGTGGATGGGTAAGGAACTATACTATCTTTTGTGTGTTCTAACTTTGCCGTTTTTTTTTTTTTTTTTTTTTTTTTAATCTTAAAGGTTGTCTTCTAACTTCAGCACTCAGAGTTTACATAAGTAAGCCTGGGTTTACCCTACCCACTTCTTCCCTTATTTTTAAAATATCTATTTCCCCAACCATTGTCTTTAGTAAGTACTCTAAAATGACAGTCATCAGCAGAAACGCAAGGATTCCAGGCCATAAGAGTTTGATCAAGAAAGGATTTTTTGAGGTAGCTATATCTTGCAAAAGAAACAGAGGTGTGAACTGTCTGCAGGGCTCTTCTCAGCAATGAGGTGTTCCTTCTGGATTCAGATATAGATCTTAATGGGGTAAACATTCTAGGTCTTACCACCATCTGTTCTTCTTTTTCTGCTTAGACTGTTAGTACCTGTTATAAGAGGAAAGGAGGCAAAAGTGTGAAAGAAAAATGGTTGGATCAGTGGTCTGAGAAAGAGGATAAAGTAGTCATGTGACATTATTCTTAACAGAGATTAGAATGATTAAAAACAAAAACAAGTTGGTATCCAGGATATTCAGGTACAACCACCCCTCACCTGCTGATTCCAATTTCACATTCCATTCCACATTGATGAATAATAATAATGATGTACTTTTAGCTTTGTCAGAAATCCTATCTGCATATTTATAAGGTCATTATGTTTAGTTGTTGCTGATACCTGGTCTGAGTCCAGCAATTACCACCTCTGTCTCTTTGCACACACTGGTAGACATATACACCACTGATTTGTACTTTCCTATAAAATTACTCTTCCCCTTTTTAATTAGAGTGTTTTCAGAAGCAAACCCTATCATTAAGGCCATGTATGCTTCCATTATAAATACCTGTTTCCAGCCATTAATTATCTCCCAATGAATTACTTACTTAGAAGGAGATTTTTAATGCTTTTTTTTTTTTTTTTTTTTTTTTGGAGACAGGGTCTCACTTTGTCACCCAGACTGGAGTGGTGGAGTGGTGTGATCACGGCTTACTGCAGTCTTGACTTCTCAGGCACAGGTGATTCTTCCACCTCAGACTCCTGAATGGCTGGGACCATAGGCGTGCACCACCATGCCCAGCTAATTTTTGTATTTTTTGTAGAGTTAGGGTTTCAACATGTTGCCCAGGCTGGTCTTGAACTCCTAGCCTCAAGCGATCCTCCCGTCTTGGCCTCCCAAAGTGCTGGGATTACAGGTGTGAGTCATTGCGCCTGGCCTGTGCACACTTTTTATAATGGGATTTCTCTTCCTTACTTTTGATGTCCCCTCTCTCATACTTAGTTAACCATTTTGAATTCCACTTAGTAAGAAAAGTTTCCATTTTCTTTTTCTTTGGGGGACTTAGATATGATCTGCACCTAGATGGTAAGAAGATTTTCCATATTTTGAAGTAGAAACTTTCTGTATGCCTGAATCTTGCTGTCAAGAATGTCTTGGCTAATCATGAAGGAAGAATATAAGAATGTGAGTAAAAACAATTCAACAGTCCCTGAGAACAACGTCAATAAATATTCAAAATTGCATAACCATTTTAGTGACTAAAGCACTGAGACTCATCCAATAATACTGTGGTTTGATAATTACACAGTTGTGAATTTATGATACTGTTAAATTGGGGAGACATCTTGGTGCATACAGGTCAACCCTTTCATACATCATTATATACAAAAAGTACACACCTACTTAGGAATTGAAGTGTAATACCTCCTAGCATAAAATGCTTAAAAGAAGATTTTAAGGGAGTGATACAGTGAGCATTCCTATATGAATTTTCCTGCATATCTCAAGCATAGCAGAAGATTTGAAATTTCTAGGTAAGTTTTTTTTTTTTTTTTTTTTTGACAGGGTCTTGCTCTGTCACCCGAGCTGAAATGCAGCAGTGGTAACATGGTTCACTGCAGCCTCAACCTCCTGGGATCAAGTGGTCCTCCCACCTCAGCCTCCCGAGTAGCTGGGACTAGAGACATGCATCACCATGCCCAGTTAGTTTTTTAATTTTTTGTAGAGACAGGGTCTCACTTTGTGGCCCAGCCTGGTCTTGAACTCCTGGGCTCAAGCCATCCTTCTGCCTTGGACTCCCAAAGTGTTGGGATTACAGGTGTGGGCCACTGTGTCCTTCCTTAACATAATAAAATTGAGATAATCACATTCATAAAAGGGCAAAACTATGTCAACAAGCCCACTGTATTAGTCTGTCTTCACAGTGCTGTAAAGAACTGCCCAAGACTGGGTAATTTATAAAGGAAACAGGTTAACTGACTCACAGTTTAGCATGGCTGGGAAGGCCTCAGGAAACTTAACAATCATGGCAGAAGGCAAAGGGGGAAGCAAGGTACCTTCTTCATAAGGCAGCATGAAGGAAAATTAATGCAGGAGGAACTACCAAACACATAAAACCATCAGATCTCGTGAACTCGCTCATTATCAGGAGAACAGCATGGGAGAAACCGCCCCCATGATTCAATTACCTCCACCTGGTCTCTCCCTTGACACATGGGGATTACAATTCAAAATAAGATATTGGGTGGGGACACAGGCAAACTATATCGCCCATATTACAATTACTTACATTACTGATTCCCTTAATTAGAGCAGAGGTAATTAATTGGGTCTAGGCTCAGTGGAAGGGTCTGGCTGGTTCTTAATTCTCAGAGCTACTTTGAATCTTGAGGTTAACTTCTTGCCTTCTAGAACTTGTCCTGTGTTGGGCTGAACTCTGTGAACCTTTCAGAAAGTAGGTCTTTATTGAGCACATACTCTATGCAAGGCAAAGAACCAACTACTGTGGAGTTTACAAACATGAATAAGGGGTAAGAAATGACTCTTGTCACATGGTTTACAGTCCCGCTGTGTGGGCCACCACAGTTCATATCTTTCAGGCTGGGGACTGGATGAGAGGAAAGTGGACTCAAAATTAATCCCAGTGCTCTCTACTTTCCCATATCCCTGTGCTTTATCTCTGTTGTAGTTATGTTATTTGTATGTTGGCCTGCCTCACTGCTCTGTGATCTCCAAAGAACAGGGACTAGGTTTTATTTATTTCTGCATTGCCGCAGAGCCTAGTATGTGCTTTGTAGAGAACAGGCTCTCAAAAAAATTTTAAATTAAAAGAATGTATTCACTTATGTTTCCTAGTTACAGTGGGTCAGCTTGTTCTGTGCTAATATGGAAGTGACAAGAAACTGGTGTCCCTCTACGCAGAGGTCCCCACACTAAATATCATCTTGGATGTGCTTCACATTGTTGCACAAAGGTACAGTGGAGTGAGACTGAGTAAGAGGACAGAAATAGTGGGGGGTTTGTCTCAGCTCACTAATTACTTATTTAACCTTGGGCAAGATACTTAAAGCTCTATCTCAGTTTCTTCATCTGCAAAATGGGGATAATAATGACTGGGGTGCCTATTTCCCACGATTGTTTTGAGGATCAAATGAGATAATATAATTAAAAGTGTTTTTGGAAGGTCTAAATCACTGCGCAACTGCAAGGCATTATTAAAAGAAATCTTCCTTTTAATTCCTGCTTCCACAAACATCTCATCACATATCCTTGGGTTCCTGGGTTACATGGAGAGATTCGTGGTGTAGCTCAATCTATGTGTCATAGCTATCCCACAATCTCTTCTTCAACTTCTCCAACACATCAAGACATTCTTCCAGTCTTGCATTGCTCCCCAGTTTATATAGATATATATGTTCCTCATTCAGCATTTATGTAAAGCATATATTATTGAGCACTTATGTGATAGAAACCGGGGCAAAACAGAAAATAAAACAGAGTTTTATTTTGAGAGTTTTTTACAGCTTATTGGCTCTGAGAGGACAGACATGAGAACAAATAAGTGCCCAATTCTGCATTTATTTTGGAAGGCAGTTTTATGTGAGTTTAAATCAGTAAAGACATAGATGTATATTTTTAGTTTTGATTAAAACTAAAACAATTGGTAGCCCTTATTCATATTTTTCTATCATTAAAACTTATCTTTAAAAAATGTCTTCAGTCATATTTTTCCCTTACTTCCATTCATATTTACTCTTTACTTCTCTTGTCCTTACCAGAATGTATGCAGTAAGTTTTCATATTGTAACACATTCAACAAAAGTTATATGTGAACATAATAGCTGCTTTCTTTAAAACGGTTACTTTGAGAAACTGCATACCTATTTTCTTTTTTTTTTTTTTTTGAGACGGAGTTTCACTCTTGTTGTCCAGGCTGGAGTACAGTGGCACGATCTTGGCTCACTGCAATCTCTGCCTCCTGGGTTCAAGTGATTCTACTGCCTCAGTCTCCTGAGTAGCTGGGATTACAGGTGCTCGCCACCATGCCCGGCTAATTTTTGGTATTTTTAGTAGAGACGGGTTTTCAACATGTTGGCCAGGCTGGTCTCGACCTCCTGACCTCAGGTGATCTGCCCACCTCAGCTTCCCAAAGTGCTGGGATTATGACATAAGCCGCCACGCCTGGCCTGCACATTTATTTTAATAATGTTGTCATAGCTACAGTCGCTTCTAGAGTTGCTCTTTGGGGATAACTATCTTATATTCTTCTGAATATATTTTAATAGTGACAAAACTTATCTTTGCAGGTGATTTTTAAAATTTGTATGCAGCCAAGTCACTATGAATTATCTTTAGTGAGTAAAGAGGAAGATCGAACTGGTAACACTGTGGGTAAACAACTGAAAAATAATGTTATCTTTCTCTGAACATACTTGCACAAGACAAATTCCAAAAATATTTTGACTACGTTATTTTTGAAAAGGGTTTCCAGTATTTCAATGTGACTACTTTCACTAATGATACTTGCTTACCTAAAGTGCTTGTTAACATGCAGTTTTGGAATTTCATAGGTCTATGCCCATACTGACTTGTACTTGCTTAGTGTTGTTTTACATTCTAGTTCAACATCTATTATGTGATAGACACTGGGGATTAATAGGCTGTGGTCTTTGCCCATGAGGACCTCAAAACTTAGTTGAGAACACAGAAATACAAAGAGTCCTGTGTGAAAAATAAGTATTGGTGTTAAGATAAAGAAGCGGCAGTGGAAGACAGTGGAGGGACTGTCTGTTAGAGGGAGGAATTTATTGTGGTGTCGGCAAAGCCTTCTTTGGACTGAAGGATGAATTATGATTAGAAGTTCATTAAGAGGAGGAGGGAAGGGGACTACAGGAGTCATTCCAAGCCAAAGGAACAAAAGATACAGGGACAGAAACAGCAAGATATGTTTGGGGGAATCTCAAGTTAGCCAATACTGTTATTGTGTGAAGTTCACAACAGGGGCAGGGAGGACAGGAGATGGGGCCCAATGACGAAAAGGCCTTGTATGTACCATGTTTAGAAGTTTGAATTTTATCCTATAGGAGTCAGGGAGAGGTTCTATGGGTAGGATTTCCCATCCCAACAGGATTGTAAACTCCCACATCCAATTAGTCACACCTCCATTTTTTTTTCTGTTTCTTTAACATTGTCTCAGATTCATTCCTTCTGAAATCTACCTTATTAGTTCAGGTCTTCTTAAATTTGTGCCTGGACTGTTCACCAACTCTTGACTGGTCCTGGGGCTCCAGTTCACCTCTTGCTCCCAACAATCAATTTTCTACAGAACTATCAGAGCAATCTTCCTTTCCATCAATCTCAACTCTGTTCAAAAACTTTCAATAGTTTTATGTGACCTAAGAGGTAGCTGCCTCCCCACCCTTTCAGCTTGCCATTCAAGGCTGCATAATTTGGTCCCAACCCCCTTTCCGTCCTTGACTCCTCTCACTGCTAACAGAGACAGAACTCATTTACTTACTCTTTTGACTGTACCTTTGCTTTCACGAGGGCTCTTTCCTGGAATGATATGTCCATACAACTATTGTTGTTGTTCTTACTTTTAGCTCTTTTCTTAGCCCACTTGTACCCAGGTTTGATCACACCCCCTACTCTCCTGCCCTGGAAGTAACTACTATTCTGGTTATAGTCTCTTAATATCTATATCTATATCTATATATATGCATCCACAGATAATGTGTAGTATTGTCTTGAAAAAAATATACATAAATGGTATACTTTGTCTCCCTCTGCGATTATTTTCACTATCATTTAGTTTTTAAGATTTATCCCTATTGACATAAATAGCTATAGTCTTTTCAATTACTGTGTTGCATTTCATTTTATAAATATACCATACATTATTCATCCATTCCTCTAAGGGTGGGCATTTATGTTGTTTTCAAGGTTTTGCTATTACAGTGTTACAACGAATATCCTTAGCTTAGCTGGTCTCCTTGTCTTATACAAATTTTACTGACCTTTCAAGATCCTGCTTTCATCCCAGCTCCTCTGGGAAAGCCTTCCCTGAATCCCCCAGCCCACAGCGGCAAAGTCTTGGTACTCAAAGTTGCTTGTGCATCTTTGGTATCATCCCACTGCCAAGCACACAGCTACGCAAAGTAAGGCACTTAAGAAATATTCGCTACACGGATGAACAAATGAATGAATGAATGGGGCAGCACCACTCCGTGATGGCTCTATTCCTTTTTAATGGACTTTGGCGCCTTGGCCCACTTTCCTTCTTTGACAGCACTGGTCCTACTCCAGAGCATTCCTCTAGCTAGCAAAGCAGTGTGTGGATGTGTGGGTGTAGGTGGCGATACAGACCTCACTGGATGAGGACCGCCTCTCCCTGCAAGTTCACGATCCCGGCAAACTCCAGTGCTTGAAGTTCAGAGTCCTACCCCACCCCCCTCACCTCCACGCCCCTTCTGCACTGGTCAAGCCAGCGAGCCGCTGCAGCCCTGATCGAGTTAAGGCTGCTGGAGAAGGATGCGGACGGGGCCAGTGACTCGTAGTAGATCCCTCCGCGCGGAGCTCGGGCCGGCGCTTCTTCCTGCGGGAAACCCCTGGGTGCCCAAGGCGGCGGGGCCGAGGCCGCGGCGACAGTGGGGCGGGGCTTGCGGTGGGAGGAGGCGGCTGAGGCGGAAGGACACACGAGGCTGCTTCGCTGCACACCCGAGAAAGTTTCAGCCAAACTTCGGGCGGCGGCTGAGGCGGCGGCCGAGGAGCGGCGGACTCGGGGCGCGGGGAGTCGAGGCATTTGCGCCTGTGCTTCGGACCGTAGCGCCAGGGCCTGAGCCTTTGAAGCAGGAGGAGGGGAGGAGAGAGTGGGGCTCCTCTATCGGGACCCCCTCCCCATGTGGATCTGCCCAGGCGGCGGCGGCGGCGGCGGCGGCGGCGGAGGAGGCGGCGACCGAGAAGATGCCCGCCCTGCGCCGCTCTGCTGTGGGCGCTGCTGGCGCTCTGGCTGTGCTGCGCGACCCCCGCGCATGGTGAGTATCGGGCTGAGGGGCGCTGTCCGCGGCGCCCGGGGCTGCCACCTGGGGCGACCCTTCTCCCCCTCGGTCCTTCTCTGTGTGGGAAGGCCAGGCTCGGCCGCCGGCGCGGAGCGAGGCCACTCGCTGGGTTCCCGAGAGTTTGGACATCGCCGGGGGCCCCTCCCGTGGTGCCCCGCCAACCGCCGGGGTTCCCCGCCAACCGCCGGGGTTCCCCGCCGCCTCTGCTCCCCGCGGCCCGGGACCCCTCACACGCCTCCTCGGCAGGAGGGAGGCCGGCAGCAAGTCTCAGAAACTCCTTTTTCGTAGTGCCAGGGTGCAGGGAGGTGGGCAGTTTTGCCCTTCAGGTTCCGCGTTTCTTGGGGTCGAGCGAGAGCCGACGGCGGGCCTCGGAGGGGCTGAGCGAAGGCGTGCCAGATTCTGGCGTGGAGAGCGGGGGCAGGGCCGCCAAGCCAAACGGCCTGCACCTTCGCAGCCAGCCTCGCCTTTGCCAGGGGGCGGCACATGGGCCGGGTGTGTGGGCTTGGTTTGGATGGGGACGGGGTTTTGCGGCGCGCCTGAGTTTTGACACTCCAACCCCACCGAAAGTCCGGAGGAGCCGGGTGTGCTGCTCGCGTCTTTGAAAGGTGGAGGCAGGAGAAGTAGGGCAACTGGTGTGGCTGCATGCTGAGGCACATGATTTAAAAATCTCAACTGCTGTTATTCTTTCCGAGGCGCGGAGCTCTGCTGCTGTTTCAGGCTGTGTCCAGACCCAGGAATGTGGTGTGACGATCACCAATTCCTCCAACCTGGCAGCAGCATTTGCTGCTCCTTTGGCATGGCTGGGGGTGGGGCACGGGCGGGTGAGAAAAAGTGGATACGTCAATTCAAAGGGCTTCCTTAGAAAGCTTCTTTATGGTTGGATGTTTCTAACACGGTTGGACCAAGGAAAGGGAATCAAATCATATCTTCCCCATCCCACCCACACTTTTAGATTCTACATTTCTTCAGACCCTTTAGTGGAAATAACTTGGGCTTTGGAGCCCTGCTCTGTAATCCTGGATTCAAATCCAGCTCTGCTATATGAACTCACCAATAAAATGGGAATGAAATTATCCAGCTAATAGGATTAATTAAAATAATGTATATTAAACGGATGACACTCCAAAGGTGTTCAGAAAGTCCTTTGAGGGCCGAGGCTGTGTTTTACTGCTTCTGAGATTGATGCTCCCAGTGGGATGGTGTCTTGTGCATATTTGTTGAACGGAAAGCAGCCCCTTCTTTTTCTGAGCCTAATCTGAATAAAGATTTTTACCTTCACCAAAAAACTAGTACATGAACTACATCTGTTTTCAAAGAAAAGGTTAGGAAGATGATGAGCTTCAGAAAAATATGGTCTTTGTTCATTGTTAACAGTCAGTCGACATGTCAATCGCAGATGTTTAAAAAGAGAACAAGGTTATTTATCACCCGAAAATAGTACTGGGTTGTTCAGCACCAACTAGATACTTCTTGGAAAGTTCAAATTTCGTACACGTCTAGGTCACTAAGAATTTCAGAAGTGGACCAGGAGGCTTTGTAGTGATGAAGCAGAGCTGTTGTTTCTGAAGCATTTAATAAAGAGCATATATGATGGTGTTTTTGCTTTTCCTTTTTCTTTGAATGAAAGCTTTAAGTGTAGCTTTAGGATAGAGAGGAGTATAATCAATGAGACAGTCTGAGGGTAATAATCCTTGGTCTATCATTAACTTGTTTTGGTAAATAACTTAATCTTCATGATATGTAGTCTCTTCACCTATGAAGCAGGACTAAAGGAATAACCTGCTTTAGAGAATTGTAGGGAATAATAAATATGATTGTAAAGTGATTTGAAAAATTAAGTATTGGCCGGGCGCGGTGGCTCACGCCTGTAATCCCAGCACTTTGGGAGGCCGAGGCGGGCGGATCACGAGGTCAGGAGATCGAGACCATCCCGGCTAAAACGGTGAAACCCCGTCTCTACTAAAAATACAAAAAATTAGCCGGGCGTAGTGGCGGGCGCCTGTAGTCCCAGCTACTTGGGAGGCTAAGGCGGAGAATGGCGTGAACCCGGGAGGCGGAGCTTGCAGTGAGCCGAGATCCCGCCACTGCACTCCAGCCTGGGCGACAGAGCGAGACTCCGTCTCAAAAAAAAAAAAAAAAAAAAAAAAAGTATTAAATAATATGTCAGAAATGGGATTACTCTGACACATAGGGCTTCTTTTATTATAGGATCTCAGTGCATAAAACTATGCCCTCCACCTCTGCTCTGCTGAGGTGCTGCGATTATTAGCTAGCTTTTAGGTAGTCAAGTTGAGTGTTAGTCAAGTTGACTCAAAGGATAGGATTTAGATATTTTGATTTTTAGACAGGTGTTCTTTAGATGCTAAACTAATGCAGTAGAAGAGATTTAGAAGCCTGTTTCTTGGTACAAATCTTAAATCTTCTTAGAGTCTACAGTGAAGGCTTCTTGAATCCTCTTAATTTATTATTGTGTTTTGCTAAGGTACCAATTACAGCACACCCTTCTAAACTTTTGAGTGCTCCTGTGTTTGGCTTGTGGCCAATTGTTAATTTAAACATCACGGAGTTTCTAAGGCAAGGAGATGTTAGCAGTATGTCTGATTGTCTAAACAGCTATCCAGGACCATCCTCTTGCTCCTTGTTTTCTTTTGCTTTGCAATGGGAAGTGACTCCCTGATTTTGCTGCCTGCTAGATAATTTCTCAGCTGAATTCTTCTCTTAAACAAAATCGGAGTAATTTTCTTTCAGATGGTGATGAAATTTAACCTAAAACTATTTTTCCTTTCACTTTCTTATTATTCCTTTTTTTTTTGGTGTGGTGGAGAGGAGGAGGAGAGTGATTCCTAGTCTCTCTTATTTTTCTGAATGTTTAGATTTAAAAAATATTTACCCATAACTTCTTGGGATCTCTCTGCTCCATTCCCACCCTACTGCCTCTCCTGTAGGCTTCTATGACATAGAGAAGCAACTTTTGGTTCACCTGGATTGTAGTTGCTGACTTCAGGACCTTTAGAGAATGTTTAAATTCAGTGGGATATGCTTGGATGGTTCAGAGCAGCCTTACAATACATTTTAAAAATATCACACCCACAGAAATTCTATTTTGCCCACAAAATTTGCATTGATCTAGTTCCCACTCTGTGTTGCCATTCCTAGTGATCCTCCTCCCTACCTCTCCCATTATGGTAGAAAAAAACTCTGTGTCCTGGCTACATCAAAATCTGTTGGGGTGGATCTTGGACTCAGCACCCAGGGATTCTGATAAGGTAAGTTTGAGAATCCATATTTTTTCAAGGTTTACAGGTGATTCTGACAAGTAACTTGGTTGCAACCCACTGATTAAGTACATTTTTTTTTACCTTCAGGTGTGTGTATGAGGTCTTTCTAAATTTAAGAAATTTCCATAACAAATGTAACCTTAGTCATTCCAGTGTTTAACACTTCTGACTCAAGAATTTTAAAATTGCTGACGTAAGAGATATAGAATATAATGTCATTTCTTCTGTTTATCTGGGTGCAGTATGTCTGCATTGACCCTTTAGAAGGGCTTCATATATTTAGATGATATAATAAATTCTCCACCTCTCCTTTTCCCTTTTCTTCTGTTATCTCGTTTTCCTTAAATGTCATTCATACATGTTGTTTTTTGACCCTTTATCTATATACGTCTGCAATGATTTTAGAGTAAAAAACTGCAAGGCGTGATTTGAATAAGGATATAAGAAATTTTACATCATTTTCTTTATATTGTGTTCACAGTCCATAGTTACATGCTTCCTTTCTTGATGTCTCAGTTCGAATGCCTAAATTTGAACTATTAATTTTCCTTCCACCCTTTCCTGATTTTCCTGTTTTTGTTTCCCACCCTTTCTCTGCAAATGACTTGAAACCAAAAGGTCTTCTTTTCTTTCTTTGTCAGCCTACCATATGTGTAGTATTTTGGACAGATCACTGAACTAGGAGCCAGAAGACCAGAATTCTTCTCCAGGTCTGTTATTAATTGGTTTGGTGACCTTGTAGGAGAGCCACTGTTTTGGTCCTCCATTTTCTGATGTTCATTGTTCATGGTCACAGAGCCAATTAGAGTTGAGACTAGAATTCCTTTCTTCTGGTGTCCAGTGCCTCATTCACTGTCCACATTGCTTCCATCTCATGTACAAATGCGCTTATGTGCACAAAAACTCTTATAACATCCTCAAGTGCTTATTGTTAATGCGTACATGAGGAAGGAATCGTGTATTTTCATTTATGTGTTTATTCTAATGCCCATACCCTACCCCTGTACCTGGCATGATGCCTTGGTATCTAATAGGCACACAATAAATACTTGTTCAGTCGAACAATTATTTTTAGCCACTTTCTTATTTTGGACAACTGTGGTACTCCTAGACATTTTAAAAATAGTATTTGCAGGAGTCATGCTTACCTTACATTTGGGGAAAAACCAAATTTTTCCCTTCCCCAGATGTTTCATTTAAACTTGTAATTTTGAATTTCTTTGTGTGTGGGGTTTCTTTCTTTCTTTTTCTGATCACTTCTGCAATTTATAAAGGTCACTTTGACTTTGGAATCTCACTTCAAAGGCACTGCCACCCACCCCCTGCCTCTCACTCAAGTTTGCTTCCACTGCTTCCTGTATTACTGTATTACTAGGCCAGCAATTTCTGTTATTTTGTCCAGAATAGCCACACCTTATTGTAATTTCATCATTTTGGGGACTAGTCATTTTTGGAATACTATTTTTAAAATTAGAGTTAACTAAGTTTATATTTATTTTGATAATTTTTTTTGAGATTTTTTTCATTGAGTTGGATATTGCAAACTTGTACTGGATTGAGAGAATATGTACATTTAGTAAAGTATATTTGCTTTTTTTTTTTTGAACCAAGAGAGTCCCCTGAACACCCTGCTGACAAAAACTAAAGGTGAAATATGATGAATAAATATTTGAGAGAATCACATGGTGTTGAGTTGTCTCTGCCACATGATTTTGATCCTTGAGGGCCAGGTCTGTGCTACACACATTTCTTCTCTGTACTACAGAACTTGTCTGGCATGTGCCCGAAATTCAGAGTCAACTGAGCGGCAGGTCTTAGTCACAGCATCTATGACTCCTGCTTTCCCACCTTTAGAACATTCTATAGGAGAGGCTGATGGTGAGTTGGAGTGTGTTTCTATGTTCTTTTTTCCTTTGAAGAGATAGGATCAGTTGAAAGCTGACCCCACCCACAGACTTTTTTTGCTATCTCTTTTAATTAATTAAGGAGTGGCTGAAATTTTCCTCTTTGTTGACTTATGCATTGGCGGGAACTTTAAAATTCATCTAGTCTTTCTGTCCATCCCATGCTGGATCTGATGTTTACAACATTCTAGTCAAGAGGTACCATATTTTCTCTCTTCTTGAACATCTCTTGTGGTAGACAGCTCTCCACAGCAGTTTATTCCATCTTTGGCCAGCTCTAATTCTTAGAAAGATCTTCTTATATTCAGCTGTAATCCATCTCCTCATGACTTGTCCTCATTGACATCTACTCAGAAATTTGTCTCAGAGTCCTGAGACCTGTGCAGGTGATAGGGACCCAAAGAGATGCTTGTCTGTAGACTTTACTGGGCTGACACCCAGCTCTCCATAAAAGGAGTCAAACCCAGTGAGGAGCATGTCTGGGGTGATTGCTCAGGTAAAGCATCTTAGCCCTACTTGTTTCATACCTCCCTGCACAGGTGGGCACTGGTGGGAGAATCACATTTATCAAGCAGTGTTTCCCTAACCTCTCTTATGATAAGAATAGCTCAGGTGTTCTCATGGAGATTCTGATTCAGTGCATCTGGAATGTCATCTGGGAATTTGTGTGTTCAAGAAATAGCCAGGTGATTCTTACATTAGGAAAGTTTTAGAATCACTGCAGAGTGAATCTGGGAAATCAAAGTGTTTGTTTTTGTTTGTTTGTTTTTTGAGAGTATTAGAGACAGGTTGCTTTGGCTAGATCCTGTGGTCATTTTTCCCCCTTGGAAATGCCTCCTACTTGCTGGCCTCACTTAGTACAGAGAAGAAAGCTGCTATGGTATAAGGTTAGTAAAGTTGTTTGTTTTGTCTTAAAAGAAATTTGCGAAATCCAGCATTTTCGGACTTCTGTTTGTGTTGTATGACTTTGTTGTAAGCCTCCTTATTCCTCCATTAGAATGTTACCTGAGATGTTAGAATGCATAGGAGTTCCACAGCCTTTTTGGTGTCCACTAAAGAATTCTGTCCTCAGCCGTTGCAAATGGTGCTTCCTTTGAGGATTTCTGCTTCATTAGCTCATGAACACATATTTGGTGTCGGCAGTTTCCCTCAGATGTGTTAGTGTGGAGAGATATAAAGGTCACTCATTTCTGGTGGTCCTGCTTTTGGGGTTTCTGGGCTGCTGCAGCAAATGAAATAAGGAAAGGAAAATAAAGGAGGAATCTAGGGCTTCTTGAGCAGAACAAAACAATCTGCAAGAAGGGGCACAGGATTGCTCCTCTCACAAAGACACTTGATAATACTGTCCTTGATAGGAAGAAGGAAGTGGCTTCAGATCTGAAAGGATATGCTCATAGGCTTGAGACGGGACAAACTGCATCACTGGTAGTGGTAGGAGGTTTGCCGTAGATCTGTTTTTTCTCCTGTCTCTCTTTTTTGAGGAGAATATTATCTGTATGGCAGAACATACATTGTGGTCTTAAAAAGGAGAGTAAAGCCAAGAAAGGGGGATGATAAAGCCATAGCTTGGAATAAGAAAAGCAAAGGAATTATTGTATTAATTTGTGTATGTAAATACATAGGTTTCCATGTAATTCACTGGTAGGATCACTAGCCCTTGGCACTAACATTTGCTATCTTTGTAGCTCTGCTGTCTTAGTGGTGTATTGGGGGAGCATTGTGGTGTGTTGTCACACTTAATTTGTGTGCTTCCCTTGGCATCATGTGGTAGCAAGTACAGGGTATTCTACTCTTCTAGATGTGTGGGAATCATTGACCAAGTAGAAAATATGGTCCTGCTCCCAAGGAGCTGACATCATCATGGAGACAAGACAGATAAGCACACAATTAGGAATATGAAATACAGTTATTTTATCATTTATCTATGCTCTCTGAAAGCAGTTTCCTGCAGTCAGGGTGACTCGGATCTATAGGGTCTTGGGAGTAAACTTCAGGTCTTAATACCACCAGGGAAAGGCGACCTCCAGCTCACCCTTGCTGGGCTTGTCTGCTGTCGTGAGCTGTCTGCCATTTTCCTCTTTCTTTGTTGTAATTTAGAAGTATTAGAACTTGGCTTGGGGAAAAGACAAAAACCCCTTTGTCTGGTGAGGGTGTAAATATAAATTTGGCACATGTTGTTGTGTCTATTATGTCTGTTAGTGGGTTTGCGGCAAGAGAGAGTGCTGTGTTCTTAGTCCCGAATGCCAAGCCTGAACTAGGACAAGTTATGGTGGAAATATCTTCCTTGGAAGATGCAGTTCTCAGTGGCAGTGGCTGAAGGAACTTCTCGTCACAGCCAGGCAGTGACTGAAGTGTGGTGTGGACACACCCAGAGTTGCTGCCTCAGGTGGCATTGATTAATCATACTAATATCTCCCTCACCCTTTTGTACTTGTCTTGGCAAAACCCTGTTCTACTAGCTCCCCAATAGTTTGGCCTTTATTAGGTATGATTGAACAAGCTCTTGGGGGTTCACCTTAGTGTCCCTTGCCCCTCTCGCATTTCCAGCCAGCTACGTCGCTCCAGCCATGGTACCCCGGGTCCTCTGGCTAGGCAGTGAGGGGCTGGGTTTTTCTTTCCATTGGACTGAAGCACCTTTCCCTGGAGGCTTGCCTAGGGCAGTTTCTGGTCTCCGAGTCAGTTCCTTCTGCAGGATACTGGCAGCTGGCAGAACTCTGGGTTATTTGAATACATCAGCCAAACATCTTGCCAAGATGGACTCATTGTTGCATAACGACAGGTTGGATCTATGGGTGTTGCAGAACCTGTTTCTGGGTTAAGAGTAGCTCTCTCACCCTTATTATATATGTTTATTCATATGATGAATGTATGTGTGTATTTTGTGAAGTAAGGAAAACATGATGATAATATTGTGGTTGGAGTTAGATACCTTATCCTAAATATGTTGTCTTTTTAACAAATAGCATTCCTTTAAAATACAGTTGTGCTTGATGAATAAGGTGTTGTACAAGAAGCTGTGGTTACATTCTAAAATAAACTGCCTTGTTCTGAGGCAGGCATGTTTTAAAATTGTTGTTTGCTTCTTTTTCATCTCTTTTTATTTTCATCTTTTTTTTTGTGAGAAGATTCTGGAAGTTTTTAAGCCTCAAATATTTTCAATAATCTATTTTAACGGGTACCTAGCAGGGAGAGGTTGTTCTATTGGTATACCTAACCAACATTCAAATAAGAATAATTGAATACTGTTTACTCACTAATCTATTCTGTTGAGTTTCTAAGTATGAATAATCACAAAACTAGATAGTGCTGATATATTAACTTCTCTAAATGGTAAATGTGGTAAGTAGCAAAGACATTTTTGTTTAATTCTCTCCTTACACATGCTTTGGTTCAGACGCTGTCAAGACACATTGAAGTTTGAGGACATGTGTATTTCGATTATTTTATTATATTTTTATTTGCTGTGAATATGGGTTTATTTATTTGCTAGATCTTCTTTAGTTAGAAACATTAAGGGCATTTACTTTATTACAACATTTAAAGTGCATTCTAATCTTCATGAGGAATTTTAGGTAAAAGACCGTATCCTGAGATTCATGCAAGTCTTTGGCATTATGTTACTATTTAAAGTAAGTAATATGTAGTGGCTTCTCTGACATATTCTTTCTAAGAGAGTTAAGGAAAATAGTTGTAACTAAAAACAAACATTGAAACAGTTTAAGGTAGGTTTACGTAGCAACAGAATTATTCGTTATGTTTACAGATAATTAACTCATATTTAAACTTTGCTGATTTTCTCTGGCACCTTTACAAGATTTTTTTATTTTTGTAATATAAAAAGTAATTATGTTTGAAAAAGTAGTTAAGGATGTTTGAAGAATCTAGAAAAGCGTAAATAAAATGTCCACAATCATGCTGCCATTAATTTTTTGGTATACGTCTTTGGTTTTTTACCCTTAGATTTAGAAAAGCTGTTGATTTATTTATATATATATATATATATAATATATATTTTTTTTTTAGTTTATGAACAGATCTACATATATATATATGCACACACACATAATATACTATTGTCAACACTAGGTTTTATTTTTAAAAATCTTTACCATTTGATAAGTGGTAAATATTACTTAATCTTAATATGCCTCTCTCATTACAGTGATATTGAATGTTTTTTCATATCATCAGTGGCGTTTGTATTGCCTTTTTTTCTACTTCTTTTGGTAAATTGTGTCTTTTACTCATTTAATTATTTTCTTACTGGTTTGAAAAAGCTCTTTAAATATTAAGGGTGTTAGTCTTTTGTCTTAAATATGTCACAATATGTATGGAAATAATTAGCAGTATATAACATAACATCAAATTGCTACCAATGTTGATATAAAAATTGTTCATTTCATAGGTTAATTTTTTTTAATCCTTTGGTTTCTAATGATATTGGTTAATTCATTTGTTAACTGCTATTTTCTGTAGCTACTTGAAAGTTCTTATCTGACTGTATCGTAAATCAGCATGCTTTCAGCTGTATATGTCTAGGAAATTGACATTTACTTTAATACTTAATAAAAAAATATGTTGGAGAAAAGCAGTGTGTTCTGGAGTCAAATACATGATTTTGGGTGGGTGACGTAATCGGCTACTGTCCTCCTTTTCTAGATAGCCAAGATTTTTGAAGCATTTAACATCCCTGAAAGGCAGGACTAATGCTATGTCTACCATGCACTGCTAATTCTGACACTTTGACCTAATGGATAAATGCCAGTACAGTGGGTCTAGTCAGTTAGCTTGGTCAGAGAACAAGATGACTAAGATTCTCTCCCCCTTTCCTCACCAAATTGATTAGTTGTAGGACAGAACTGACTGAAGCAACCTGTTGTTTTGGCAACCCATGGACACCACCTGTTTCTTCCATTCCTCCGTCCAGCCTCTCACTGCCCTAGTGCAGTGCTGTGTGCACAGTGGGTAGGAGATCAATGTTGTTGCTAAAGAATGTAGCAATAAAGAAGAGTAGATTGCTTTTTTTCCAAGCTTTTGTGTTTTTAAGGCACCCCGCTGGTTTTGACATTCGTTGCTCCAGCTGAACTGCTCTATGCTGAAGCCCTGCAGGTCTCAAGTGTTTGGTTCAGAGTAATTTCAGGCCATATGAATGCTTTCTTAAGTATCATTGGAATTTACTGGGCTGGCTGTCTGCCAGCTATTACCATATTTAGCATGAAGAGACCTGGGGAATGAGGACATTTCTGATCAACCAAGGAAGGAAACCTATTTGAAGGATTACAATATTTTCTTTTTTTTTTTTTTTAATGGTGTAGTTCAGAAAACGCCAGTTAGACTGAGACTCAAATTTATGTCCACTGGTCTTTGTTTCTGTGCCCCATCCCAAAATTAATTTATGAATAGGAAAAGAGATTTGATAGTGAAGTTCTTTCTCACTCTGAAGTCTAATACTGTTTCTGGGAGGAAGTAAGAGAATTATTATGCCCACACTGTGCACTGAGAGGCTTAACCAGCAGGTGAAGCTGTTGATTAAAAACATAGGTTGATGAGTATTCTCATTTTTCTCCTTTGAAGCTTTCAGAAATTTTCTGCTTTGTCCTGGTCTAAATTTATTTTGGCCCAGCCCTTGTCTCCACCCTACATTTCAAACCAGTAGCCTTCCCTCTATGGCTCAACATTTCTCTGCCTCAGTTTTTTCCATTTTAAAGATGAAGATATTGTTTGGAAGGACCAGTAAATACAATTAATATAAAAATTGCTTCTGTAGAATCAAACAACCTCCAACATTTCTGTTGGAAATTTATAGTTTATAGAGTATTCTTACACAATGATCTCCTTTAATCCTCACAAACTTGGTGGAAATGGAGCCTCACAGGGGCTAGGTGACTTGTATACATTGTTTACCCCTACATAATAAGTGACAGAGCTGGTACTTAAACTTGTGGCTTGATTTTTCTTTTTTTTTTTTGAGTTGGAGTTTTGCTCTTGTTGCCCAGGCTGGAGTGCAATGGCGCAATCTCGGCTCACCGCAACCTCCACCTCCCGGGTTCAAATGATTCTCCTACCTCAGCCTCCCGAGTAGCTGGAATTACAGGCATGCACCACAACGCCTGGCTAATTTTTTGTAGTTTTAGTAGAGACGGGGTTTCTCTATGTTGGGCAGGCTGGTCTCGTACTCCTGACCTCAGGTGATCCACCCACCTCAGCCTCCCAAAGTGCTGGGATTACAGGTGAGCCACCGTGCCTGGTCCTTGCAGCTTGATTTTTTAAACATCAGATTTTTTTTTCTTTTTTGATTTTTATTATTATGTGTCTGTCATTCTGCTAGGGGCTTTGCAAATATTGCTTTATTTAATTCATATGGCTATCCTTTGGAGTAGACAATATTTTTCTACATTATAGGTAAGGAATTTGGAACTTAGGTTCACAGCTTTGGATGTTGGCCTATGGTTAGTGAGGGGTGTAGCCAGGATTCAAACCCCTGTCTGGCTCTAGGGCCGCTGCAATAAATCATGGTGTTTTATGTACATTCATACACTTAACACTTTGCAACAACCCTAAGAGACAGGGGTAGGTATTTAGGGAAACTGGGGCTTCTAACTTGCACAGGATAATGCAATTAGTAAGTGGCTTAGTCGAGATTCAGAGCTAGATCTGTCTCCATAACCCTCACTCATTCCAGGATACTGCAGATGCCTATTTTTATGATATGTATAAGTAAAAATTAATTTAAAAAACTACCTTCTTTGAAGGGTCAGCCAGTTAGAACTCTTTTGTATCTTCTGAATAAGTAAGAAGTGGATGGACATTAGCTGACCGATACATTGATGGCTTTTAACCTTCTATCAGTTGATTTCCATTACCAGGACAAGCAAATATAATTTGGAGGGAAAAGAGGGGAGTTTCCATTAAGGATGAATCTTTAAGCCGAAAAGGGCCACAGTGATGAACTCTTCAGAGGACTGCTCTCAGGAGCAATGGCCCTTCTCCTCTGGGCTCTGCTTGGGGCATTCCTGTTTGTATTTATGGAGACATCTTTTTGAAAGGCAGATGCCAGCTTTGGTGGGGAGAAGGTTGGAAAACATACAAGCCTTGCTCTAAATTTACTAGCCCCGTGTCTTTGGGCTAGTTTCTGAAGCATGGTGTGCCTCAATTTTATTATTTTAAAAATAAAGATAGTAGCAGTATATTTTGGAGTTGTTATGAAGATAATATCAGTTAATAAATGTTAGATTCATTGGACAGTACCAGGCACATAGTTAAAGTGCAGTAAATAGTAGTTATTGTTGGTATTGGTGTTATTTTATGTTGCAGTACAGACTGGCTTCTTGGTGCATTCACTTTTCTTTAATCAAAAGTGGATGAGTGATTGGGAACCTTCATGAGGAAATAGGAACATCATCTTTGCAGCCTGTGGATTGTTCACTGGTTTCCTGTGATCTAATAATTATTTAAGGGTTTCATATTTGAGTCTTTTCCCTTAATGAGGTACACTTTCAGTTTGGGGAGATTTTATCTATAGGCATACCTTATTTTATTTTGTGTTCCCTTTTATTGTGCTTCACAGATTTTGTTTTATTTTTTACAAATTGAAAGTTTGTGGCAACCCTATGTCGAGCAAATGTATCAGCACCATTTTTTCCAATAGCATATACTCACTATATGTCCCTGTGTCAGTATTTTTTAGCAATAAAGTATTTTTAAACTCAGGTATATGCATTATGCTTTAGACATAATGCTGTTGCATGCTTAATGGACTAGAGTATACTGTAAACATAACTTTTGTATGCACTGGGGAACCAAAAAATTTCTGACTTGCTTCATTGTACTGTTTGCTTTATTGAGGTGATCTGGAGCTGAAGCCACAATATCACAAAGGTATGCTTGTATTATGCAAATTGCATTGATAGGTGTTAAATCATTTTCCCAATTTTTATTAACCACACATTTGTGATTGGATGTTATGTTTAGTAAAGATATTGTGATTTTCTGAGGTACAGCTTTGAGAACAGTATCAGGTCTAACACTCTTGTTTCCAAATTTCCTATGATATGACAAACATAATCACATGCCATCCAGTGTCACCATGCAGAGTACTAATGTGAAGCCAAAATACTTGGTGTTTTAATTAGCCTTAAAGCAGTTAATGAACTATCTCTGTTAGACATTTTGAAATAATAAAAATATCCCATTGTCTTTTATTGCAACCTCAGGGGCTCCTGGAGATTTTGGGATCTTGTGTGGGGAACCACCCATCTAATCCATCCTTGTTTTAAAGAGAGAAAACCAAAGAAGCAAAGTGACTGGCCCAAGTACCTAGAGCTGGGTCAGGGTTGGGGCCAGAATTCAATCTCTTGACTTTTAGTCAAGTGATTTTTCCACTATGCTCAGTACTCAAATTATGTATCAATATGTCGGCCCTTGTTTTTTGAGGTCTGAAAAGGGTTAGTGCCAGTCAACAACAGTAGAGGAGTAGAAAGGGTGTTGGGATGGGAGAGGTGTGGCTATATTTAAAATTTCAATGACAGCAGTGAAAATAATTTGCCTGTGAACCTCTGCCTGTCCCTTTGGACTTCTTTGTAGTAGTTGAGACAACCCGGCAGGTCTGGTGTCATTAGTGATTCAGAATTGGATTAACCTGGACTGGTGGAGTTACTTTCTCAGAAAAGGGCTTTATATTTTAACATTTGTTTCCCTTGACAGTTTGCTTCTTCTCAAGTTTTGGCAGCCTTGAACAAGTGGTTGTCAGGTTTTTATTTTGTTTTGTTTTAAGAAAAAATTCCAAATTTTATTTTGCCGATTTAGTAAGTTATCCTCTACCTGCCACTCCCTTCTGCTCCCTCTATAATTATTTCTAAGACTTTATTTTTCCATTGTGGGAACATTATGGAAGGTTTTCTTTTACAGTCTGAGATATTTATAATTATGTGTAAGCACACAGTTTATGGAATATGTAAATGGTCCATATGTTAACTTAAATACCCTTAAAATATTTTCCAATAATTTAAATCTTTCCATAAAAGTAGCTGAAGCTGCTTATAATAAAAGAGAAGTATACACGAAGGATAGCAGAATTTGGATGTAGTTAATATAGATAAATATGAATGTCACTTTGGAGGAACTGGAAGTATTTGCATGAATACTGATCAAGTCATGCCTCCTTGTTAATAGAGTGAACAAAACAGATGAATGTTTCTGTTTTCATGAAGTTTATGTGACTATCAGTAGCTTCCATATTCTGAGGGTTTATTATGTGACAGATGCTTGGGGACAAAAGACTTTACTTGTTTCCTTTAGTCCTTAAAATAGATGTTAGGATTCTTGTTTACAGAAAAGTTAAGGAATGTTCATCCAGATCACCTAGCCAGTCAGTGGTAAAGAACGGTCACTGGAACCCCTCTTTCCTGATCCAAAGCCAACATACTTAACCATAATAAATAATGCCATTGTCTGGTGGAATCCTGTAGTCCCTTAGATAGTGTAATTTTGTATTTAATGTAAACATTTTGTGCACTAAACTGACTTACATTTTACTTTTTAAAACAATATTTTAATTCTGAATGAACATTTGCATAATAGGAGAATGATCTAAATTGCAAACTTCCATTTTGAAGAGTTGTAGTTCTTTTAAATCTTTTTGTAACTGGGAAGAAGAATGGAATTATGTTTGTTGTAATCCAAGGAAAGTTGGTTAGCATTCTTTCCTGTTACTTTTTGATCCCAAAAGAAATTCTTTAGTAGATTAAGACCAGGAATGAATGTGTGGATTTTTTTAAATAAAAAATTGAGAGAGATTGCAACTAGCAATTCAGAGCCAGATTTATGTTCAGAAATGTTTGATGCCAGCCGTTTTAGTTACAAATAGCTTTTTCTTGACTGTACAGTTGTGTTCTTATGGTACCATTCTGAAAGTGATGTAAGAGACCATGTAAAATGATTGGAATGCCTCAGCATCTGAACAATGCACATAGCCAATTATTAAAATTACCCAGTACTAACCTGTCTTGGCTTAGGAACTATGAAATTAACTGTGGGTAGCATTTCTACACATATCATTACAGAACAAGCATAAAGACAAGCTTGTTTTTTTCCTTTTCTGTGGATTTGTTTTTTCTTATTACCATATCTTTTGTTACTGAAAACTGGTGGTCATCTGTACTAATAGATAAGAGAAGTGTGTTTGACACCAATACCTAATCTTAGATTATCCCTGCTATTTTAAAACACAGTCCTTCACCTGCATGCTCAGACATGTGGGTTCTTTCAAACATACTGGACTTCCTCCTTAGGTTTTAGTTGTGTTAGTCAATAGTTGAATGTTGAAGGAGAGGATGCCAAGGGATATTAAAGAAGGTAAAAGAGATAAGTGACAGCAAACATTATTTATTTTTAATTATCTCTCAGAATGACTTTTAGATACCCTTCCCTACTACCTTTTGATTTTTGCTTTAGCATAGCTGGTGAGTTTTGGAATCAGAGAGACTGGGCTCTGATTTGTACTAGCTAAGAATATTAGACAAGCCACTTAACTTCTTTAAGTCTCAGTATCCGTATTTATATAATGGGAATAATAGTAATATCTAACTTGCAGGATTGTTTGTAAAGATTGAAAGCAACATATTTAATTGTGCTTGCGTGGTTCTGGGCACAGAATAGGCACCCGAGTGTAGGGGCCCCTGAACTTTAAAGTTCATTACTTTCATGGTAATTCCTCCTTTGGAATATATAGCCTGGGAACATTTGTCTCTAGACCTTGTTTCAGTTTCTTTTAATGACTCCCTTTAGGCTCTGCTTCATGGCCAACGCAAGATTATGGATCACCTAAAGAGTAGACTAAAAGTACTATTGTCTAGTAACTTCAAGTTTGTAGGTTAACTCACTGTGAATCAAAAGCTTTTAAAAATCTTTTGTGTGGTCATAGTTTGTAGTGTCTTGTACCTCTCATCTCAGAAGCAATTGATTCATAGAAAAAATTATTTAGGATTTCAGATGAAAGATGAAGAACTCTTTCAATAAGAAGGAACTGATTTGGTTGGATTATTTGTTTCTTTCACCCCTGAGTTTTCATGGAAATCAGGTTTAAAATGTTAGAAGCAGTTGGTTTTCAGCATTGGGAAAGCTTATCTGATCAGGCATGCGAAGTGGCCTATGTCGGATTTCTGAGCTAGGAAAGGCTAGGGGAGGTTGAGGAGATTATTGTACTTGTAATTCCTGAGCATGGTTGAGACACAAGGAGAGGATTGTGGAAATTGTTTTTAAAAAATTGTTGAAGTTAATGCATTCTTGGGTGGATTTGCAAAACAGAACAAAACAAAAAGTTGTTGAAGTTAGTTACACTGGTCTAACAACGTATACTTACCACCCCCATTTGGGCTGGAGGAATGGATCTAATAATAATATAGGTGTTTGTGATCTAATTTGAATCATGTAATCATTTATCATTTCTGGGTTAGATGGTAAGGATTTTCTGTTTCACAGATTTTTAGACTGGGAATTGTGCTATTATAAAATAATATTTTACATTAAATAATGCTATCTAGGTTGTAATCACCTTAATAGACATGATTTATTTGGGCCACAAATGAACTCTGGTAAGAATGGAGGGCTGGTTACATTATTTTAGTTTTACAGATGAAAATAATCAGTCTCAAATAGCTTAAGGGAATTCCTTTAGACCATATGGTTAGTATATGGAAAAGCCAGAGCTAGAACCCAGGTTCTGATTTCCAGAGCAGTTCTTATTTCATGATACCGCATAATTTTATAATGTCCCTAAATCCGAATTTCATTTCTCATGATGTGAAAGGATTCTCTTTATTTCTGTTTGGTTAGCTGCATCAGAGCATGACAGAAATGGAGCAGAATTTGAGTATTCTTTCCCCAGATGGGTCAGTTAGCTTTTCTTAAAGCTATTCTGTGCTTACATTGTTAATCAGTTGTCCCTGGTTCCTAGACAGGATGTTGATCCATGTGAAATAGGCAGGAATATGTGTCTGACTCAGCTTAACTCATCACAACTTTCATATGTCCTGCTAGTGGGTCTATAATGTCACCCTCGTTTACAGGCGTTTTTAATTTTCTGATGTCTATTTCTTAGTATTTTTCCTCAGCCATTTTTAATGTCTCAAGCCATAGTTCTTCCTGAGTGGCCTGAAGTGATTTTGCTGCTCTTTAAAGCTTCCTTAAGGTTTTTCAAGAGCGTACAACATAGGCTGCTTCTAAGTGTATTTTTATTTCCTAGCTCTTAGCATTTCTCACCTTATCATTATAACTTTAAATTTAAACAGAATACAAATTGTGTACACAGATGGGTGTGTCACTATTGCACTGTCACTTATGTAAGTGCAGTTTAGCATTTCTTCTTTCCTTTTAATCAAAATGAGGAAATAGAAAATGTTTTGTTATGGTAGTTTTACACATACACCCACAAGGAAATGTGTATCTAGAGCCTGTGGGAACTGTGACTGATACATTTCAGGGAATAAAATGTATGATGGCTAAAATTTTAACTCTGCCAAATGTTCACAGGGAAAGAAAAATTAACAAACTCACATTTTACACTTTATTTTAGCCTAGTCTCTGCCTTGTTTACATCTATATGATAATGAAGCTATACTTGTCTTTCCACAACAGTGTATTTTATAAGTTGTACCTTTTGTTTAAGGGAGCCTTCTTAACAAACTTTCTTTCAGTTGTCCAGTGTACAGAAGCTTACTGGAAGGAGTGGCCAACTAGTTAAAGGTTTGACACCTCAATATCAACAAAATGCCAAGTGGATCATTTTGACTCTCACAGCAATCCAACTGGACATTTGACCATGCCCCGTGGTCAGTGGAGAGCTTCTTCTCTGAAGGCCACTTTTGTCTAGCACATCAAGGCTATACACCTCTTTCACTAAGAAGAATTTGGCACTTTTATGTTGTGAGAGCTGAGATTCACCATTCTCCACCATCCTGAGAAGAGCTTTGATAGAAGGGCTACTCCTGAGGTACATAGATTATCCAAAATACATACAATTTTTTCATAGAAAATTATATATGTATTATAATTTTTATTCAAGACAGGTTGAAATTAATAGATTTCTTACATTCACTGCATTAAAGGAATATTTATGGCTTTGGTAATATTTTAAATTTCAAATTAAAAAATTTGAATATCTGAATTAAGTATCTCTGATTTAACTCTGTGTGTGTGTGTGCATGTGTGTGTGTGTGTGTGTGTGTTGGGAGGAGGAATAGACCTTGGAATTGTTTTTTCAAAACTTTTTTTATAATAGTGCTTAATCTCAGTTGGCAAGGAATAGCTGTCCAGAATGCTGCATAGATCTAGTGAAAAGATTTAGGGAAGTTGTAACTAGTTTAATAACCATCTGTGGAGTGACATAGATTGACACACCCAATTATACAAGACCTGAGTCTGAGAACTGTTGATGTGCAATCATCCCATCAGCATCTGCTCGTCATTATCAACAACAATAATGGCTCAACTATTTCTTTGAGGCCACATGAAAAGACAGTGTACCCATAGCAAAGGATAAGTCAGACCTGAAAAAAACATAGCCCTCTGCATCCCCTTGTTCCCAAACTTCTTTTTAAACATAACCTTTTGTGAAGTTCTGAAAGAATTCATTTTATGTTTTCTTTTTATTAATTTTTCTTCTTAAATACCATGTCTTTCTGGCTGAAATCCTTGCCAAAACCAGGAAGGGCCAGTGTACTGTGGGTGATTTTTCTAATTCATTTCTTTGTCATTTGAAGCCTTCTGTGGCTTCATGCTGCTTTATGTGTGTGTAAATATTCAGTATCTTTTCTAGTTTGCACTTTTGTCACAACTGCTATTAAGCCACCTATGGACACATTCTAATATAAATTATTTTGGCCACTGTGAGTGGGAGGGAAAGAATCAGTTCACAGGGATAAATTTGCATGTTGAGAAGATAATATATAATAGTTTGCAAAACACTTCTATGTACATTGTATCTTTTATAGAGAAAAGGCCATGTTTTTATTTGTAGAGACTGAGACAGAGACCCCATGAGATCTAATGCAGAGTCACATGACTCCAAAGCCAGGTCTTCTATCTGCTCTTTGGTATATAACTGGATCATTATTCTGTTGACAGAAATAAGGAATCTTCTTATTTTTCAAAGGCACCCTTTTGCCCTTGGAAGGTATATTTAGAAATCCTTTACCAGAGTAGAAAGAAGACAGTTATATTTTCCTGCCTTTTGATAAAAAACAGTGTGTTTTTTTCTAAATCTTGTTGTGTTTGACTAGAGTCTGATTAAGGTACCTTTTGGGAAATTAAGGTTCTATAGAAATTACTGGGCTCAATCTAGTGATACAAATATGTGTTGTTTGATTTATCAACACATTACAAACCTTAACTTTGGAGTTTTAATATCTGGTTATCTTTAATATCTGGTTATCTTCTTTCTGAAGTGTATGTACACAAAATTGATGCTAAATAAGGTCTTGTTGTTTTGGCAAATAGTGAAATGCAAGGTATTGGTAGATCAGTACTGTTATAACTTTGGTGCAAAGTTGCTGCATGCAGATTGGCTGTGGGACCTTGTTCATTTTTTGAGAACTAATGTAGAGTTTGAAAAAACACCGTAAGCCTGCATTCCAGAAGTTCTGGTATGGATAGTGTGAGCCCAGGGAATGTGCTTAGATAAAAGATCATTTAACAAATAGGTTTTGCATTTTTTTAGCAATCAGGCCTTGTGCTGAATATTAGAGTGGTTGTTTCAGAGAGTTTGCAGCAATTAGGCTTTATTGGTGCACTAAGGAGAAGCAGAGAGGAGAAGCAATTCTTGGTAACTTCCTTGGAAGTTGCAGCTAACTCTGAAAAGTCTGGGTTGAACTAGGTAAGTAACTAATTCCTAGAATCAATAAACTTTGCAGGAGTCCGTTTGATTGTACATGTAGCTCCCTGGAATTGCTATTGGTCCCTAAATCATCAGTTTGTAATGCTGGTTTTCAAACTTGAGTGCACATCAAGTTTTGGAGGACTTGTTAGAATACAGATTGCTGGGCTCACCCCCAGAGTTTCTGATCTGGTAGGTCTGGAGCGGGACCTGGTAGATTGCATTTCTAAAAAGCGTCCAGGTAATACTGCTGCTGTTTGGGAAAGTACACTTTGAGAGTCACTGGCTTACAGCAATCTCAAGGTGTTTGGATTTTTGGGCAGGGGTGCTGTGCAGGCGTTGCTGGGATCTCTTCACAGCACCTCCACTGCATAGAGGTGAGCCTCCAGATGTTTTCATTCATTCAACTAATATATGTACCTATTGTGTGCTGGGCACTGCTTAAGTTGCGAGGGGATATTGTGAAGAAAGTAAGCAAAACCCCTTTGTTTGTAGAATTTCAGTGAGCATAGTCCTGGGTTAACCTGACAACAGTCCTACTGTTTATTGATGCTTATAGGTGAGCCTATTTCTCTTTCTAGCTTTCTTCCACTTAATTTACTTTCTTTTGGAATTCTTGAATTTAATAATAATAATATTGATGTTATTAGTCATCACTATAACTTTTTATTGAGTGTGTATTTTATGTCAGACACAGTGTGGCTAAGTGCTTTACATACATTATCTCATCTAATCCTTAGAAAAAACCCTGGTGTATTAGTCTTAATTTAAAAGATGTACTTTGGAAAGGTTAGTAGTTTACCCAAGATTATGCAGCTAGTTAAAAGTGGTGCTGGGGCTGGGCTTGGTGGCTCACACCTGTAATCGCAGTGCTTTGGGAGTCTGAGGCAGGAGGATCGCTTGACACCAGGAGTTTGAGACTAACCTGGGAAACATAGCAAGACCCCATCTTTACGAAAAATAAAAAAATTAGCCAGGAGTGGGGGTGCACACCTGTGGTCCCAGCTACTTGGGAGGCTGAGGCAGGAGGATTGCTTGAGCCCCAGAGGTTGAGGCTGCAGTGAGCCATGATTATGCCACTGCACATCTGTCTGGGTGACAGAGCAAGATCCTGTCTCCAAAAAAAAAAAAAACAAAAAAAAAACAAAAAAAAGTGGTATTGGGCCTGTCTAATTGCAAAGCCACATTCTTTACTGCATGCTTTAGTCCATTGTTTTTTAAACTGCAGATCATGACCACGAATGGGTCATGAAACCAATTTGGTAGGTCTCCAACAGCACTTTGGGGGAAAAAAGGGTAGAATAGAGAGTATCACATAGTATGGACAAGCATTGTTTCTTGAAATTTTTGTTTTTGCTATGCACGTATATATGTGAATATTGAGGTCTGGTACAAGATATATTTCTCACTGTAGGTCACAGTAAAACATGTTGGTAAGCTACTATTTTCTTGGCTATGGGACTATATGTCATCTAATCACTTTTTAAAAACAGATTACAAACTGTAGGCCTTAGAAAGGTAAGTAATTTTTCAGCTGGGCATGGTGGCTCATGCCTGTAATCCCAGAACTTTGGGAGGCCAAGGCAGGCGGATCACGAGATCAGGAGTTCAAGACCAGCCTGGCCAATGTGGCAAAACCCCGTCTCTACTGAAAAAAATGCAAAAATTAGCTGGACATGGTGGCGTGCACCTGTAATCCCAGCTACTCAGGAGGCTGAGGCAGGAGAATCGCTTGAACCTGGGAGGCGGAGGCTGCCATGAGCTGAGATCACGCCATTGCACTCCAACCTGGGCAATAGAGAGAGACTGCATCTCAAAAAAAAAAAAAAAAAAACCAAGGTAAAGTAATTTTTCAAGAGCACAAAAATAGTCAGTGGCAGTACAAAGACAAGATGACTGACTTTTTTTTTTTTTTTTTTTTTTTTGAGACAGGGCCTCACTCTGTCACCCAGACTGGAGGGCAGTGGTGCGATGTTGGCTTACCACAACCTCCACCTCCCAGGCTCAAGCGATTCTCCTGCCTTAGCCTCCCGAGTAGCCGGGATTACTGGGGTGTGCCACTACCACCCGGCTAATTTTTTTGTATTTTTAGTAGAGACGTGGTTTCACCATGTTGGTCAGGCTGGTTTTGAACTGCTGACCTCAAATGATCCACCTGCCTCAGCCTCCCAGAGTGCTGGGATTACAGGTGTTAGCCACTGTGCCAGGCCAGATGTCTGACTTTTTAGCCCTTGGTCCATTGCTTTATTCTTCACACCATACCACTTCCTTAGAAGTGCACCTGGAAATGCCTGGGAATTGAATTTTATCTTTCCACATGATGGCAGATATGCTATGGAACCCTTCAGGGATGTCGGTGAAACCTGAAAAGGGAAGTTGAATCTCAGCCTGCTCTGAGTAGGTGAAAATTCTGCCTTGGATCCCCCAAAGTCTGCAGATAAAGATGTGACATTTCTCATGTTCTGCTGTGCTTGAAGGAAAGAGGGTAATAATCTTAACAGTGCCAAGCTGTAAGCATGTTGCATATATTAACTTGTTTAATTACCAATTATTTTGATACAGCGGCCATGCCTGGGATATGAACTCAGCTGTTTTGAGTGAGAAGGGGCATCCTACCAGTGTGAGTTAACACTTCTCTGTACTCTCCCCGGTTCCTCATTTTGTTCCTGCTGAGTTCAGAGCTATGTTCCTCATAGCCTGGCTTACCTGTGGATGTTCTCAGCCTCGTTTTCTTTTGCTAGATCATATATCTTCATTAGGTGGGTGATTTTGGTTTCTGTTACTTTTTCCTTAATATTAGTATATTGCTGATTTGGATCAGGGGCCAGGCTGTAGATTTTCAGCATGGTGAGGTGATGATACATGTTGGTCCCCCATGCAGAATGCTGCCTCTAGCACTTTAGCCAAAGGAGCTCTACAGTCTGTCCAGAAGTACTGGGGGACACTGGTAATAACCTGAGAACACTTACAGAGCCTTCCAGAAAGTGCCCTTTCACATCATATAAACAGATCATGGGAAGCTGAGGGAATGCAAAGTCAAGGCCTCATTGGAGAGCGGAAAGGAGGCTGAGATTGGTGGAGAGGAGTGGCTGTTACATTCTAATTAGAAGAATGACATGTGCAGGGCCATGAAGCAACTAAAGATGGGATGAAAAACTTAACTTGTGAATCGCAAAATTTGAGTAGGAAGGAGCTGGAAAGGCCTGGAAGTGCGAAGTGATTGGCCCTTGGTCAGATGGCTAGAAGATAGAGAGCCAGGCATAGA
This sequence comes from Homo sapiens, assembly GCF_000001405.40. Taxonomy (NCBI): domain Eukaryota; kingdom Metazoa; phylum Chordata; class Mammalia; order Primates; family Hominidae; genus Homo; species Homo sapiens. The sequence continues at coordinate 149,414,263 of NC_000001.11, forward strand.
ACCCAGAATCCAGGCCATCATTTTGTGGACTCTTTTATCCTAATGACATGTTAGCCAGAGGTGTCTTCCAAAGCACCTGATTATAGGGAAGAATGAATGTCACTTACCCTAGAGTGAGTGAAATAGAGATGCCAGGAAGATATACCAGGTTTATCCAGTTTCTTTGCATTTTTCTGGCATACTGTATACTCTTGAGCGCATATGTATCCTACTTTATGAAATCTGGGGGTAAAGCAGGACCCTTCACACCCTTAAAAAATGTATACCCCAAGAAAAACATTTTTAAAGCATGAACGGTTCCTCAAGTAAATACATATTTATACATTATATAAATGTCTGGCTATTAAACCATGTATGCATATGTTAACTCTAAGTAAAGCTTATTATATGTTTTTTAGCCCATAAATATGGAGATGTTTTAAAATTTCTTCCAGTGCCCCAGTGGATGGTCTTACACCTCCCCTACTTCTGGGGTACACACACCTAATTTTGCAGACCACTGGTCCAGAATGTAAATTGAAGAGTTTAATGTCTAAGATATTTGTTCTTTTGTTTGTAGCTTATCTTTTACTCCCCACGTTTCAAATATCCGTTTGCAAAATAATTTTTGAGTTAAAATTTTCAATTAAAAAACTGTATCCTTGAGGTAGAAAAGATAAAGATAGAAGATATATGTGAATTAGGTTGTATCTCTCCTTAAGAGGGAATACTGTTTTTTATCTAAGGAGAACTAACAACCCTCCCTTTCATTGTCTGGGTTGGTATAAGTAAAAATCCTTGTTTGAAGTTATTAAGCCTTCCCACCCATATGATGATTAGTTTGGTTCATAAGCTAGAGTTAGGGCTTGGTAAAGGCTCCTTTTTTTTTTTTTTTTTTTGAAGTCTTTCCACCTTAACTAGCAAGTAAGCTAGAAATGACAGAGCAGTAGAAGGGGGAATCTACCAGAGTGTCCTACAGGACCTTGTTGAATGCTACTGCTGCATGCAAGGGTTGTGGATTTGGTGTGGGCCTTCTGCAGTATCACCCAAATTTGAGCAGTACATGTAACTAAAAGTAAGAAAAATAAATTAGACAGTTTATTTCATTTCAGACTTTGGAAGCCCAGGACTGTGGGGATTAGCTATTAGCTAAGACAATGATTCACTGAGCAAATGCAGTGAAAGATTCTTTTGTTACACTGATCATCATTTGTGGAGAGACTCTGAAGAAGGATAAAGCTCTGGCTGCATAGTCAAACCAGACCTACTACTCAAGGACATGCATACTAGATATGTAGGTGTTTCCAAATATTTTTTTCAGTTGTGGGGGTACAAATCATTTCAATAGTAGAGTAACTCAGTTCATTACTGTTACTGGAAAAACAAGTTTAACCAAGCACATATCCTACTGAGGGTGAGTCAACAGTGTCATTTTAACATAAGAAGGACAGTACATGAAGTGAGTTATTCCAAGTCCTGTGGTTTTCCTACAGCTGAGCAAAGACAGCTGTTCTTTCGGAAGTGGGGCTCTAAAAAGAAGTTGCCCATCTCCTTTCTTTCTTGATTATAGCCTTTTAGTTTTCTTTTGGCCTGAGACATTTCAAAAATTCATTTCCTCCTTAGATTTCTATCACCAAATACCCTGAATTTTGATAATTTATTTATAGGGTATATTATTTATTATAGACTTATTATAGTTTAAAACTTTAATTTATCTCCCATTTCAAGATCCATGTTTGCTATATGTGTCAGATGATAAAAATGCCATAAGGAAAACAGAGGAGTGATCTTTTTTAATATGTCATTATTTTCTATAGTTCTTTAGTGGTATGGACATGGAATAAGGTGGCATTTTGTGGGACAGTATACCAAACTTAGTGATAAAATTTATACTTTTAATTTTGGAGGACAAAAGTCTTGTATTCTCAGCCTTGTGGATAAGACAGTGCTCTGAGCTGTCTGAGGTTTCCTAAATTGGGATTCAACATCATGAAGGGTATGTGTCTGGATAGTTTATTTGTTGGTTTGGGAAGGTGAGTTTTTGTCTTTTTTCCCCCTCTGAGTTGATTTCTTTAGTTGGAGAGAAGCAGACCAGATGAAGAAAATACTTTATCTCTTATGGCATTTTTGGTTTACCACATTAGTTATGACCCGTCTTCTCTGAGCAGCAGGCCATGCTTCTCTGTTCAGTAGTTCAGTTTTCACTAACTTAACTGCAGATGTGTTCTTGGAGGGATTTATTTCTAATCAATTGAATTATGGGTACTTGGATAAAATGATGATGGGTTACCTACTTTTAATAGGGCCGTCATTTTTAAGAGTAAAATCTTGTCAAGATAGGGTATATCATACTTATGATCTGGTTCCATCTCTAACTCCATAATTTCCTTTTGCTCCTGTGTTGCTACTCTATTATTGAGAAGAGATGGTATCTTGTCAGTGTCAATTTTACAAAGAAAAAATTCTAAACAATTTCAGTCATAGGGTAGTTTTTTTTTTTTTCCTGGAGAAATAATGCATAGTGTAGTATGTTGAATCCTAGAGTTGGCAAGTTTTCAAAAGTGGGGTTCTTTTGTTGTGTAGGTAGGGGTGATGCTAGTCAATGGGTGTTAGTCATTAGGGCATGTGTATGAGTGGTAGTTCTGAGATACAGCATTGGCAGCCCCTCTTGTCCCTGGTTTTGTTTTTGATAAGCAAGTCCTGGTTTTGTTTTAATAAGCAGGTCATTAGCTGATCTTTCGTGTAAATGTTTTTGATGTGCATAGCTGGTATGTGGGTGGTTACCTACCTGAGAATGTTGTAGTCACAAATGTATATTATGGAAGTTTGCAGATTATGGTGGATATCAGGTTTTCCTTTTTTTTTTTTTTTTTTTTTTTTTTTTTTGAGACAGAGTCTCGCTCTTTCGCCCAGGCTGGAGTGCAGTGGCGCGATCTCTGCTCACTGCAAGCTCCGCCTCCCGGGTTCACGCCATTCTCCTGCCTCAGCCTCCCAAGTAGCTGGGATTACAGGTGCCCGCCACCACGCCCGCTAATTTTTTGTATTTTCAGTAGAGACGGGGTTTCACCGTGTTAGCCAGGATGGTCTCGATCTCCTGACCTCGTGATCCGCCTGCCTCGGCCTCCCAAAGTGCTGGGATTACAGGCGTGAGCCACCGCGCCCGGCCGGATATCAGGTTTTTCTAACTGCGTATTTACAGATGTAGTGAGTGAAAGGAATGTTGGGTCAGTAGGTAAAAGACTTGTGCTCTGGTCCTGGTTCAGACATCTTGATTTGTGTGACTTTGGGCAAGGCCCTTATTTCTTTGAGTTGCAGTTTCTTGTGTAAAATGGTGCTAATACCAATTTACATGCCTCATAGTGTTGTTGTGGGGATCAAATGAGATCACTGTTTATGAGCAGCCTTCTCAGGAGTGAGAAATAGAGGGTTGTGAGCTGACTTTCTGATTTGTTTGGCTGAGGTGTTCACACAAGCCATAGAATGCTTTGTAGGCTTGGGTGGAGGAATGTAGATGGAAATCAGCTGAAAATCCCTGCCTATTAGAAGCTGAGATGTTAATCCTAAATATATTCTATGGAGTACTATCAGATGCCTTGCTTTTCTTCATGATGCCCTATTAGCTTCATCTTCAGGTAGCATAGGTGCCTGTTACTCTCATTTTACTTGAAGAAACTAACCAGCCAACTGATTTAGGATATGGCTGGCTATCTTCTGGAACTCACATTAGAGTTACTCCTTGAGAGTAAAGTCTTGTATTTTCTGAAGGTTGCTGCTTTTGGGGTATTTTCCGTGGAGGTGGGTGGGCACACACAAAAACTCACTGTGCTCAAATTTATAAACTTGTTCTTCTTAACAATTTTAAAGCCAGATTACATTGGATTGGGGGAGGGGAGGATACTAGATTTATTTAGTGTTTTTTAATATAAAACTTTGTATTTGAAACTTTATGTGGTAACATATATTTAGGCTCATAGCCAAAGTGATTACAATGCATTGGTTTTAATATTTTCAGTGAGGTAATGTGTGCTTTAGTGGGGAGGAGGAGAAATATTATTTAATCACCAGCACTACACTAATAACCACATTTACTAAATCCTTTGTCCCTTTGCTTGAACTGAGGGTTCCTTGCTTTTATACTGGTTTTCCAAAGGACTTAATCTTGTTAATGTGATGAGGTGATGATGGGAAGGACATTCCCACTGGGCCCGAAGTGGTGAAACTGGTAAAACTCCCTTTGTAAGTCCCTCTTGTTCAACATGAGTGTCACTCCCATGTCCCTAAAGTAGAATGGAGTTTTATTGAAGAGAGAATTTTAAGAGTGATAAACAAAAGAGATGGAAATATCTCCTGTGCCAGGTCATTGTTACCATTAAAGACTAGAATAAACTGTAATTTTGCAGATTTTCTTTTTGTCTTATGGGAAATTAAAGACTTGGTTATCCTCTCTCGGAGGAAGATAGAAAACTACTGGGCCTGCTCATTAACAGTTTAGCTTGGCTGACATTTTTCAAGCACTTACCATGGTATTATAGCTGGGCTGAAGCTAGGTGGAGCAGACCTCACTTAGGTGTTGCCTAGCTCCAGAATCTGTCTTCTGGTGGAATTCCCTTAGGCTTCCAGACAGGAGTGGCAACAAAGCAGATGAAATGGAAGGTAGGCCAGGGCATCTGCTCATTCGCTCGCTCGCTTGCTCTTTCTCTCTTTCCCTTTTCTTTCCTTTTCTTTCCTTTCCTTTCTCTCTCTCCTTTCTTTCTTTTGCTTCCTTCCTCTCTCTTTCCCTTTCCCTTCCTCTCTCTCCTTTCTTTTTTTCTTTCTTTTTTTTCTTTTCTTTTCTTTCTTTTCTCTCTCTCTCTTTCTTTAGCAGTTTATTACTCATTTGTGAGAATCAGGGAAGCACTGGGCTCAAGAAAGCCAATACCCCTTCTAGGGCTTACCCCCCATTTTAAAATTTAATATATTGGAATTTATATTGTTTCTTTTGATCCGAGATCTTCAGGCTGAAGCTGGAGAGAAATCTTTTGACCTCTCTAGAACAAAGAAAGCCTTTATCAAGACAATGTAACTTTTTGAGTTTGCCAAATTAGGTGTTGCTGCAAATGGAGAAACCTAGAGTTCTCTTCTGTGCTTAAAGACACAAACATGGAAAGTTTTAAGTTCCAATATGGTCACTTAATATATACAAAATTTTCTGTCTTTGCTGTCTTTGTCATTCCAGCAACAACTAGATGAGCAAATAGAATGATTGTGAGCACTTGCAAACCAAATTGTGACTGTTAGTGTGTTGAGCTGCTTTTTTATTAAAATGACTGCTACAACTCTGCAGAAATCTGAGTAGTCTTGAAGATAAATTCTTGCTTGCATTTACAATAAAGAAAGAATATGAGTAATCAAAAGGCTGATGGAGTTGGAGGACTGGCGTTTTTAAGAGGAACTGATTTGGACATTGAGATTATCAGCTCCTCATCAAATATCATTAAGTACCCATTATTATTTTTTTCTGTTGACCAGGAGACCCAGGTTGTGTTGATGTGGGACATAGTTGTATGTCTGAAGAAACAAAGCAAGGGAGAATAAAATAAATAAAAATTGAAGTTCAGGAATATATATATATATATTTTTTTTTTTTTTTTTTTTTTTTTTCCTCAGGCAGAGTCTTGCTGTGTCGCCCAGGCTGGAGTGCAGTGGCACAATCTCGGCTCATTGCAAGCTCCGCCTCCCGGGTTCATGCCATTCTCCTGCCTCAGACTCCCTAGTAGCTGGGACTACAGGCACCCGCCACCATGCCCAGCTAATTTTTTTTTTGTACTTTTAGTAGAGATGGGGTTTCACCGTGTTAGCCAGGATGGTGTCGATCTCCTGACCTCGTGATCCGCCCACCTCGGCCTCCCAAAGTGCTGGGATTAAAGACATGAGCCACCGTGCCTGGCCGTTTAGGGCTATATTTTATGTTTTCTTCTCCCTTTGGTATTTAATAAAGATTTGATATTTTTCTATTATCTGCTTTCCTCTGTTCCAAGGTTTTTGGCCTCAGGTGTGTTCTCTGGAAATGGCAATGATAGGCATTTATAATCTCCATATTTAGATATTTCCCTCACAGTGCTAGTTTCTGAGCTTATTAGAACCTAATGTTAAATGACGAGTTAATGGGTGCAGCACACCAACATGGCACATGTATACATATGTAACAAACCTGCACGTTGTGCACATGTACCCTAAAACTTAAAGTATAATAATAAAAAAAAAGAAATATCCTGGCTATGAGTCAAGGGTTTAGGACCTTTTGAGGCACTTAGGTTTAGACAATTCTCAGTGATGTGTACAGGAATTTGGGTACAGGAATACTATTCACAGGTGAACAGAGTTTGATTTTGGCTGAAGGCATATTATTTGATCCAGATAATAATATAAAAATAATCCAAATGTTAGGACCTTAGCTTCTGCGAACCCTGACTTGAGAATAGTTAGCCATACATGTAGTTGGACTTTATGTAGGACTAACCAATCTCCTCTGCACTATTTTTGCACAGTACATTGATTATGGTATCCCTGATGACCTCTGTCCCCATCCTTGTGAGTAGCCTTCATTGCTACCACCCAAGGATGTTTTAAAAAGGCTATGAGGAAGGATGCATGTAGGGAAATCTGAGGTTGTTCTTTGGATTTTCCCTGTTTTGTTTTAGGAAGTATCCATGATTTTATATAATAATATGTAGCAATCTTAGGTTTTTCCATTTTCATTTTTAACATAATTTTGTTATTCATTCTGTTTGGGTGTCTACCTCTAAATTAACAAACATGAGAAATTGTGTACTCCATTTAAAAAGTGTCCTGAGCAATTTAAGCTAAAAGAATATGTTGTTTCTTTTGGGTGTATAGCAAGAAGATTATATATATTTATAAATTTTTTTCCAGCAAGTGTACTTAAAAGCATGTACTTAAAATTAAGGACTTAAAAAAACTAAGCTGTACTTAACAAAATAATCTTTAGAAAGCTTTAAGGCCGGGCGCGGTGGCTCACGCCTGTAATCCCAGCATCACGAGGTCAGGAGATCCAGACCATCCTGGCTAACACGGTGAAACCCTGTCTCTACTAAAAATACAAAAAAAATTAGCCGGATATGGTGGCGGGCACCTATAGTCCCAGCTACTCGGGAGGCTGAGGCAGGAGAATGGCGTGAACCCAGGAGGAGGAGCTTGCAGTGAGCTGAGATTGCGCCACTGCACTCCAGCCTGGGTGACAGAGCGAGACTCCATCTCAAAAAAAAAAAAAAAAAAAAAAGCTTTAAAAAGGGAGTTTACTAAAAGCACAGGAAATTGGTGACAGGCAAAATTTGTCTTGATAATAGTACAAATACAGATAGTGGAACAGAACAGATAATACAAGATATAAGACAAGACATGGAATAACACTTCATATTCACTTTCTTTGACCACTAAGCAGCACACAAATATATAGCACTTTTTGTAGAGAATAATTAAATTTCTAGATATGATACAGCTTCTTCCTCTCTGTTGGGTTTTATTACACTGAGATCCTGAACCTTTTGGACATGTAAACTGTGATCATGTTGGTCAGTGTCATTTGGATCTCGTTGGTGCTTATTGTTCTGCCGATGTGTATTAGTGAACCTACTCATGGGGAAGATAATACTATACAATGAATTTTCCCATTCAGTTGGAATTTTTTTATTACTCTGTTTTCTATGTTTTTCATTTAGATGTAAATTATTTTGGCTTCCATTCAACCTATTTCAGCTAGTTTTTACCATAATACACATGGCTTAAGATTTATAGGAGGCTAAGAGTGGAGAGTGTATCTTCATTCAAACAAATGGTAAGAAAGGAACTTTCAAAACTGTTTTAGTTTTGCAAAGATTAGAAAAGTACAATTCTACTTTCTCAACTTTTCATCCTTGTTAAAGGCCTGGAAATTTGCAGCATTTTTTTCTTTCTTATTTTACTTTTCTAATTTGTTACACAAAGTGAAATTCCACACATAAACATGCAAGCTGAAGGTTGGGTTTATTCATAGGTTTTGTCTTAATTATAGATATTTAGTTTATTGAATATCTTATTGAGTATTGAGTACCTGCTGTGGTCCAGGCATCTTCTTAGGTCCCAGGTGTACAAAGAGGAGCCAATTGTGGTTACTACCTCTATGGAATTTGCCTAGAAGTGGGAGAGAGAGAGATGAGTGAGCCAGCACTTATAATACATCTACCTAGGATAAAATGGGAGCACAGAAGAGGAACATCTGTATCAGTGGGTCTCTGACAGCTTCTTCAGGAAAATAATGCTTTATCTGTGATTTGAAATATAGTAGGAATTTAGCAAGATAGAGAAAAAGGAAAAGGAGGTAAAATATTTTTCAGGTAAAAGAATGTACATGGGTATAGAGGTGATCATTATTAGCAAATTGGCTACATCCTAATTTGTAAGTATTTGTGGATTTTTCAAACCTTATATTTCATGTAGAAGAGCTGAATGCATTAGTCTCATCTCCAAGATCCAGGTATTGAAATTTAACCCATGCATAAATTGAATTTTTTTCTGAAGTCTTTAATAAGAGAAAAATAAAAGGAAAAACTACACAGTGTATAGTAGATTTCAATATAGCACAGCAAACACTGATGAATTTTTTTTGCAATGAGTTCAATATTATAAAATAGAACAAAATTGGAATTTTTAAAACCAAAAATTATTCTAGATTTATCAGCTAACTGGAATGATTTTTTTATAGTATGAAAAGTCTATTAGTAATACAAAAAATATTCATTTATAAGTTGTTATCGTTGATTATATTTTCTTAAGGTATATTTTCAGTTTTTGAAAAGCAGTAATAATTTGCTATGACCCTATAGCCCAGTTCTTAATATCTGGATCTGATACTAGCATCTCTTAGGTAGAAAACACACTTTCTATATGATAATATCTGTAAAGAGCACATAAATCCTTGGAACACTATTAGGAAAACAAAATCGATTTATCTCTTATTGCTTTTTTTTGGGTTTTTTTTTTCCTTTTAATCAAGACAAATTTCAAGGAGGAAGACAGATGTTTCTCCGCTTCGTTTTTATTTAAATGTACCACTTGGGATTTGAAGCTTCCGCACTTCTTCTGTTTGTTTGGATTTTTTTTTCATGGCTTGGTCCCAAAAAATGGAATACAAAATTTAGAGAAAGTTTTGTTTGAAATTGCAGGGCGCTATGAGAATTATTGCAAATCCCTGATGTCTCTTTGTCTGCCCTCAATTCTCCTATTTTTGGTAATAATGCAGGCAGTCATTTTAGAAAACTTTGCTTTGTTCATTTTACTGAGCCTCTTCCAGAGGCCATGTGCCAGAATCAACAGCAGCCAACCACAGCCAAGATCCTAGGACGTAAACTCAGACTTCATCTCTCAAATATTGCTACTTGAAATTTGCATAAACGTTGAAGAAAAAGTTAAAAGAGCCTGTATAACTCCTCTTCATGTATTTTAGGAGCCTCAGACAGTCAAGACATTAAAATACCTTCCGATTGAGCAGTGGGTCTAAGCACAGATACCACACTGCAGATAGGGAGAAGGATATGAAAAAAATCATGTGAGATAGACGACAGAGGCTTATTTGAAGAAGCTACAAAGCAACAAGTAATGCCAGTTTAAAACGATTACATGTTAATGCAACAAGTAAAACACATTGAAGGCTGCTCAGATTACACTGGCTGAAGTACAGACTTAATTACTCATGTTAGAGATTCCTAAAACAAAGGGAGGCTTTTAAGCCAGTGATATGTAGCTGGTATGATACTGAAAAGCATTGGAAAACCTAGGTAAATGCCTAGAGGAAATTTTAAGGAAGATTCCATCAAGTCTGGATACCTTAGCCTTATCCTTAAATGAATAAATTTCTGAGGCGCTGGAACTGGTTAAAATCAATGGCAGCTTGTTCTGTTGTTTGCAGTTTTGATGTATAATTGGAGCTGATAAACCTGAATAAATAAAAGAGCCTTGTCTGGATTGAGTTACAGTTAGTGCTAAACATCAAGGGTTCCTATTGTATTTCTTAAAAGTTCTTTTTGGAGTGATTCCAAGATTGGTATTAAGAGGGTATGCCAAGGGTATATATTGGCAATTTTTATTTTGTTTGTATTTATCTTAGAGTCATTTGGTTAGGTCACATTCTCTCTGCCCCTACTCCCAACTTCTCATTAGATTGTAAGGACCATGAGGACAGAGATTGTTTGTTTTATTTGTGCTTAATTTTCATGCAGTGCCTAGTAGGGGACAATGCTGACAGTAGTTTCTTGACAAATATTAGTGGAACTGTATTAAAATTGAGTTTTTGCTCACATATATTGTTTATTTTACCTTTAGTGGATCACTTCTCCTTATGCCTTCAGTGCTATAGTTTTTTAAAAGAAGTATGTTAGTCTGTTTTGCATTGCTCTAAAGGAATACCTGAGGCTGAATAATTTATAAAGAAAAAAGGTTTATTTGGCTAATAGCTTTGCATATTGTACAAGAAGTTTAGAGCCAACATCTGCTTCTGGTGAGGGCCCAAAAAACTTTCATGGCTGAAGGTGAAGAGGGAGCAGGTATGTAACATGGCAAGAGAGGAGGGAGCAAGAGAGATGTCAGTCTCTTTCAAACAACCAGCTCACATGGTAGCGAGAACTCACTCATTACTGTGGGTGGGCACCAAGTTATTCATGAGAGATCTGCCCCCATAACCTGAACACCTCCCAGTAGGCCCCACCTTCAACATTGGGGATTACGTTTCAACGTGAGATTTGGAAGGGACAAAATAGCCAAACTGTATCAAGCACAAAGAAGATACAGAGATAGTCAATGGTGGAGCTAGTATTCAAACCCAGATTTGTCTGATTTCTGCATCCGTGCTTTCAACTGCTTAACTGCATTGCTTCAAATACTCAGAAAAGACGAAATGTTTTCCATATCCCAGGAACTTAAAAGTGAAAAAGCAGAGAGCTAGAAGACCATGTAGTGCTGAATTGAGAGTCATGAGTGTTACAAGGATAGGGGGTGGTGGCCCTGTGAGGACCAGAACCCTCCAGGGGAAGCTTTCTGGGTGAGGCAAGAGGTGAACTGGGCCTTGAAGGAATGGGTAGAATTTAGATAGTAATGAGGAAGGCAGAAATCAGTGGAAGCACAGACATGCGTGGAGGAATGGAACTGAGTTCAATGACGATCTGTTCAGGAAAGAGGGCATAAACTGGGCAGAGAATGCAGTGGAAGTGGTGGGGAGTAATACTGGGCACGTAAAGTAAGCTCTGATCTGGAAGGCCAGCATGGGAGCCTAGACTGGTTAAAGTAAGAAATGGCTTGTCCTTGGAAGAAAAAGTGTCAAACTTGGTACTGTGTGAAGGTACTGCACAGACCTCCCAACTGGTTCTTAGGAGAGCCAAACTGAGGCTAAGTTCTGAGAACTAAGTAAGAACTGACAGCCATTGTAGGTTAGAAAGTAGTGGGGCAACATGTTACAAGTAGTGCTTCTGGAAGGTTAGATGCGGTTAGAATAAAATCATTGCCATTTTGGGGAGCTGGGAAAATGGATGTCTTCAGTCTAGTCTAAAAAGGGATGACTTGAATAAGCTTATATAAGAAAGAAAAGAAAAACCTTTTTACTCACTGGACCATTTCATAATCTTGACTTTTTTCAAACATAAATCTGTGTCATTTTTCTTATTTAAAACAGCTGAGTAGTTTACTCTCCTACTTAGAGCTGTGATCCTTATCATGGGCTCTTGTGATCTAACCCCAGCCTGCCTCCCTGGCCTCTGTCCTTGCTTAATAACCTCTAGCCATATGAACCTGGAATACCAGTCTAATTCCCACTTCAAGGCTTTTACACTTGTTGTTTCCTCTGCCTGGGGTGCTATTCCCTCATATCTTCATGACACTTGTTCATTTACATTGTAGCTCAAAGCATACCTCCTCAGGGAGGCCTTTCCTAGACACTATCTGAGGTACACTCCTGCACCCCCAGCCTTCATGATTGCTTTTTATACATTACTGGGTTTTGTTTCCAATGGAACTTATCGCTTATTACTGTCCTAAATTATTTTATTTATTAATTTTTTAGCCACCTTTCTCTTATAGAAATAAGGTTCCTGAGGACAGGGAGTTTATTCTGTATACTACGGTATCCCTGACATCAGGGCTTGTGCCTGCCGATAGTAGATGCTTTCTAAATATGTTCTGAATATTAGATAGCTAGTTCCCAAATGCACTGCACTGAAAGTGTATGAAAATTGGAAATTGGCTTCTAGATTTTTGTATTATATTGCCAAATGATGGAGTGATGAGATTGAAATCTACTACTTCTTTTTGCCTTTTTTTTTTTTTTTTTTTTTTTGGTGGAGTAGAGGAGGGCCTGCACAAACAGCAGATACACACACAGTAAATAAGATTTATTTCAGCCAGCAAGTATTTATTGACATGAAAATTGGGGTTAAATGTGACTCTTTGTGAGTGACTAGTTTCTTGGAGTCTATTAAAGCATCAGTTTAAACATCAATTCTCTATGGTATGATTAATGTTTCTTTTTTTACTTTATAAGCATGAAGCTGCCTTCAATTTTATTGTTAAATTTAAGTGTTTTACATTGGAAAAAAGTAAATTGAATTTTGAAATGAGATCTGTCCCGGTCTCACTTTCATGGCTTCAGGTTATCAAAGTTTTAATTTCTCTTTGTATGGAAGATAATTATAGTATTCATTTTTGCTCCTGAGTAAAGCCACGAGTCTCAAGATTATTTTTCTTTTTTAAAAATTAGAATTGTCAATTTATAGTTGTATACATTTATAGGGTACAAAGTGATGTTATAATTTGCTAATACAATGTAGAACAATTAAAAGGTAGTTAGTATATCCTTCATCTCAAATATTTAACATTTTTTGAAATTTACTCTCTTAGCAATTTTGAAATGTATAATACCCTATTATTAACTATATTCACCACTCTATGCAATATATCTCAAACATATACAAAAAAATTCTTCTTGTGTAACTGTAGCTTTTTGTACCCATTGATCATCAGGCCCACAGCTTCCGTAACCACCATTTTCCTCTCTGCTTCTATGATTTTGATGGTTTTCAATTCTACGTATAAGTGAGAACATGCTGTATTTGTCTTCCTGTGCCTTATTTCACTTAGCATAATGTTCTCCAATTCTATCCATGTTGTCTCAAATGACAGAATTTATATCTAAAGGTTGAATAGTATTCCATTGTATGTATCTACCACAGCTTTTTTTTTTTTTTTTTTTTTTTTGAGATGGAGTCTCTCTCTGTCACTCAGGCTGGAGTGCAGTGGAGCAATCTCGGCTCACTGCAACCTCCGCCCCCCAGGTTCAAGTGATTCTCCTGCCTCAGCCTCCTGAGTAGCTGCGATTACTGGCGTGCTGTAATTTTTGTACTTTTAGTAGAGATGGGGTTTCATCATCTTGGCCAGGCTGGTCTTGAACTCCTGACCTCGTGATCCACCCGCCTCAGCCGCCCAAAGTGCTGGGATTATAGGCGTGAGCCACTGTGCCCGGCCTATCTACCACCTTTTATTTATCCATTCATCTGTTGATGGACACTTCCATAACTTGGTATGGGTGTACAGACATCTTTTCAATAAACTGATTTAAAATATCTGGGGTAAATACGCAGCAGTGGGATTACCAGATCATGTGGTGATTCTATTTTCAGTTTTTTGAGGAACGTCTGCACTGTTTTTCACAATGGTTGTACTAATTTACATTCCCATTAACAGAGTAGAAGGGTTCCATTTCTCCACATCCTGTTTATTCAGACGATATGTTATCATCTAAATCATCTAAGACCTCTATATTATATAGCTTTTGAGTATTTTTAAAAGTGGACACTCAAGCGTTCATATAGTCATAGTCAGTGTGTGGTTCCTCAGACCTGTGGTATCAACATCACCTGGGAATTTGTTAGGAATGCAGATTCCCAGGCTCCCTGCGGACTTAGTCAGAAATTGTGGGGGTCGAGTCTAACACTCTTTTTTAAAAAGCCCTCCAAGTGATTCCAATGCTTACTAAAGTTTGAGAACCGTGGCTCAGTAAATGCTAAAGGTTCAAGGTAGCATGATCCCACACATCAGCCAAGTGGCATTAATTATTAGCCTGGTAAGCCCACCTTCTTTTCAGTCACTGAGTTTGATTGGTTCACTAAGGCTAGGCTGTAAAGTTATTTGCTAGATTGATTGCTACATATTGACTTTGGGTTGTTTGTATTTCTCTGAACCTGTCACTGTAATGATTTGTCAGGACACTTAATAGGAACAGGCCGTGATTTTTGCACCCATGGCATTCTGAGTCATGGGTGGCTGGGTCACTATGTACTCCAGGTTTCTTCAGGCACTGGGCATGCCATTCATGTACTTATAAGGAGGGAGCTGTCGCTGGTGGATCACAGGGAACCTTTAGGGACATTTAGTTCGCTCTCAGCTTGGTACAGGTAGGGAAATTGAGCCCCCATGAAGTTGTGCTTTGCTTGCAGTTAGGGGTACAGACAGGATTTCAGGTCTCCTGAGTCCCTCCACTGCACCAGGATTCCTGCAGGGGGACAGAGCTACAGCTTTTTCTGTGCCTACAGGGCATTCCTTTCCTACTGTGACGGTTTTATTTATTTATTATTTTATTTAAAGAAAAAAAGTAAATAGAAAAAACCCCGGAAGTTCTCACTGAAACTAATAAAAGTGTCTAAAGAGAATGAAAAAATCAGTTTGAGAACTTTGGTATGGAGGAAATAACCTGACATTAACTGTTTTAATTATAGTTGTTGCATTGGGCTTATCAGTGTGGGAAGAGGGAGCATTTGAGCCTTACAGGGAAGTGGGATATGGACAACAAGATGACCCTCTTCCTGAATTTGCCTGTTTGGGCCTGCAGCCTGGTGACTCTTTGTGTGATCCCAACAGCTGTCATAGAGATGGGTTGGACTTTTACTGAGACCTGGGTCCTAGGCCCAGCACTGCCACCAGCTAGTGGTGCGATGCCCCATAAAGAGGCCACTTATTCTCTCTGGCCTCTACTATTGGTAAATGGGTATAATAATATCCACCCTGCCAATCCTGAGAAATTTCAGGTAGTGGGAAGCAGTGTATCTTGGTGGTTAAGGGCAGAGTCTCTGGATTCAAATTCTAGCTTTCTAACTCAGTGGCATGGCAGTAGGCAGGCCACTTATCCTCCCTGTTTTCTCACCTGAGAATGGGTATAATGAAATTTACTTCTAAGGGTTGTTGTGAAGATTGAATTAGTTAGCTAATTTATGTAAAGTACTTAGGATAGTGCCTGGTATTTAGTAAGTTCTATGTGTTAGCCTATTATTATTACTATTACCATTTAAAAATATTATTTCAAGGATGGGATGCATTTTCTGTAAACATGTTCTCAAATGATTCTACTACTGGATACAATACTAGGCTTTTATGCAGTAATTGTTGGTGGAGGAGTTGTTCTGACATCCAGCTTGCACCTGGGCTACTGGTTTCGTGGCCAGGGATGGCCAGGCCTAGCGTCTCTGATCTTGCACAATTTATGCATAGAGTGGTGTGGGTAGAGGAAACTTGGAGGGGGGAACTTCTCAGTTTTGCTTTCAGGTATTTATACATTAACTATCATAAGAGATGGACATCTTAATAACTTCCAAGAAAGAGTTCATGAGCTTCAATTTGATATTTATTGTTTGACTAGGTTTCTTTCTGTCTTACCTTTCCAGTTGTTAGGATTCTTGATATGTATTTTGGTGATGAAAATTTCAACTCTAAAAGCTAAACAATCAAGATATTGTAATTATCCAGCAAGTGATTGGCAGATTTCGAGTAGACTTCTTCCATTCTTGGCTGAAATCAATGAAAATGTCTACTATTGCTGTTGTTTTTGTTCTTTTCTCTGAAAAGTCTGTTTTTGGGAGGGCCTGAGATGGTAAAGTGCCTTTTTATTGTCTCTTAAAGGGAATGGGGGAATCAACAGTTTGAGAATTTTTGTTTTATCTGTATGTATAAAATTGCCTTCTCCTTTTATTTCTTTTGATACTCTCTCTGCAGTCTCTATTCATGATCTACTCCCCATCTTTTTATGGGCCCCTTAAAGCTAGAGATTATGTTTATTCGTTTATTTATGTATTCCATTTCTCCTTTTTTCTGGATCCTAATTTTGTGCCTGGTGCATACTAGGCTCTCAATTTTAGTTTGTCGAATTACTGTTATTGCTGTTTCTGATTACTTCTTGAAGCAGTCCGTTTTAAAACTTCACCTGAAGGCTAAGTAATTCATCAGTATAATGGTGATCTATTATTTATCTAGCATTTTCCTAAACACTCATTGATGAATCCTTATAATACTCATCTGAAGTATCTAAATCCCAAGATGATGTGTCATGTCATAGATGGTATGGCTTTAATTTTTAATTGGGAGATGGAGATGTAACAGCTGGAGATACTGAAACACAGAGAAATAAGAGCATCATTGAAGACCACAAACGTGGTTATTGTTGGAAGATAGTTTTGGGATGGGCTTCTGTGCTAGAAGCCAAAACATAAAAAACTGATTAAAACTCTAAAAAGAAACCCAGATTAGGTGGGAATGAATGCTGATCTGGATTGGATTACACTTCTTTGGTGTCTGAGGGTTATGATTAGTGACTTACTTCTAATGTGCATTTGTTTTTATTTTTAGCATTGCAGTGTCGAGATGGCTATGAACCCTGTGTAAATGAAGGAATGTGTGTTACCTACCACAATGGCACAGGATACTGCAAGTAAGTTTTTCTCTTCATATATTTTCTTTTTGCGATAGAACACTGGACAAGATTTGATTCTACTCCTCTATTTTTAATGCTTCTGTGGAATGTTACTGGTTCTTGAGCTTTCCTGGTACAGATTTTGGTTGGGGGTGAGGATGGAAGGATGTGGATGCCAGATAATTGGCTAATAAGAACTTCTTACTATCTTACTGTTATCTTTCTCACTATGAAAAAGACTTTTCAGTGAGTGGCTAGTTAATGTATATGGGGTAGACCAGGCATGGTGGCTCATGCTGGTAATCCCAGCACTTCAGGAGGCTGAGTTGGGCGAATCACGAGGTCAGGAGTTCAAGACCAGCCTGGCCAACATAGTGAAACCCTATCTCTACTAAAAATACAAAAATTAGCCGGGTGTGGTGGCGCATGCCTGGAGTCCCAGCTACTCGGGAGGCTGAGGCAGGAGAATGACTTGAACCCAGGAGGCGGAGGTTGCAGTGAGCTGAGACCACATCATTGCACTCTAGCCTGGGTGACAGAGCAAGACTCCGTCTCAAAAAGAAATAAAAAAAAATAAAAAAATGTATATTAGATTCCCTTGTGTTTTTCAGATTAAGGAATACTCTTAGAGTCTCCCCTTAACATGTTACCTATTATCTTGTTTTTAAGTAAAACCAAATAGATATCAACTTTAATATTCGGCCCAGTATATGTGAATATTATATTCATATTTTTTTCTAGTGTAAAAAATCTAATTCTGAAAGTGAGACAGTGAGAGAGGAAGATGTGTGCATATGTGTAGATTGAGGGGGAGCAGGGGCTTTGGGTGTGTATTATTATATGGGGATAAAAGAGTAAGGATGAAGGAAAATGTAGGCTAGTTCTTGGCTTAAGAGCATTTTTTTTTCCTTTTTCTCCAACCATCTACTCTAGCCAAGACGTTTTGTTTGTTTGAGGAAGGCTGTGAGATAATTTCATAATAGCTTTTCTAGGTTTCCTGCAAATAATTTTTTTTCTTCTGCCTCAATTGAAAATTTTTAAGAGGAATATGTATCCATTCTGTTTATTTCAGGGAAGATGCTGGAGAAATAAAATTTGGTAATATGAAATTTCTCTTCTTTTCCTTCATTTTTGTGAGGAGTAGTTCTTCTTTGCTTTGGTGGAGGTACTTGCTTAGTAAGCATTTTAAGTGAGTTTATCCAACACATTTTTATTTCTTACCAGGAATGTAATTACAACTTTTTTCCAGTGAGATCTGTTCTGACACCAGGATTTAGTTTTTTAATGTTATAAACAAGATTTTTTTTTCAAGTCAGAAATAATTTTCTTCACTAAAGTGAAAATATTTTAAGCTGTGATGACAGTAAAGCTTAACAATAGGTTGTTTGGATTGGAATAAAGATAACATTGGAAATAAAGGTTTTATGTAGCTTATTATGGGCTGCTCATTTAGTTTTTCTAGCTGGAGGAAAAAAAAACATGTGGTGCATTCTCCTCTAAGAATGGAGATACAACTGGAGATAATAAGGGAGGGAACTTAATACCTTAGAGTAGGCCACTGAAATCTTGTTTAGTCTTTTTGTGGCATTTGGTGCCTTAGTTGCTTGCTTTATTCTGTTAACTACTCTTGTGGTAGTTAACCCCATTGCATTATGGTCATTTGTTGATGTGTTTCTTTTGCTAGAATGTGAGGTCTTAGTCTTATGCATTTTTTGCATAGTTAATGCCTAGTACAGTGCCTGGTGTAGTTATTGTTCAGCAATGTGTTTCTTAAACTAAAAGGTGCTAAGTAGATACCATCATGCACATGTTTCTTATCTATTTATGTTAAATAAGAAGACACTGGTTCTCTCCTTTAAAAATTTCAGTGTGGCGATTCCTCAAGGATCTAGAACCAGAAATACCATTTGGCCCAGCAATCCCATTACTGAGTATATACCCAAAGGATTATAAATCATTCTACTATAAGGACACATGCACATGTGTGTTTACTTCAGCACTATTTACAGTAGGAAAGACTTGGAACCAACCCAAATGCCCAACGGTGATAGACTGGATAAAGAAAATGTGGCATGTATACACGATGGAATAGTATGCAGCCATAAAAAAGAATGAGTTAATGTCCTTTGCAGGGACATGGATGAAGCTGGAAGCCATCATTCTCAGCAAACTAACACAGGAACAGAAAACCAAACACGGCATGTTCTCACTCATAAGTGGGAGTTGAACAATGAGAACACATGGACACAGGGAGGGGAACATCACACACTGGGGCCTGTCAGGGGGTGGGGGGAAAGGGGAGGGAGAGCATTAGGATGAATACCTAATGCACGTGGGGCTTAAAACCTGGATGACGGGTTGATAGGTGCAGCAAACCACCATGGCACATGTATACCTATGAAACAAACCTGCACATTCTGCACATGTATCCCAAAACTTAAAAGCAAAATTTAAAAAAAGTTTATTTACTTCACATAGCATTCAGGGTGGTAATACCATACAGAGAGGCAAATTGGTTCTATTTGAAGATCATTCAACTTGGTGACTTATATATGGAGAATTTCAAATATGTTCTAAGTGTTCGCCTATATATTTTTGGTCTGACATGGGGAGAGAAGGTTTCTAGGGGAGACTAATCTCTGAGCACTTACCAGGAGAGGACACCTAAGGGTCACTGTTGGGAAGAAGTCCAATAGTTCTTTGTTGGACTGTTGGGCTGCTAGTCTCATACTCTCCAACCAAGGTTGGAGACCATCCTGGCTAACACGGTGAAATCCCATCTCTACTAAAAATGCAAAAGATTAGCTGGGCGTGGTGGCACGCACCTGTAATCCCAGTTACTCGGGAGGCTGAGGCAGGAGAATGGCCTGAACCCAGGAGGCGGAGCTTGCAGTGAGCCAAGATTGCACCACTGCACTCCAGCCTGAGCGACAGAGTGAGACTGTGTCTCCAAAAAAAAAAAAAAAGAAAATGGAGCTGCCTAAATTCTGTCCCTGGCTACTTGTTAATTGTTGATAGGATGGAATGCTTATGGATACAGTTCTGGGTATGTCCCTCAGATGTCTTTCCTGTTTTGAGGGAAACAAACTCCTTGAGAGAGAGTAAGAAAAAATTTGGTGAGGCCATCCTTTTGGGAGACCAAGATGAACAACAAAACTTGTATAAAGAGAGTGATTCCCTACCTCAGCAAAAGTAATATTAGCATATTTAGGAGTGGCAGGGTCAACATAAGTGGACAAAGAAAAAGCAAGAACAATATCAAGGCAGCCATGTCAATCATTCTACAGTGCTTTGCCAGCCTCCACAGAATTTTAAGCAAAATTTTATGCAAAAATAATGTGTACCTAGCAGAGCTTTCAGTGTATTTTCACCAACCTTACCTTTTTTTCTGTGGAGAAAGAAAATGATCTAGCTTGTTCAGTAAATATTATTTTCACAAAATAGAAAATAAATATTAAAACACTTAGAAGATTTATAAAAATTCTATCAGGCATGCAGGGCATGTGATTATCTTTTTATTCATGCGATTGCTTAGTGGATTAAGAAAAGAAAGTTGAAGCCAAATTCCTTTTACAGGGCCAGCGTGGGGG